>NC_000008.11:132589222-133214222 GCF_000001405.40 Homo sapiens | reverse complement strand
GATATATCAAGGCAATTAATATATAGCAGAACACATACATTTTATAGTAGCAATTATATATATATAGTAGTTATATATAACTACTGTTATATAGTAGTTATATATAACTACTATATATACTATATATAGTTTATATAACTACTATATATAGTGTATATATAGTATGTATAACTACTATATATAGTGTATATATAGTATGTATAACTACTATATATAGTGTATATATAGTATATATAACTACTATATATAGTGTATATATAGTATATATAACTACTATATATAGTGTATATATAGTATATATAACTACTATATATAGTGTATAGTATATTTAACTACTATATATAGTGTATAGTATATTTAACTACTATATATAGTGTATATATAGTATATTTAACTACTATATATAGTGTATATGTAGTATATTTCCCCCTGTGAAAACTGTTCTTCAAGTTCATTAGAAAGATAATATTTATAGTGTATATATTATCTTTATATTATATTTCTATACTATATAGAATATATAGTATATTTCTATAATATACTATATTATATTTCAGAAGAAATAACTAGAAAATTTAAGTGACTGAAGTAACTGAGAAATGTAGGTAGCTGGTGGGAAGGGATGACTGCAGGCTGCTGATTTTCATTCTTTCAAGGCTACTGGATTTTTAAAACCATATTTTTTAATTTACAATATTACCAAAATATCTGGAGTTCTGCAGTATGCTGGTGTGTCCTAGTAGGCCATGGACATTTGTTAAAAGATCCTACCACTAAGAGAACAAAACCAGGCTTAGGTATTTCATGGCGTCTCCCTCTTCCCTGGGGACAGCCATGAATGTGCCTCCAGGACTGAGAATAAAGCAAGAAGCAAAGTTCTGGAGGCGAGAAGAGTGCAGGCATCCTTGCCTCCCCTTCCCAGGAAGGACCCAGCCTCTGGCCTCTGATCATGGGGTGTATCTCCTGCTGAACGGAAGCCTGGCCAGGTGAAAGGCTGTGGGGGTGCCAAGGGAGAGGGGTTTGGGGCCAGAGCTGGGGGTGCTCAGGGGCTGGTCAGAAGGTATGGAGGACTCACTTACGTGCACACACTCCTATTGCGTACCTCGGGCGGTCCCCGCTGTAGTCACAGTAGAGGCCCCGGTGGGGGTCACAGATGGCAGCCTCCGTGCAGTTGTCCCCAAGCTGCTGAGCGCACATCTTACAGCACTCACAGCCATCTGTGATGAGGCTGACCCCCAGCGGGCAGCGGGGTGGGGATGGCGGGCACTCACATGGCCACTTGCAGAATTGGGGGCGTGAGGAGGTGTCCTCCAGTGGAGCTGGGGTAAAGTCCATGGTCGTAGGGGCTGGAGAGAGGGCCTGCGGGGGGAGGGCAGAGGGAAAGGGGGGCTGCTGAGACAGGGGTTTCAACGCCCAAAGGGCCCTGCCATTGCATTCCTGTCCTCATGCTGTTCAAAAGGTTTTCATAAAATTATTTTTTCTATCACGCTTTTGATAGCCAAACATCTCCTTTATTCTCAGTAAAACAAATAGAACAGAGGAGCCCAACATGCAGCGAAGTTAAACCAATTGCCCGAATCCTTCCGCTGGTCAGCGGTGGGGCCCAAATTCCACCTCAGACCCTGCTCCTTTCCTTTCTTGAGTGATTGTCGCTGCAGCCCCGAGGTAAGGGAGGTGGCCTCACTTTACAGGGAGAAAGCCGAGGCCCTGAGCAGGTGGAAGCTGGCTGTGAGTCATGTGGCTGCGCGGGGCTCGGATCCCATGGCTCTTCTGTGACGACCTGCAGGGCCAGTTCCTTCACTCACCGAGAGTTCTTAAGGCCTCTCTGAGTCAGAGGACTCCTACTTAATACCGGTTTCGGCCCGCTGACCTATTATTATTTTTTTCCCCTCTGAGCATCCGGAAAGGGCTGGCGTGGTGCAGCGGCAGGTATTCAACTTTATAGCTCCTGGCAGCTACATGGGCCCCAGCCCTTGGGGAGTGAGTTGGCGCTTCCTTTGCCAGCACAAGCCCTACATGGAGGAGCCCTTTTATTTTGCTGTCAGGGCAATGAGACCCCCCACCCAACACATACACACTCCACTCTACCAACCCGCACTCCTCCCCAGCATCCCCATTCCCATCCCCCAGTCAACAGCTTCATCTTTATTTTGGCAAATATGATGGACACAAGAGGCCAGCTGGGAAGGGAAACCAAGGCCCTAAGAGCTGCCCAGGCCTGAGGAGCGGCAGATGGAGATGCCTGGGTGTCTGAGTGCAGGAGCTTCAAGCTGCCTGTATCTCCAGCACCCAGTCACCTGCTGTCCCATCTGGTTGCCCCCCTGAATCCCATCTGTGCCCTTTGCTCTATCTCGAAAGAGACCTGGGCCTGCAAGAGGAAGAGAATCGCCTGAGGACACAGGAGCGGGGACGGGAGCCAGGCTTTGAGTCAGTCCTCCCTCTCCTGGGCAAGCCATGGATCATCCTGCCCAGCACTTCTCGTCCTTGACGGCTGAGTTCTGAAGTAAGCAGAGGAGAATCCAGGGCTTCTGTGGGGCTGGGACAGGGGGCTGGCTGGGCTCTGGGCTGCTCCCTCCATCTGGAAGCAGAGGAGCCTGCTTTGTGGGATCACAGATCTGCTTTCCACTCGGAACACCAGGCTCCGGTGCTGAGCTACTCAGACAAATTCTTTCCTCCTTTACAGGGGAGGAAGGCAAGACCCGAAGAGACAGATGGACACTCCCAGGATGACACAGTTCACAGCAAGGCCAAGATGCAAATTAATCTCCTAACTCTCATTACAACAGCTTCTACTTTTGCCTCTTCTGGGTTCTTTCATTCACTCAACAGACATTTGCAGAGTTAGCTCATAGTCTCTCTTAAGTTTTAGATATTTGAAGATAAGCGTTAAAAGTCCCTATGATTGGGGAACCCACAGCTTATGGGAGAGGCAAGTATTAGAGGTGATTTACTACAACTCGAGGGATTTACTGCAACTCGAGGGATTTACTACGCAAAGTGCTGGGCATTCCAAGGAGGCATGGAAGCTCTCTGAACACCAGGGCAGTAACTGCTCTGCCCAGGAGAGTGGGGTCCACTCTTGCACCTTGAAGGACCAGGGATGAGGAAAGTGGTTCAGATGAATTTCTGAATTAGTCTGACTAGGCTCTGAACCTGGCGCACAATAAATGTAGTAAATATTGATGCAATAAATAAAGCCCTTGCAAGTCAACAGACAAAACCCGACTTGAAGCTTTCATCTCCCATAGGCTTGATTTCAGAACTTGGTCAAATCCACCCTTTCCCTACCTCAAGGCCGCTGCGATGCAGTTCCCTGTGGCTGAGAGGCCCTTCCTATCTTTTTCACCTGGGGCCCCTTTCTCTGGGCGGACTCTCCTGACTCGCTGACCTGCGTGTGTCTGGCTTTCCCTTAAGCCACTAGGCAGGCTCAGAAATTAGACATTTGTGTGTGTTTGGAGGTTAATGCCGGTGAACTCCATGGGGTGAGGGCAGGATGGGGCAGGCCCCCACAGAGTGCCTGCACATTGCCAGTCTTCACTGGGGACATATGGGTGACTTCTCTGTTATGGCCCAGACAGACACCAGAATGGCCAAAAAAAATCTTGCCTGCAGCCCCCTGCAGGGAGGAAGGCTCTGTGGGCGATGTGGCCTTGGAAGGCCTTGCTGGTAGGGAACAGAGAGCTCTTGGGGTTGGCAGTTCTGGGTGGTTCACCGAGGAGGCACTAGTTAGCCTGCCCTTGTTCATATTTCCTCAAAAACACAACAGGATGCAAGAAAACCCTACATATCCGAATCAGTAAACACACACACACACACACACACACACACACACACACCCCTCTTTTTGACTTTGGGGAGAGACATTTCCTTGTTAGGCCATGATTCTAGAAGCCTCAGAGCCTCATGAGCACTAGCAGACCATCTCTCAGAGCCACCACACTCAGGACGTGCTCTTGGCAGAGGAAATAAAGATGCCCTCTCCTCCAGGAAGGCTTCCCTGCCCTTACCTCGCTCACTGGAATGTGAACTTGGAAAGGGCAGGGCCCGGGCCTTGCATCTCTCTGTGCGCCTGAAACACAGCACAGAGCACACAGTAGGGCTTCATATGTGTTGACTGGTGAAATGGATGGATGGGGGATTGTCGGCTAAAAAGGCTTGGATATCTATGATATTTAAGGCATCATGTACTGGAACCTCTCCTCTGGGCCCTAAGTTTGAGTGTCAAGAAAAGAACATGCAACCTGAGACAGTCCGACGTACGTTCTTTCCGTGTGGCCTTGGAACAGCATCTTCATCTTTCTGAGCCTCAGCATTCCCATCTGTGATATGGGCACAATCACACTCACCTCCCTTTGGGGGCAGTTGGAAGGGTGAAGGGGCATTGTGGATGTGGCAGCACTAGGTAGGGCCTGGCACATGTCACATGGCACACAGAAGCCTGTCTCCTCTTACACCCATTTGGTTGTGTGTCCTCCCTGACCCCACTGTGCCCAGAACAGAGTTGGGGATCTGGACACTTTGAGCTGAGCTGGAATGGGTTGGAACCGGGTGGGTATCCCACTCCTGGGATCACTATCCATCCTCCTGTCTCCATCCCAAGTTAAAGATGCCCAGAAGGAAGCTTCCTTTCTAAGTGCCTGGAGGTGCCAGGGCACACAGCTGGTGAGGGGAAGCTGCAGAGAAGTCCTCCCTTGGACAGGGGAACCATTTATGGCATCCCTGGGCAGAGGAGGGAAGGGCTGTGGGCAGTCGGCTGAGCCAGCCTTTGCAATTGGCACCATCTAGTGGTAGAAAATCTCCCAGACTCAGGAGAAGGTGCTGGACAAGATCTGTGCAGGGGAAAACCCTCTGGACCCCAGGGCATGAGGACTGCTGGGTTTGGTGTGTGAGCCTCTGAGTGCCAGCTGCCTTGTCCAGCACTGACACATACCTAGGGTATGTCCAGCATAGACGCTTACCTAGGATTTGGGTCTGCAGGCCACAAGTGAGTCCTGACTCGTGATAATCGATCAATCCTCACCTCTCTGTGTGAGCACGAGGGAAAGCAGATGACTGGCGCAAGGGCGGTTTCCGCCCTCCAGCACTGACAGTTTAGCTGGGGATGTGCACGATGACTGAGTCATTCTAGGGACCGAGGATTATTGAATCCCTACTATGCACAGGATTTGTGCCAGGCTGGGAGGAGACGAAGGTGCCTAAGACAGAGCCCCTGACTGGCTCCCCACCTAGTGAGGCCAACAGACACATAAATAATGATTGCAATTCAGTGCAATCAATGCTATAACAATGGCATCCACTCATTTATTCATTCTCCCTTTCATTTATTTATTCAACACACCTGTAGTCAGCTTTTATTTTGTGCCAGGTGCAGCACTAGGTGCTGGGGATGCAGTGTGAGAGCCAAGCAGACCTGCCTGTGGGATGACAGGGGAGTGGCTGGGCTGTGTGTGTGCTGGGGCTGAAGAGGGCTTCCCAAGACAGGAGGCACTGGGAACGGGTTTTGAAGAGGGGGTGGGAATAGATCAGTGAGGAAGCAGGAGAGGGTACCCAATGCGCAAGGACCCTCAAGTGCACAGGCACTGAGCTGGCAACATGTGCCAGGGCCTGGGGCCTGCAGAGCCTGGTGTAGGGTGCAGGGTGGAGGCAGGAGGAGGCGAAGGCTAGGACGGATGAGGATGGGTTCAAGGCACAGCATACATCAAGGAAGACCTTGAATGCCTTGGTTTGGGCTGAGGTCTGGAAGAATGGTTTATTGAAGGATTTTAGCAGGAGGATGGCAGGGTTAGATTTGTGTTTTAGAAACACCACACTGTATCCAGTCCAGGCTTTGTCACTGTTCATGTTACTCTGGGAGTTCACTTTCTGAGCCTGTCTTCTCCTCTGTAAAACGGCATTGCTACCATCGCTTAGCTCGCAAGTGACTGGAAGTGAGCATCATATGAGGTCACAGCTGGAATTCCTCCTGCTGGTACATCCATTGCAAACCATCACTCTGATGACCACTTGGGGACTGTCTTGCCCTAGCCCTCAGTGACTCTGGCTGATCTCATTTGTCTTCTGCACAGTGACTGGTATTATTATTCCCATTTAACAGATCAGTAAAGTGGCTTGCTTATGCCCAACACCTAGTAAATGACAGAACTTGGATTTGAATCTGGAACTGTTTCAGTTAATGTTTTTCCCACTACTGTACATGAGGGAGAATTTTCTGATGAAAAAAAAAAAAAACAGCTGAAAGGTAGTGAGTGCACCATCAGTGGAAGTAATCAAGAAGCAGCTAGACAATTATTTGGGCTGGCAGTTGTAGAGGGACATCAAGCCTCACAAAGCCTGACACATAGTAGGTGTCAATAAGCATCTGTTGATAGGGTGAATACATGAGTGAATGTTCATTTCCCCAACCAATCTGCCATCCTTTGAAGGCAGAAACCACATGCCGCCCATCTGTTCCCCTGCATGCACAAACTCACAGGCCCTTATAATCAACATACCTAAGATCTGAGTGAGGGCTCATTCTATATGGAGAACTCTGTTTGCACTATCTCATATAATCCCCTAACAAATCACAAGGCAGGTCTGCTAATGTTCCCCTGAGCAGTGAGAACACAGAGGCACAGAGAGGTTAATGTCTTGTGCAAGGCCACACAGGTCAGGTAGTCAGGGATGGAACCAAGGTCTGCCTTGTCCAGAGTTTTCGAGCCACTAACTCTTCTGCCTCTGATCACTGCACAGGGAACACCGTGCACATGTGAATTTTGGGGACATGCTCCCATCAGATCTTGAGCAAAACAAATATTTCATGGGGGCTGGGAGCTCAAGGAGAGGCTTTGGGATCCTGGGACATAGCTGGATCCCCATGTGGGGGTACCTGTCCCTTCAGGGTTCTTGTTGCTGCCAAAAATGAGCTGATAACGGCCCACTGCCCTGCTTCTCCCCTGAAGTCCAGCCTAAGCTGCCATTCGGGTGGTCTAGTGCATGAGCACTCAGCTTCCAGAGACAACAAATGATGCTCATTGCTGAAGAGTGAGGGTTGGGAGGGGCCTCATGGCCAGAACTTCTCCTGGAGAGCCGGTGAGTCTTAACGCTGTGAGTCATCTTAGAACTCCTTTACCCAATCTGTCCCTGCATGAGCAGGGAACGGCAGAAGGACTCTAGTCTGAAGTGCTTGACTCTAAGCCTGTGCTTACACTCTCCACCTCTCCCTGAGTGAAGCCATAGTTTCCCCCCCGCCTTCCTGCTCCACTCCAAAGCTGCTCTGGGGCCCTGATCAACTGGAGGTGCATGGTGCCATGGCGGCTTTCACTCCTCCTGGGCCGGTGGCATATACAGTGAATGATACCAGCTTCTAATGAAAAAGCCTGTCCAAGAACCCCCTGGCAGTGGCTTGGAGTGTAGGGGTGGCGAGGTCACATCTTAGAACCTCCCAGTTAGTTCTGGGACCTTAATTCCAGTGTGATCCCTGGCACCTTGTGCCCATCCACTGGCAGCCTCCCTCGGCCCCAGGCAGGCTGAGGCAGCTCATCCCCTGAGCATCCCTCGAAGGCTACTCACTGGGGCTTCAGCTGCTTGGAAGGCCAGTGTAGGGTCTCTCTCTCTGTCTCTGTCATACACACACACATGCGCACACACCATCAGCCTCCTTCAACATCCAGGATGGCATGACATCTCTACCTGTCCTTTGCTTTGGTTCACAGCTCTTTTCACTGAATGGTTCTCTTTTTCCACCCCCCAAAAAAAGGAGTGGGGGAAGCATCTCAGCCAGAGAAGGGAGATGAGAGTTTCCCACACCACCTTCTGTCTGTGCATCCTATGTGGGCTCTCAACTCCTCATTCCTTGCACATCCGCTTGCGGAGTCATCCAAGGGCCCAGGTACCACCAGCCCCACCCTTTCCTGCTGTCTGGGGACCTCCTCAGTGCACCCAGGTCTGTCATGATGGGGAGTCACTGGGGGAATATCTGGGGCACGTATGTGTGTTGACCTTGAGTGGTTGGTCTGGGGCCTTTCTGGGGGTGTCTCTGTTGGTCCAGAACATCAACACATCCTGAAGGAAATGTGTGGCGCCTCTGGGTCAGAGCTGTGGCTCCATAGGTAAACCAGCTGTATCATCCCAGCCTCTAGTACCCTGGTTTGGCTGCTGGTGGGACTCCCATGCCGCACCTGTGGTGCTGTGCAGTGAAGAAGCCCGGGAGCTCGGGCCCCTAAGCCACACCTGGCCCTTATCTTTAGTGGACAATGAGAGTATGGCCTTTGTCAAAATAAAAACGATAAACCCATTTCTGTGTAAGCAATGGGTATTTGTGCAAAACAAATACCTATTTGCTTGGCTTGCCTGGGTTTGGGAGAGAGAGGTAATTAGTAGAATATGAACATTTAGAGGAATCTTTTTGCAGCTAAACAATACAAAAAAAGGCCTGCACATTTTCCAGAGGCTTCTGTAGGATCTCAAAAATAGTGCTTTCCTTCTGGGGGCTGGGGCTCATCCTCAAACCCCAGGATGCTTGCTTGGGCCCCTGGGACCCTCTGAGGTTTCTACCAGGCTTTCATTTTCCTTGGGGATTGGAAGCTATTCCTGTTTTCCCCAGCCACAGGCAGGAGCCTGCCCCATATCCTATCCTGTAGAGTCCCCAGAGAGCCCTGACGGCTATCTTCTTACCCACCATGAGCTACCTGAGCTGGGGTGCCTGGGCCTGTTCTGCAGATGGAGAAAATGATCTTTGCAAACACACTGTCATATGGAGCCTGCATCATTCTGTCCAACAACAGAAGCCAAGAAGGCAAAAAGGAGAAAAGATCGTAAGTCAAGGAGAGTGTTGTCTAGGGAAGGCCAGAGGAGGGGGAAAAAAAAGACAAAGACAAAAACAAACAAACAAGAACAACAACAAACCAAAACAGCCTTGGGATTTCCAAATTGCAGATGTTCACATAAAAGTCTCTTTCATGATGTACTTCTGGAAATAGACTCTGCAGATAACACTATGTTTATGGGGAAGACAGAGGTGGTGGCCACTCTGCGGTGCTTCTGCTGGCAAGATGCCCAGGGCTTGCCCAGGCACAGCCTGGTCCTGCTCACTTCTGCCTGCTGCAGCCTCTGAGCCCACCGGGCCCCACCTACCCCACTGAGACTCCTCCTGCCATACCCCTCCCTCCTCAGCAACCCCTCCTAGCTACCCAGGTACTATGATGATGATTTCCAAACTTTACTGCAAAGTACAACTACCCTGGGGCTTTAATGGACACTCTACTCAGAGATCCCAACCTAAGGGGCCTGGGAGGAGCCTGGGCATTGGGATTTTTTCCAGGTGGTTCTGAATGCCCCAAAGTTTCAGAATCACTGGCCTGTGAAACTTGTTAAAATACAGATTCCTCAGCCAGGCATGTGGTTCACACCTGTAATCCCAGCTGTTTGGGAGGCTGAGGCAGGTGGATCACTCGAGGTCAAGGAGGTCGAGACCAGCCTGGCCAACATGGCAAAACCCTGTCTCTACTAAAAATACAAACATTAGCTGGATGTAGTGGCACATGCCTATAGTTCCAGCTGCTCAGGAGGCTGAGGCAGGAGAATTGCTCGAACCTGGGAGTCAGAGGCTGTAGTGAGCAAAGATTGCACCACTGCATTCCAGCCTGGGTGACAGAGTGATAAAAACCAGATTCCTAGATCCCTCTTTGAATATTCGCCTTAAGTTTCTCTAGGCTGAAGCCTGGAATCCGTAGCAGTTTGACCAGCAACCCTTGGGAATTTTTATAGAAATAGGAACCACTGCCTTAGAACATTGGGCAGGGATAAGAGAAAAGTGTGGAGATTTTAGACCATCTTCCTTTTTTAACATCTGACTTTTGTACAACCCACACCCATGTTCATTACCCACCGACACTGCTAAGCTGCTTTCACACAGCAGTTCACGCAGACCTGCAGAACATACCGCATTCTGTGATTCATCAGGGTGACACAACTGCTCTGTAAGCAGGTCTTGTGCAGTTAAGTGAAAATGATGTATTTTATCCTTGATATTTTAAAATGACTGAAAAATGGGAGACAACCAAAAGGAGTATCTCCCGATGATAAGACCCCTAAGTCCTTAACCCCACTGGACAAACAGGGTTATCAGTAGGTAGGTGAACAGTGATGAAGTGATCCCTTCAATCATACTTATTGGACAAACTTAAGCTGATTAAAATTGGGAAGGAAAAAAAATAAAGCCCTGGAGGAAATGTTTCACATGTATTTTTGAGATAATATTTAAAGGTGAGTGGTAACTGATTATTATGGTGTATTTCAGCTCTTTGAAAGTGGACTTGGGAAGAGGTAAGTCTATAATTTGACGTTTGCATATCAGTATTCATTTTTACAAAAATGCTTAGCAATAGGCATAGGAGCAGAACGTGGGAGGCTAGCAGCGGTGGGGTGGACTGCCCAGGATATCTGAAGCGTCCCGTTTGATGAAGGAGATAGATCCCTTTCTCTTCTAAGAGTGTGTGCAGTTTATTGTGAACAGGGCATGGAATTTGCAGAAAGGGCACGTCATCTGCAATGAGGGGACCCCATTTGACAATTCCCCAACCTCCTGCCACTCCCAGCTTTGGGATCTGGAGCCGTGCTCACCTGCTCTGAGCTTGTTTCATCATTTGTAAAATGATGGTGATGTCAACATCCTCCAGCAGCCTTAATGAGCAGTTATTAGTGTCATCCCTAGTTCACAGATGAGGAAAATGAGGCTCCAAGAGCTCAAGAATCTTGCTCAAGATCTCGCAGCTGGAAGGTGGTCTATTGACCCAGAGTGTCCCTGCAGAACCCTTACTTGTAATCACCTTGCTGCACGGCTCCCTCATTCATTTGTTCTTCCCTCCACCCGCCCATCACACACATGTACCAAGCGTCTACTATGTGCCTGCTGTTCAGATGAACAAGGCAGGGTCCTCACCCCCTGGGAAGATAGCAATGGAATTGAGCCCAGGTTGCCAAGGGCCCCCAGAAGAGGAGTGAGGAGCCCTTGTGGGGATTCTCAGGGACGGGTTGCCCTTTCCCGCCTCCTGGGTGCCCGGCACTGCGCCTGGCACACCCTGGGCAAGTGCTCCGTGAGCAGTGTGGACGGTCGGAGGCCTTGGCTTGCCCTGTTTCGGAGGCCGCACCTAGATACTCCACCAGGGGGCAGGGTTGAGGCAGGAATGGCCGGAGCCGGCCCTAGCTGGGCCCGGGAGCTTTCAGGACAGGGTTGTCCTGCTGGAAGCAGCTTCTGTTCACTGCTTTGCTGAAAAGAGAAGCCCTGGGGACCGTGAGAGAATACAGGCCTGGCCGGTGCCCATGTCTTCCCCACGCTTGTTTCAAAGCGCATCGGGTGCCTCTGAGTCAGCCACAGGTAACAAACACCTCTTTTCCCAACACCTCCGGCACTTGCACCCCTAGGCACCTGTATCCCGGGCCCTGGTGGGGGCTCCCCTTCAAGTGGGGCCTGGGACAGTGGTCCTGGGTAGATCACCTTTGAAAGCTCTTAGCTCCAAACCCGTGAAAGGTGTATGAGCCAGGTACATCCTCCTCCTTCCCCCACCGCACTGCCCAGAAACTCCCAAGGGTGGTTTCCAGAAAGTTGTTGGCCAGGCTGCATGTTATGGGATGTAGAAGGTTTTCGAGATTTTCTACTAATTGGTTTTATAAACATGCAGGCGGGGAAAGTCAACTTTACATGATGAGGGTACAAGGGGCAAGAAGCCAGGTTTTTTTTCCAGATAACGAGCCCTAGTCCATGTGTTCACTCATGCATTCACTCATTTGTCAATCTGTATATAAAGCATCTACTAAGTCCCACATGCAGTGGCCAGTGTCAGAGACAAAGCCTCTGAGAACGTCCAGCCTCCAAGGAGACAGGAACGTAAAACAGGCAACCGCATTATAAAGGTCAAAAACTACAGCCCAAGAGCCATAGATGGCTCATGACATTTTTATAAGGGCCTGCCCACTATATGATAACCCTGTTTGTCCAGGGAGGTGAAGAACTTAAGGGTCTTTTCATCGGGAGCTACTCCTTTTGGTTTTCTCCCATTTTCAGTCATTTTAACAAAACATCAAGGGTAAAATACATCATTTTCATTTAACTGCACAAGACCTGCTTACTGAGCAGGGGAAAGAATGCTGAATGTTCTCACAGTTTTAGAGAGTAGTGAGAAAACCACAACAAAAAACACTGAATACTGTACACAAATTTAAACTGTGTTCTTTGCTAGAGACATATTTAAATATTCACCCACGTTGAGAGAATAATATAACGAACCCTACATACGCATCGGCAGCTTTGATAATTATCAACACTTAGTTGGTCTTGTTCCTTCCATTTTCCCCACACATGTATGGGTTTTTTTCTTTTCTTTTCTTTTCTTTTCTTTTTTGAGACTGAATCTGAGTGTATCGTCTAGGCTGGAGTGCAGTGGCGTGATCTCGGCTCACTGCAACATCTGCCTCCAGAGTTCAAGTGATTCTTGTCCCTCAGCCTCCCGAGTAGCTGGGATTACAGATGCCTCCCACCAGGCCCTGCTAATTTTTGCATTTCTTAGTAGAGATGGGGTTTCACCATGTTGGCCAAGCTGGTCTCAAACTCTTGACCTCAAGTGATCCACCCACTTCAGCCTCCCAAAGTGCTGGGATTACAAGCATGAGCTACCACACCTGGCTGTATGCTTTTTTATTCTTAAAAATCTAGCGAATCCTAGACAGCCTGAGATTTTACCTGAAATTCTCCAGTGTGTCTCTAAATTATGAGGAATTTTTAGGAAAAATGTAACCCCCATGCAATTATCACACCAATAAATTAGTTACAATTTTGTAACTTTCTCTAGTTAATACCCAGTCCACATTCAGATTGCACTCTCCCAAATAATTTTTTTTAACAGATGGTTTCTTTGAATCAAGATCATCTACATTTTAAGTAAGTAATTTAATCCTTGTGATTATCCTAAGAGGCAGGCTGCTGTTATTATTAGCTTCCTCATTTGTTAGATGAGCAAACTGAGTCACAAAAAGGTAAAGGTCAGATAATTTTTCCAAAGCCACTAGCAAATGGCAACGTTGAGGTTTGAACCTCAGCCCTGGGACTCAAAGCATCCGTTTCTTAAGGCTTCACACCTAAGGGCCACACTGTAAGGTAACTTAGCATAGTCTAAGTAAGGGCTACGAGGATGAGATGAAGAGGGGAAAGGGCATGGGGTTGGGAATAGGACCACAGAGTGCTCCCTAGAGGAGCAGACATTTGCACTGAATCCTAAAGGATGAGTGGAAATTGATGAGAGGGAGGGCAGAGAGGGCCCTGAAGCTGGGGATGACATGAGCAGGGGTGTGCAGGCAGAAGCAACGTGGCATGACACGTGATGACCAGTGGGCCATGTTGCTAGGGCTTAATGTTCAAGGACACGGAGATGGCAGTCAGGGGCCCGGGACAGAGGATGCGTGCTCCCTCCCCTGGGGAAGGCAGTGGTCTTTCCTGAAGTCAGTTTCCTGATCATCAAAACAATCCCATGAGGTCAGCATTGATGGCCCCAATTTGACAGATGGGAAACTGAGACCCAAAAAGGTTGAGACACAACAAGAAAATGACACAGTCAGCTGTTTTGACTCCAGGTCCTATCCTCCTCCAGCTACCTCTAAGGCACCTTGTTCTTGCCCACTGTCCAGTTCATTCAAATAACCATATGTAACCGAGGGCCTTTCATGTCCCAGGCCTGGGCTTGGCGGTGGCTATGGGGAGACCACGGAGGGGGCCAGCCCTGGAGCCACAGCGAACACAGACACGGGTGGAAGAATGAAGCTCTTTGCTGTCATTGAGCTCGGGCTTGTTCCACCTACAAGGGCAGAGTGGGCATCTACCCGATGGGGTAGTGGGGATCGTCTTCCAGTCTCCTGAGCTCCTTCCCTGGAGGGGAGAGGCCCTGGGCTCCAGTCCCCATGCTGAAGCTGGTGGCCTTGGACAAGTCACTTTCTCTGTAACAAGAGCAGGCTGGGATGAAGGGATCACTGTGGGCCTTCCACATCTGGCAATGGTTCGTGGATCAGGGAAATAAAGCAGGGGATAAAGTCTATCTGTCCTCCCTCCACCGCCCAGAGCGTGACTCCATCTCCCTTCCCTCCTCCTGCACTGGATCCCTGGCTCAGATAGGGAGAAACAGAACTGGCCTAAGGGACTGACACACAAGGATACCCCTAGGAGCTGGTCTAGGCAGCCTGCTTGGGGCACACGGTGGTGTTCTGAACCTTGCATGCCATGGAAGTGCGTAAAACTCTCGGCGCCTCAGTTTTCTCCTCTTTAAAATGAGGCTGATAGGAGCTCCTGCCACATAGGGCTCTCGTGAACATCAGATGAGACCTGTGGGAAGGGGCTCGCCGTGGGCCTTGGCTCACACTAAGGGCCCAACAAGGGCTGGCTCTTTGATCATCTAAGAGCCAAAGTTTGCAAGCATCAGGACTTGGCACTGGAGCACAAGGCCAGAAACAGCTGTCAAGGAAGTCAACTGGCATGCGTGCCTGTGTGTGCGTGTGTGCATGTGTATGTAGGCGACAGATTTAAATACAAATAGCATGGCTGGGAAGACAGGTGGCTGCAATCTCACTCCACGCGCGCCTGCCAGCTCTGTTATCCATGAGCTCCCAAAAGGACCATGAGACAACACTGTCTAATCTCAAAGCAGCTTGATATTCCCTGTCTAATTATGGCTCCTCCAAGCCCCTTCTCGACACATGCTCCACACCCAACCTCTTTCTAAGTCCTCTTTCTTAGTCCTAAGGTCTCTGTGACACGGGCATTTACATCCATTTTACAGATGAGAAACTGAGACCCAGGAAATTTAAGGGCTTGGGGCTGGGATGTGGTGGAGCTGGCTCTTGACCCAGGCTGTGTGCTGCCCGCCTCCTCTTCACCACCGCACTACCCTGCCTAGAGCACAAGCCTGAGCAGAGGGGCATTCTTCTTGTTTCCTTTTTCACATAAAGACATTGAGGCTCAGAGATGCAGGCAGAGCCTGCAGAGACCCCAGTCTCCTGACTCCTCGTTCTGTCCTTGCTCCAGAACCAAGCCCGTAAGCTGCCGCTTGCCACTCAGTCCTCTTAGCAGTTGAGTCCAGGCCCTCTTGCCAAATTCCCTCCTTTTCCTCCCCAGCATGAAGCTTCTACTTCAAAAAAAATCAGTGGTGTTCCCTCCCAGCCTCCCCCATCTCCTATACACATATTCTCCCCAGCCTATGCCAGGTCTGGTTCTTGCTTTAATTCATCCTATCAGGAAGTACACTGTGAGCACCTGCAATATGCAGGCATAGACAGTGACAGAGCAACAGAGCAGGGAAGATGTATGGGCAAGCCTGGTAGAGGGCACAGCATGTGCAAAGGCCCTGGGGCCTGAGGGCACAGGTGGTCAGGAAGCGACAAAGGGCTTGGCTTTGCAGGAGGGTAGGGGGAGGAGGGAGGGTGGCTCAAACACAGGGCAAGGCCAGCAGAGAGTCCCAGCTGGGCGACGTGTTTCCCTCCACGTGGGCAAGAACAAGAACCCATGGGTGCCCACTGGAAGATGTCTGCAGCTCCATTTGGAGGAGGCCACCAGTTCAGATGGCTTCAATTTCATGAATCAGAGAAGCATGGGGAAGGCATTTCAGAGCAAAGGAACAGCTTGGCCACGTGCACAGAGGCGGAACTCAGGAGTATTTGACAGCAAGGCTCATGAAGTAGAAAAGAAGGTGAATGGGAGAAGAACCAAAGGAAGAGACTGGGAAAACAGGCTTGTGTAGGAAGAGCAGGGAGAGGGCCTAATTGGGAAACCACTGAGATGGTGGGACCCCTCGGACGTCCAGGTGCTGATGTGATTTTCAGTTGTATGAGGCTGCTGTGGGCCAGAAACACAGCTACACTTTGAGGATTGACAAAAGAGACGTGGGCTGAAAGGAGAATATTTTTGGACACTGTAAGAGGGACAAAGCACATCTAAATAGACACCTAGAGCAAGGGACATACATTTTGGGTGCCGACAACCCCTTTCTAGAGAAGCAGCAGCGTGAGCTCCCCTGCTGCTTGTTAAATGATGGATCTGCCCGATGAATGAATGAGTGGACTCTTGGAATATATGGCAGCTCCAGCTGGAAGCCAGCTTTGGGATCAAGTCCAATCTCCTCACTTTCAAGATGAGAAAGTGAGTACAGAGAAGGCAAGTGGCTTGCCTAAAGCCACACAGCAGGAGCTATTTCCCCCTGGTCTTCTAGCTCTCTAGGCAAGGAGTCTGCTGTTCTGCTCTGAGGGCAGGGGTATGAGTCCCTGCTCTCTCAGGATATTCCCCTACTCTTAGAATTACCCGCCTTCATCCCCTCCCAGCCATGGGCAGGCTCATAGCACACATGCCTTTCTCCACTCCCAGACTCAGAGCAGGATTCCTAGAGCTGCAGGGTGGACCCCTCCCTTCCTTTCCTTTGGGCCTGGGCTTTCATTTTCTCTCACCCTACCCCCTACCCCTAATCAAGACTTAGCAGATCCACACTCAAAGCCCCAAGCCTGAACTTGCCTCCAGATTGGAGACGGTGGGGTGGGCGGGCTCAGATTTTATCGCATCCCCTGGAATGCCCATCGTTCACATTTGCGAGGCAGTCTCTTCTCCCTCGACTCTGTCTCTCTTCCTTCTTTCATAGAGAGGAGGAGGAGGAGGGGAGCTGACTGGTTAATGGAATGTCAGAGCTGGGGGGGAGACTAGAGTCTATCTCGGTCACTGGTGTTTGAAATCAAGTATACATAAGAATCATCAGGGTGCTGGTTAATGTGCAGACGTGTGAGGGTGAGGTCTTTCTAGGAATTCTGGTTCAGGGTTCCAGAACATGTTTTTCACCATCTCCCATGTTCTCCGAGCTTCCCCCTCTGAGTCCTAAACATACCCCTCTCTGCTAATATAAACCTCTGTTCCACACTGGAACCATCCTCCAGTTTAAACACAGAGAGACCACTCACCACCACACCTCTAGAAACTGGAAGTGGCTGGGCATATAGTTGGGTCTGTTGGGGTCCATGGAAAAAGGAAATAGGCTCAGAAACTCACAGTTGGCATTGAGGGACATCCTGACTCAGGTTAGTAAGATACACATCTCACCTACAGGCACCACCACCACCACCACCACCACCATCATCATCATCATCATCATTTCTTTCTCCTACACAATAACCCAAAAGTGTTCACTGACCCTCTAAATGTGCCAGGTAAGCTGGCCAGGCTATGGAATCTGTGGGATCTTTAGAACACATGCCCAGCACTGAGCCAGGACAGCCTGCCCATTAGTCTGCCCCTCAGCCTGCCCCTCCTCCTAGCCAACTGGTGCTGAGCCTGAGGTCTTTATAAACCCCTGCTCATTGGATAGGGCCTTGCCTGCAGCTGGTGCATCCACTCAAGTTGGAATTCCCCTGCCCTGCTATTGGAACAATAGAATCCTTCCCTTGGGTGTTCTGGGGCCTTGTGGGCTTTGTCTCTGCTTCATTCCCCATTCAACACCCTTAACAAGCCAATAGTACTAATGTTAATATATTCCTTTATACAGAGATGATCCTGGCTCAGAAAAGCTGGGCTACTTACCTGAGGGCACAAAGCCTGTAAGTGGAGACACTGGGATTAGAACCCTTGGCATTTCTCCCTCCCTACCTGTTATCATAGCCTTAGGCACACTTGTGTCTTTCTAGGCCGACACCATCTAGTAAAATACAATAAGAGCCATAGATGAAATTTTACATTTTCTAGTAGCGGTATTAAAAAGTAATACGAAACAGATGAAGTTTAGTGGAATAATAGATTGTGTTTAACCCAGTATATTCAAAATATTATCATCTCAATATGGAGTTAATATAAAAATTATTAATGGGAATATTGCGCTCTCACATTCATACCATGTCTCTGGAATCAATGGTGTATCTTATGCTTCCGGAACATCTCAGCTGGGACCAGCCTCATTTCAAGTGCTGAGTGGCCTCCTGCCACACGTGGCTACTGACTGGCTGGTCTAGATTACAGCAACACCGCTGCCTCATAGGTGTGTGCAAAAGGGCACTGTGCCCAGAGTAGAGTGGGCACATGCTCAGTGTGAACCCTTGCCACCATCCACATCACAGGGATGCAGGGCCCACCACAGTGTCCTTGAATGAGGGGACAGCTGTGCTGAAGCCTTGCTTTGAAACCTCCACGGTGACCCTTGCTGGCTCGCTTTGCTTCCTGGTTGTGGTTGGCACCCTTCTCAGCCCCTCCCAGGAACCCACCTGGACCATGGCTGCTTCGCCACCCTTGCTTCCATATCAGAGCCCACCTCCCTTGGAGTTTGCCTCCCTGCTGCCCAGAGGATGGCTGAGGTTCCTGGGAAGATCCCTGGGTTGCTGTTTATACAAAGCCAAGGGCAGCCTCCTGGCATGTGGGTGCTTTGCTGGCACAGGGCCGGAGCCTTTTCTAAAACCTGGGGGTGGTTGGTGGGGCTTGCTGTGGAGCCAGGAGTGCTGCTCAGCCCACAAGGTAGCGTTTTGTCTCTCAAGGAGCTGGTTGGGCGGAGGCCTGTTCCCGTGCCCACTCCTTCTCCAAATGCCATGCCGAGGGGGAAATGCCTTTCAGTGCCGTCCTCGTGCCAGCCTCCAAGATAAGCTGTCGGCTGGAGGGGCCCTGAGCTGGCAGCAGGGGCTTCAGGGAGCCCAAAGAGGCTCTGGGTGGGGAGTTGGGGGTGTGGGGCCTGGATGGGGTTTGAAATCTTCACTCAGATTCCAACTCTAAACAGGAGGTGTGAAAAGACATATTGTTCACATTCTCTGTTTTCTAAAGGGGATATTTTGCCATACACTTGACCCACATTATTCTGCAGTTGCTTCTGGAAGCAGAGAATGAGTTTGTATCTCACACCCAAACACAAGGTTCACACACACACACACCACACACGCAAACACAACACATACACACTCAACACACACACACCACCCACACACTACAAAAACACACCACATATACACTCAACAGACACACACCACACACATACACACACCATACACACACCACACACACACCACATACACAAACACACCACATACACACTCAACACACACACACCACAAACATGCTCACACCATACACACACCATGCACAAGCACCACGCACACCACACACACACAAGCACACTACATACATAATACACACCACACACATACACACCATGCATACACACGCATACCACACACCACACACACAACACACACACAAACCACATACACACTCAACACACACACCACACACATACACAGACACCACACACACACCACACACACAAACACACCATATACACACTCAGTACACACACCACACACATACACACACAAAAACACACCACAAACACACTCAACACACACACCACACACCACACACACACGTACCACACACACCACACACAATAAACACCACACACACACACCACACATCCCCCCCACACACCCCAGGCACATACCCCACAAACACACCACACACACACTACACACATCCCCACACACACCACACACACCCTCCACACACACACCACACACACACCACATCCCCCACCACACACGCACACACGCACACACCCCACACACCCCACACACACTACACAAACCCACACACACACACCCCACACACCCCACACACCCCTCCATACCACCACCCCCCCACACACACCACATACACACCACACACACCCCCACACACACCACACTCATGTTCCACACACACCACACCCCCCACCACACACACACACACCCCACACACATACCACACACACACCACACACACATACCACACACACACCACACAAATCCACACACACCCCCACACACCACACACACACCCCACACACACACCCCCACACACCACCACCCCCCCACACACACCACACAGGCACACACATACACACACACACCACACACACACACCAGACACACCCCACATACACACCATACGCATACCCCCACACACCCTCTCACAAACACACCCCACCCCACACACACACAGTGCAGCTATGCACATCCCACATGCACTGATACAGGAGGGAGGATGTGGGTTTTACCTGTAGACCTATACATAGACCACCACAGGCCTAATGCTTGCCCAGGATTTTATCACTCAGCTTTCGTTTGCTGAATTACACACTTCTGAGAGGTTTTCCTCAGGCACATTTTCACGTTCAGCAGCAGGGAGCTTGGTGTGGTGAGACAGTTAGTCCCAATTAACAAACGAGGAAAGTGAGGTCTGAGGTGCAACGGGACTTAGTGCGGCCGACACAGCCAGTGGCAGAGCCTGATTCCAGCCCCTCTACTCTGGCTGACGTTACCCCTGTCACCTGCCCCACTAGCCAGTAAACTCTGTCGGGCAGGGACTACATGCCCCTGGTTTCTGCCCTTGGACCAGGGAGGCAGGAGGCTACATTACCAAGAGCTGGACCAAGGTTCAAATGTCAGCTTCCCTGATTACCAGCTGTGTGACCTTTGACAAATTACTTAACCTCTCCGAGTCTCAGTTTTCATATCTGTTAAGGAGGATAATTGCACTTGCTAAATAATATTGTTATGGGAATTGTAGAATGTGCCTAATAAATGTTTGTTGGGTGAACTGAGGTTGGTCTTATACATGTGTTGGCTCAGTGCTTGCTAATGCACATTAAATGGAGTCCCTTTCTCTTAGCACATGGCGGACATGCTCAACAAATGCAGAAGAAAAGAATAAAGAGATGAAAGCATAAGTCATATTTGCAATACACCTTTAGCACAGATTAAATTCCCAAATACACTCGGCTGTTCCTGAGATCACTCCAGTGCCTTCCTCCTTGGCTGATCTCCTTCTGGGCTGCCATCTTCCTCCTTCCACTGCAGAATCTTTACAGAGTGCTTTCATATCTCCCAGAGAAGTCCCCCTTGTAACTCTACTTCCTCAAAGTTTTCTTGGCAATTCTCACATGCATTTTCTTCAATATGAACATTTACAACAATTTTTTCCATTAAGATCTCACTGAGACCCTGGTTGGACATGTGCTCCCTTTGCATATTAATTCGGGAGGATGACCATGTATGGAATTTGGCTATGAAACAAGGCTGGTTTCCAAATGGAGTCCAGCTCGTTTCTATCAGTCTCACAGCCCACACAGGGGGCGGGGCTTTCAGGACATCCTGAGAACTCCAGTGCCGTGCACACCTCTGTCCCAGAAGCATCTAAATCATGAAACAAGCATGGGGTGGGTGGTCTGGGTTCCCCAGGCAGGGGCTGCCTAGAAGAGAGGTACCTTGTGCTGGTCCCGGGAGCCTTCCCTCCAACCTGCTCCCTGGGTCCCTCCACACGCTCTGCTCCTTTGCTGGTCTCCTCTGGCTGAGTCCTCGGCTCTGTCCTTCACTCCTCCTCAGCACCGGCTGTTCTGGGAGCTGACTGGGGCTCCAGAGTACTTGGACTCATGCTTAAACCTCTCGCCTCCTCTGCCCACTCAGACTTTGGCTTCTCTCAAACGCTCACCTTTTCTCCATCCTCTCCCTGCCCTCCCAGACATAGCAACCTGCAAAGCTATACCCAAATAAAGGCGCAGCCATACCCAGAGCCGAAATAAACAGCGACTTAGCTCCTTCTGGGCACTCCTGTAGGACACAGTCAGCTTCCCCTAAGTAGGAATGGTTAGAAATTGGCATCAGAAGATCTAAGTTTGGGCCCTGGCCACTTATTAATGAGGAGCTCCTGGGCAAGTCCTTTACTTGCTCTCACTTTCCATTTCTTTCATTTGTGAAATGGAGCTGATAACTTTCTGGTAAGGTGGTTCTGAACCAACTATAGTCAGGCACCATGCCAGGCGTGAGGATTTAACCAAGATGAAACAGACCCACTCCCCGCCATCATTACACACACCGAGGCATTGAGAGGAATTCCTATTTCCCAGGTCTCAGTTTGCTGTCGGCTCTCGGCCTCAGTTCTGGCTGAAGCAGACCTAGAGTCTGATTCTGGCAAGTGGTTTAACCCCAACACACGGTTTCCTTATCTGTGAAGGGGGCTTCTTAACCCCCAAGGAAGCCATCAGTGTCATTTGGGGATAAACACTCTTTTGCCATCACCCCTCCGTCTCTAGGCTGTTCTGCCAGGAGCAGGTCCTGCCCTGGGCTGTGGAATCTGGGGCTCAGAAGCTGCCAGGTACCCACCTCCTGCCCTCCTTGCACTGCCTGCCTCTGCCTTTTCCTCACCATGCCTGGCCCTAGCAGGCTGGCTCTACACGGTCACATATGTGACTCCCCTGGCTTTTGGAGGTGCAGACCTTTGTCCCTTCCCCTTGGTGTACCCTGGGGTGCAGGTGGAAGAGAGAGAGACTCTGGGGTGCCCACATCACCCCCACCCTGGAACAGCAGGCTTCATAGGCAGGACCCAAGTATGGACACTCTGCAGACTGCAGAGGGCTGTGCAGACCGGAGGTGACAGCAGTTGGGGTTAGACATCACCCTGAGCACTGTTTGCTCAATAAGGAGCTTTTGTTGAAAGCTGGCATTTTTCTTTCCAATTTTTTTTGGCTTTTTCCATCTCCCATCTTCGCAGCATCTCCAATGCTTGGAGTCTTGGAGTTTTCAAACTCAGAGACTCTAGAAGTCACCTAACAACTTCGTCGCTTTACGCTGCTCCTGGAGGGTGAGTGACCCACCCGAGGCCACACAGCCAGGTTAGGCGAAGACGGGTCTGGAGCCCGGGCCCCTGACTCCCAGTTCTGCTGAGGGCCCCGTTCTTTCTGCACTGTTTCAGGTGGGGAGAGAGGGCAGGCTGGACCTGTGCAGTTTGTTTCCCCAAGTGTCGCACCGTCCTCCTCACCCTGCCAGCTTCAGCCAACCTGGGCAGCTGACTCCTCACCCTGGGCTCTGTCCTTGCCCTGTAAGTGGCCACCTTCCAGCCCCAAACCTTCCTGGCCCTTTTCATCCTGCCCACCAGCCCCCATGTAGCAGGACCCAGTAGAGAAGGGAGCTGGGTCTCCCTCTGAGCCCCTCCAGGCAGGACTCACCGTGGCCAGGACGGTGCTGGCGGCTGCTGCTGTCACTGCTGCCAGCGTCCAGGGCAGGAACCACCTCATGCCTGGACGTCAGTGGCACAGGCATCGACCGAGCAGCCCAGAGGATCCGACCACCTCTCGGGGGAGCTGGGCCCAGACTGGCCGGCCCATCAGGAGCACCAGATATGCCTCTTCCGCAGCCCTTGGGGGGTTTTATTAAAGCAAGATCTGACGTCAGGGTGAAGGACAAACCCTGCATTTTCCTCTGAAAAAACTTTTCCTGCCTCTCTCTCTTTTTTTTTTTTCTTTCTTCCCTCTGTCCCCACCTCCAGCCTGAGCTTGGCCAGCCTCCCCAGCTCTGACAGTTCTTAAAGGGAAAGTTACAAGGCTATGACTTCACACTAGGGTGTGAAATTCTCACAGAGGAGCTGGGGTCATCCTGCCTAGGTCTTTCACTACTGTAGGGAGGGGGGAGCATGGGAGGGTGCAGGATGTCCGAGGAGATACTGTTACCCCAGGCAGGCGGGTGTGTGGGCTTTGAGAGGGCTCCCAGTGGGAAATCAACTCCCTGTCATTTCTTCAGGCTGCTCCTACTTCTGGTTTTCTTTTTCCTTTTCTTTTTCTTTTTCTTTTCTTTTCTTTTTTTTTTTTTTTTTTTTTTTTTTTGAGACAGAGTCTCGCTCTGTCGGCCAGGCTGGAGTGCAGTGGCGCGATCTCTGCTCACTGCAACCTCTGTCTCCCAGGCTCAAGCAATTCTCCTGCCTCAGCCTCCTGAATAGCTGAGATTACAGGCATGTGCCACCACACCCAGCTGATTTTTGTATTTTTAGTAGAGACGAGGTTTCACCATGTTGGCCAGGCTGGTCTCAAACTCCTGACCTCAGGTAATCCGCCCACATCAGCCTCCCAAAGTGCTGGGATTACAGGCGTGAGGCATTGCGCCCAACCCTACTTCTGGTTTTCATTTGCCCTCTTGCACTCCCCTCTACCTAGCTGCAAGCGAAAGAGGTGGCTTTCAGTCCACCCATCTAGAGATGATAGGAATTCACAAATAAAATGAGCTCTGAGGCTCAGGTTACAGCATCACCTTCATGACACGTGAAAGCCACGGTAACGCATTTGCTGTTTGCCGTCTCTGCTCATTGGTCAGAAGCCGTTTGGTGCTGGAGCTGTCCCCACGTGTCTCTGGATGCTTGCTATCCCTGGGGGGTTGGGTTTCCTGGCCTGTACCCTTATTGCACTGCTGCCACTGAGTCTCTTCCTTGGGCAAGAAAGGAGATGGGATGTCTTCTATGGGCTGTCCTAGTCCAGCCCTGTGCTCCCCATGGGGACCGCTGCCACAGCCTCCTGACTGATACCCAGCCTCCCTGCCCACCTTCTACCATCCACACATCTCAGAGCAATCCTTGAACTAGCGTCATGTATAGATCATCTTCTGGATACAACTGTCCAAAGCCTGCCCATCACACAGCACAGAGTCCCCAGTCCTGGCGTGGCCCCTGGGCCAGCCAGCTCCCTGTACACTTCTTCCTCTCTCCCTTTCGTGCACCATGCCCAACCACAATGGCCTCCTTGCAACTCCTCTCACACCTTGGCAAGTTCTCAGCATCTCCAGGTCTCAGTAGGAATACTCGACACTGAGGTTTAAATGACAGTTACTCCTTCTCTTCTCTTTTCCTGTAGCTTATTAACAAGGGATGCTGAAGCATGTGTGGCTGCTTGGAGGTAGCAGCAGGCTTGTGTTCATGGAAGAGGTTTATGATCCCTATAGACATGACCCCAGAAGAGATGGTGCTCATGATTTCTCCATTTACTGACCTGGGGATGTGCCTCTGATCCAATTCCGGCCAATGAGACATAAGGGAAACCTGCTAGGGTCTTCTAGAAAAGATTCCCTTCCTCAGGAAGAGAATGACCATCTACTCATTCTTTTCTTTCCTTGTGTGCAAATGTGATGGTTGGAGCTGCAGCAGCCATTTTGGGTATATGAGGCTGAGAATAAAAAGTCAACAAATTGAGGATGGCAGAGTGGAAGCAAAAAAAAGGTCTGAGTCGTTGGGACTTCATGTTGTTGTTGGAGCCACCATTCAGACTTCTCATTACATGAAATAATTTAATATTTTATTGTTTAAACTGTAGTTAGTCTGAATTTTCTTTTGTTGGAGTCAAGTTGTATACTAATTGATACATGAGGATTACTAAAATCATATATGTAAAATTAAAGGGCAGGGTATGTGGGGGGCATGTAAGGACTGCCCAATAAATGTCAGTCATTTTCTTCTCATTAATTTATTGATGCTTAAAAACAAATCCCAGGCTGGGCACGGTGGCTCACACCTGTAATCCCAGCACTCTGGGAGGCCGAGGCGGGCAGATCACAAGGTCAGGAGATCGAGACCACCCTGGCTAACACAGTGAAACCCCGTCTCTACTAAAAATATAAAAAATTAGCCAGGCATGGTGGCGGGCACCTGTAGTCCCAGGTACTCGGGAGGCTGAGGCAGGAGAATGGCGTGAACCCTGGAGGCAGAGGTTGCAGTGAGCCGAGATCGCGCCACTGCACTGCAACCTGGGTGACAGAGCAAGACTGTCTCAAAAAACAAAACAAAACAAGCAAACAAACAAAGCAAAAAATAAATCCTAGGAGGCCAGCATTGTTGACAGGTGTCATTAATAAATAACCCAAGGTGTTAGGGGCCAATCTAGGCTCACTTGGCTTTTGATGAACACTAAGTATGAACGGGCTCTGTGCTGTAGAGCATCTCATGACTACAAGGCAGACAGTGTTATGAAATAGGTGGAACACATCTCAGAGATGCTAGATGGTTTCAGAGCACACGTATGAGTAGTAGATCTGAGGCTGAAACTAAAGTCTCTTAACCTCAGACAAGGCACAGAGTCAGGACCAGACATTTCCAAGCCAGCTTGACCTGCCAAAGCCTCTCAATGTTAAGTGTAACAAGAGCCTGCAGAGCTGGAAGCCATTGAACTCCACCATCATTTTTAGGAAATCCAATTGTCTCGAGCAATTGAAGCAGGCACCCCAAAACATGATCAAAGTGCTGACCATTCCACCTGTGGGTGAAACCTCACATGACCCGGTGAGCCTCATGGGCACCTGCCATTCTTCAATGTCAGTGAAACTGAAAACAAACGGCCCAGTGACCTGGCCAGGATGGTAGATTTGGAGGCAGAATGCCAAGGTGTCCCCCAGCTCTTCCATTTACTGGGGGCCTCGGACAATCAACAACCTCTCTGTGCCTCAGTTTTGCTTGTTTAAAGAAATGATGTTAGTGTCTACCAGATAGGGTCCTCAGGAGGCCAAAAGGGGATAATTGGTATGTCCCCACTTTCCTGATTAGAGGAGCCAGTATGGGCCGCAGCCTAGGCTGCTACGATTGGGTTGTTGTGTGTCCATCCCCACAAGAGCCGGGCAAACACTAAGTGTCTGGCCAGTGGACCAGAACAATAGTTGCTGTGTTCCAGGTGACACCATCTCACCAAATCCTCATCTCAATTCATTCTCACAACCAGTCTCCCATTAGACATTATTATCCCCATTCGACAGATGAGGAAATGGAGGCATGGAGAGATAAGTAACATTTCCCTGCCATTCGGCTAGTACATGGCAAAATTGTGATCTGAACACAGATCTGTGCAGCTTCAAACAATTTTTTTCCCCAAGTAGAGCCAGCTTCCTCATGTGTTGAACAAATAAATGAATAAGTAAGGAATGAATGAATTCAGTAGATGATGGACGGATGGGCAGAGGGATGGAGGCACTCAAGTATGGGGAGATCATACCACTGTTTGGAATGTCCCATTTCCCAGGACTTCCAGGGACAGTCTTCCGCAAGGATGTCCCCCTGTCCTAATCACTTCGTCTAAATAGGCCCTCCGGGCTGGTCTGTAGCTCAGTCACCCACTTTCTTCCTTCATGGTTCTAGCCCTGTGTGCCATTGTTTGTTTATTGAGTATTGATCATTTCCCACATAGATTTTGAGGTCCAAGGGTGAGACCAGGCCCACATCTTCTTATCTATACTGTGTCCACAGCATCAGCACAGAGCCTGGCATGCAGAGGGTACTTGAGACATATTTTTTAGTGAATGACCAAATGAACCAATGAAGAAGTAGATGAGTGAGGTGGTGAAGGGATGTATGGGTTGAAGAATGAAGGGAGGAAGGAGGAAATACTTGGAGGAGAAGACAAATGTGTCCACACATGCTCCTCAAGAGCCAAACTCTGCTCCCTCAAGGTGCTGAGAGGAAGATGAAGCCCATTTCAGGTCTCCAGGAACCACTTATGGAGGGAGCATCAAGGCGTAAATGAAAGACGGAGGTGGCCGTCATCCTGGCTGAGCCCAGGTAAGAGTGTGCAGGTTGCAGGTCCTGGGGGTGATCTTCTGCCTTTTCTCCAGGAGTCGGGCCCATAGGCATCACACAGGGTGACTTATTTTCATTGTCAATGGTGATTTATTGGTACCGGTGCTGCAGAGGGTTCATGGCATGCTGCCAAGGCTACACAGGGTCCCTCTCTGAACAGGGTCCCTCTCTGAACAGGGTCCCCTCTAAACTTAATTTACCAATGTTCTCCCTTGATCCTAATTCCCCATGCCTCTCCTCTGCTCCCCACTGACAACAGGATCTGCATCCCTGAACTTGGATGATTTGTCTGCACGTGTCCTTGTAAACACTGTGAGGTTGTTCATTCAATAATCACATATGGAGTACATACTATGTGCTAAGCACCTTTGAGATAGGTGCTCAAACCACGTCCTCCTTATATTTGAGGAAATCAAGGCACAGAAAGCTAAAGGAACTGGCTCCAGGTCTCACAGCTAGCAGGCATTTGACTACAGACTGGAGCCAGAGAGTGGGCTCCTGAGTCCTGCGCCTTTGTGAGTTTTTAATATAGGTAGGTGGTGGGTGCTACAGCCTCCTTCCATTTTTCCTCTTTTCCACTGAGTTCTATATTTTTCAGATCTGTCTGGCAGCCCCTTCCTAGTGAGTGGCTCCTGACTGCTGCCTTGGTTTCCCCAGTGTGACTTCATCCCATCCCCCATGAGGGACCCTTAAGTTCCCTCCAACTCCCACCAGCAGACCCAGCCACTGCTACTTTCAGGCCTGTTAAGGAATTCCTCTGGGATTCAGGGCTTGCCACCTTGGCTGATGTCATTCTCATGTGGCTGATGGTTCAACGCTGTCCACACAGGCCTGGGTTGAACTTCTACCTCCTGCTACTTACTGCTGTGAGCCCTGGGAGAAGTCACATAACCTCTCTGTGTTCTGGTTCCCTTGTCTATAAAGTGGAGATGAGAGAGGTACTGATCACTCTTTTTTTTTTTTTTTTTTTCTTGACGGAGTCTTGCTCCATCTCCCAGGCTGGAGTGCAGTGGCGCGATCTCGGCTCACTGCAAGCTTCGCCTCCCAGGTTCACGCCGTTCTCCTGCCTCAGCCTCTGGAGTAGCTGGGACTACAGGTGCCCGCCACCACGCCCAGCTAATTTTTTTTGTATTTGTAGAGACGGGGTTTCACCGTGTTAGCCAGGATGGTCTCGATCGATCTCATAACCTCCTGATCCGCCCGCCTTGGCCTCCCAAAGTGCTGGGATTACAGGCGTGAGCCACTGCGCCCGGCCAGTACCAATCACTCTTAACTGCTCCCGGCACTGAGTAAGAGATGTAGAAGGATTTATTACACAGCTTAGCACATGGTACGTGCTCAATAAAACCCCACATCTAGGATGCATATTCTTGTCACTTGCCCTTGCACCTTGAAGTCAGGGTCCGGCTTGGGTCACTTCTGTGTCCCACATTTGGGCCTGGCACATAGTAGGTGCTTCTGATGTGTGTGGCAAGGACAGGCGAGCCCATGGTGGGGACATTGTTTGGGTTCCGGCCTGCATTTAACCTTGCACTGGAGGTGGGGCCTCACACTTCCTCCTCTTTGGGCCTGGGATCCCTGCATCCAGCTCTGAGCAGGGCTTCCAGGCAGGTCCTGCAGCAGATCTCTCAGGGCAGCTGTAAATAAATTCCAGAGAGGGGCTGGTGGAGGGGGCTCAAGAACAGAGGCCAGGCAAGAGCATTCCTATACCAAACAGTAAGACCACCTTGACCACAGACAGATGCACAGAAGATTCCAGAGGCTGTCTCAGGACCAGGCACCCCAGAGTCCCCTGCAGCTCCCATCTGCACCAGATTTACTCATAGCCTATTTGTTTGCCGTTTATTTGTCCCATGAACATGCACAGAGCCCACACTGTACAGAAGGCAAGGTGCCCGTTCCTGGGTGACTCAGATGCACACAAAGCATTTCTGCTGAGCCAATGCAGTTGCTTTGGAAAAGCAGAGGGGGGTGGGGATGGGTTCTTCTTAGACCTTTGCCTCCCGGCAGTGCAGATGTGTGGCCCAGATGAGCCTCTGCCTCTCTTCTTGGGGCCCAAGCAAGAATGGAGGAACCATTGAAGGGGCACCCTTGACACCAGGCCTGCCTAGAGGCCAGAGGGGCCGAGGTGTGTCCCTTATGCCCTACCTTAAACAGCTAGGTCTACTCTGGGAGGCTGGCAGCACTAGGAAACCCCTGACTGGCTCCCCTTCTTACCACTCAGATCCTGAGCCACAGCTTATTTGGGCGGAAACTCACCTGTAGCCCCAGTCTTGGCCACAGGTGAGGTCTCCCAAGCCTCCTCAAGAGCTTTGGCGTCAGGATGGCCTCTGCTAAATATACAAGGAAACCCTTGCTGCATTGCATGACAGCTGGGAGATCCTGGAAAGGCCACTGTCCTCTCGGAGATGCGGCAAGACCACATCTCTACAAAAAAAATTAAAAAGTTAGCCTGGCATGATGGTGTGCACTTGTAGTCTTAGCTACGTGGGAGGCTCAGGCAGGAGAATTGCTTGAGCCCCAGAGGTTGAGGCTGCAGTGAGCTATGATCATGCCACTGCACTCTAGCCCAGGTGACACAGTGACACCCTGTCTCTAACAAAGAATACTATTTATTAAAGTATAACTTACATTAAAATGCACACATCTTAAGTGTACAGCTTGATAAATTTTATACATGATTTATGAGAACTTCTATGTGTATCACTCACCCAGTTCAAGATAGGGAGTTTCCCTCATGCCTCCCTCCCCGCAAATTGCAATGACGACTTCTATCACCCTAGATTCACGCTGTCTGTTCGTGAACTTCACACAGACAGAAGCGTACAGTACATGCTCTTTTACATTTAGCTTCTATGGCTCAACATGGTGCCCGTGAGATTCGCTGGTGTGGCTGCTCCAGCCACAGTATTTTGTGTTTTCAGGGCTGCAGTGGGAGAGTCCACTCCTGCTGTCCAGTTCTGGTCTGCAGTGGGGCCTCAGACTCTAGCCTTGGGACTTTGTCCTTTCCTCTGCTGTGGGGGACTCAGCCAGGGCTCTGTGTCCAGATTTCAATTTCACCCCTGTTGCCCCAGGACCTGGACTCCAGCCACATAGATCCCCAGCTGGATGTGAGGCTCCTGCTGTGGGCCACCATGGCCACATCGTGCCCTTTCATCTTTGTGCGCCCTGTGGTCTGGCCCCATGACTTGCATGCAGTGGGTGCTCAATAGATGTTCAATGTAAGAATAAGTCCTGCTCACCCTCTTTTATAAAAAGAGGATGGTGTCATCTACCTCATGGGGCTCTTGAGAGTTTTAAATCACAGAAAGTGTGCACCTCTCTGTTTCTCAGATCCCTGTGGCAAGAGCACTGCTGGCTGCTTCTAGAATACGTGCTGGGGGCTCCACCAAGCCCTCCTTGGGTTTTGATTCTTTAATGCAGAGCCACAGATGAGGCAGGTGTTAACATCCTCCCCATTTTACAGAGGCAGAAACAGTGTTTCTGGGTTCACCTTTGGGCTCACAGAGGTAAGTCATTGTTCAAAGTCACGTGCCAGGCAGGGGCCGGGATCGGATACCTGACTGTGGTGTTGCCATTGCGCAGGTGTGGGCCTCTCTGAGTGAGAAGCACTCAAGGTTCCAGAGCCTTCCAAGTGTTCCTAGGAGGAGGAGAGTGTGGGTTGGAGTGTTTGGCAGACTTGGTGGAAGATCTGGGTGCACGTGGGGCTTGGAGGCTGCACTGGTTTGGGTTGGCAGCGAGCAGGAAGCAGGCATTCTGGGCTGGGAAGCAGTGAGCAGCTGCCATGCGACTCTGCCACGGGAAAGGGAGTGATATTGTGCTTGTCCTGGGTGTTGAGCGTTTCCAAAGCACCCGTGGAGAAAACGGCAGAGAAGCGGTTTCAAAGCCAGACTGTGCCAGGAACCTAGAGTGACCCCAGCCCCTGAACCATGCCTAGGGAGCCACCTGGGGGCCTGGGCCGGGGGTTGGGGTGGGTAGCGATGAGAGTGTCTTCATTCTTGAGCTCCTAGGGCTTAGCAGCTGGCCCACATCAAATGCAGCACATTGTGGAACGGACGTTCTCAAAGCCCTGGTGCATGGAATTCACCTGGAAGCTTTTAAAACATAAAAATTCCCAGGACTGTGACCCAGAGGTTCTGAGTCAGTGTGTCTGGTAAGGGTTTGCAAATTTGCTTTTAAACAAACACCTCCGGGTGAGTCAGAGGAAGAGCATCCTTGGAGCCTGCTTTAAGAAATACGGCAGAGTGGAAAAGTGTGTGCTGTGGATCCAGGCAGGGGCGGGATCTGACTCCACTTCCTGCCAGTGTTTCATCACAGAGGAGCTATTTACCTTCTCTGAGCCTCAGATTTCCCATCTGTAAAATGGGCTGATAATATGTTCCATTGCAGGTTGTGGGGATGGAATGAGGCAACTGGATGAGTTTCCTGGTGCTACCATAATGATTTCCATAAACTCAGTGGCTTAAAACAACAGAAGCTTGCTTTCTCACAGATCTGGAGGGTAGAAATCAGAAATTGGGTGTTGTCTGGGCAGCACGTTCTCTGAGAGCTCTAGAGGAGACGCTTGCCTTGCCTCTTCCAGCTCCTTGTAGTTCCAGGGGTTCTTGGCTTGTGGTTGCATCACTCTAATCCCTGCCTTGGTCCCGCCTTTTCTCTGTCCTCAATGTGTGTCTCTTATAAGGACGCTTGCCATTGGATTTACAGTCCACCCAGATAATCCAGGATGATCTCACACCAAGATTTTTAACTTAATCCCATCTGCAAAGAATTCTTTCCCAAATAAAGTCATGTGCCCAGGCTCTGGAGGTTAGGATGTAGACATATCTTTCTGGGGCCACCATTCATCCTATTATGGCAACATGCATGAAAACTCTGAGGACAATGTCAGGGGCATAATAGATGCTCAGTACATATCAGTCTCCTCCATCTGCCCTTTCTTGTTTATCTGTTATTAAATCCTGTCATCCCCACCTTAAAATGCACAATTTGATCATTTATCACCTACACTACCACCATATAGGCATTGTGACCTACACCCAGCAGGGATGGTGTCACCCCAGGAGAGTGGCCACCCTGAGAAGAGCTGAGTGGCTTCTCTCATGGCTGAGGAACCTGCTGAGGCTAGAGGCATAGGTTCAGGGCAGTGGCCATGGTGGAACTCAGAGCTTCACCAGATATAGGGATGGAGCCTGGCTGGCCCTCGGGGAAATCAGGATTATAAGAGTCAGCCCAAGTGCCCAACAGTTCCTGAGGGGCAAACAGTGGCAAATGGTTCCTGAAATTGGGCAAATCAGTGGCCCCTCTGGGCCTCAGAACCCCATCCATGTGCTGAAGAGGCCACCGCTCTCTGCACCTTCCCAGCCACATAGCTCTCTATTTGAATGACTTATGTCTACTGTATAGGCAGGAATGGTTCAGAGAAAAGGGAGATTAGGGAGGACTCCAGCAGAAAGTGGGGTTTTCTAGATGTGAGAAAACAATTTCCTTACTCTTGTACCCCAGACCATCTTGGACTGCCTCCTGCCTCCTCTCCCACCACACCCACTTCTCCTTCCTCTCAGCTCAGATAAGCCTGGCCAACCCAGAGTTCCCGCAGGACCGGTCTCTGCCTATGACCTGACTCTTCCTACAATGCCCTTCACCACATGCCTTGCTGCCAACTCTTGCTCATCCTTCAAGATTCTGCTCAGACTTTTGTCCTCCGGGAAGCTTCTGTATCACTCAGGATTCTACGAGACAGGAAGAGTCACCATAAAGGGACACTGGATTCCATTTATTCCACATGGCCATTTATTTATGAAACTTATTCCATATGGGAATTTTAGGCATTCAGGCTTACACAAATGGGAAACAGGGGCAGTGAAGATCTAGGAGGAGAGAATAGGGGTGGAGTCAGAGAACAGCCATTAATCAGTCTACTGAATTTTTATTTTATTTTTGCTGCCCATTTCGGTACCCACACCCTCCTGATCTCTTGCAGATTTCAGCCTGGGACTTCATCATCTTCAGCGAATTCAGGGAGCCCATTTAATGGGAACACATCCCACTATAACCATCAGCTTGCAGAGGATGACCCCAGCAGAGGCCTTCATGGTTGCTGGTGCTCTCTCCACCATTGTATCCCATAGGCTTGGGAAAAGGAGTGTCCTCTGGACCTTCCTGGGGGGTATAACTCAGCTGTGGGTGAGCAGATGGTATGAAAACTCATGCTAGCAATCTGACCTCCCTAAGTCCGTTATGGAACACGAAAGAAGTTCTGTATCTCAATCTTACTCCAAAGTGGCCACTTTGGGGTTCAGGTTTCAGTGAAACTACCAAACAAACTGTTAGAACTATTCCCAGTTGCTTGAGTTGATTGATGCATTAAATCCGGGATCTCTAGCTAGTGAGCCCATGTCAATGGATATGGCCTGTGCCAACATCGTGTTCCTTTTACCCTGATCCAACATTCTTAGGATTTATTTAAATTCATGTGCTCCGAGTGTCTGTTGATGCAAATTAGCAAAATTTTGTAGGTGGTATATTGTATCCCCTGGTGCTGCTGAAGATTGCATCTGGTGATGTCTAGATGAAATCAGAGGCTATGGGGTGCATTTTTAGTAGGATTAGCTCCCTTGCAAGGCAGCTATCTCAGGATGTTTCATAATATGTTCTATGGACATGGAGAACTCAACCTCTCAGATAGGGAAGAAGGGTGGTTTCAACTGGAAAGAAAGCTTACAGAATTTGGGAGTTCCAGGTCCTCAAATTCATTTGGAATCTGCTCATATGTTCCCAACTCAATATTGAGGGTTCCACTCTCCCAATTCCTCCTTCCTTGCAAATTTGTGAATTCAACTTGCATTATAATTCAGCCATCTCAGGACGTGGTGTTGTGTTTGGCTTTTATAAATGTCAATCCTTTGGCTACAAAAGACAAGGATTTCTTTCAGGACCACAGTAGAAGCTTTGTGGTTCAGTATTCAGATTTTGAGCTGGGAACTTAAAGTCTGAAGATCAGTTTCTTTCCTTAAGTTCTCCAGTGTACTGGAGAGCAACCAACCGACCCTAAAGTACTTAGATTCTTTGTTACTACTAAAATATTGTAGGAGAGCAGGTGCCAGGACCTTTAAAGTTTTGCATGTTATCAGTTCTTGACCCAGGTAGAAGTTAAAATAGTCATGTTGATCTTCTAGAGTTATCACTTCATCCTTACTTCTGTCCTTCTAATCTCATTCAAGTTTTACTTTTGGATACATCTATTTGGAATTATACAGAGAAGGGGGTTCTAGTTGTTAACATTCTCAACCTCAGCCAAATTGGCACATGCAATCCAACTCACCTTTGGAGACCCCAGAGACAGAGTTAAACGCTCTGTCTCAATCCTTTCACTTAACTGTTATTGTATTAGTTCATGGCATTTTTCCATGTCCACTATGTATTGTTCACCCACCTAAGTTCTCCTGCTGTCTTACCTTCCCACAATGAATTGTATTTGTTTCCTTGTTCTTCATCCCTTTTTACCTATAGAAGTAAAGGCTGTAATCCTTGTTCTTGTCATAAATACTAATATTAACTCCTATTTACTTAGAACTTACCACGAGCCAACCCTGTTCTATGTTCCTTTTATGTGATAAGCCATGTAATTTTAGAAAAACCTGATAATGTAGATTCTATTGCTATTATCCTTGTTTGGCAAGAAAGAGATGTGAAGCACAGAGGGGTTAAGTAACTTGCCCAAGGTCATCCAGCTAATAGACAACAAGCTAGGATTAGAAGCCTGGGAGGCCATGCTGGGTTCACTCTACAGTGTCTGTAGTCTCCATCATTGTGCTGTGACTGAATAGCACGGGGATGGGGAGATGGATGGAGGAGAGAAGGGAGGGTAAGGAAGGAAGAAAAAAGAGATTGGGAAGAAGCTTGAAATTTGATTAATGAGGGCCAGAATATCCTAGATGGGTATATGGTGGAGGGCTAAGAAAGGGCCCAGCATTGAGTGCCTATTGTCCTGTCTGTAGGGACAAGTCCAAGTAGACAGTTTTTCCCTATTCCACATTTAGGTGGAAAAATGTGTACTTCAGTATCCACTCCTTCCTGAAGGTCTCCAGTCTGCAGGCCTGCCCTATGGATTTTGGACCTGCAAGCCCTCATAGTAACAGAAGTCAATTATATATAAATCTGTCCATATCTCTACCTCTATCTCTAAATGTATATGTATATCTATATATCTCCTACTGGTTCATGTCCTTGCTCTAGGGAGAAAAACATTCTAGGCACATGATATTCTATTATAGATCCAGTTCTCCCAAGCTCTGGATGGGAAATGTGGTATCTGCCATGGGTGGTCTTGTTTGTCAAGTGCTGGATGCTTGGGACCAAGGGCTGGGATTCATTGCTTTCTTAAAACCACACCCTCTCACTCCCCCTGCTTCCTGGAGATGACCCACTAAAAATGGGAAGCCTGCATGGCCACACCCCTCCTCCCAATGTATGTTGGGCAGCTCTTCTGCAGAACAATCTAGCATTGCTTAATAAAATGAAGCAATCATGTGCCCTATGGCCTTCTGTGTGTACGCCCCTGAGACATTTTCCCAAGGACCATAAAAGGACATGCAGGAAGATACTTATCCAGGTATTGCTTGCAGTGACAAGGAGCAGGAGGCAGCCTAGGCATCTGATTTGAAGGAAAGGAAAGTAAAAGCAGCCATTCAAAACAAGAGATGGATGTGCATAGAACAACAGGGAAACAGTTGATACCCAGAGCTGAATGAAAGAAGTAAAACGGGGAGGAGACCTCCAGTCAGCACCAGTGATGTGAATTAGAATCAGATGCACCTCATCCTGCAATGTACATGTACATGTTCAGAGACACACATGTTAGAGATGCTTCCTATGGCTGTGAAGGAGAGGATTGGAGAGGGACTGGGGTGGAAGGGCAACACAGGAGCCAAAAGGCGAACAAGTGCTGCATGGATGATAACGAGCTGTAGACTGGAAAATTCAGTTAGCCTCACTCCTCTGCATCCAGGACAGTGCAACAAATTTCAGAGAGGTTGGAAAAGGAGAAGGAGCAGGAGAGGAGGGGAAAGAGATGTAGAAGAGAAATAAGAGGAAAAGGAGGAGGATAAAAGAGGAGAAAGAAGAGGAGAGGGAGGATGAAGAAGGAGAGGAGAAAGAAAATGAAAAGAAGAGGAGAGGGAGGAGGAGATGGGGGAAAGAAGACAAGGGAGAAAGAGGAGGAAGGAAGGAAAACTTACGTCTGCCCAGAAACCTTTACAGGATCATTCATAGCAGCTTTAATTGTAATAACCCAAAACTGGAAGAAACCATGATGCCTTTCAATGGGTAATTGTTTAAAGAAACTTTAGCATAGCCATGCCATGGAATACTATTCAGCAATGGAGAAGAACAAATTAAAAATTGGTCACAGAAAAGAAAGGGAGAGGAACTGAAATTTGGGGGAAATCTCCCATGTTCCAGGCACTTTTAAGTTTATGATTCATTCTATTTTCAAAATAATCTTACAATATCAGGTATTATGATGCCCATTTTACAGCTGTGAAAACAGGAGATCAGGGAAATAAACTGAGGCTCAGAGAGATTCCATGCTGTGTTAGTTTGCTAGGGCTGCTGAAATGAAGTAGCACAGACTTTGTTGGCTTGAACAACAGAAATTTATTTTCTCACAGTTCTGGAAGCTTGAAGTCTAAAATCAAGGTGTTGGCAGGATTGGTTTCTCCTGAGGCCTCTCTCCTTGCCTTGGAGATGGCTGTCTCCGCTCTGTGTCTTCACATGGTCTCCCTTTTGCACGTGTCTGTGTTCTAATCTCTTCTTATAATGACACCAATTATATTGGGTTAGGGCCCACCCACATGACCTTGCTTTATGCAATTGCATCTGGAAAGACCCTACCTGCAAATACACATTCTGATGAACTGGGGGTTAGGACTTCAACATAAAAACTTTGAGATGGACACAATTCAGCCCATAACAGATGGCTGAAAAGCAACAGAGCTAGAATTTGAAACCAGACATTTGGGTTAGCTCAGCCCTTTATCCACCCACAAACAAATGTTGATTGGCACCATCAGGATTTTTTTCTGGGCATGGTGCTAGTATGCACAGTGTGCAGGGCACCTGCTAGACAATCAGAGCTATAAATCGTGATTCAGAATCTGTAGTCACTTGGCCCCTTCGGGGAGATTGTAAAGCTGGTGTGCTGTACACACAAAGTGGAGATCTGACCCCTGGACCCCCGCCATCCTCACACACCTGTTGGATTTGAACGTGCTTGAGCCTCTGGACTGGCACTCTGGCTCTCTGCATGCGCTCTCGCCAAATTCCCTTAAGTCAACCACAAGTGCAAATTCTCCAAGGACTGGCAAGTGGATGTGGGGCAAGGCAGGGTGGAGGTTAGACCAGGCTTGACTCAACCCAGAAGAGTGTGGCCTGAGGTCTGGGGAAGCCTGGTCGCCACTGGGTTTCTGTTTCCTCCACGGAGCATGGGGAACATGTTCTGGGTTGACAAATGACAGGTCTGTGGCAGGATTGTGACAAGGCACTCTCTTCCCTGAGCAATGATGCTCAGATTGCCTCAATATTAGGGGTCAGCCGCTGGAATCAGACATAAACTCTGAATTTGGCCAAGGGCTCTTGAGTTTCGAACACTAAGAAGGCCTAAGAGTCAGACAGCATCTGTGGCTTGGAGTCTTTTCCTGCCAAGACCATCTGGGATTTTTGGACATGGCTGTGATATCTCCCCAGTTCATCTGTGCAGCAATGTTCTCTGGGGTTAGGGTCATTGAGTGCTGGATGCCTTCAGAATTCTTCCCAGCTCTGTGTTTAGCTTCCATGTCACAGATAAGATGCTGATGTCACTGCGATGAAGCGATCTGATGGCCTCTTGTCCCTCAGCACCAGCCCAGACACTTGCCTCTCTAGTGTCTACTCTTTCACTACTGTTAGCATAAGGTGAGTCAATTTAACTCAACAAGTGTCAGCAGACCCAACAGTCCATGCTGGTACAGAAGGGATGCAAACATGAACAAAGCGACAAACTCAGGTCCCAGCCACTGCAGGGCCATGGGGGATCACAGCAGGTCCACACACAACTTCTCCATAGGGCAGACTGGGGTGGACCAAGGAGAGAAAACCTAGAAAGGTCATAGAAGGGCCATAAAAGGCATATAAAGGATGAATAGGAGTCCGGTATCTGGGTAAGGGGATATGAGGGGACTCAAATTTTAGGTGGAGGAAAAAATGTGCACATTCACAATACAATGTAGCATTTACCAAGCTGTTTGTATGTACCAGGTGTTATTTAAAGCACCTCACACGTAGTCATTCACTAATCTTCACCATGAAACAAAACACAGCTTTCCTTCTTTCAGCTCCATTTGGTATGTGAGAGAACAGAGATGCAGAGAAATCAAATCACCTGCCCCAAGTTCCATGGCTGGAAAATGGCTCAGAGTCCACTCCTCAACTCTATTCTGGTCTAGCTTTCTATAATGCTGATGGTGAATCTCCCATTTGTCATACACAGTTCACTGAACACCTCCTATGTGCCAGACACTGGAAGGAGCTGGGATTACAGTGCTCAAATAATTACAGTCTTGGCCCCCAAGGACATTAATACATAAGCAAATAGTCAAGTTCAATCCTATGCCATAGGTTTGCAGTTGAGGCAAGCCCAAGAATTATGAGAATACAGGGAAGACCCTTCACTCAGCCAGGGGTAGCCATGGGGTATGAAGCCAGAGGTGGGTGAGAGTTTGCAGATGAAGGAAGCTGAGACTTGAAGCATAGAATTAAGTTAGGTGGAGAAAGCAATTGTGGCTTTCCAGGCAGAAGGAAGAGTAGGTGGTCCAGGGCGAGAAAAATTGCCACTTGATTGTGGGGCCAAAGGAGTTCAGCCTGGCTGGGCAGGACACTCTGGGAAGAGGGAAGATAAGAGAGCCACAAAGGGATCAGATCCCAAAACCCCTATGAAAAATTGTGGCATCCCTCTGGGGGTTATGGGAGTCACTGAAAGGTGTCAACAGGAGGCTAATGTCAGATCTTCTAGAATATTCCCTAGGGCTACCTTAGGGAAGGGGCATGGTGCGGAGAGGGTTGGCATCTGGGAGTCCAGGTAGGAGGCTGTTCCTGGGTGGGGTTTGGAAGTGGGGTGCAGCAAGGGTGGCTGGGGCTCAGGGCACATGAGAGAATTAGTGAAATAGAGGCTCCACTTTGAAAGGAGACAGTGTCAGGACAGAGGTGGACTTCATCCTCTGGGTGGTGGATCTCCAAGGGCTTCTGTGCAGGGATAAAATGAGCGATGGATGAATGAAGTCATCAATGCAGGATTGGATGAATGGATGTGTGGACTAGTCGTGTTGGAAAGAAAGAACAGAAGTGGGGAGACAGCCTACTGGCCTCCGTACTTCCATATTTCCCAGGATAACAGCCTGGAGAGGTGACAGCTGATGAAAGCTCACCTCTAACAGCTGCTGAGTTGATTGACTTAATAATCTGAACATTCTGCCCATGTGGGCTCAACGCTGCATCTGTGAGAAAAGTAGGTGTGAGTGGAGAGTGAGAGGAAAGATGAATAGCTCAGTTAACTGTCCAACAGTGTGCTTGGTGCTGGATACAGTTGGGGAACAAGTCAGCAATGGCCCATGTCCTCATGGAATGCACAGTGCCTGGAGGAATGATGGGAGCAGAGATTCCGTATTGAAACCCAAGGCAGAGTTGGGGATAGATGACTTCTCTTTATTGGGTTTCTATCATAATTCCAAACGACATGATCCTGAAGGTTGAAATCCCAAAGGATCAAAATCCCTAAAGATCAAAATCTCTAACGTTTAAATCCCTAATGTCTAAAACTCCTAATATCTAAAAGACCAAAAATCACAATCACAGGATAACTGCATGGTGTTACGTGGAACTATTGCCTTGTTATTGTCTTTGTTTGGCTTTGTTATTGTCTTTGTTTGGAAATTAAGTGTAGTATAAGGAGATGTGTATGGATGACAAGTTGACAAGCAGTGGACTTAATTTTAGGTGCCAACCTGACTGGATTAAGGAATACCTAGAAACCTGGTAAAGTCTTATTTGGGGGTGTGTCTGTGAGGATATTTCCAGAGATTGATTGCGAGCCTGAGTGGACTAGGTGAGAAAGATCTGCCCTCAGTGTTAGTGGGAGCCTGGAGGGAAGAAATATAGAGGGTAATTGATCTCTTTCAGAGCTGGAATGAATTTTTCTTCTGCTGTCTTGAACATCAGAACTCCAGGCTCACTGGCCTTTGGACTCCATGACTTACATCAGAGGCCCCACTGGTCCTAAGGATTTTAGACTCAGAATGCAAGTCACACCGTCGACCTCCCCCGTTCTGAACATATAAACCTTGAAGCTTCCTCAATAAATGAAGAGATTTTCTTTTTGAACATGCAAATTTATGAAAGATAAAATTTCTCCAGATCTCAGCTCTGGGCAAACACCTATACAGCAGTGACCCACTGTGGTTTTTGATTTATCTCATCAAAAGACTCAGGTTGTTCATTCTGATATTTCAGTTGACCACAGTTGTAAAGCTGGGTGCATACAATTACCAACCATAATGATAGGCATTTTTACATTTTGATTTTTACTGATTTCTTTACAAATATGGCTCATCTGCTCAAAAACATTATACTGTGAGACTGTCATTAATACACCTGTTTATGCTTGCAAAGATATGTATGTTTTGCCTTATTTTGTTGTGTAAAGTGGCCTATGAAGTGTTCTGTCATGTTTTTATGTTTCTCAAATAAATCTCCTTTTATTTATTTTTATTTTTGTAGAGATAGGGTCTCTCTCTGTTGCCCAGGTTGGTTCTGAGCTTCTGGCCTCAAGTGATCCTCCCACTTCAGCTCTCCAAAGTGCTGGGATTATAGGCATGAGCTACCACACCCGGACAAAATCTCCTAAAAATGTAAGTAAGTGTCTTTAAAATAATTTTTTTTATTATTTTTTTTCAGAATTATATTTTTGGGGTTTTGATATCTTGGGATTTCAGTATTCAAGATGATGGCATTCAGGATTGTGTCTTTGGGATAACAATTGGCTCCTCCCTTCATACAACTTTCCTGCTGCTTTGAATGCTTTTAGGTCTTCTCATGTCCAGTGTGTCTCCTCCATATAGGTTTCCCCAAGCCTCTAGCCAGAGGTTTCTCTCCTTTTGATTCTTGTAGCATTTTGGTTTTCTCTGTACAGTTCAAATGACAGTTACAGATTTCATACATAAAATATACATGTGTCTCACATGTATTATAATTATTTGGATGTACTGTCAATTCTCTCAACAGATCATGACCGATCTGAGGACAGAAACAAGGGTTCATTCACCTGTGTATCCCCTGTGCTGTATGTCTGACCTGTGTTCAGTTAAGTGTTTACAGGAAGGAAGAGGGGAATGGAAAGAGGAAGAGAGTGGGCAGAGAGGAAAGGAGAAAAGGAACAGAGAGCATAAATAGCAAAAATAAGTATAAAAAAAAGAATAAATTGGGAAAATAAATATATGGATAAATGAATGAATGGATGATGGATGGATGGTGGATGGATGGGTGGATGGGTGGATGGATGGGTGGGTGGATATAAGGATAGATGAATAGTGATTACATAGATGAGTAAATGAAGGAACACATATCTGGGAAACTGAAAAAGATCAAATTCTGAGGTTTGTAAACCAGGGGATGGCAGGGCCTGCCCTACGATCTATGCTCTGGGGGTCTCAGAGAATGAGACGGTCACTTGGCTGCTAGTTTGAGGACCCAGGCTTAGAGACTGACTCCTGACTGAATTTATGAATATTTCTACTTATGAGTTTTTGTGTGTACAAAGACAGTAGGGAAGACCTCAGTATTCCTGCTTACGTGCTCCTGGAGCAAACTGCATAATCTGTCAGCACTCGGTTTCTCTTTCTGTTAAATGGGCACACAGTGCTCATCACCTGGGTGTGCAGCCTCTGGGTGAGCAATGACCTGTGCACCTCACCCACTGCTGGTTCCCTGGTTCCATGGTGCCTGGTATAGAGTCCATGTGCCTTCCTTTTGGATCCAGCTGATGCGGTGTTTGGGTTCTGCAGCACACTTGTGTACTGCCTCCCTGTGGGTCCCTGGGCTGGTCCCTTACCCTCTAGACCTGTTTCCTATTCTGTAAACTGAGGGGTTGGACAGACTCTCTAGAAGACCTTCTGTCTCTGGCTCTCCCTGACTTCGCTGCAAACCTCAGGTGGCTTCCCTGAGTTGAGGGGAATCAGGGACAGCCTCTTATCTGGCTGTGGCCTTTGGCTGGAAGGCACCAAAGGCACCTGATCCATTTGCCTTTGCAGAATCCTGGGGCATCGTTGACTCTGCGTGGGCAGCCTTTCCAGGGGGTTGCCAGGTCTGCATTGTCCCCAGTCTGCACGCCTCTCCAGGGCACAATGCTGACTGTCTTTCCTTTTCAAGATCTGGGTTGGATAAATTGTCTGCTTTCTTCTCCTTCCTTCTTTTCTATGAGTTTCAACAAATTCTGCCCCCGACAAAGCTGCCAGGTCAGTGAGAATCTGGCATTTGTCAACAAGCCGAGCTCAATGTGATCTTCCACAGGAACAACAACTGAGACTAGTTTCCAAAACAACTCACTCCACCCACGGGCTCACTCAGCAGATGTGGCAGGTTCCTGGGTATGAGGTGTGTGGTGTGGGGAGTGGGGACTCAGGCTCAGGGCTGAGCACCTCGGGCTTGAAGAGAAGTGAGGCTTAGGCAGAACTGAACTGACTCAACTGCTCAGTTGCTGGGTGCCTTTAAACAAGCTCCTTAACCTTCAAGTTTCTTTATCTATAAGTGAAAATTGCTAATAATTAGCCAAAAGGGGCTTTTGTGGAAATGAGAATAAAACATTTATAGAGTCTGGCCAAACATCTGGCACATGGAGGCATGCTGGCTATTTTTAATACTGATTTATATTTGTGTGTGTGTGTGTTTAGGTACATCTGTAAGCATATGCAAATGTATATATTTATATATATATAAATAATATTTTTTTATCAAAGAAACTTTTTTTTTTTGAGACAGAGTTTTGCCCTTGTTGCCCAGGCTGGAGTGTAGTGACACAATCGCAGCTCACTACAACCTCTGCCTCCCCAGTTCAAGCGATTCCCCTGTCTCAGCCTCCCCAGTAGCTGGGATTACAGGTGCATGCCACCATACCCAGCTAATTTTTGTATTTTTAGTAGAGACAGGGTTTCATCATATTGGTCAGGCTGGTCTCGAACTCCTGACCTCAGGTGATGCACCTGCCTCGGCCTCCCGAAGTGCTGGGATTACAGGCGTGAGCCACCGCACCCGGCCCAAAGAAACTTTTTAAAGAAAGAAATCAAAAGGTGCCCATAGACTTATTCTCAGAGGTAAGTGCTGTTACATTCTAAGGGACTTTCAGTATGTTTTCTGTATATATGTATATATTAGATGTATATTTAGAAAGTGGAGTCATGGTACTTGTATTTATTTGCTTTTTACTTAACATTATAAACTAAGCATTTCTGTGCCTTGAATACCCTGTGGGTGCTTGGTTTGAAATGGCTGCATGGTGTCCCATGTATGGACCTGCTATGATTTGTGAGAACGGTCCTCTATTGTTGGACACTTAACTTGCTTCCAGCTTCCCACCACTTTGGCAGGGAAGGCTCAGGATTTAAACCCAGTTCTGTCTGAGTCCAAAGCACATGACAATTTAGTTACCCAGGAGCCCTTCCTATAGGGCTAAGGTGTCAATATCCTGTCAATGTATCTGAAGTTTCTCAAACTCTATCTCTGCTTTTTGTTCATTCCCCCCGTTCCCCATACAACTGTGGTGTCTCTCTGGGCCTTTTTCCAGAAACGTAGTAGCCAGGTCACCACCCACATCTCACTAAGGAGCTATAGATGTGCACTTTTCAGAACCTGCACCCATTCCCTGCCCACATGGCCTGCCTGGATGGGAGGGGAGAGGGAATGGGGCTTAGGATACAGTGGGCAAGGCCACAAAAGATTGGGCAAGAATCTTTTTGTATTTCTTGAGAATCTTTGTTTTTTGATCCCTTAGGGTTTGGCCCAGAGCATCAAAGCACAAGTTCAGACATTTCTCTTGTAAACCCTCAAGTCTGTTGTTGTTTTTCTAAGTGAAAAAACCCAGCACCATGTGTTTCTCATTCTATTTACTCCACAGTTAAGAAAACATTGCAAAGGATGGGGGAGGACTCAGGTCTAAACAGATCTGGGTGCTGGATGAAGCCCCCTTCTTTCTCCTGTACACGGACAGCTCCCTAACATGAATCTCAGGAAGACTCAGCAGGGCTGTCATGTAGAGGTCAGAGCATCCAAATGTGCACCTTTTTTTTTTTTTTTTTTTTTTTTTTTTTTGAGATGGAGTCTCACTCTGTGGCCCAGGCTGGAGTGCAGTGGCATGATCTCAGCTCACTGCAACCTCTGCTTCCCGGTTCAAGCAATTCTCCTGCCTCAGCCTCCTGAGTAGCTGGAATTATGGGCACACATCACCACACCCAGCTAATTTTTGTATTTTTAGTAGAGTTGGGGTTTCACCATGTTGGTCAGGCTGGTCTCGAACTCCTGACCTCAATTGATCCACCCACCTTGGCCTCCCAAAGTGCTGGGATTACAGGCATGAGCCAGCATGGCCAGCCCAAACACGCATCTTACAGCAAACCTCTCTTTGCTACCTTTGCAGGAATCCTTCTCTAATTCATTCTCTCCCAGCTGCAATAGTGATTGGTCTAAAATAGACATCTGATCATTTTACTCTCTTTCTTAAAATCCATAAAAGTTGTTTTATTTTCTTCCATTATAACACAAAGTCCTTGAGCTTGGTTCCCAAACTCCTAAGCCCCTATGAGGTGCATCCTCTGCTAAGCCCTCTGCTCTCGTGTCTTCTCACATTCTGTGCCCCACCTGAGCAAGTGGGTTCCTGCAGATTCTCCATTCTGTCTTTTCATCTGGACTCATCCATCCCCTCCTTTCAGCCCAGAAGATGCATCCCTGATCTTATATTCTGTAGTGGGTGAATAGCATCCCCCCAAAATTCATGCTTATGTGGAACTTCAGAACATGACATTACTTGGAAATAGGGTCTTTGCAGATGGAATGAGTTAAGAATCTCTAGGTAAAATCATTCTGAATTTAGCTTGGGCCCTAAATCCAGTGACTGACATCATTGTAAGAAAAGGAGAAGACACAGAGAGATGCAAAGGGAAGAAAGCCAAGCGAAGACGGGCAGAGATTGGAGTCATGCAATACAATCAAGCCAAGGAATGGAATGAACAAGCCAAGAAATGCCAAAGATTTCCAGTAACCAGCAAACACTTAGAGAGAGGCAAGGAACAGGTTCATCCTCAGAGTCTCCAGAATAAGCCAACACTGAAAATACTTTGATTTTGGACTTCTGGCCTCCTGAACTGTGAGAGAATAAATTTCTGTTGTTTTGAGCTACCCTGTTTGTGGTATATGCTATGGCAGCCCCAGATAATGCATCTACTTTCTCTTCCAAGCCTCTTCACCTGGCCCATCCTAAGAGTAGCACTACACAGTGCAGGCCCTCGATCAGGCAGCCTGGGTTCTACTCCTGACTTCGGTTCTACTCCTGACTTCACCAGCTTTTATGCCTATGGCATTTGGCAAGTTACTCAACCCCTCTGAGCCTCACTTTCAGAAACTTAAAATGGGGCTAATAATTATACCTATATCATAGGTATACCCTATCATATTATCGGGCTCCAGGGGAACTTAAGGGAGTTACCACATATAAAGTGCTCAGAACAGTGTCTGCCACCTACAAAGTGCTTGGTGCATGTTAGCAAATCCTTGAGTTTGGACCTCACTCTGTGGTCAGATTAATGATGGCTGTAAATTCACTGATACTTCTCCAATGAGAAATGGGGTCTAATTCTACTTCCATTGAGTCTGGACTGTCTCCATGACTATTTTGACTAGTAGAGTAAGGCAGAAATAACTCAGTTCTGACTTTAGACTTTAGAAAGACAAGTAGCTCCCACCTTGGTCTTGGAATCTTACTGGAGAGGTACTAAGCCTATGTGGAGGACAGAGGTGCATGCAGGCCAGGCTTTCCAGCCATCTCTCCAAGATGTCCAGATGAAGCAGCCATCTTGGAAGTGGGTGCTCCGACCTCAGCTGTCCCAGCTGATGCCACGTGGATCACAGATGAACCACCTAGCTGAGCCTTTCCCAGCTTCTTGAACCATAACATTGTGAGCAAAAGAAAATGATTGTTTTAACACACTGACTTGTGGGTAGTTTGTTATTGCAGCAAGAAATAGCTGAAATGCCTCCTGTAATGAAGCTGCCTGGATTTTCCAAGTCTCAGATTTGTGGCTTTTCTGTGTGCTTAGTGCTGCTGGCTTGCTTACACAAGACTCAGTCTATATTTAATAATAGCACCTATGATAATAATAACTGATATTTAGCTGAGTGGATGGTTCAGTTCTTTCTGAATTGAAGGGAGGGGTGGTTTGAATTTTCCATGGGATTCACATGGAGGCCTTGCCCAGATAATAGTTGGGCTTAGAGAAGCCAAGCAGAATGCCTACTCCCAGTGAAAACTCACTCTCCAGAGGAAGTGGGCAAGAACTGCATTGAGCATGTCCAGGCTTTCCTCCCTGGGCAGGACGTACGAGGGGCCAGGGAGACCAGGAGTGATTTCCCATAGGAGGAACAACCAGGAGTTCAGAAGGACTCTTGTTCTACCTGCAGCTGTCACCTCCTTCTGCCACCACTGCACTTTTTTTCTATATTCTACAAGTTGTCCTGGCATGGACTCAAATTTGGAACACAGCCCTTTTCTTCACCAAACATGCTCACATACACATGCATGCACACGCACACACAGCCTCTGTTTGTAGCAGAATTTAGTATAAAGCTTTAAGTATATGGAAGAAAAGTTATTCACAGTAAGACAAACAATTTAGAATTGTAGTTGTCTGGCTCTTTGTCATGATTCTTTGTCTTTTTTTTCTTTTCTCCCCACCCCTCAGTCATGAATCCATCTTTATTTTTAACACCTTCTGATTTATTGTGTCTTACTTATGTCCTCGATATTCCAATACCAATCTCATGTTGCTGATCAAAGTCATTTCCTTAAAAATCATCTCTGCTACATGTTACCTCAGTAGGCTTCTTGGACCATCATATCAAAAATGACCAATTTCCCCCTCTCTACTTCTTTATTTTATTCCAAGCACCAATCCTTAACTGATATTATACATATTTTATGATTTATAATTGTCTTTCTCTGCATCAGAATGCAAACTTGAGTAGGACTGGAACATTGTTATCTTTACCGTTAAATCTGCACAGCCCAAAAGAGCACAAGCACATCCCAGGGGCTCAATAGATGTTTGTTGTAAAAATGAATAAATGAAGTGAAGAGACTCTGGTGCCAACTATTAATATCTTTTAAAAATTTATTTTGCTATATAGTAAATTATGAGGAGACTGCTTATTACTAAAAATTGAGTGTCCGCAGGCTGAGTCTGAAAGCTGAGTCAGAATTAGCAGGATCAGGTCTGTGTAAGGACCGTGGGTGAAGAGCAGTTGGGCCATGGCACCCCTCCTGCATCAGCCCCTGCCCACCACTGCCCCAGTTCCACAATGAGATACCCTTTTCTCTCCCTCTCCTGCTGCCTCCCCTGATGTCAGCCTAACCATGGTCAGGGCTGAGGTTTGGCAGATAATGCTTCAGGGCTTTTGCATCTTTACAGCAAACCCACAGGCCAGGGCTATTCAATGGATCTGTAAGAGGGAAATTCTGTCTCGTGGCTGGACAATGTGCTGGAGCAATCTGTGCTGGTCCTGTGGTACCCACAGCTCACCCACATGAGCTCACTCATAAGCCCTGCAAGACCCCATAAATGTTGAGTAAGACCAGCCTGCCTCGGGCTTGGGATAGATTTGTGGTTGATTAGAGGCACCCAAAGCCAACACTGGAACTCAGACTTAAATCTCCTGAACCTCATGTTCTTCAGTTGTTGATTTTGTTTCCCTGCCATGAAGAACCCTGGAAGGATGACCAGATATTCCAGGACTTGAGTGAAAACCTGCCTCAGTCTTGATTGTCCTCACAGCCCATCCGTGGACCATAGACTTGGAGCTGGTAGGTTTCAGACACTATCTAGATGACTCACATATTTCACAGATGGCAAAGCTGAGTCCAAGAAAGGCTAAAACCAAACTAGCAAGAAAGGCTGGCTTAGAGGTCTATTTCCACAGGCCCAATGTCAACTTGAGGCGAGGTGGAGGGGAGGCCTCAGCAGTCCTGTTAGCATTGGACAGAGCAGGGGCAGATACTGCTTTGCCATTTTCAGTATGAGTGACTTCCAGGGGTTCAGTCGGTTGCTCTGAACATCAGTATTCTCATCTGTAAAATGGGATGAAAACACACATTTCAAAAGAGCTTGGGAAGATTGAATGAGAGAACTGTCAGTATGAAAAATCCAGTTGACTTTCTCAACTCCAATGCCCTTTCCATCCCCACTTCCTTGAAGAAAAGGCTGCTGTTATTCCCATTTCACTCAAAGAGGTTCAGTAGGTTGGGCAAAACACACAGCAAATATGGGCAAAACAAGAATCTGAAATTCAAATTCCCCCCAAAGTACCATCTCCCCCAGTATACAATGAGTGGTTATTAAACATTAGTTCTCATCACTACAGTTAATAACCGCTCAACAATGATTTATTAAGTGCCTACTCTGTGCCAGGCACGTCTCACACTGAAGATATGATAATGTCAAAGGCAAACTGAGCTGCTCTTACAAAGGAAATTCAGATCATAAATATCTACCAAAATCAATAAAACAATGTGAGGTCTTATTAAGTGCTGTGATGGCAAAAAAAATAAGGGAACGTGGTAGAGCATGGCTAGGAGGCAGCACATTCCTTAGCTAGGTTCAGGGAAGACCAGGCAAAGTGGGTGCCCTTGAGTTGGTATCTGAATAACAAGAAAGAGGCAGAATGAGATAGTCTGGGGGAAGAGCACTTCATGCAAAGAAAACAGAGGACACTAAGTCCTGAGATGTGAGTGTGGGATATTTGGAGACAAAAGAAAAGTAGCTGTGGAGAAGGACAGTGAATGGAGGGGATGTGGAGTAAGGTGAGGAAGGGGAATTAGGCAGGATCCAGATGCTCAAGGGCCTTGCTGACCACAGAGATAGCTTAGGTTTAGTTCTAGGTAGAATGGGGACCCACTCAAGAGCTCTACACATGAGGGTGACATAATCCACTCACTTTCACAAGAAGACTGCCTTGTGTGTGGAGAAAATAAAGAGAACATTGTTTAACCCTTGCTCTTGAGACACTGAGCTGAAGGATTTTAGGGGCTGAGCCTGGTTCCCTATTTCCATATTAACCCCCAGAAGGCAGAAATACAGAATGGAAATCCAGAAGGGTTTTTCTCCGGCTGTCCCAGTCATCTCAGACACCTGAATTCTCTGAGTTCTCTACTGGAGCCCTAACTTTTGGCCATAACTCATTGTATTTATCTATGTGTGCACTCAGTGATGCTGCTCTTTCGGTTTGAGAGGCAGGATCCAGAGCCCTGCACCCCACTTGGAGAGGGGCACATCCAGTGGAAACTGAATGTTGCAAGAGTGTGGCCATTTGGGGACAGGGGTGATCAGCTCAGCCCTTGATGTCTCTTTTGGGGGAAGCCCATGGTAGGTAAAGAGATCACCATCAAGGAGTGAGTGGTCTTAGGAAATCAAGAGGCCTCAATTAATTAGTTAACTAAGACTTAGTGGAAGACCTGGTGCTTAATTCTGGGGGTCTAGAGATGAGCAAGACCTGGTTTATTAAGGATCCCACAGTCCCCTGAGGAAGACAGGCAACTAAGCCAATAGGAATGATCCCCATGTGCTGGGCGATCACCATGGGTCCTATAGCTCCTGCCATGCAGAGTGGCCCACCCTCCACAGTCCAGCTCCTGCCCCATTCCAGTAGGACCGTGCCCTCTTCTAGCCCCCTTCACAGAGGTGAAGTGATGCCGTGTGCTATTGCTGGGTCCCTGGTGCTTCCACATCCCTTCTTTACAACTCAATCAACTGTCCCTCCATGGATGCCTCTTCAAGTCCCCTTTGGACATGCTTCCTATTTCCTTCAGGTATATTGCCTGATGTGTTCGGGGTCAGGCCTTGTGGGAAGCACAGGAAGCAAAGTCCAATCAGATCCAGACCCTACCTTCAAAAAACATGCAGACAGGTTGGGGGTGCAGCTCATTCCATTACAGAACAGATCACAGGGTGAAAAGGGTCAGGATAGCATAATAATGGGATCACAGAGGAGACAGCATAGCAATCAGAGATGGGGTGGCGAGAAGGGGAGGGAAACAGGGAGGGATAAGAAGGTGTAGCTGGACAAAGAAGGTGTCTGGGCAATAGAAACAGTGTGTGGGCAGAGAATTAGAGGAGCTACTTGAACCTCACTAAGATGAAAGAGAAAGTGTAGGAGGAAACTGGGGAAGATTAGACTGGGAAACCAGGTAGTAGCCATGCCACTGAGACCCTTAGATAGCTAAGGAACTTGGAAATTCTTCTGAGGGAATGGGAGAAGGCTGTTTGGGTTTTATGGTAGAGACAGAATCAGATTTGTGATTTGGAAAGATCATATATGGAAGGTAGATTTTGAGGAGTTAGGAGGAATCAGATAGTGAGACTCCAGGCAAAGAGAGACAAGCAAGGATTAGTGGAAGCTTGGGCTAAGGTAGTGACAGAAGATGAGGAGCGAACAGCCATGAACAGAGACAATAGAACTTGGAGACTGATGGTCATGGGCCACGGAGATGGGGAAGGGATCTCTGTTGGTTATCCATCTTTTCCTTCTGATTCAACAAATTTGATGAATGATGATTTTTATTAACAGAAATTAGGAAAGTTGAATAAGAGTCAGCATTGGAGAAAAAAAAAAACATCAAAAATCTTGTTTTGGACATAGTAAGTGAGAAGAAGCCCACGAGACAACCTGAGAAGGAATATCAAGAAGACAGTTGGTGACATGGGGTGGCATCTGTTCTGGAAAAGAGCTCAAGGGGCATGAGAGGCAAGGCTGAGGAGAGCTAGTTTCTGCAGCCACGCTTTATCTGAGCAAGGGGCTCACACCAGCTTTCATCCTCTGTAGCAGAAGACAGAATCTTGTAAAATCCATAGTCAGATAATTCACACACTGACAAACCTTATCTGTCCTCTCCAAAGCCCATTCCTATTCTGTATAGGCCCTCATCTTGTGAGATAACAGAAAACATAATTTCTATGCAGCCTCATAGTAGAGTTGGAATGAAAGGGAGGGGAGAGGGAGGAGGTGGGTCACGGGGCCTGGCACGGGACCCTTGGAGGAGATGTGGTTTTCAAGCTGGCGTAGCGTCTTCCTGTGAGCAGACCAAGGCCTGGGCCAGCAGCATCACTCCTGCAGCCAAAGACGATGAGGGGAACCAAGTGCCAGGGGAAAAATTCTTCCAAGTCATTTATTTTCCAAAATCCTCAAGGATCTGAGTATTTTTTTTGGAAATAACTGCGTTGAGTTTTGAACTTTTTAAGGGTCTCTTCTCTGCTCTGGTGACCTCATACATTCCAGTGGTTTTAAATACCATGGGATGCCAGCAACTCCCAAATGTGTACCTCCCACCCAGGCCTCTCCTCTGAACCATAGACTCATATGCCCAACGGATGTGTCATGGACACCCCAGGGACAGCATGTGCAAAACTGAGCTCTTGGTGGGATCTCCAAAATGTTCCTCCACAGTCTTTTTATGTTAGTCAATGGTAACACCATCCGCTTGGTTGCTAATGCCAGAACAATGGAGATGTTTCTTCATTTCCTTATCTAATCTCTTAACAAATCCTTTTGACTACAAGATCCTCCTTGGATCTTGAGTCTTGTAATTCCTCTCCTTCCCATTGCTGTCACCACTCTGGTCCAAGCTTTCTCTCTACTCCCTGCAAAATGCCAGCACCTGCTATTCCATCAGTCTGTTTTCTACACTTCCCCACCTTCAACCTACATTGCACCCAGCAGCCTCTGAGGTCTTCTCCTGCCCCACCATGGTGATCTTTCAAAAACATAACTGTAGTCTTGTAACTCCCACATTTAAAACACATCAAAGGCTTCACATTGCTCTGAGAATAAGGTCCCCACTGCTGATGATGGCCTGATTCCTGCCTGCCTTTCTTCCCTTCTGGCCAATAATCACCCCATTTGCTCACTTTGCTGCAGCTGCCCGAACCTCATGAGTCAAATCTTCAGGCAGGTCAAGCTCCCTGCTGCTCCAGACCTGCATCCTGAGATTCCTTCTGCCCAGAGTGCCTTTCCTGGCCAACACTTTTCCATTCTTCATATCTCTATGGAAATGCTGTCTCCTCCAAGAGCCTCCCTGACCAGCCGGTCTGCTGAGGACCACCCCCAAGCCCCACTGTTGCCTATTACAGCTTACTTCTGACCACAGTGTAAAATCATTCACTTCCCTGTTTATTTCCAGTCTTCCACAGTGTACCATGGGTTCCACAGGGCAGAGACCATGCAGTCTTGTCATCACTGTCATCTCAGTAGACTTCTTGCTAGCCATGGTGGGCCAGAGATCTCACTCCCCTTTCTCTCCCACCCCTACTATTTTATTGGTTATATTTAATTAAAAATATAATATTTATAATATCATAAGGTTTAAAATTAAATATTTACAACATGTAGAATTTAAAATATTTTAATTTTTAATTGTTTATTATGATTAGAGCTTTATATATTATCCACTTCAAGCTACTATTTTTAAGCCATCGTATTTACATGGGACCTATTTATTTTCCACTGTGTAGAATAAGAAAATCAGTACCCCAAAACTTTCCCTTATTTTTCCTCACTCTTTCTGCTTCTCTCTCTCTACTTCCTCACAACTTCTATTGGTCATTCTATCACAGGAAAGGGTTCTTTTTTTGTGTTTTTCTTCTTCTTCTTTTTTATTTGACTTTAAGTTCTGGGATACATGTGCATGTGGGAGTTTTTTGTGTTTTTAATTTCACCCTCCCAGTGGTCTGCCCCGCCTCCAGCTCCTCTGAGTACTGGCTGCCCCAGGCCTGTGTCTTACTCATTTCTTTGTGGGGCTGTCCTTTCCATGAGGCGTTGGAAGTTTAAGTCCTACTCATTGCATTTTCACTGTCATTACAATTTTATTTTACTCAACAATGTATAATGTTCATTTATTGAGTCAGTAGGTTATATATCTAATGTTATCTTTTATTTTCTCTGAACTTTTTAATGCTCGTCGATGCACATACATGGGATTATATTGTACATGCTTTTGGTCTCATGGTCCTGCTTTTTGTCTTCCTTTCCTTTTTTACTCTCTTTACCTTCTTCCTGTCATATGATGAGACCCCTCCCCCACCCCAACCCTTGAACCCACTCTGAGTAATTTGTTACCAACCCGACAGTCACTCCCTCTGACTTTTCACTCTGCTTTGCACAAATGTGTGCATCCATGTATAGTTTTTTTATTATTGTTTGCTTTGCCAAAAATGACATCATATGATATAAAAACAATTCTTTGTATCTACTTTTAGTGCTTAATAATATGTTATGGAAATCTAATAATATAATCCAAATACAGTCTCTTAAATAATCACATAATGCACCATGGCATAATGTAGCATTATTTGTTTAAACCTTCACCTGACTGTGTGTGTTTGTATCTTGATGTGCTGATGTTTAATTTCTATGGAATTGAGTCACAAAAGTAGAATTGCTGGATAAAAGAATATATGTGTGTTAGTTCATTCTCACACTGCTACAAAGAACTACCTGAGTCTGAGTAATTTATGACGAAAGCAGGTTTCATTGACTCACAATTCTTCAGACTTAATAGGAAGCATGACTGGGAGGCCTCAGGAAACTTACAATCTTGGTGAAAGGCGAAGGGGAAGCAAGGCACCTTCATCACATGGCAGAGCAGGAGGAAGAGTGAGAGAGCGAAGCGGGAAGGGCCACACACTTAAAATTCAGCAAATCTCGTGAGAACTCACTGTCACGAGAACAGCGTGGGGGAAATCCGCCCCCATGATCCAATCACCATCCACCTGGTCCCTCCCCTGAAACATGGGGATTAAAATTTAAAATGAGATTTGGGTGGGAACACAGAGCCAAACCATATTAATATGTTTTACAGTTTTAATAGATGTTGCCCTATTGATTTATACAAATGCTGTGACAATTTGCATTTCCACCAGCAATATATGCAAACGTTCTTTTCATGGAACACTTACCAGCAACAAGTGTTAATGCTCTTTTTAGGTATGCCAGCTGGATGAATGTAAAATAATGTCTCATTAATTACATGAAATTTATATTAATTTTTATTTCCCTGACTTCTAGTGAATTTAAGTATCTTTTACTATGTTTATTGTTCATTTGGATTGCTTTATTTTACACTTTTTCCTATTTTTTATTGGGTGGTTTGTGTTTTTCCTGTCAATTTGTAGTACGAATCTTTGAATATTACAGCTCTTCATTCTCTACCTGTCCTTATTGTCTGTGGCAGTAAAGTTTGTATATTGGATTAAATTAACTCTCTAGTAACCCTCTGCATTGGTTAACCAAAGAAAAATGCTCTATGCCTCAAATCTATTTCCCTCCCATTTTTCTACCTATACTCGTCTCTATTTTCCTTCACTGTCCTGGGAAGTATCAGGGTAGATAGAAAGGAGGAAACAGACATTTATAAGCACATTCTACTTGCCAGTGAATTAATGGGTAGTTTATATGTTACATCATTTAATTAAATAAAATTAAAATATTTTTAATCACCATTTTACTGATGGGAATACAGAGGCTCAGAGAGGTTAATTTACTTCTCAAGGTTGGGTTAAGGAAATGTCAGAGATAAGATTTGAACCTGTATCTATCTGGTTCTAAAGTGTTCTTTCAGATGCCCTCCTCAGGCTGCTAGTCTCATGGGAGACTCACAGCCACCCTAAGGGACCATGGGGCAGGCTTCCTCATCCTCTTTCCACAGGCAAGAGCCCTGCACTCAGAGCAGCTGAATGACATGGTCAGGGACACAAACTGAGATTGCAAACCTACAGCTTCTGTCTTTAAACCTGGAACTGTTTTGAATCTGGTGTCTGTCCACCTCTTTTCTCTTGAGTTAGGAGCATTGGGGTAGGTTGGCATGGGGGAGCCACTCGGCATCTCATGTCCTTCAGTGAATTCTCTGCTATCCAGAGCCACAGAGGTAGCACATGATTTGCCAAGGGACTGCAAGGACCTCTCCCTCTCTTCAGCAGATCTTCCCCTCTGAGGGCTTCGGTGGGCAGGAGAGAGAGGAGAAACACACATAACGGAGGAGCTCTGAAATCCCCGGGCCAAAAATAACCTCCTTTCCCCCAACCTCCACTCCCACCCTCCATCCAAGGGGAGTGGCGGCAAAGTTTCAGAAACTCTGAAATGACTCAAAGAAACAGAAAAGTGTTCTAGTTGTCCAATATTTACATAAGGAGCTGGTTCAGTTTTCCTTTCCTGCTGTTAACATCTGAGCTGGCACACAGACGTGGACACCTGCCCACATCCACCAATAGATGTGCACCTGGATGCACGTGTGTTGTACATGCAGACACAGTGTGTACGGCACCCATCCCCACACACCTCAGGCTGCAGCACAGCAGTGAGTGGCAGCCAGGGCTGCTGGGAGGTGTCCATCCCCAGGCTCAAGCTGTGTGTCTTTGTTCTTCACACCAGAGTCTACTGTTGGGTTTCTTCAGAAGCAGCCTCTGCAATAAGAATATGAGTGCAAGGGATTTGTAAGGCAGGTGATCTGAGCAATGCCACTAAGGGAATGGGCAGGTGAGGCAGGGACTTAAAGGAAACCAGTCAGGGAACATTGTCAACTCACAGCAGTGACCATGGGCAACCAGGTCACAATTCCACTGTGGTGTTCTGGGAGAAGGTGGATGGCACACCTCAGAATTGCCTCACTCAAGATGGAGGAAGCTGAAATATGCACCAATCAACTCCCTTTCTGCTGTGGTTGAGGATTGCTTCCTGGAGATTACTGTGGCAAGAGAAACATGAGCTTCCATATTACCTTGTATAATGCACAGGGCAAGAACCCAGCCAGGCCAAGAAACATGCTCTTTACATCCAAAAAAAGGCTTCAATCCTAGCTCTGTTTCTTGCCTATTTGATACCTTGAATAATTTCTTCCCTCTGAGCCTCTAATTCTCTTATCTATAAAATGGGTAGGATACTTTCCCCGACAAGATTGGAATAGGGATTTGATGAAATAATGCAGGTCAATGAACTTGCCCAAGATTGGCTCTCAAAAGAGACTGATATTTTGTCTCACCACCTACATTGCTTTCATTGTTTGCTGGTTTCCCTTTATCTTTCGAACCTCTGTTAGGATGCCCAGGGCTCAGTCTTCAGGCCTCTACTCTTGTCTAGGACACATGCCCTTGGCGATCTCATCCAACTTCAAAGCCTTAAATGTCTAGCGTAACCCTCAGCACTCCCATGCTCATGTGCCTCCTTTGCCGTCTTCAAAATAGAACTGGAATGTGACCACAGCTCACGTTCCCTGTCATTGCCCTGGTCCAAACCCTCGTCTTTTGCTTGGATGCTTGCATTAGCTTCCTGACTCTCCATCCTTGCTCCCTGTACAGCTTTTTCTCTACACAAATACCAGAAGCATCCTGTTAAAATCCAAGCTGGATGACGCCACTCTATTTAGTCTGCTAATACCTTCTCATTACTCCTAAAGAAAAAGCCCAAGTCTTTACATAGGTTTACAATGTGACTGGACCCAAATCTCAAATCTCCTCTCCTCCATGTTTTCTTCTGCTCACTCTGTCTCAGCTATTCTCACCTCCTTCTGTTCCTCACACAGTCTAAGCACCCTCTTGCTTCAGGGGCTTTGCACATGCTGTTCCCTCTGCCTGAGTGTTCTTCCCCCAGACATCAACCTGTCTCGCTCCTTCACCTCCTTCAAGACTTAGCTCAAATATTACCTTCTCAATGAGGTCTGCCTTATGCATTCTATTTCAAATTGCATGGCCGTCCCATCACACCTCCCTGTTTTGTTATTCTCCATAGCACTGACAGACATCTACTGTATTGTAACATTTCTGCTTTTTCTTATTCATTGTCTATTTTCAGCTCACCTAACCCCCAGTAGAATATAACTCTATGGGTGCATTGTTTTTTGCCTGTTCTGATCATGGATGTATTCTAGAATAATTCCTGGTAATAGCAAGTACTCAACCATTTGTAGAATGAATGAATAAACAGATTAATTAAATAATTAATTAATTAATGGTGTGGTGATTAAGATCTTGATTTTGGGAATCTTATGTATCAATTCAATTCTTATTTCCACAACTTTCTGTCTGTTACCTTGTACACATTACTCATCTAAGTCTTACTTTCCTGTTCTATGAAATGGGGGAGAGGATAGTACCTAACACTTAAGGCTCTTGTGAAGACAGGTGAGATAAGATATATTAGACATTCAGACAATGACTGGCACATGATATGTGCTCAAAAAAAGACAGATTTTCTTTTTTCTTTTTCTTTCTTTCTTTTTTTTTGAAATGGAGTTTTGCTCTTGTTGCCCAGGCTGGAATGCAATGGTGCCATCTCGGCTCGCCACAACCTCTGCCTCCCAGGTTTAAGCAATTCTCCTGTCTCACCCACCCGAGTAGCTGGGATTACAGGCATGCACCACCACACCCAGCTAATTTTGTATTTTTAGTAGAGATGGGGTTTCACCATGTTGGTCAGGCTAGTCATGAACTCCCGACCTCAGGTGATCCACCTGCCTTGCCCTCCCAAAGTGCTGGGATTACAGGCGTGAGCCATAGTGCCCGGCCAGATTTTCTTTTTTAAGTTTCTCTTTCAATTTCATCGTCAATGGCTTCACAGATATTTTAGTGAAAAACTGAAACAGCTCATGATATACAGCAAATATAATAACCCCCCAAAAAAGGAATGAAAGTATATATAAATAATTAGTGTTATCTTTAAATTTATACACATCCACACATAGAGACAAAAGGCCAGAAGGATATACATCAAAATATTTAAAATGGTTATTTTTGGAATTTTTGTTGGGTTTACTGGTGACTTTCAATTTTTTAGTTATAATTTTTTTTTACATTTTAAATGTGTGACTTTTTAAAATAAAAAAGCAATGAACATTTTTTAAGAAAAAAATAACAAACTTCAGTAAAATGTGGCTTTAACACTGATACACTTATCCCCGTTAAGAATGTTTATTGATTACATTTTAACTTTCATGAGTCAGAGAATTCACACTCTGACAAACCTGATCTGTCCTCTCCAAAGCCCATATTCTTATTCTGTATAGGTTAAGTAGCAGTTTCCGTATGTCAAGCCAAAGCTTTCTTTCCCAGCCACTTCCTTTAAGTCACCCAAAATAACATTGGAAATTAAAATGTATAGCAGCAAAAAATAGTATGCAGCATACAAATAAGTCACTTATAAATTATCTTGTAATAGCCAAAAAACAGTGGTTTGGATTCAGGCAAGGGGCTATAGGTCTTTCTCTCACCACCTTGAGCAGCCTGTGCAAAGCTGTTATTTCCTGGCCACCCAACAAGCAAGGACCAAATCCTGGAAGAGAACATTAACATCAGGTCATGACATTGGCAAACAGAATTCAGATGTCACTCAGTGAGAGAGAAGTCCCTTGACCGTCTATCCCAAAGAGACTGCACATGTATACGCAGTGACTCCATTTGTCAAGAAATGACTAAATTATGTTTTCTGTTATCTGGCAAGATGAGGGCCCAAAGTAGACTTTAAGTTGGACTTTTGTTTGTCTGTTTCTGTGACTGTGAAATTTGTAATCCACTGCATTGATAATCAGAAGTTCCCTCTGGTAATGAGCTTCCCATTTGAAACCTTCCCTTCCCTTCCCTCCCCTCCCCTCCCCTCCCCTTCCCTCCCCTGCCCTCCCCTCCCCTCCCTTCCCTTCCCTTCCATTCCCTTCCCTCTTTCTTTTCTTTTCTTTTTTTTGGACAGAGTCATGCTCTGTTGGCCAGGCTGGAGTGCCATGGTGTGATCTCAGCTCACTGCAACCTCCGCCTCCCAGGTTCAAGCAATTCTCCTGCCTCAGCCTCCCGAGTAGCTGGGATTACAGGTGCCCACCATTACGCCCAGCTAATATTTTGTATTTCTAGTAGAGACGGGGTTTCACCATGTTGGCCAGGCTAGTCTTGAACTCCCAGCCATGGGTGATCTGCCTACCTTGGCCTCTTAAAGTGCTGGGATTATAGGCATGAGCCACAGTGCCTGGCCCCATTTGAGATTTTTCAATGAGGCTAACTCAACCAGTAAGCAGTAACATCTATTTTCCATGGCCCAGCCTTTGCTTCATGGGCCATGTGGAGCTCTACTTTGGATTGCCCAAGACCATAAGGTCCCTAGAACCTGGCAGCAAATGGACTTAATGCAGAAATCAAGGGCAGATACAGAAGGGAGGGACAGAGTAGTGGAAGAACAGAGGCACTAGGAGAGGGGATTTAGGGAGATAGGAGGCTATGTGAAGTTGTCCTTTGACTCTGCTCATGGTCTATTGAGTGCTAAGAAGAGGTGGCTACAGGCATAGATAGAACATTCAGTTTGTCCAGAGGAATTGCTGGCCTGGCAAGGGGGCCTCCAGGGTGTCTTATAGCAGCAAGGTTCTAAATGCATGAGTGAGTGTGCATGTGTGTAGGGGGAGTGTATGGAGGTGGGTGGGAGGGATACCCCCCCCAGGGGAGCATATAAACCATTGGCAGTGGAAGGGCACCAGCCAGTCAGCAGATAACCTATGGGTGTGCTTGCAGGCTATAAATAACCAGTAGAGGTGTGTCGATGCATTCCAGCTGAATATCAGCACTGCTTCTCTTGTCATTAGCAGGACGTACACACTGTGGTAGTGCAGGGCAGCATAGCTCAGGACAATAACCTGCATATAGGCTACAGCTCCAAGCACAGTAGGTAGCACCATCCTGGGAGTAAAGTGGGACCTTTTGAGGCAGGCATTTTCAAGCCACTTCATGATGCATCAAGATGGCTGGGTCTGAATATAAAATGACTGCCCGTATTGCTGCCTAATGTACTCAACAAATATTCATGAGTCTTACCTGTGAGCCCGACCTAGCCATACTCTCACCTCAGGGTTAGGGGAAAGGATTAGGAACAGAGAAATCATCTTGGACAGATGAGGTGTCTGGGGTGCATATTCTATGGAACTAAGAAGCAGACGCTGTAATGGTTTCTCTGTTGGAGATGGTCTCAGTGGTCCCCTTTCCCGGAGATGATGTTGCTTCTACTTGGCTCTGGGGTGATGGGTCTCCACAGCGGTTGTAAGTAGGAGAGACAGAAAGGGAAGACAGAGCAAATACAGCCACAAGGACACTAATGGAACCTTGAAGGCACTCTCCAGGACCTCTTGGGGAGAGTACAGAGGTTTTAATGGGTAGATCTTTGGATACAGAGTCTGAAGAAATGGCAGTGTGAGCTTTGTTCCAGGGAAGAGGGCCAGGCAGGAGGGAAAAAGTAGATGGATGTGATAAAGGGTCTACATGGTTTCTCCCAAGCTTTTGGAAAGGAATACGGGGCCTCAGAGGCACAGTCTGAAGGCAGGGTGAGCAGATTCAATTGTGAGACACATTGTAGTAAGTGGTGGGCCCACACGCTTTCGGAATGAGTCAGGGACTGCCTGCTTACAGTGGTTATTTTCCACCCCAGCCCATATGGGCTGATTCTGAGCTTCAGAGGAAACCACTTGGCAAGAGGCAGCCTGAGAAATCTCAAATCCTATACAAATTTCTTCCTCTTCTGCACGCTACCTGACCTCCAGCCCTAGCACATGTAAGCACACATGTGCACGGCACACACACATCCCTCCCGGAACAGCACAAGGGAGTACATCCACATGCAATCACACACACATGTGACCTTCAACTCCAACACATGTATACCCGCTCCCCTGACACACATGCAGAAATAGAGCATCGACTCACTCACCCCCTCATTCACACTGCGCTGGAGTGAAAGGAAGAAGTCACAGAGCACATGCCCCAGGGAAGCTCCACTGGATACGGGACCCTCTGTTATCATTAGTAGAGTTGGGAGAGGTAGGGAGTGAATCTGCTGAAGTGCACACTAAGGAACTACTAGAATTTTAAAGCCTCAGAAATGTTGTTTTGGTGGGGCTAAAGATGGAAAACAGGGGTGGATGTCTCTTTGATGTAGAAAAATGCCATGTGAGCTATTTGGATTAAGAAAAGCAAACTTTTCTCCCTACCCTTCTCAGAGTGTGAACATAAGCTATTTCTAGATGAAGACAACTTTCCTGATAACATAATCGTAATTTCAGACTTTTTTCTGATGGGAAGGAAAATGGGTGGATGGCTCTTTGGTGTAGAAAAATGCCATGCGAGTCTCTTGGGTTAAGAAAAGCAAAACTTTTCTCCCTTCCCTCCTCAGGGCATGAACATAGGCTAGTCATAGATGAAGACAACTTTCCTGATAACATAATCATAATTTCAGATTTTTTTCTGGTGGGAAGAGGGAGGGAGAGGCCACAATCTGGAAAGAGAAGAGGAAGAGAATATAGGAACATTTCTTAGTAGGAAAGTTCCACAGGCTAGTGGGAGGCTGGGCTTGGGGAGAAGGATGGACACTGTAGTTGTCCAGTGGTATGATGGCCAAGAGCTCAGAATGATCTTGTGTTACTTATCCAGTGTTTCCCTGATCTTTTGTGGGTCATATTTATGACTCGGCCTTTAGGAAGACTCCTACTACTAAAGCAACTGGGTTTGGGAAAAGGAGGGTGAGAATCGAAGCCATGGATGGGGGAGGCATTTCAGGGAGAAGGCAGCAGAGGCAGGAGGCAGACACTGAGTGAGGAGGACTGGAATTTAGAGGGTCACACGCTGGAGGTGGGCACAGGAGGATGGCCTGTCTGGGCATCACCATTGGCCAGGCATCAGTGTTGGAAACGAATTCCAGTGTTGGCATGGTGTTGGTTTTCTTGCTAAAAGGAAACTTCCAAGGCCAGGTTGGCAAGAGGAGAGGACACAGGAAACTCACCCTTCCATCACCTCTGAGAGGCAGAGTGACTTCCCAGGGAAGGGGCACAGCCTCACTATGAGAAAGCAGCCTTCTCAGTGGAGAGGTTAATTGCCAGGCACCTCAGTGCATTTGGGTGTCAGTTGTTTATAGCTGTTGTGTGGGAAACCGGCTGCTCCATGCTTGGATATCTTGAGCACCATGAAAAGTTGCAGTCCCTGCCACCGGGGATGAAAGATCCAGTCTAGCGGGAAGCTCAGCCCAAGTGGAGCCCCTCTAGCTGGGAGGAGAGGGCTCTTGGTCCCTGAAAGTTTATTGTCCAGGCAGCACATAGTGCGTTCCCCAGGCCATTGCCAGACAATCTCTCTTATTGCTCTTTCCAGAGTTCACAGGGAGGGCAATTGACTTCCCAAGGTATGAGAGATGGCAACTGGAGCCATTTATTCTCATTAAAAGAAAAGGTGACCACAAAAAGGACTGGAGAGAGTCTGGGAAAATGAGGTCATTTATACAGGCTCCAGAGTCACAGATATCTGTTTGACACCTTTCAGCCCTTGAACAACTCACCATCCAGAGAGGGAGACAGGTGTGTAACTGATTGCAAGTCGATGTTCTAAGTGGTAAATGGCACCAGTGATATTCTGTAGGAGAGTTGAGAAGCGAGTTCCCAGCTTCCTAGAGAGGCCAAGGCAGGGTTCACAGAAAGGGAGATGTGAAAAGGAAGAGGAGGTCACCAGGGAGAAGAGAGGAGAGCATGCCAGGCAGGGCAGGAATGCCACCTGAGCAGAGGCAGGAGATGTGAATAAGCCTGACCCGGAAGTTGGGGTTGACGTCTGCGAGAAGCTGTTCTGGAACAACATTCTTTCTCAACCTCTGCCAAGCTGAGTGTCTACAACCAGAAACACTAAGATTTCTGCCAGGAGGCGCTGGCTTTGGGTGGTTAATAGCCCAGGTTTGCCTGCTGCCTTCTCTCACTGTCTTTTCAGAGTAGAAGGGGTGGCTTGCTAGTTGGAGGAAATTCTGCATCTTTCAGACAGACAATGAGTTGAGGATAGGTAATGGCTACCACAGCAATGTGACTGGCCAGCGTGGTAGAGAAATGTCGTCACCAGAAGAGAACTCGGTTGAGTAAGTCCAGACGAGTCTGCTGTAACTGGCTGAGGAAGTTGTGTCCTGCACAATAGTATCAGCTTAGTTCCTGTTGGGGAAGAGTCATGGTGGAACTCCAGCCCTTGCTCTGCCCACCAAGCCACAATCCTAGAGGGTGGGCCTCCACAGAGTGGGGGACCTTTTTCTAAGTGAAACACGGGCTCTATATTGATGAGTAAAGGTCCCAGAACCGCTGGCCTGGATCTAGGAGTCCTATGTTCTAGTTCTTCCTTCACTCCCCAGGAGGGTCTGTCCCAACTGGAGAAATGGTTCTACTTCCCCACTGACTTATGAAACACAGTGTGACATAGTGGGTCAGAGGAGGAATACAATGAACAAAAATACGCCGTGGAGTTGATGTCAGATAAATGACTCACAGGAGACCCCAAGGGCCAGCTTTGTGACCCTCGGCAAGTTCCTCTCCCTTTCTGAGCCTGAGTGTTTCTATTTGTGAAATGGGGATGATAATCTGTACCCTGGACAACCTGCCATAGCTGTTGTAAGGTTCAGACAAGTCATGAGCATTCGCAGCCTATGAGCACTCACAAGATGGTAGTGTGTGTGTATGTGCGTCCGGAAGTGGAAGTCTGGTCTCTGATAAACTGTGTGTGAAGTCACTGTGGGGGCAGGGGTCGTATTATATCGTACCCAAGATTCCTGCCAGCCCTGCCAGGACCTCAATTAGCAGGTGTCCATGTTACGCGGGCTGAGGTCGGCCAGGCTCAGCCACTGTCAACCTGTTGGGGGTGCCTTACTCCCTTCAAACTTCAGTTTCCATCTTAAAAATGGGAGAGGAGGGGAAGTGAGATGATCTTAAATGTTCTTTCAAACTCTGACATTTTCCAAGAACTGAATTTCTATACAATTCAGTCTGTGGTGTGACTATTTGGGACCTTCAGAACATCTGTTTAGTTCTCAATGAGGAGGTCAAAATGAGGCTGAGGAATGTCCAGCAAAAGGGAAGGCCCGCAGGATAAAACATGGTGACGTTGTAACATGAATATTTAACTCTACGTGCTAGGTAAACAGTCATGATGCATCAAATACCCACAGATGCAAGCCAACTACTTTTTTTTATAATGAACCAAAGAAACAGGGATCTACTCCCACACTGGAGAAAAAAACAGATTGTGTTAGAGCTGAGAGGCTATACCCTGCACCACAACTGTATGTCTATGGACATAATAGACATTCAACGTAATTTTGACAATCTAGGATTTTCACTTAAGATATCAGAACCTAACTTCCTCCCAACAATGCAGGATTCAGTACTAGCCTAGTATAAAGTGATTAAAAATGGTTTAGAATGGCCAGGCGTGGTGGGTCACGCCTGTAATCCCAGCACTTTGGGAGGCTGAGGTGGGCAGATCATGAGGTCAGGAGATCGAGACCATCCTGGCTAACATGGTGAAACCCCGTCTCTACTAAAAATACAAAAAATTAGCCAGGTGTGGTGGCGGGCGCCTGTAGTCCTAGGTACTCGGGAGGCTGAGGCAGGAGAATGGCGTGAACCCAGGAGGCGGAGCTTGCAGTGATCCGAGATCATGCCACTGCACTCCAGCCTGGGTGACAGAGCAAGACTCTGTCTCAAAAAAAAAAAAAAAAAGGTTTAGAATAATTAATGACATGGTAAATGTCCATATTTTATTTAAAAGTTTTTTAAAAAAGCAGATTACAAAATAATAGCAGATGAATCACTTTTGTTTACACATGAAAATAGTTACATGCTATAGGGATATGTTTTTAAACATATCAAGTCTGTGAGGAGTATAGGTAACAAAAATTGTACCGTATAGTTGCCCGTCGGTATCCATGGGGGAGGGGTTCCAGGATCTCTGCCTATGTGAAAAGTTGTGATGCTTAAATTCTTTATATAAAATGGTGTATTACTTGCATATAAATTACACACAGTGTCATATAGTACTTTCTTTCTTTTTCTTTGCGTTCTTTTTAGAGATGGAGTGTCTCACTATATTGCCCAGGTTGGTCTTGAGCTCCTGTGTTTAAGTGATTATCCTGCCTCAGCCTCCCAACTAGCTGGGATTATAAAGGTGCACCACTGTGCCTACTTTAATCACCTCTATATAAATAGCTGTTCCACTGTATTGTTTTTCATTTGTACTGTTTTTTTATTGTTGTTAATTTATTTATTTATTTATTTATTTTTTGAGGTGGAGTTTCACTGTTATTGCCCAGGCTGGAGTGCGGTGGTGTGATCTCAGCTCACTGCAGCCTCTGCCTCCTGGATTCAAGTGATTCTCCTGCCTCAGCCTCCTGAGTAGCTAGGATTACAGGCATGGGCCACCACGCCTGGCTAGTTTTTTGTATTTTTAGTAGAGACGGGGTTTCACCATGTTGGCCAGGCTGGGCTTGAAATCCTGACCTCAGGTGATCCATCTGCCTTGGCGTCCCAAAGTGCTGAGATTATAGGAGTGAGCCACTGTGCCCGGCCTATTATTTTTTAAATATTCTTTATCTGTGGTTGGTTGAAATGATGGATGTAGAACCCATGAGTTTGGAGTGCTGACTGTACATGGGGTTCATGCTAGATGAGTAGATTTATGCTGCTCTTGCCAGAAGAACAAAAACCAGGTGCTAGATATGTTCATTTGCTTCATGGTGGTGACCTTTTTACTATCTAAATGTGTACCATAACACTATATTGTATACGTTAAATATACACAATGACATTTCTTTAAAACATAAATAAACAGGCCAAGCTTGGAAGGCTATATTTCAAAACGTTATGAGAAGCTCTCTCTGGGTGTTGGGGTTTGGGTATTATTTCTCTCTTTTTTGTTTGTCTGCCTTTTTAAATAATCTTTAATGCCTCTGTAATCAAAGTTATAAGTCAATCCAAGAAGCCATCTGGGGAAGAATTCCCAGAAGGATTCCACGGGGCATGCCAATGGCTGGGAGGAGAGACCATGCTAACCCTGCTCATTCTCCTAACTGCTAACACATGTCAGAGCTATTTGGGGTCCTGATGTCACCTGGCGAGCCAGCTCGGCTGCGGTTATGATGTCATTCACTGCCTGGCTGGCGGCTCTGTGGCCAGTGAAGTCACCAGGGAGGAGAGTTCATGGTGGCCCCTTATTCCCTCCAGAGCTGTCTCCCGGCTTCTGCCCACAGGAAAACCCAAAGAGATACCCAAGGGGCTCCACAGCTGCACGTGGAGCAGCTGACAGGAGCCATGCCTGGGCCTGGAGGCCTGGGGGATGTTTTCTGGCCTTAGGCCTAAGCCTTCTTGGTCCTGCCCAACCTGCTGACTTCCTGCCACTGCACAATCGAGAGACAGTGCTCAAATAACAGCTGAATCGCCTGGGCTTTACAGGAGATTTTCTTGGTCACTTTTGACTATTCCCCAGTGCCCTGGAGGGCTGACCCCTGACATTGCCTCATCCTCCTGACGCCTCTGCCCGACAGCAGCCCCTTGGTGCCCTGCATGGTAACAACCCATCCCCAAGGGCCTGGGCAGATGTCCTTCCTCCTCTGATTGCAGAAGTGGCCACGCTTGGGCCCTCATGCCAGACTGTTTTGGTCTAAATCCCTCCTACAGCAGCATGGCCTCGGGCAGGACCTCTCAGGAATTGGGTGAAACGGATTTTTCACTGTTCATTTCTTGTGGGAATGACATGAAGAATTGTATGTACAAGTAAGTGGAGCAATACCTGACAGTTTGGCTTCTGTCGGGTGATTATTTACTGTCTGTTAAGCAAATCATCCACTTCTCCTGCATCTCAGAACCCTCACTCCTTCTGGATGTTTGGGAGTGCTCTGGCAACTTAACTTTCCTATGTAAACTCTCCCAGCCTCAGCTTCTCACTGGGGAAAGGGGAATGAAGACAGTTATTAATAACAGAACAAATATCTAATACTAACACTAGAAGTGAACTCAGAAAGAAACATTTGGCTTGGTCTCCTTTCCCAGGTGCCATGGAGATGTTTACAGAGGAGGTCATTGAAAAGCCAGGCAGTTTTTCTGGGTTCTTTTTAGCCCCACTGATGGAGCTGGACCATACCTCTGTCTAAACCATCATGCACCCACATTTTTGATCCAGTTTCAATTCTTGCGAGCAAGAAAAGAGGTTGACAAGGAGAAGAGTGGCGGGTTTTGCCTTTCTGGCATGTGGAACAACAACTAAAAGATTCTGACCCCAAAGTGTTTAAGCATGACCTTCTTGAGATGTCCAAGTTTAAGAGGGGACAAGGGACAAGCTCTCTCCAGCAGTCTCCTCCACCAACTCCCAATCACCACCAGCCACGTCATGACCCATGCAACGGATATGGGGTGTCACATGATTGTATGGGGGCATCTGTGGGAATGAAGTTATGACATTCTTTTTTTTTTTTTTTTTTTTTTTTTGAGACAGAGTCTCACTCTGTCGCCCAGGCTGGAGTGCAGTAGTGCGATCTCGGCTCACTGCAAGCTCCGCCTCCTGGGTTCATGCCATTCTCCTGCCTCAGCCTCCCGAGTAGCTGGGACTACAGGCGCCTGCCACCACACCTGGCTAATTTTTTGTATATTTAGTAGAGACGGGGTTTCACCATGTTGGCCAGGATGGTCTTGATCTCTTGACCTTGTGATCCACCTGCCTTGGCCTCCCAAAGTGCTGGGATTACAGGCATGAGCCACCGTGCCCGGCCAGGACATTCTTTTAACATGGAGCTGATAGGATGTTTGGGGAAAATCTTTACTTTGTGTGGAACATGACTGGACTCTCATTGCATGGGATTTGCTTAGTCGCAATACATTCTCCACAGACTGTCCTGGCCAAAAGGCCTTGGTCCTAATTTATCCTGCCTGGCACCCTGGAGGCCACAGCCTCAGGGGCCAGGAGCCTTTGTAGCCTCAGAATAAGATAACTTGAAGGGTGGTCTGTGGAGCCGCTAGCATAGTGCCTGACTCAGCGACACCTATCCATGGTGGTGACGTCGGCACTTCTGGTGTGCTTGGTGAATGGACGTATTTGCCAAAGAGGTGGGTGTTTCTGTCTTCCTCATAATCTGGAGGCTTTGTGTATTACTTTTCTGTTGCCAGTATGAAATATGACCACATATTTAGTGGTTTAAAATAATCCATAGTAGCATCTCACATTTTTTGCAGGTCAGAAGACTAACATGGGCCATACCACGTTTAACTCAAGGTGTCAGCAGGCCTGCCTTCCTTATAGGAGGCTCTGGTGAAAAATTGACTTCCAAGCTCCAAGTTCCAGGTAGAACCAGCTCCTTGCTGTTGTAGGACGGAAGTTTTTCTTTCCCTGCTGGCTATCAGCTGGGGGCCACCCTTAGCTCCCAGAGGCCTCTGCTGGTCCTTGTATGTGTGCTCCCATGTCTCAGATTCAGCAATAATGTGCGGAATCCTTCTCGAGCTTGAGATAGCTGCGCCCTCCCCTTCTGCCTTCCTCTTCCTCTGACTGCTCAGACTTTGGCCAGAGAAAGTTCTCTGTTGTTAAGGGATCATATGATTAGACTGGGCCCCAACTAGATGATTCAGAAATCTCTTGATGTTAAGCGTCCTAACCTTCATCACATCTGTGAAGTGCCTTTTGTCATGTAACTAACAGAAACCATTCATGGGCCGCAGGCATTAGGGCATGAATGCCTTGTCGGGCCATTATTCAGTCTACCACACACCACAGTGAATTTAGTCTCACTGTGAGAATGGACAGAGACTTTGAGCTGGGGATATCTGAGCTCTTCCTCACTCTCTCAGAAAGATCCATCGAGCAAGAAATAGATGTGCCAAGAACTTTTCTAAATGTTTGGGATACAAAATGGAAATGCTAAGACCACTAAGAAGGAGGAAGAGGAAGAGGAGAAAGAGGAACTGACTCTTGAACGTCTATTATTGCCAGACACACTTTCTGCATTCTTTGTAATGCCCAAACGGCATCTCATTACACACATGAGAAAGCTGGGGCTCTGGGGTTCAGGGGTTGAGAAACTGGCCAAGATCATCCAGCTTCTATGTTGCAGTCAGGACTCACCCTTCCTCTCCTCTCTGACTCTCCAGACTTTTGACCATCGAGATACCTCCAGTCCAGTCTACAGAGGAAGCACCACACCTGCTGGGACGAAGCCTTGGCACCTCCCCGCCAGGGTTCATTTTCCCTCTTCCCCCAGGGCTGAGGCTGTCTAGAACTGGAGGCATGTGACTCACCTTGGTCTGAGTTTGTTACCTTCCAAGGGACTCATAGAGGTTTCTGGAGACGTCTGGAAGGAACAGCTGGCTGGCCTGTGGTCCCTCACCTGGATGACCAGAGTTCTTCTGCAGAAGCCAGGGGAGACTTTGCTGACGGGCATGCTCTGGGCCCTGAAGTCTCCTCTGGCCAAATTTACATGTACTTGGCTGTCCAGGTGCATTCCTTCCTCTTTTTAATGACCCAGTGTACTATTTATAGCTCTTCCTTTAAAGGGCAATGAGCTGTGGGCTTCAGTCCTCAGACTAAAGTCTTACAAAGAACTTGGAACAGATTAAGTGCTTTACACACACTGTGGAACAAAGTCAGAAAAGCCATGGTGAAAAGCCAGCAACATCCAGATAAAAAGTGCAGAATCATGAGATTCACCTCCAGTTTCGAATATTCTTCTTCATTATGGCAATCACCTCTAGAGCAGTTGCAGTGTAACAGATACTTTTGTGTGCTTTTTATGTACATTAATTTATTTACTCCTTACAACAACCCTGAGAGAGGGACATTTATATATTTTATCACTAACGTAGGACATGCTCAGAGACGTTAAGTAACTCGTTTTAGGACACAGAGCTAGAAAGGAGCAGAGGCTGGCTTCAAACACAGGTGTGTCCTCTGCCAGTGCTCACTTGTGTTCTTTTCACCAGGCCACACAGAGGGACCAGCAATTCCTCCAAGTCCATGATTCTATTTTTTTGTTTGTTTGTTTTTGAGACAGAGTCTCACTCTGTCACTCAGGCTGGAGTACAATGGCACAATCTTGGCTCACTGCAATCTCTACCTCCTGAGCTCAAGCAATCCTCCCACCTCAGCCTCCCTAGTAGCTGGGACCACAGATGTGCACCCCCATGCCTGGCTAATTTTTGTATTTTTTGGTAGAGATGGGGTTTCACCATATTTTCCAGGCTGGTCTCGAACTCCTGAGCTCAGGTGATCCACCGGCCTTGGCCTCCCAAAGTGCTGGGATTACAGCTGTAAGCCACCATGCCCAGCCCACGATTCTATTTTATTCCTGCAGCAACTCTGTGCAGACAGCAATTTTCTTGTCCCCATTTACAGTTAAACGAACTGAGCCTCAGGAAGGCTCGAGTGCCTGGCCAAGGGGCACCATAAGGAGCCACAGTAAGGAAGGACACCTGAAGGAGGAAGGAATGGAGGATTTGGAGCCTGAACCCAGAGCTTGGGGATTTTCATGCTATGTTTTCCTTCTCCAGGACCAGAAAGGTCCAGACACCTGGACTGATTTCTGAGGTCACACTGACTTTTCCACGCTAATGAGACAGGTGAGATCCATGGGTTTTCTTTCTGCCTAAAGGGGCTGACTTTTGCTTACTTTTCCTTGCTTCCTGTTTTTCTTCTTTTCAGATACCCTTCTCCCAGCTCTTCCACGGCTAGCTCCAGCTCCTCAATCAGACACACAGGGATGTCATCTCCTCAGTGAGGGAACTGGGGCCTCTCCCTCCCCATCATGCCTTCTTATGGCCTGGCACACAATTGGACTCCATGAATGTTTGGCAACAGCTGGACTAGGACAAGGGAGGAAGGATTGTGAATTCGTTCAGATGGTGGGGAGACACAATGAGCTCCAGCCTGAATGAGAAAGAGACAAGGAGGATGGGAAAAATCCCAAAAGTTGGTGATCTTAGAAAAGGACCAGCAAAGGCCAGGGACAAACACAAGCCCCTGCATCATCTTTCAAAGCAGATGGAGCTCAGGTTGGGGGCAGAACATTGGCAGAGCCCAGAATTAGTCAGTTCCCCATGAGTGTTGGTTAGCTGCTTCCCTGCCTGTGTCCCCATTGTGGCCATAACTCTCTTTTTGAAAGGCCAGAATGCCACTCGCATAGGCATCATTAGGGAGTGCAGGGCACTGCCTTAGACCCTGCAGTCTTGTCTGGGCAGGAACCTGGGATCACTGCAGAGAGAAGGATGGACAGGGTCCCAGGAAGTACCCCTGGGAAGATGGGGAGGTGATGGGCAATTTGACATGGACTTCAGAAGGGATCCGGGGCTTTCCCAGCAAGTGGGGGAGGCAGCCACTAAGGCTGTGGAAACTCACCAGATGTTTTAAGGCCTGAAGTGCTCCTAGGCTCAGTACTGGTGCCTACACCACCACCCCCACATCCCCAAATACTCTGCGCCAAGCTTGCTTATTTATTTATTTATTTATTTGAGATGGAGTCTCACTCTGTGGCCCAGGCTGGAGTGTAGTGGCATGATCTCGGGTCACTCAACCTCCGCCTCCTGGGTTCAAGCAATTGTCTGCCTCAGCCTCCTGAGTAGCTGGGATTACAGGCGTCTGCCACCACACCTGGCTATTTTTTTTTTGTTTTTTTTGGTATTTTTAGTAGAGATGGGGTTTCACCATCTTAGCCAGGCTGGTCTTGAACTCCTGACCTCGTGATCCACCTGCCTTGGCCTCCCAAAGTGCTGGGATTACAAGAGTGAGCCACTGTGCCCGGCCACCAAGCTTATTTTTATTTGTCCTTTGGTTTTCAGCTTGGGGTCTCCTCTCTGGAGAACATCCACTAATATGACTTGGGTACCCTTCTTCTGCTCCTGAAGCCTCCCCTTTATTTTATCCCTATTATCACAAGTATTCCACAGAATTGTGATTGGCTCTTTACTTGCCTGCGTCTCCCTCTAGACTTGGGGCTCCTCAAGCATAGGGAGCTTTAATCATTGTGCCTTCAGCACCAAACAAGGGGCCCGGTCCAAAGTGATGAATGAGCTCAACAGAAGTAGATTCTGGTCATGAAAATGTCTTCTAATTATTGTTCACCATTTCTAATTATGCAGAGCATTTAATTCTCTTGCTTTTTAAGAACCTCACAATACTGTTAGGAAAGGAATTAGTTATCTACATTTTCCACGTTAAGCTAATGCCCAGATTGGTGAAGGGGTTTGTTCTGAATCATCCAGTTGGTGAGAAGCTGAGTCAGGACTCAAAGGCCTGTCAAGCTCCAGATATCCATATTCTTTCCTTTATATCCAAAGCCTTAAAGCAGTGATATCACAAACCTGGACAAGACCATCAGGATATTATAAAAACATGCAAATTCCTTGAAGATGTGATAAAGACACAGAATTCAAGGAATTGAGAGAGAAAAAAAGAAGGGAGGAAGGAAAGGAGGGAGAGAGAGAAAGAGGAAAGAAAAACAATTATAAAGTCTAGATAGAACAATAAGATGCAACATAATATTACATATATTATATAATATTACAATGTGATCTTCAGGTAAACAATGTTCCTCTTTAAATGCCCAGGGGTTATAACATGTACTAAGAGAGTACAAACTATGATTTTAACCATGTTGCTTGGCCTGTAAACTATATATGTAACATTGGCAGACCCCAGGTATTAGTCAGTTCCCCATGGGTGTTGGTTAGGATAACAATACATATATATAGCCTTAATACAGCAAATAAGGTTAACTGGCCTTCGGCTGTTGGAACTGACCTGTGGAACAAAGCTCAGAAGGCTGATTTGAGACTGCAGGACAAAGTAAGTCTAAGAGTGTGGACATTAAAGAGAAGGGGTGTTAAGGGATGAGGCCAAAGAGGGAAGAAGGAGGGGTGGGGGTATAAGCATGGTGCCGTAGCTTGAATGTCCCCTCCAAAACTCATGTTGAAATTTAATAGCCAATGTAATAGTATTGAGAGGTGGAGCCTTTAAGAAGCCTTCATAGTAGCCCTCATGAATGGATTAATGCTGTTGTCGTGGGAATTATCCTGAGAGTGGGCTCCTGATAAATGGATAAGTTTGGCCCCACTTCTGTGTTTCTCAAAACTCGCTTCTGCCTTCTGCTAGATGCCAGTGCTATGCTGTTGAACTTTCCAGTCTCCAGAACCACAGGCCAAATAAACTTCTGTTCTTTATAAATTACCTAGTCTGTGGTATTCTGTTATGGCAGCAGAAAATGGACTAAGACAGATATAGGTATGCTCATCATTTATGTAGAAAGGCAGAAAATAATTAGAAAATGTATGGAATACAAAAGAGAATTTTTTTTTTTTAGAATTAAAAAGAAATCTCAAGAAGGAATAAAAATGTACTGTTGGAAGTATAGGAGGTGGGTGGTATAAGTGAGCTAAACCCTCATTTTTCTCCGAAAGGACTCAATAGGTCTAGATAAAGCTGATAAGTCACAAACAGAGGTAAACTCACACTATCTAGACTTCTGGGGTGACTGAACTAAGATGGGAACTGTTAGAAGAAGTTGCTTCTGGAAAATAGATTTATGGCAGACAGGAGGACCACATAAGACATTTCCTATGTAGAAGTATTATTTATTTGAACCTTTAGGTTTATGAGTGCTATATTACATCTATTTATTCTAAAAAATTTGGGAACAGGAATCTGCATTTTAATCAGCTACTCAGGTAACTTTTATGCTCTCAGCCCTGTCTTGGAACCATTGCCTATGGCTTTGGATGGCCTGGGAGGGGCTGTTCTTGTCTCCCCAGCTTCAGTGAGGACCTGGGGAATCTCTGAGCTTTGGGCATTTCTGCTGCCTTTGAAAAGGGGCTTGGAAGCTGGGGAACCTTGCAGGGTTACTTCATAACTTCCCTTTGAAAAGATCACTTGCTTCATCTTCCTGTAATTCCTGGTTGCTTCTAACTCAGGAGGAAGTTGACTCAGTCTCATGAGTGAGCTCCCAGATAATTTCTTCATTTTGTTTCTTAATTCATGCCTTGCAGATTGTGAATATCACTCTGGTTCTCGATGCGAGGTGATGTCTCATTCACCTCTTGACTTTTGGTTGACCCTAAGCTTGATGTGGGTGTACTGTGACCTTCCTGTCCTTTAAAGATGGAGAAAAGAGATTATGACACCTTTACAGTTGCCCTGATGTACACTCATGTTTGCCCATTGCAGTTGGGAATGGGTTATGCAATCCCATGTGACTTCAAGAGGAATCTCTGCAACACATGAAAGATGCAGTGGGAGTCCAGAGCCCAGAGTTCTGGAAGCCAGGTCTGAGAGGGCTGACCGTGGGGCCTGGGGCATTACCTTCCCCTACTTGTCTTAATAGGAACTCTGATCTCCTGCAGCTCACACACCCTAGCTATTGTAGATTGTCTCTTCCGCTGCAGGTTTCTGAAGGTAGTTCCAGGGTAGGACTGTGATCGCCTGGCCTCTGGGTCCCTCCTATTTCCCATCTTTACCTTTCTCATGCATTGGCACATAGCAAGTGCCTCAAATCCATGGTTAACTTCAAGATCTTTGTGAACAGCACTTTGCTGTTTTCTGTTCACATATATTCACACCCTTAGTCACCAGGGTGAATCTGCAAAGTAGGCGTTATTATTATAACAGGATGTTAAAATGGGGTGTTTTCAAAGGCTGAGAACAAAATAGCAGGCGTCATCCGGTGGTGCTAGACCATACGTGCAGGGCTTGCAAAGGGGCGGTCAAAAACCAGTTCGCCAACATTAGCTCATCACTAAACTCTAATGTGAAGGAATATGAACAATTTGTTTTCAGGGCCAATGCTGGTTAATTTAAGGGGTGTTTGTATTATACCAGAGTAGACTTTTTATTATCAGAAAAATCATGAGCTAGGTATATGAGGTTTGGTCCAAGGGCAGGATAAAATATACATCTGCACAGGTATAGTGATGCACTAGTTTTCTATGGCTGCTACAACAAATTTTCACAAATTTATGGGCTTAAAACAACACAAATATACTGTCTTACCATTCTGTTGGTCACAAATTCAACATGAATCTCAAATGGGTGAAAATTAAGATGTCCACAGGGTGCAATCCTTTCTGGAGCCTCTAAGGATGAATAATTTTCCTTTCCTTTTCCACCTTCTAGAGGACACCTATATTCCTAGCTTCATGGTCTCCTCTCTCTATTCCAAAGCCAGCAACATCAGGCCAAATTCTTCTCATGCTGCCATCTCTCTGGTCCTCTTTTCTCCCTCCCTCTTCTACTTTTAAGGACCCTGTGATTACATCAGCATCATCTGTGTAATTCCAGATATTTTAAAGTCAGTTGATTAGCAACCTTAACTCTATCTGCAACTTTAATTTCCTCTAGTCTTAGTTATCCCATCTACCACAAATGGAGAAGGGTGGGAAAGAAACAACATTGCTTCCAGCTTGCACCTTGCTAAGCATTGCTCACCCAATGTAATTGAATCTATTCTACAGGTGAGGAAACTGCAGATCAGGGAGATTAGGAGTGGTGTCCGCTCTTGACTATGCATTGCAATCCCTTAATGCCTGGCCCCATCCTCCAGGGATTCTGATCTAATTGGTCTGGGATATGGTCTGGGCATTGGGAGTTTGTGAAAGTTCCCAGGTGATTCCAATGAACGGTCAAGGATGGAAACCACTGGGCCAAGGAATTACTCCAATTCATCCAAACACCTGGACAAACATGGTACTACAGCCCAGCCTACCTCACTTCAAAGTCCCACTAAGGGGCTGGTGGAGGAGAAACCTCCTACCCTTTTGCTGGAGGGAATTTTCACTTTAACTAAAAACAGACTGTGATTAAAACCAAAGGAACAGAACTTCAGGGGTAGAATATCAAGCACTGAATTCCTGATGGCAACACAAGAACAAGCTTTCCTTTCAGAAAGAAAAATGAGACAGTGTTCAGAGGACAGAACCTCATATAGGGCATGAGACCTTGATAAATGACATTGCTTTTATTTTATTTCTATCATTATTAGGGCCAGACTATAGAGAGGGCTATGCCAGAAGGACCTTCTAGATACCTGAAGCCTCATTCCAAAACCCACAGAGGCCCCTTCCTCTTCCTCCTCTTAGAGAGTCTGATTTGAGGGCTTTCCCATAGCACTGCATCAGCCCAGCCCCCGCCCCTCCTGGACATGCTGTCCAGTCCCCAAGCCCTGGGTCCCATAGTGGTTTACATTGTGACCCCTCCAAAAGACACATCTAAGTCCTAACCCTCAGTGCCTGTTGATGTGAACTTGTTTAGAATTAGGGTCTTTGCACATGTAATTAAATTAGGGATCATGGGATAAGATCATTTTGGATTTAGGGTGGCCCAAATCCAATGACTGGTGTCCTTCTAAGAGAAAAGAGAGGGAAGTTTGATGCACAGAGAAGAAGGCCAGTGAGGACAGAGGAAGGGATCAGAAGGCAGTAATGAGCTAAGAAACACACTGGCCACCAGCAGCCACTGGAAGGTGGGAGAGAGGCCTGGGCTGGATCCTCCTTCAGAGTCTTGGAGTGGGAACGGCCCCAGTAACACCTCAATCCAGGGCCTCTGGTGTCCAGAACTATGAAATAATACATTTCTGTCGTTTCAAGCCACTCAGTTTGTGAAAATTTTGACAGTAGCCACAGACAACTGATAGAGGTCTCATCCATCCCCCAGTCTGGATACCGCAGGAGACCCAAACACAGTGAGAATGCAGAGCACTACCTCCTGGAGCCATGTCTCCTGCCCCTGTCTGAGCCCCCAGATCCTGGAGCCTTACCCTGGATTAAGGGTACACCAAGGAAGCACCAGGGCCATGACTCCTGATTCTGGGAACTCGAGAGCACCTCCAAATACAGCACATGATTTTCAACCCACACTGCACTAAAGGAGTAAAAAGGTGCTTGAGGCCAACTCCAACCCGGGGCCATGCCAGGAGAGACCCAAGGATGGGGAAATGGCCCCAACTGTCATAGTCTTGGGGGCATCCATTGTCTACCCAATAACTGTCTCCTCATTCATTGCTGCTAAATGCACCCCAGCTTTGTTGGGACAGCAATATGTCCTACTCTGGAGGATAAGTCATGCCTGGTATAATTGGATCACAGAAGGCCCTTTCATCCCTCATTGCCAGTGATGGTTTAAAAGGGAGCATATGGTCAGGCGCGGTGGCTCACACCTGTAATCTCAGCACTTTGAGGCGGGATCACTTGAGGGCAGGACTTTGAGACCAGTCTGACCCACATGGTGAAACTCCGTCTCTACTAAAAATACAAAAAAAAAAAATTAGCTTAGCCAGGCATGGTCGTACATGCTTGTAATCCCAGCTACTTGGGATTCCTTGAAGCCGGAGAATCCTTGAACCCGGGAGGCAGAGGTTGTGGTGAGTCAAGATTGTGCCATTGCACTCCAGCCTGGGCGACAAGAGTGAAACTCCATCAAAAAAAAAAAAAAAAAAAAAAAAAGGAGCACATGACTTAGTTCTAGCCAAAAAGATGTAAGGGGAATTCTGCTGAGAACCTCTGGGAAAAAACTTTTCCTCCAAAAAAAGAAAGAAGCACTGGAGGGGAAAGCCCTTTAGCTCCTTCCCCATTTGCCTCCAGCATGAGATGCTGTTGGGGATTATGTGTGATGTCTGGAGCTGTGGCAGCCATAATATGTCAGTGAATTGAAACACCATTCATGCGCTGAAGATGGCAAAGAGGATGGTTGGAAAGAGTCTGGGTCCTTAATGACATCACTGAGACACTGACCAACCCTGGGACCATCTACCTATCGAGTTTCCTTTGGTTAAGGCCTTTTAGTTCAGTATTTAAGTGCTTTCGCTGAACCATCCTAACAGAGCCTATAATGCAGGTTGGAGGCTAGTCAGGGCTTTCAGTGCTATCAGTAGGTTTTGTAGGACACACAACGTGACCCTAGGCCTATATTTTATAGTCCATACAGTGCATGGAAACAGAGAAATGGGAAAACCTGAGTTGGACTCTGATTCTCCTCCTCTTCACCATGTGAATTCAGGTATAGTGTAAGTCTTTCTGAGCCTCACCTTCCACATTTGCAAGATAGGACAAAAATCTCAGCCTACAAATCATCACTAATTTACTCTGAACTCAAATAACATGATGGGTATGAATGCATTTGATGGCATGCCATCTAAGTGAACAAGACTGTTAACCAGCTCCACTTGCTTTTACTTTGGGTGAAGTGTGTGTCCATGTGTGTGTGAAAGGGGGTGGAGAGACAGAACGTTTTAACCAGAATATTTGCCTTAAACGTGTGTCCCTTAGGAGGGTGAACATTGCTTATCCGGGAATCCAAATCATCCCAAAGTTGGGGCAATTCTATCACCTTGCACCAACCCCCTCTCACATTTAATCAAGTTCCATCAGTTCTACTTCCTCCAGGGCCTGTGGCTCTGTTTCTTGCCCCAGCTCCATCCTCATTGTCTTGCTTCAGAGTGCATTGCTTCTCACTGGACCATTGCACCCATTCCAGTTGGTCTTCTACCTCCACTCTGGAACCTTTGTGAGTGAGTCTTTTCTACCACTCAGGTGGGACTATGCCACCTGGGGCCTGCTCTTGATGGATCCCCATTTTTTGTGTCACTGTTTGCCCAGCATTCTCTCCTTCTGGAGGAGCAAAGTCCTTGTTTCTCCAGCACCCAGCACAGGGCCTGGTGCATAACAGATGCTCATAAACATTTGTTGAATGGAAACAGCAGCCTGGGATTCAAACCTTAGAAAGATTATTAAGATATAGTTGGTGTTACCAACGAATTGCCTTGGATTCACACATTAGAGTCAACAATGCTTCACCGCATGTAGATACTTTATTGAAGGTAAGTGGCTATTTTAGAGAAAAAGATGACCATAGTGGGCAGCCTCGGGTGAGGTTTTTGGGGAGCTCAAGGGCTGGTCACTTGCTGTAGGTCTTAGAGCCTGGTTCCTGGAGGCTTAGGAGATCTTCTCTTAGCCCAGATCCAGCCGTCAACTCCTCCTCTTCACTCTCTGCTGACTGCCCGCCCTTGGCTCCATCTGAAACAGAGGGGCAAGGAAGGTTGGTCCAAGCCAGATTAGGACTTCTCTTCTCTGGTCCCTTCCTTTTGTCCCAAAGAGACCCCAGCCTCCAGTGGACATTTCTTGCTAATGCCCTTTAGAGGGAATTTTCCACTGGCTGAGGTGCCAGATGGGTCTCCTGGCTATAGGGACATGCTAAGGGTACAATGGTACTTGGATTTGTTGTCAGCAGACAGACACTCAGCCTTGGAAGCTAAAAGCAGAGTTGAAAATCTAAACTATAGCTGGACAAGATCCCTTCCCTGTTTAACGGACTACTCCCATTTCTCTGTATCTGAAAAACTCCTGTCATTCTAAAAACCACAGCCCAGCATCACCTCTCCTGGGGACCCTTCCTAGAGCCTCCAGGGAGGAGTGAGTCCTCCTTCCTCTGGGCTCCTGCTCACTCAGACACAGGCTTCCATCATGGCTCCAGGAAAGCTGAGGGCCATCCCCTGGGTTGTGTCACTCACACCCGTTATTCCAAAGCTTCCTAAGGGCATTGTGTTTACTCTCTATTCCCAGTGCCTTCATTATAATTTCTTTTCTCTCCTTAACACCTCTGCAACAGGAAGAGGTAGAAATGCCCACTTTTCCCCTGGCTAGAGTTACCTCTCCAAGATTTTCTATCTAGGACTTCAAGGACTGTGAGGATGAGGTTCAAGACACTCCCTTCTCTTCCCATACCAACGTTCTAGGCTGGAAGCCCTGATGTTGGTTCAGCATTCTACCCCCCATAGACCTTCTCTCCTAGTCACCCCACTGCCCTCTTCCTGTGCCTCTCTTTCTTTTCCTTCCAGCCCTACATCAGAACAGGAGGCCCTTGGCAACATGGAGCTCCCCAGACCATGAACAACTCACAGGAAGGGGCTGTGCCATTGGCACTGGTGACCCCTTGGCTCCAATGCGCGCGCAGCACAGGTCTCATGCAGCGAGCACAGCAGATGCTGAGATCAACACCCAGCTCCCTCCACTTGTCCCAGGGCTTTGCTACCTGCAGATGTCTTCAGAGACGAGATGTACTTGGACCAGAAGGAGCAGTCGGCTTTCTTCAGGCCCTGTCGATTGGGGAGCAGCTCACTGAACTCCTTGTAGTTCTCTCCACCAGCACGGGGTACAAAGTCAGGCCAGGGGGTTGCAAATGTGGGTACTTTCCGTGAGAACTCATAAGGGTAGTTGGGATTTCTGGGCAAATGAGAAGAAAGAAATATCCATGAGGGAAATTTGTCTTTCCTTTCATCACCTGAATCACTTCCCACTTGCACTCGGTATCTGAGGGACAATTCATGTATCTGTAGGTGTCAAGGCTGCATGTGAACTCCCTAAATCTGGCTTCTGGGGTTGTGATCTTGACTGCACTGCAAAGCTAGCACTGCAAAGCTAGGCCATTTCTGGGTGAGGAAAGGTGTTAAGGTCATGACCTGGTAGCATTACCCAGGACCTAGCGCTGCCCTTCTGTCTTTGTGAATGGTCAGGAGATCACTGTGCTCTTCTCTTTCTTGATGTCCTCAGATCTAGACACCATAGCTAGCCTTTGGAATGTCCTTGCTTGTCCAAGGCCCGGGCAGGAGGGTGAATCTGTAGGCCAGCTGCCCCATAAAGGGGATGTCAGACCTGTTGGGATAAAGGCTCCTTCCCAAACTTGCTGCCCAGGCCCGTCTTCCGGCATGCCCTGCCATGTAGCCCAAACACCAGCCCTGCAGCCACCTGACGTTTCCCAGATAAGGTGTGTCCTCTCATCCCTGCTGCATTTGCCCAGACCTCCTTTCCTGGAAGTGTCTTCTTCTTCTTTGCTTATATAAATATTCTATTTATCCCCCAAGGCCCAGCTTAACTGTGACTTCCTCAGTGAAATATTTTCTAAAACCCTAATTACAAGAAATGTGTTTTTCTGCTCAACTCCCATAACAAACTGCATAAAGCTTTATTTTCTCCTGCTTTGAATTATGGTTCATTTTTGTGTTTTCAGACTATTAGTAGCTGGTAGCTGGGTCATGACTTTTGCACCTTTTTATCTTTCCAGGGAACCTAGCACAGTTCTAGGTAATCAACTCACATCAGGCAAAAAGATAAAAGGAAACAGGTAAACTACCATGAAGAGGAAAGAGCAGGAACCAATTCTGCAGGTGGGGACAGCGAGTATACTTCATTGGACTGGAGTACAGGCAGGCAAGGAGAGGAAGAGCCTCAAGGTGAATAAAGGAGGGCCCTGAGCATTTCAACTTAAGCTGAAAACCCAAGGCACTGGTATTCCCCTCTGTGGAGAGACAGTGGCTCTCCTCCAAGTGGTTTTCCCTCCAGGGGACATTCGACATGCTTGGTTCTCAAAACTGGGCCGAGGTGGGCACCACTGGCATCTGGTGGACATCTAGAGGCCAAGGATGCTGTTAAACATCCTACAATGCACAGGACACAGCCAAGATTTATCCAGCCCCCGATGTCAATGGCACTAAGGTTGAGAAACCCCGATCTAGAGTCATCAAATGCAGCTGGTATAATTAGAGCTTTTCTTCATGAAGATTAATGTATGCAAAAGCAGTTTTGGCTAGGAGGGGGTGACTGAGACAGGGAGGCCAGTGGCTGGTGATTATAGTGTCTACGGAGGAAAGGATGAGTCTATCGATGCAAATTGGGCCTTTGCGTTCTGCTTGAAGGAAGCGGGAGGAAAAGCACAGTGACAGAATTCTGAACAAGTGGTCCAAAATTACCCTGATCTGATGAAGTGGGAAAAGTACTGCATGATTTTCAGCGACAGGCTCTTCTCCTCCAGAGAAAACTGCCCCTCGTAGGCTGGGTAGAAGGGAAGCCCCAAGGCAAACTGAACATCCGCCAGCAGCTCCAGGCTGAGAAAACAGAGGAAAAGCAGCAGCAAAAGGTCAAGAGAAAGTAAACTACTCAAAAACACAAACACACAAACAAAAATATTTCTTCCAAAACCAAGACTTTCCCTTCTTTATATCATATCCAAGTATCCTGTTTAGGGCCCAGTTGAATGGAGATTTGGCTTGGCCTAAATTTAGTGCAGTGGCCCCTTGCGGGGAGATCCATGGCATGTCTGTTGCTAAAGTGAGACCAACACGGAACACTGAAGTCTCTGGAAATAATGCCTGCGAGAAACCTCCCAACACAATGATTTTTGGGTCATATTCTAACCACGATACTTATGGTATCACTGGATATTGGTGTTCTTCTAGTCACTGAAAAAGCAATAATGAAAGTAGCTTGTATTTGAGCCCATTCTCCGCACTAGCCTGTGTTCATATACAACTCACACTCTTATGACTTTTCAAGGAAGACATTTATCCATGAAGCCCACCGCAGCACAGTACCTGGCAAATAGGAGTTATTCAATAAATACATGCTAGACTGGATTAAATATCTAGGAAGCAGCATCCTGGTGGGAATAATGACTTGGAAGCCAGTCCAGTGGTGTGAATGGCCTGGGCTGGAGCTGGTGCTGAGGAGCCTGGTACATGGGCCATGGAGTGAGCACTGGGAACCAGGGAGAGTGGTAGAGTGGAAAAGCCAGGATGGATTTCACCACTGCATAGTAAAAAATCGGGCTTTGCCCAAAGAGAGGTCTGGACTTTGCCTTTGGCTTCTGGAAGGTGAGTCATACCCCACTGCCGGTCTTGTTGAAGCTGTCTTGTTTCTCAATCACCACACTCCCTCTGCGGTGGCGACAGAGAAGCCAGGAGGCCCAGGGTTAATAGGGGCCCCCCTCCTCTTTCTTCCTCCAGTGATGTCTGGCCGACTTTCTCCCCACTGGGGATTAGTCCTTCTCCTCACAGTGGGATGAAAGGTTCAACAGCCTGTTTCTCGGGAGGCGCTTCTGGAAAACTGGCTGTATTAATTCTCTATTGCTGCCCTAAGAAATTACCACAAACTCAGTGGCTTAAAACAACACAAATTACTATCTGACAATGTCTGGAGTTCAGAAATCCAGGATCGATCTTAGTGGACTGAAATCAAAGGGTGAGTGGTCTGCGTTCCTTCTGAAAGCCCTGGGGAGAATACTTCTCTTGACCATTCAAAGTTGTGAAAGGATTCCGTTCCTTGAGGTAGAGGACCCAGGCCCCCGTTTTCCTGCTGGCTACAAACTGAGGGCCATTCCCAGTCACTAGAGGCTGCCGATCAGAACTGCCTTCCTCCATCCTCAGTGGCCAAGTCCTTCTGATGCTGCATTTCTTTGGAACACTCCCCTGCTTAGAGCACTCATGTGATTAAATTGAGCTTACCAGGATAAGCTCCCATCTCAAGGTCTTGAACCTTAGTCACACCTGCAAAGTTCTTTTGCCATGGAAGGTAACACAGTCACAGGTTTCAGGGTTTAGGACTTGGACATTTTGCGGGGGTATAACTGTTACTACAATAGCCTGGTCTACTGTTTCCTCCAGAGGAAGCTGCATTCCAAGTATTCTAGTGAACAGAAATAAACTTTAAAGGCCAGAGTGCTCTGTTGAAACCCCAGCTCAGTCACTGACTAGTGTGCAATCTTGGACAAGCTGTCTAATGTCTCTGGGTCTGAGTGTCCTCCTCTGTAAAATGGTGACACAATTATGCTTATTTCAGATGCTGAACGAGGTTTAGCAATAAAATATTTTTAATCTCTCTGACCCAGTTTCTGGCTCATATACTTATTTCCTTTTTGATTAACTGAGAGAGACATCTGAAAGCTTAAGAGTGGGAGTCCTTAACTTGTGGGAGGTTGGGGAGGTCCCATTGCAGGGTTTTGGAGAGCCACAAGTTCCCTAAAATTACACATAAAATGCTGTTAAGTGTATAGGTGGATCTCTCTTGAGAGATGTTTCATATCCTCCATCACATTCTCAAGAAGGTCATGACCTGATAAATAATCAGCTGGGCGTGATGGCTCATGGCTATAATCCCAGGACTTTGGGAGGCCAAGGCAGGTGGATTGCTTGAGCTCAGGAGTTCAAAACCAGCCTGGGCAACATGACAAAATCCCATCTCTACAAAAAATACAAAAATTAGCTGGGTGTGGTGCCGTGTGCCTATAGTCCCAGCTACTTGGAGGGGTGAGGCAGGAGGATCACTTGAGCCCAGGAGGTTCGAGGCTGCAGTGAGCCACGATTGTACCACTGCACTCCAACCTGGGTGACAAAGTGATACTCTGTCTCAAAAAAAGAAAAAAGTTTAATAATTGACTCTCTGGGGGAAAGGAAATCCTATTTGTAATACTTGCCAATTTTTACAGTGTAAATACTCCCACCTTAGCCAATTTCAAAGTGATATCACTGAGCATGGTGCTGGGAAGCAATGTGTACCACCAGCTCTCGTGAACTTGTATGAGGCAGCTCCAGGCCACCACTGTCTGCGACCTTAGAAAGGCCACAGAGCACTGCTTTGGGGGAAAGTCCTGGCATTCCAGCCCATCCCATCTGTTTAATTTGAGAGCCTGTTGTGTATGAGGATTTCTGCTTTGTTTTTTCCTTAGCAGAGCTGATCTCTATCAGGATGCAGGAGTTATTTTGAGCAGTTTAAGGGACATCTGGAGGAGGCACAAAGAGTGGAGCCTCTGAAGAGGGAATCTGGGAGTCGAGGACCAAGTCCTCGGTGAATCTGGGCACTGGCTGGGAGTTCCAGGACCCTCTGGAGGAAGAAAAGGGGATTTGGATTCAGCAGCAGCAGCAGAGGAAGACCCAGAAGAACATGCCAGGGTCTGACAAGGTAAAAGAAAAGACTCAACTGAGTGGCCCTGGTGCTCGCAGACTTGGGGTAGGCAGTTCACGTGTGCTCATGTGGCTTCATTGCCCTGCGCTGTGTCTGATCACTGATAAATCATAGGTCCAGACCCGTGGCAGCTGTGTCAGTATATGGTCAGCCTGGAGGCATTTAGCTTTTACTTGTCATCTGCTGTTTTTGGTAATCACATTGCAGTGGAACTTGCCCCTCATCTGACAGCTGCTCATCCTACGCCCAGGGCCAGATCTGAATCTTCTCCTTGTCACATGGAAAGGCAGACTTTGGGCTTGGGAAAGCTACCTGCCCAAGATGGGCAAGCTCTGTGCAAGTCCCACTTCCACTGCTGAATCTCTAAGCCTTGGTTTTCCTGTCAGTAAAATGGGTCTGATCATCTCCGTTCAGCCTCCCATATGGTATATCGGATGCTCATAGATCGAGTGGGTGTAAATTCCTTTAAAAACTGTAAGTTGCCACTCAAGGAAGAGTTAAGGTTGCTGAAGTTGATAAACTTACATTTAACCAGACTGTAGAAAGAACTGACCAGCCACAGAGCTCTGCGGATGACTGTGTGTGTGTGTGTGTGTGTGTGTGTGTGTGTGTGTGTGTGTGTGCACGCCTTTTGTTTCAGTTTCAGGATTTGAATGCCGTCCAGTGAGGACGGTGGCAAATTAGAAAAGGGGTGTTGGGACTAAGACCCTGCTCCGCCCACAGTTGCCGAATGCCTGCTGTGCACTGTCCTCTGGATGGATGCTGAGGCTCAAAAGGTGGCCGTTCTGCTGAGGAGCTCACGTTCTAACAAGAAAGTGCGATCAACCACTGCTTTTCAAAAATAAAATGTTGTGAGTTGTACGATAGATAGGTAGGTATCTATCAAGTGATAGAATTACTTACCAACTACCATAAGAAGAGAGAGAAATGAAATACCATTTATTCCAGGCAAGAAAATGGAAAGGAGTTTATGGAAACCGAGAGAGAGGAGGCCGCGGTGGACTTGTGCTTGGACAGATGAGTAGGGTTAGTGAGTGGATGAGGCGAGGAAGGGCATGTGGGTAGCGACTCAGCACTTGGGCCATCACGGAGTGGGCTTTGTGCTCTGTATGGAGCAAGGAATGACAAGGGGTATGGCTGAGCACAAGGAGAGCCAGGGCAGGTGGGGGCTGGTGCAGCTGGCAGAAAACAGTCCCCAAGGCGCTGGCCTCACAGGTCCTGCTAAGAAGTGCAATTGGAACTTTTTCTAGTCCAGAAAAATCCAAAGTCTGAAAAACCACTAAACTGCATGCTTACTAAGGTCTACTGGAATCTAATTCTTCGAAAGGTGTGACGGCCTAGACCAGAAGAATTGACGGTCATGTTTTAAAAGGGCTGGGAACTCTGGAGGTTTCTTAGCAAATGAGTTGTAAGTTGCATTTCTTTTGGAAGGATTACTAGAGGTGTGTGGGAAGAAAGACTAGAACTGAGAAATCCTAGGGTCGCTGCAACTGTCCAGGAAAGACAGAACCTTTTCACATAATGTCTCCAAGCTTACCTCTCTGCCACACTGCTCATCATTAATCCTGCTGGTGCTGCTGAGGACCTGCAGGGAGGCTAAGCCTGCACCCCAGCGAGCCAAAAGCCTCATTTCAGAGATGATCCATTGCACAAGTTCTCAGCTTCCAGGATCAGGAGTCATAATCCACAAAAGTTTGGGCTTATCAGCAAACAGGATGATGGAGGTACATCCATTCAAAGAGATGCACCTGGCAGTGGATGGAGCTGGGGAGGTGGGTTGAGCCTGGGTTCCCCTTATGATGAGGTGAGGGTGTGAGGAAGGATCTTTCTTGACAGAAATAAGACACTGTTTTGCATGGGGAAGCCATTCTGCTGATAATGGTGTGAAGAGGACTGTGCTGGAGATGGCACAGCACAGATGGGCATTCCGGCCCATCTGAATGGACTGATTTGAGAGCCTGTGCTTGCAGGGATTTCAGTCCCTGCTCTTCCGTCTGTCTGCAGGAAGTCTGTTGACCTCATCCCCATAAAATATACTCCCTTTTTTTTATCCCCAGCCAGCATCTTTCTCCATAGCTTCCTCCAAAGGAAATTAGGGAACGGGGAGGAATGAAAGTCCCTTTGCTTCCCAGGCTTTTGTTTTGTTTTGTTTTTTTGTTTTTTTTTTTAGAAGCTGAGGAAGTATTAAATAACTTATGACTAGAAGCTTATAAGCGTGCCTCTCTTTGGGCAAATCTAATATGCAAAAGTTCAGATTCTGCATGTGAATTAATCAGGAAGTAATTATTTGCTTTCCAAATGGCTTGTGTTTTACAAGAGAATTTGCTATGCAATCCTTTAAAAATAAGCTCCCTGATGTACGCTAAATAGTGCAGTCCCACCCCCGGCCCCAGAGGAGATATTTGCTGTAGTCCCCTAACTTCCTAAAGCTCAGCAGAGCTGTATGATATATTGTTTCACAGTAGACTCAAAACTTTCAACTATCTTGCTAGATTAACCTGAACATTTTATTCCCTCCATAAAGTATGATAACGGCTGTCCAGAAAAAAATGAACTTTGCAGGCCCTAAACATGCATCCTCAATAACTGTGTTGTGTGCTTACCAAGGCCCAACTGTTTAAGTCATTGTATTTGTCATTGTGATTTTACATCTAATTGAATTTATTGAATACCATGCAGATACTCCATTTTCATGGATCCCAGACTGGAAATAATAGATCATGCACTATGTTTATGGTTTTGCAAGAAGTTCAAAGGCAGAACTCCAAACAGCATTTTCCAGCTTAACCCTCTGATCCTGCACCAAAAGAATGGCCAGGTGATGCAGATTTATGTGTTTAAAGTTAAAATAAAATATTTAAGGCATCACACCTATCTTACTCATTTTTCACAAGTTCTCTTCTTAATTGACTTTTCTGACTAACTGACCATCGCATTTGATAACAGTGTTGATATTCTACATTTTATTATTTTTTAAAAAGATAACTGATGTTTCAGTGAGCCGTCCTGGATATGAATGAAAAGACCATTGTGCATTATATATATTTTCTATAAAATCTGCAATGCCTTCTCATCACACTCAAATAAAATACTATCTCTCTGCTAGCCACAGCTTACAAACTCCTATGTGAACTACAAGACTCATTTTTTTCCCTCTGCACCTTCAACCACTCCCCTCCTCTTCAACAGGCTCCAATTCAAGTGCCACAATTCAAGTGTCCTAGCGCGCACTCAGCCTCATGATGAATTTCCATGGAAACTATGAACTCCACAGCTGGCCCATCCCCCAGGCATCTTAAGATGAGAGGCTTCCACGTCCTCTCTGAAGTGGCTACAGCTCCTCATGCAATGTCTGGTACCAGAAACCATTTCAGTTGTGGTTGCTTTCTTCCAAAGACCTGCTGATCTCCAAATTGGATTCTTCCAGCTTAATACACGAAGCAGCATTAGTAATGCTCCAGTTCCCTGGCCTTCTTTATCCTCAAATATGCCAAGCCCTTTCCCACTTAGGGCCTTGGCCTTTGATGATCTTTCTTTTGGGATTTCCCACTTCTACATGAGGATCACACATCTTCTTATTTCTTGGTTCTCAGCTCAAATGTCACCTTTACACAAGGTTCTTTTCTTATTACTGACCATGGCACCCTAGTGGACCTCCTTCCTAGTACTGTTATCCGAACATATGCTGCATATTGATGTGTGTATTGTCTATTCTTTACACACTATTCCTAGATACCCATCAGCCCCACCTGCAACTATAGTCTTTGTCCCAAGAAGGCAGCTCTTCTCTGCCTTGCAGGTTTCTCATTTCTAGGACCTGGAAGGGGATCTGCAGCATAGACGGCGTTAGGTAAATCTCTGTCAAATCAATGTTGAAGAAGATATATAGTGCAAACCCTATTATGTCAAGGAGTTGGAGTGATCAGTTTCAGAAAATGATTTATTTTCATCTACACTGGGAAATAATCCCACAGGATGTAGCCAGGCTGATGGATTCAGTTCAATAATCTATCCACTTCGTATTTTCTTTGGTTTGTTAATTCCAACAAACTCACCAAGACAGTCAACTAAAAAGATAATATTTTGAATCTGGAATGTTAAAAGCCTCTGGAATGCACAGTAGTGTCTAGAACGCAAGTGTAGTGGTGTACAAAATGCCTTGAGTCTAGAATTTACAGCTTTGTTTTCCAGGGTTGGGACAACTTATCAAGGAGGAACATTATTGCCTCTTTAGTCATTTTGAATGTTTTGTTTTTCTCTCTCAGAGCCTCAGTTTTCCTAAAAGGAAAATAACCCTAGCTACCTAACATTGAACATCTGCAATGAGCCAGATGTTTAATGGACATGATCTTGAATATTCATACTACGAAGTAGATATAGCTATACCTATTTTAAAGGTGAGGAAATTGAGGTAAAGGGTTTTGTTTAAATGCAAACAGCTAATAAATGGTAGATATGGGATTAAAACTCTAGTTGATTTAGTCTCAAAGGATGTGCTGTTTCACTAGATTGGGCTGTCTCTGCCAAAATGAAAGACCAGTCTAACATCCTCTATGGGGCGTGAGTAGATGTTTAATCCCAAGAGCCATACCCCAGCCCCCACTCTTCCATTCAAAGAAAAGTTAAATGTGGTCTTGTTGAAACATCTTCCACACCATCGGGATGTAGGAATGACATCCCAGCACCCTGGAGGCCAAGGCCTTCAGAAGAAAGACCCAGATGCAGCACACAATTCAAGTGCCATAGCACACACTCAGTCTCATGATGAATTTCCATGGAAACCATGAACTCCACAGCTGGCCCAGCCCCCAGGCATTTTAAGATGAGAGGCTTCCATGTCCTCTCTGAAGTGGCTACAGCTCCTCATGCAATGTCTGGTACCAGAAACCACTTCACTTGTGTTTGCTTTCTTCTAAGGACCTGTTGATCTCCAATTTGGATTCTTCCAGCATAATACACGAAGCAGCATTAGTAATGCTCACCTAATCAGTGTTCACTCTCTGCCAGGCAGTTAGGCCCACAGGCGAGGCTGTCTGTGTGCCTTGTCTTCTTTAATCCTGACACACTTCATAGTAAGCATAAGTGCTATTACTAGCTCCACTGCACAGATGAGAAAACCAACTCTTAAAGAGGCACATAGAAAGTGGCAGAGCCCTTGAAAGACAGGAAACAGCAGAGAACAAACCGGTGCTCTCTTCTACACTTGCTGGGGCCCAGAGCACAGACCAGGGCTGGGGGTGCGGTCCCCAAACCTGGCCACAGGGTCTGAGTCCTTTGTTCATGAGCAGCAGAGGACACAGATGGGGCTCTTCCTGGGAATGATACCTGGACCTTTAAAGGCCAGTGTGTCCTTTGAAAGGGGCTGTTTAGAGAGGAGGACATCACCGGTGAGTCAAAGAGATGGAAATACCAGAGACGGGCAGGGAGGGAAGGATCCCAGCAGAATAAGCAGGTGGTGCCTTGAAAGGTACCTGGGCAAGTGACAGGAGGCATTAGAGAGAACACAGGAGGCATTAGACAGAATGCCCAGGGCCTCAGACCCGGGAGAGACAGCAGGCCAGAGCCCCTCTGCATGTGAACCTGAAGGCCTGTTGGCCTTCCAGATCAGCTTTGTCACAAAGAAGCACTGAAACCACCCCTCTGTTTCTCTGGCACACTCCATCTGCTTGAGGGGGTTCCAAGGGGCCAGGGACAGCATCTTGGCAGGGGACATCCTACCTTGATTCAGGGGCAGTGTCTGGGAGAGGGGTTGCTACTTCCTTTCAGGTACTGTTAGTAATAACTTCAGTTCTAATAGATTCCAGCAGTGGTTCTCAACCAGCAAGGATTGTGTCCCCAGGGAACACGTGACAATGTCTGGAGGCATTTGTGGTTGGCACAGCTTAGGGGGACTGGGGCTGCTGGCATCAGGTGGGTAGAAGGCAGGGGTGCTTCTAAACATCCTTCAATGCACAGCACAGCCTCCCACAACAAAGGGTTATCCGGTCTCAAATGTCAACAGTGCCCAAGTTGAGAAGCCCTGGATTACAGGCCGCGCTGGAAATCCCACTTCCTAAAACAGAGGGCTCCAGAGACAGACCGTGGGAGAAACTGGCTCAAAGTTTCTTCAGTGGGCAGAGATGAACAGGAGAAAGCTGGTGAGTTTTTTTCTCTCATCAGTAGCCTTGGAAATCAAAGCTGCCAGGTATTGTACATACAGATACACATACATGCATACACTCACACGCAGAGACATTCACACAACCCAGATGCCGGCTCTGAGCTAAACACCATGCAGGCAGTGTCCCCCAAACCCTCCCACAGCCCTATGGAACAGGACCTGTTACTCTCTGCAGATGTAGGTGAGGCTACATGGAGGCTAAGAGAGGTTAAGTGACTTGCCCAAGGCCACACAGATAGTAAGTGGACTTGGCCATTGTAGGCACTCAATAGGGTTTAGGATAACGTTGGAGCAATTGAAAGAAAGCTGGAGAGAGGGCAGGGAACAGGGCATGGCTCCAGACTGCTACTCACTGGCTCAGGGACGGGGAAGTAATCTGCTCACATCCCTGGGCTTTTGTTTCTTTACATGTAAAATGAAGGAGCTAGACGGTCTCATCTTCTATATTCTATGATTCTTTGAATCTGAATCTGAAACTAGAACCTTCTTCTCACACTAGAGATTTTGATTTCCCTCTCTCCTCTCCATCTGTTATGCCTATTCTTTCCCCATAGAAGTTTGCCCTCAATTTCAGGAATGAAAATCTCATCTATAATCCAGGTGCACAGTAAGAAAACCACACTATTCTGTGATCAGTTTACAATAGTCTATAAGAAAGCAATAATTCGTTGTATTTTTTTTCACTAGTTGTTGCCAGGAAAGCTAATATATGCTAACAGAAATGGAGGTACGAGACAGATGGCTGAAAATGTAACACACATATATTTTAAGTATGTAGATTTGAGCCAGAAATAAAATGAGAGATGTGACAGCTCCGGGGCAGAGAGAGAGAGAGAGAAAGAGAGATGTCTTTTTGGGACAATAAGATAAACTTGCCAAAAATCAAATGAGTTAGTTTCTGTGAGTCATTCATTGATTCAATTATCTGCTACATAGATGGCACCATATGTGATGGTGATGGAGAGAGGAGACATCTACACAGGGGGTTGTCAAGAATGCATTCTGATGGCCAAGAAGAACAGAATACTCTTAGCACTATTTGCCTGTCTCTGTTTTATGCAAAATTAATGATCGTCACAACCTTTGAGATGGGTCCTATTATTATACCCATTTGCCAGATGAAGAAATTGAGTCACCAAAGAGGTTACATGACTTGCCTTAGGTCACTGAGCTGATAAGACTCAAGGATATGTTTTTCACCAAACTAGTAGATGCCAGCATCTCTGCTTTTGACCAGGGCATTATTTTGCCTCCATAAGAATAGCAATACCGCTACTATAAAATGTTTCCGTGGATCTGCGTGTCTCTTTCCTCTAAAAATGATAGAACTGAGAACTAAACGATTTCTTTAGGTGACTGGGTCCAGTAGTTTTTCATACTTTCTAAACTGAATAACCTGGAAATGTTACTCAAAGCTCAGTCTGTGACATAGGGAGAAAGGGGCTGGGAGGCTCAGACCTGCCCCCTCCTCAAAGAGGCTCAGGATCCACGCTGCCTAGAACCCAGTGAAGAATCGGTGCTTCAGACCTCTCCGGCCTCCCTACTCCCACTTCACGGGTGGCAAAACTGAGCCCCATAGAGCCTAAAAACTAAAGTAGAAAGGACTCATTCCTGACCATCTATCCTTCGGTATGATTTCCTGAGCACCTACTAAGTCTTCATCTGTGCCAGGAGGGTCACTGGGCTCTGAGGTGCAGAGAGCCACGGAGCCACGGGAGGTAGTTATGAGGGCCTCTGCATGAACATGGCTTGGTTTCATGGGAGGTTCCCTGGGTTGCCGCAGTGGAACCCTGTCTCTAGGGACATGAGGACACTACTCAGCAACAGAGAAACCCACACTGGCCATGGGAGTCTGAGGTTGTGATTCCACTCTGTTAGGATTGCTCCTCTGAGGACCACCCCAATCCAAGGTCCAAAATAGACCACTTTGGGCCATTGCCATTCAAGAGCCTGCTTGACAGGCTCAGTTATTTTAGAGAAAGGCAGTGTTATGGGTTGAACTGTGTCTCCCTCAAAAAGATATGTTGGGGTCCTTACCCCTAGTACCCCAGAATGGGACCTTATTTAGAGATAGAATCTTTATAGAGGTCATCAAGTAAAACTGAGGTCATTAGTGTGGGCCCTAACCAATATGGGTGATGGGGACCTTGGATCCAGAGACTGACGTGCACGAAGAAAGACGACGTAAAGAAATACCGGACGAAGAACACAGATATCTATGAGCCAAGAATCGCCTTAGGCCACCAGGGGCTAAGAGAGAGGCCGGAACGCATCCTTCCCTAGCACCTACAGGGGGAGCATGCTCCTGTTGACAATTTGAATTCATCCTTGTGGCTTCCAGAACTTGAGACAATACATTTCTATTGCTCTAAGCTGCCCAGTTTTGGTGGCACTTTGTTACAGCAGCCTATGAAAGTGATCCAGGTAGGGCCCAAGCACTATTGATTCTCACAGCAATGATATGAATGCTTTCATTTTGTTTTGCTTTGATTGTTTTCACCCTCATGTAGAAGACTCATTTCTTTTTTATTTTGCCACTGTAAATTCTGGGGTCCAACGGTATGTGCATATTTGTAAGGCTTTTAATGAACTTGCTGTGAGAGAGTTACACCTTTCATTGTAATCTCTACCTTACATGTGAGGAAGGCAGAAAACCAGACAAAAGAGTCAGTGGATTGAGGGTGGATTCCTGAGAGCCTTGGCGAGGAGGACACTGCCAAGGCTGATTCTAGGAACATTTCCCATGCTGGGCCTCCCTTGCCATGGGTGGCCATAGACCACTGGATTAGGAGGGCACCTTCATCTCCACCCAAACCACATGGCTCTTGTCATCATTCCTTCTCTCCCTCAATGCCTCCTTCCCAGAATCCTGGCCTGCCACTTATTTTTCTTCTTACAACCTGGAGGCAGTTGCTTGAATCTGTAGTTCAGGCTGAAATTATAGTTCTATGCAGAGAGACCGCGTGTTAGAGTGGAAAGAGTTCTGAGGCTCAGAGAAGCCGCGGGTGGGTTACTGCTAACTAACCAGCTGCTTGTCCTCGAGGGAATCATGTTGAACTCCTTGAACCTCAGACTCTGCTATGCTCTGAATATTTACGTCCCTCCAGAATTCATAGGCGGAAATGGAATCCCCAGTGTGTTTGTATTAAGAGACAGGGCCTTTGGGGAGTAACTAGGTCATGAGGGTGGAGCCTTATGAATGGAGTTAGTGCTCTCATAAAAGAGGCCTTAGGGAAAATGTTTGTCCCCTTTGCCATGAGAGAATGCAGAAAGAAGGTGCCACCTGTGAAGCAGTCAGCGAGCTCCCTACTAGACACCAAATCTTCCCATGCCTTGATCTTGGACTTCCAGCCTCCAGAACTGTGAGCAATAAGTTTACGTTGTTTATAAATTATCCAGGCTAAGATATATTTACTATGGCAGGCTGAATAGACTGAGACACACTTCATATCTGTAAAACAGAGGTAACCATTTCAACCCTGCAGAGCTCACAAGGATTCTGGACATTTTTTTGTGGCGTGCTATAAAAACAGAAGAGTCTGTTTGGAGAAAGCGGATGAATAATGGGTGCTCCGGGGAAATGAGAGCACTTTGGGGACTGCATGAGTTTCCTGCAGCTGCTGTAGCAAATCACCATAAACTTACTGGTTTAAAACCATTGAAACTTTTTTCTCTCATAGTTCTGAAGACCAGAAGCCCAAAACCAGTTTGAGCCAAAACCAAGGTGACAGCAGGGCCACACTCCCTCCCCGTGCTCTCCCAGTTTCTGGCTGCTACTGGCATTCCTTCCTTGTGGCCACATCACTCCAGTCTCTGTGATCACATTGCCTTCTCTCTTCTGTAGACAGCACTTCTCCCTCTGGCTCTCATCTATAAGGATACTTAAGATTGCATTCAGGGCCCTCACGGGATAATCCAGGATTATCTCCCCACGCCAAGATCCTTAACTAAATCACAACTGCCCAGGTTCTGTTTCCTTATAAGGTAATGTTCCAGGTTCCAGGGATTGGGTCCTGATATCTTTCGGGGGCCACTATTCAGCTAAGGTATTTTACTACGGCAGCTCGAATAGACTGTGAGACACACTTCCTCTGTAAAACAGAGGTGGCCATTTCAACCCTGCAAAATTGGGCTCTGAACTTTTTTTGTGGAGTGCTATAAAAATGCAAGAGTCAGGGCCAGGTACAGTGGCTCACGCCTGTAATCCCAGCACTCTGAGAAGCCGAGGCAGATCGATCACTTGAGGTCAAGAATTCGAGACCAGCCTGGCCAACATGGTGAAACCCCATCTCTACTAAAAATACGAAAATTAGCTGGGAATCATGGCGCATGCCTGTAATTCCAGCTACTGGGGAGGCTGAGGCGGGAGAATTGCTTGAATCCGGGAGGTGGAGGTTGCAGTGAGCCGAGATTGCACCACTGGACTGCAGCCTGGGCAACAGAGGGAGACCCCGTCAAAAAAAAAAAAAAAAAAAAAAAAGGAAGAATCTGTTTGGGGGAATCAGGTAACTAATGAGTGCTTAGGAGAAATGAGAATGCCCTTTCTTTCCCGTAGTGGCAGTGAGGTCACCTGGAGAGCATTATTGGGGAATGGCAGGAAGGTGGCCAAATCACTGGCCATGTCAATTATAGGGCAGGTAATAAAGTAGTCCCTGGTGAAAGGAGGACATGGGAAGGAGTCTATCTTGAGGTGGCCATTATTCAGCCTACTTTAGGGGCGTTGCTAATTGTAAAGATAAATGATGCATGTTTATAAGAGTTCCCTTGCCTTGCTAAGTAACACAGGGTAAAGCCCTGTTATGGGTTGGACAACTTATGGTCCAGGTACTGTCAATGCCAACCCTAAGAGGAAAAACTTTAGTCTTATTTTGTAGGTAAGGATATTGAAGATCAGAGAGACAAAGAAAACTACCTATGATGGCACAGCGGGTATATGGTGTGGCTGGACCCCCACCTCTAAAGCTGCAGTCCTTTCACCCAGCTCCCTGTTGCCCATAAAATAGACCATGGATGTGAGTGATGAATGTTCTTGACCCCAGATGGCAGGCCTTGCTCCTATTCTTATATGAAGTAAAACAATAATGCTCTTGCATCTTTTGGAGACATGTGTTCCCTGATGATCTGTTACCTGTGAATGCTTATTGGAGGCTGAGCACAAGGACACCACTACTGTCTTCCCTCTAGAGGAGTAGATTGTCTTGCCAAAGGCACCTCACTATGATCTGATGTGGTTTAATGCACGAAGTCACTGCCTCAGTGGGAAGGGTTCTGGGGTTTTCCCACATGGATGAATGGCTCAGAACTGTAAGCTCATGGGGCAGTAGAACAGATAGCCCCATAGTCCTCCATTCAAAGCGCCGGTCATCCAAGTCCCCAGATACCCTCTTTGCATTGTTCTTTCACTCTGAAGCTGAGATCACGTGCGTCCCTGTCACTCAGTCTCTCTGCTTCCTTTGTTCAGCTATTAGAGCTATGAAACCCAAATCTTTCTTTTCTTCTTCTTTTTAAAATATTTTCCCCAGCTTCTGGGAAACTCAAGGCTAAATTCTATGCTCATTGCTTGGCCCTTCCTTTATGGTTGGTTTCCTTTCACTTGCACCTTATTTCTCTTTCTCATTTTGATGACTTCATTGCACCTGATACTTTATTCTAAGGGAGCTGGAACCTATTCTGGAAGTAAGAATGATATATAAATCAAGCATGAATACAACTTTCATTTGGCTGAAAAGAAAAGCCTTTTTATACTTTGGAAAGTCAATGTCTTAAGCTAGTGCTCAGTCTCTGGAGGAATCAATATAGAGAGTAAATGAAAAAGCCTCCTCTCTCAAGTCAAATTAATCAATTAATAACTAACATTGCAGTTCTAAAGTGTGTCATCATCATTTGCAAAGCCTTTCACACCATTTTTTTTTTTAACTTTCCCCGCCTGCAAGACAGTGAGATGAAGTGGCTACTACAATTATTTCTATTTCTCAGATGAGGAAACTGAGGCTTAGAGGGGTTAAGTGGTGTGTCCCATGTCATCGAACTGGGACTTATCATTCGGTTTTACCTTCCTTTCTCTGCTTCCCTGCAGCGTCTTACCTGCCATGGCCGTAGTTTTCAGGAGCATGGTACATGAAGACGTTTCCTCGGGCCCTCTTTGCCCAGGCACTGGCCATGTCGATTATAGGGCAGATGATAAAGTAGTCCCTGGTGAAAAGAGAACATGGGGGGAGTCTGGTTAAACATGGCTCTATGGGCCATGGTGCCTGGAAAGGGCTTCTCCCAGCAAGGGGCCCCCTGGGCCCCCAACCCACCCCTGCCAGGCCTACAAGAACACCTTCTTCCCATTCCCCAGCAATGCTCTCCAAGTGCCTCCACTGCCACATTGATGGGAAAGCCAGGGTATGGTAGGTACACAGTTCCCTCTGGTAGGTGGTGGGCTCGAAAACTGGCGTCCATGCTGATGTATTTTAGGCATCAAAAAACCTGTGAAATAAACATCTTCCCAGGACATCAATTTCACTTAAAGACATGGAAGCAAAACATTTTATAGTAACGTAAATGCAATATACAGTGGAGTTAAATACAATATACTGTGGAATGGAACATAAAATCATTGTGCATTTTAGAAGACGTCAGAGCCCGCAAAGATAGCTCAAGCATGTGGTACCCTCAGCTCAGCCCAGGGGCTCTCAGCAGGCGAGATTTTGCCACCCCATCTCTACCTCCCCTAGAGAACCCTTTGGCAATGCTTGGAGACATTCCTGGTTGTCACAACTGGGAAGAGAAAGGATTGTACTGGCATCTAGTGTGTGGGGGTCAGGATGCTGCTGAACATCCTACAGTGGAAAAGGGAGCCACATAAGAAAAAAAGATCCAGTCCAAAATGTCCAGATGAGGAAGCCGAGAAATCTCCCTAAGTTATATATTTGCTCTGCCTTTGAGGGTAGCATGAATCGATTTCAGAAGCAGCAGCTTACAAGAGTGGGGCCCTGCGTGTGCTGACGCACAGGCTATGTGCTTAGAGAGGCGGCCCCAGCCAGGCCAAGAGTCAGACAGACCCTGGCTGACCCTGGGCCCACCAGGTTTTCAATCCCATCTGCATTGCAGAGTAAAGGTGAGATACTCAGCAGTTCTTTTATCTCCTTGAATCTCTGTCTTCCCAGCTGAGAAGTGGGGCCAAAGGTCCCTACCTGGAAGAGGTTTTGTAATGCCCAAGTTTAATAACACCCATGGGAGTCCCTCAGCAAAAGGGGTGCCCGTCTTCCTTTCCTGGTCATTGGGATAAAAGCCTTTGGTGAGTCTGCTGGGTGCTTGAGTCTTCCCAGGTGAGGCTCTGAAGTTGGGTGGGGCACTGTGGGCATCTTGAGGGCAGATGAAGCCAACTGAGTTTCCCCCCATGCACCCTGAGGCATTGTGAGCAGGACAGGGACAGGATCAAACCTATGGGAAGCATCACGCACTGGCAGGCCTCGGGTGGGACACTGCCCAGGAAACTGCCAGGGAGATGGGGCCAGGTCCTGAGTCTGTGCCAGAGAGAAGGAAGGCCTGAGCTAAGGTTGAGCTGGAGTCCGTCTTCTGAGTGAGGCCTCCCTTGGTGATATTGCCTTCCCTCAGTCTCAGCTCTCACCCCAGCACGCAGGTTGTCCTTAAGGTCAGATAAGGCAAAATTAAGGCAAGAACCTAGGTTTTTTGATCTCTAGCCCTGAGCTCTCTCTGCAATGTGATCTAGCCCAGTCCTGACTTGATTATAAGCCTCTCAGGGTCAGGGACTGGACATCTGAGAGTTCTTATGGTCCAGCCCAGGGCAAGGCCTCCCAAAATAGCTGTTGGCTGTTTAATCTAAAGTGGAGATCTCCACTAGAGGGAAAATTAAAGCCTTTTAGTCCGCAAGATCCAAGTGGGTGGTACAGTTTTATTCTGAGCCAGTGACCCTCCAGTTGGAAACCACAGGCTCCTGAGTGGAGAGACCAAGCAGGGCAGTGGGTCTCTAACACCTTCCAGCCCATCCCTTCCCAACAGGCTCCAGTTTACCAAAGGATGCTGAGCCTTGACATTGGCTCTGTCCCCAGGGACAACAAGCAAATGGGCCTCCCAGAAGGAGAGAGAAAAGGAGGCACAGAATGTAAAAAGCACTCGCATCCCACCCATTCTTCCCACTGGGACTGGAGAGCCCTCAGAAAACCAAGATGCGTCACCTGTGAGGGGACTCAAAGGTGACCTGAGAGCTGCAGTCCCCACTGTGGTCTCATCCTAAGGAGCTCAGAAGGAAGAAAGGACTGGAGCCCTGGCTATTTTCTTATTTCTATTCAAAAATCATTTCTTGTGCATCTGCTGTGCATTTCTGTAAAAGTTCTCAGCCTCAGTGAGCTCATGCAGTACTAGGAGAGGGAGGCAGGTCTGTCCCGACAACCCCTGGGGCCGGGGGCGTGCTGCAAGAGAGGGACCCTGGGGACAGCAGGGCCTGGGGGCTGCAGCCTTTAGCCATCTTGGGGTGGGGGTTTGGCAGCCTTCCCCAAGTGAGAGAAGCTTGAGCTTGAATGGGGACAAGGCATGTAAGCAGTGGATACAAGAAACAGCGGGCCCCAGAGAGAGGGCGCAGGGCTGTCAGAGCTTGGGCTGTTCCTATGTGGGGAGTGGTATCAGCCACAAAACCTCCCTGCCTCCAGGCCTCTGCTTCCCACGTGCCGGGTGGGCCTGGACTGCAAGGTGGAATCAGCTGAGGGAGCTTTGGAAAATGCTGCCCCACTATGGGCCCTGTGTGTCACCTACCCTTTAAATGCGCTCACGTGTGCCTGATGGGCAGCCAAGACTGGGGGCACTGGGCTCAGTGAATGCAAGGCCAGGAGCGTGGAAGGTTGTCCTGAGCATTTGCTGAGCGGCTGCTTCAGGTGGAGCGTGCACCAGGCACTTCTGGCAAGTGCTTCGTCTCTGCCCTCCGACAGCTCCCTCATGGCCCAGGAAGAGCCAGAGTCACCCCCTCATTTCTCTCATTGGCTTGGGGTTTCCTGGCAGCAGGGTCCACCCTACATGTCCTCCAGGGCTTCCCCTCAGCAGGGACACTCCCCATGCTGTAGGCTGAATGAATGATGCAGAGGAAACCTCAAGCACAAAGCCACGTGCCTTTATTTCTCATTCATGACCTGAACACCAACTGAGTCTGCTCCAAAACATAGCAGTAGGAATCTGCACCCTCCTGCAGCTTAGCTTACCGGGTGGCATTCTCCAGAGCCCGGGAGAAGGAGGCATAGTCATCCGTGGAGTGCTCCAGAGAGTAATACCATGTAGCAGCAGCCTCGACGCGGGCATCTGAGTCCTCGCCACCCAGAGAATTCTGCAGTGCCTGGTAAAAGGCTGTTTTGCTACTGGTCCGGCCTCGACTTTCCTCAAATTGCTAGAAAAAAAAAAAGATACGAAATTCCTCAGTTGGATTCTGAAAGGTCCAAGTCAGTGTCCCTCAAACCCTTGCTCTAGAATTTTCTCTCTGGGAAGCAGTGGGGCATGGCATTAAACACAAGTGGAAGCCAGACTGTCTGAGTTCGAATCCCAGCTCTGCCTCCTTCTAGCTGTGTGTCCTTAAGCAAATGGCTATCCCTCTCTGTGCCTGCCTTCCCCATCTGAAAATGGGAGTGCCTGCCACATAGGATTATGGCAAGTAGTTACAATGGTACCTGGCACTTAATAAGTGCTCTGTTAAGGTTAACCATTGTTGCAGTCTGAGAACAGGTCAAACCCCCGAGTTTCACTTGCTTTCCCGGGCTCCTTGCTCAGCCAACTCATGAGTAACTGTGGTCTGGTCATGTTAGGAGAGCTAAATTCAGTTTCATTCATGGACTCAGTCACTCATCATATGAATGCTTCATGCACACTTTCATACAGATAGTTACGCTTCACCAGGGCCAGCAGTGCCCCAGGCTTGGAGAAACAGCCACAAACATGCCGATCAAGCTCCCTGTCTCTTGGGGCTCACGTTCTAGTGGCAGAGGTGGAAAATGAGCAAATAAATGTATGGTATATCAGGGAACAGGTGCTACAAAGAAATATAAGGCCATATACGAAGGATATGGAATGCTGGGGCTGGGGCTATTTTATATAGGATGGCCAGGAAAGGCACGCAGTTCTCTGGGGGATGTGTGTCCAGATGGGCGCAACTTTTTCTATTTTCTTTTCTCTGTCTTTCTCTTTCCTTCCTTCATGCTTCCCCTTTTCTCTCCCTTCCCTCACCTTCTCTTCCCCTCCCCTTCTCTCCCCTTCTCTCTCCTTCTCTCTCTATTTCTCTCTGAAATTCCCCCCTCTCTCTGTTCCTTCCTTGTTCTGGTGTTGCTGCTGTCTGCACTGTGGGAGTCTGGGGCCATTCACTGCCTTCCCCCAGGACCCAGTTTCCTCCTTTCTGAAGACAATGGGCAGGGGAAAGTCTGGGATGCAGCCCCTGGTGTGAGGCCCAGCCTCCTGGGCCCCAGCACAGTCCTGTGCTATGTGTTTACATATTTCTAGGACCTTATGTAAACGGTGCAACGTGCTTATCAGCACACTCTGGTGTGTTTAAATTGCTTCTCCAAACATTTACAAGCACACAGGACCTGTGATTAGAATTCCATCAATGTGATTAGAATTCCATCAATGAGCAATCCCTCCTGGGTAAGCACAGTCCCTCCTGGGTGGGAACAGCCCCTCCTGGGTGGGCACAGCCACTCCTGGGTGGGCACAGCCACTCCTGGGTGAACACAACCACTCCTGGGTGAACACAGCCACTCTTGGGTGGGAACAGCCCCTCCTGGGTGGGAACAGCCCCTCCTGGGTGAACGTAGCCACTCCTGGGTGAACACAGCCCCTTCTGGTGGGATGGCTGACTCTCCACCCGGCTGAACGAGAAGCAAGGCTGAACCACCCTGTGGACTAACTGATCCTTCAGGATGACCGAAGCCAGGAGGGCATGCAAAGAGGGCTTTGTTCTCATTCTATCAATAACATTTTGATTATTGGGGAAAAAAGTCTGGAGCAAATATGAAATTGGGAGATCTGAATGGTGAATCTGTGAATATTCATCATATCAGCGACTTTTAAATATTTTGACCATGATCATGTAAGAAAGTTATCTTATACATAACAGAACACACATGGACATACACAGACACAGACCTGAAATAGCACTCACGAATAATGTTCACACTCCATACTCTTACCATCTACAACGCATCTGAGAGTTTCCATTCTATTCTACCCTAGTCTAGTCTAGTCTGTTCAAAAAATACTCACCTACAATCTATTTTGTGGACTCTACAACCTGCTAATAGTTTAGGGAAAAAACTGCATTATATTCTCTGTCCTTTTCTGCCTGGAATATTTCATTACAAAAATGATATTAGTAACCCACTGGCACCCCTCTTACTATTTCTAAATTTTGTGCTAAACATTTCACACATATGTTTCGAGGAAGCATCAAAATAACAAGGTGAATTGGGCACGATGTTATCCCATTTTATGAACCATAATTCTGAGGCTGAGAGAACCTGCCTAGCTTGTTTAGGGTCACACAGACAGGATGCATGAGGTGAGATTTAACCCCAGGTCTTACTGCTGGTAAGAGACAGGCTCGTTCCCCCAGTTATAACTTAAGCAGGACCCCACATCAGAGCTGTGGACACTGGGACCTCGGCCCATGGAAGGATGGGTGGTTTTTGCCCATGAAGTGCCTGGCCCAGAGCAGTGAAAAGAGCATTGAGTTTGGAGTCAAAACTTAGGGTTCAAGTGCTAACTGCCAAATTTGGGGGGATCTTGGAAAATATATTTTTTCCTCTCTCTGAGCCAGACATCTTCCAAATGTGAATGTATTGTGTGTATTCATATGGGCCCTGTTTTTGTCTCCTGTGAAGATGAAGTGAACAAAGCAGTCGCCTGCTAAGGATCCCACTCCTAGTCGTGGCTGGTTGTTCGTGGGTGCGGGCTAAGAAGAGCTAGGAAGTCTCAGTGCAAGGTGCAATGGCCTGGAGCTGGCAACCCAGATTTGGGTTCCAGCTCTTGCATTTCCCAGCTGTGTGGCTTTGGGCAAGTCACTTAGCCTCTCTAATCCTCAGGCTTCTCATAGGCAAAATGGAGTTAAGTAAAATCTATTTCACAGCGTTGTTTTGAGAATTAGAAATAACGTTTTGAAGCACCTCACTCAAAGTCTGGCATACGCCCTTAATCAAAGAGACCTACTTGTATCCATCATGGGTTTAATTGGTTTCAATTAGAAAACTGAAGCATTAACACAGGGCCCCAAACCGCTTTATTAGATGAAGAAAGCATTTAAAAAATGCTATGTGTATCTATCTTCATGGAAGAAGGCTCTCTTGCTTTTATTTCTATGCTAATTCCTTCATATAAATAATATGAATATTTGAAAAACTGTGCAAGAAAATATAATAGTTCGTTCCAGTGGCTGTCTCAATGCTGCAGCCTGTTTGCTCAGCTCTGAGCTGTGAACAAGGAGATTGGGCGATGAGTGAAGGCAGGTGGGGAAGGCAGAAGGTGCCAAATTCGAGGGCCAAGTACTGCTCACAGATGCTTTATAAAGAAGGAATCCATGATGCCCCCACCTCAGATATTGGGTGGGTCTAATGCCCCGGGCTGGAGCGGAAGTGGGGAGAACTCAGTTCTGGGAGCCCAGGAGGGTACAAGGACAACGGTGCAGTGGCACTAAAGTGGGTTCTCCCCAGGCTGCTTTGCTACGTGGCAGGCATAATCTGCCTTCAAATCTTAACATGAGGGAGCTATACTGAGGTCTGGGCACCAGGATCTCCAAGTCCCAGCACCCGCTATCTGGCAATCACTGTACAAACTTGAGAGAGTGGCTTTCTCTCTCTGGGCACCATTTTCTCATACATAACATGAGGGGGTCATAGTGAGAGCCCTAGCCAAGATACCAATGCCTCCTGGGCTGCAGAGGAGTAAAACAAGTTCATAAACTGTCTCCTCCCTGTGCAATGCCATTTGCTGGAACTTAGAGGAGACTGCCAAGGGGTGAGAATGATGCTGCCTGAGTCATGTCGGCAAAGGGAGTAGCCGAGGTCAGCACAAGTGCCACGCACCAAGCACCCATTGCGTGTCAGATGCTGTGCTGGGTCCCTGGTGCACCCTCTTCTCATTTGCTCCCATAACCATCCTGAGGGGGTGGACAAGGAAACTGGCTCAGAGAGGCTAAGTGCTGTCTTACACAGCTGAGTAAGTCACACAGGTGGGGAACAAACCCAGCTGTGCTTTGCCCTTGCCACCCAGACGAGCTGCCACTTGGCCTTCAATTTCTGTGACTCCTGAGAACTAGGCTGCTGAAATATTACCAAAATGCCCAGGCCACGTGAGGAGTGCTGTTTCCTCAACACCAAATGTTCTCTCGTACTTTTAAGCCTTTGCGCCTGCTGTTCCTCCTGCCTAAACACCTTTCCCTAGTTTGCCTGGATAACAGCTATTGAACTAGACACATGCTTTTTAATCCAATAAGCGTTAAAGTAGACTGAAATCTTGATAAAATACAGATTCTGACTCAGCAGGTCCAGAGTGGAGCCCAGGAACGTGCATTTTAACAAGCTCCCAGGTGATGCTGATGCCGTTGGCCTGGGAACTTCACAGTCAGCAATCAGATTATAATAGAAAATCCAGGTTTTGCTCAGGGCTCACCTCCTCCAGGAAACAGGACAGATAATGGTTGAAAGGTCAGGCTCTAGAGATAATGGTTGAAAGGGCAGAACTACCTTGTAGTTCCAGGACCCCGAGTAAATTGCTGCCTCTCTCTGTAGCTCAGTTTCCTTCTTTAGACAAGGTGGATAATGAAAAATGCCTATTGCATGAATTATTAACAGATCCCAACGAAACATGCATTAAAAGTGTTTAGCACAGTAGTTGGCACATGGTCAACAACCTTGAGTGATGATTATTAACCTGTCCCGGGCTAAACCAGGGGCCCCCATGGCCCTCAGGACCCAGGTGCTGTGATGTTAGTTTATTTGCCTATTGTTCCAGAGTACTACATGGCAAAGGGGGCAGGGATTGTGTCCATAGCCCCAGTGCTCAGTATGGTGACAGGCATGTCATAGGTAAATATGCATTGAATGAACGACCTCTGTAGAGATAATACAGGTTAGAGGCTGAAAGTAGGATGCTAAAGTCAAACCTCTTGGGTTTCAAATCCCAGAGTTGGAAAGGTCTGGGCTTGGAGGGTAACTGTGCGACTTCTTAGCTGTATGAACTTGGGAAAGTTATATAATCGCTCTATGTCTATTTCCTCATCTGTAAAATGGGCACAACAAATTACCCTCATCATAAAACTGTCATGAAGTTAGATGAGATGAAACCTACAAAGTGCTTAGCACTGTGTCTATTGTCTTTGTTGTTAGATATTTGTAGACTCAGCCTTGAGCCCCATTCAGACAGGCCAGGGAAAGTCCATGTCTTAGAGAGAGAGGCCTGAGCAGAGCTTTGTCCCCACTGAGCTTGAGCCCAAACACTTGGAACCCTTTTTCCAAACCCCTGCTAGATAAAGGAGTGGTCCCCAGGCCGGGCGTGGTGGCTCACACCTGTAATCCTAGCACTTTGGGAGGCTGAGGCAGGCAGATCACAAGGTCAGGAGATCGAGACCATCCTGGTTAACACAGTGAAACCCCATCTCTACTAAAAATACGAAAAAAAAAAATAGCCAGGTGTGGTGGCACACACCTGTAGTCCCAGCTACTTGGGAGGCTGAGGTAGGAGAATGGGGTGAAACTGGCAGACAGAGCTTGCAGTGAGCCACGATCACACCACTGCACTCCAGCCTGGGTGACAGTGAGACTCTGTCTCAAAAAAAAAAAAAAAAAAAGAAGAAAAGAAAAGAAAAAGGACTGGCCCCAATCATGGATGGAGCCTCCTTCATGGGTTCTGCGGAAACTCCTTCTAAGATGAGCTTTTAGGAGTGCTAGGACACCAAGCCCTGGGCATTGCAAAAATAAGTCTCTCTTGCAAAAAATGATCTAGAACACCTTCACAGCCAGGTAGCTGGAGGGATGAGGCCCAGTTTATGCTCCCATGAGACTGAGATTAGAGTTCCACATTTTATGGGGATCTGACACACTAATTGGGTGCAGCCTTGATGACTGGTCAATATTTTGGAGATGACCCAAAAGTTGTCTCCCAAATAGTGGGAGATAAATTCCCAAGCCCCACTGGGGTGCAAGGGAATGTGAAGGGGCACATTTTCAGCAAGACCTGGGACACACATTCCTTCATGATTGGCGAGGCCCCGAGCACAGATGCCATTGCCAGTTTAATTAGAGAGTCAGCAGGCGGGAGTGGGGGCCACCGTGTGACTGCATGTGCTGACTTCCACAAGCTGTAATTACAGGCGGGGTCTGCCTTAGACAGTAGATTTGTTACAGGCAGGAATTACACAAAGGGCTGTCATGAACTGGCCACTCCTTGGTGTGTGCTTTTAAAGGACTGCCATTAACACATCCTAATGAAAAGTAAGAGCCCTTGGAAACACCGAGGGACTGAGCAGGGCCTCAGCATCAACCTGAATGTCTTGGGGCCCAGTGGATTGAATGTGAAATTTGGCATTTGAGAGACTCAGGTTCAAATCTAGCTCTATTCTGTGGCCTCAGAAGATTCACCTCCAATGAACAAATGTGTTCAGTGGATATGCCTGTCTGTGCCTTCATTTCAGGTCAATAAAATGGGGTTGATGTTAGAACGAAATGCATTAATGATTATAAAGAGGCTGACACATGGGAGACAATAAATATGACTTCTCTCTTCCCTCTAGTTAGTAAATGATTAAAAAGAAAATCAGCAAGGCAGGTGAGAAATGCCCTTTAGTTCACGCCGAGTGGTGTCTGAGAGACACGATGAGAACACATGGCTGCAGGCCCTTGCTGTTCATCCTACCGTCCCTTCAACAACTATGCTCGGAGTGCCTGAGTATGCCAGGAGCAGCTCGAGGCATTTGGGACACATCAGCGAACAATCGGGCTGTTCTCTGCCTGCATGGGGCTTCTAGTTCTGTGAGACAGGCTGACAATATACAGCACATCTATGTGATATGGACTGTCCTGGGGTGATAAGGAACAAGATTCGTGCATAGAACAGGAAGCCGGAAAGGGGACGGGGGTGCTGGGCAGTGAGGGTCCCAGTTGTGCCCTAGGGAGCTGGGTTAGGCAGCGTGGAGGATGGTTGAGTCCAGACAAGAGAGGGTAGGGTTCAGACATGCGGACAGCTGGGTGAGGGGGAGCAGCGAGGTCCACGGGGTCAGTGGAGTGATGAGGGCAGAGGAGCAGGGGAGAAGCCAGAAAGAACAGAGGGCTGGGTGGCTGGGAGAGCCTCACCCTACCTTTTGCTTTTTTGCTTCAGGCGGGACCTGGGAGAAGAGCTTCCCCATCCTGGTTTGCAAATGTGACCTGCCAGAGAGCATGGAACACAGAGCAGGCCAGGCTGGGTGTCCTTGCATTGGCCCCAGGCACTGCAGAGCCTCAGTAAGGAGCCGACTGGCCCCTCAGCGCTGCTTCCCCCTGGCCCTGCCTCCTGCTGCAAACCCCAAGGCCAGCGCACTCTGCAGGCCACACTGCCCTCTCCTCAGGGAATGGCCCTTCCTCCTCTTGGACTGAGGGCCCTCCATCTCTCTGAGGCTCAGTCTTTGCTGCCCACAGCCCTGGAGCCCCTCGCTGGGCAAACCCCCCCACTGGCTCTTTCAGACCTTCAGTGTGCAGCTCTCCATGAGTCCCACCCCCACCTAGAGCTAAAGTGCCTGCCTGGCAGTCCCCAACAGGAGGGTCTCCTCCATCTGCTTCATCCAGGTGCTCTCAGCTAGATGTGCACTCCAAGAGCATGTCTACATGGTGGGCTCCAACTGTCCTATAGCCTCTTTACCATATGGCCATCTGGCTACCCCAACCTCCATCAAGGTCACTGATAACCTTGCAGAGGTCCACCAGTAGACGCCCCATCCCCCACCTCTCCATCTCCTCCTCCCAGTCAGCTCTGCCTCAGCCTAATTTCTGGAACCTCGTTCTGCTGTCTCTGACTACTCTTGAAAGCCAAGGCTCCCAGCTGCCACCCTGTCCCCTTTTCCTCCCATTCTGTCCACGAATGCTTGTGGGGTGGGGCCATTTCCTCTCCTTGCTTGAAGAATGACCTATTAAGCTAATGATTCCCAAATCTCTCTCCAGCTTGAACCTCATACCTTCATATAAATGCCTCACATCACCTGGAAATCTCTCAGGCCCCTCAAACTCAACCTAGGCACAATTTATCTTCGTCATCCATATGTGTTCTTCCTCACCCCTAGAACCTTCTTCCCCTGCTATTTCCCTATCCTTAGTGACTAAGACCAGCCCTCAATTACCTGATTAAAACACAGGTATTTCCTGATTGCTCCTAAAATCATTCCCCTCTTCCCCTACATTTTGCTGTAGCCTGTGCCTACGATCTTCATCCTGAGTGACACCTGCCCCCACCTCCGGTCCACCCCTACTGCTGTCCTAGTTCACAGCACATCTCCTCTACCACACTGGGGCAGAAGCAGAGATGTTGCTCTTGGCAGGGGCTTAGGGGAGGAATGGTTTGTACACAGACAGCCTGTAGTCAATTTTTGCTCATTGATAATGCTCCAATTTTTGAAAAATGGTTGTAACATCACAGGTTGGGGAAGAAGGAGACACAGAGCAGAATCCCCACCAGAAAAGTAGGAAGCCTACCAGAGTTCACCTGCTTCTTGCAAGATTATATGAATGGATGAGTGAATGAATACACAAATGCTCCAGAATTCTCTAGAGCTCTGAGGTAGATGGAGACACAACACTCCTTTGTTCATTAGAGGGACATGAATTGAAGACCAACCTAGTAGGAACTGAGGATTCCAAATGGACATGACACAATTCCTGTCATGGAGCAGAGCTTGGTGAAGTCAGTGGGGTCAGCTGGTGAATGAGCAAAGTGCTCTGTGAATCCTGGGTGGCCGTTTGCATCCAGTGGAGAGCATCATTCAGTGGAGACAGGGTGGGTTTGGGAAGCAATGTGACCATGTCCTCACTTCCCCTCTTCCCCCAGCCTATTCCAATCAGCCTTTCCTTCCCGTTACTCCACTGAAATGGCCCTCATCAAGGTCTCCCATGACCTACAAGAGCCCAATCTCTGCCCTCATCTCTCTTGACTCTGTGACATTTGACTTTTGCTTCCTTTTGGAAATGCTTTCTTTTCTTGGCTATTGTGATACCGCATTTTCTTGGTTTTCTTCCAAAGCTGTATCTACAGCCCTGACCTCTCTACTGAATTCCCAACTCATATAGTCAGCTGCCAACGCGAGATATATCCCAAATCTGATCATTTTTTACTGTGACCATGTCTGCAACCCTAATTTAAGTTACTAGCTCAACCCCTGGATTTCCACAATAGAGCCCAATCTGATCTCTACTTCCTGGGTCACACATCTCCTTAGTCAATTTTCCATATAGCTGCCAGAAATGTTCCTTTTTAAAACAGTGGATCAATATAATCACCTTCTATTATTAGCTTGAAACATTCCAGTAACTGCCCACTGCAAGGAGAATAAAGTCACTTTTCTGATGGCCTGAAAGATCTCATAACTGGTCTTCTTCATCCCTCTGACTTCCTCTCCTCCCAGTCCCTCCACTGGCCACTGGATCTCCTAGCACTGACCTCCCTGTGACCCCCAAACAGCCAGGACCACTCCTGCCCCAGGGCCTTTGCACCCACTCTGTACCTCAATCCCCATCGCTGGCTCCCCATTGCTCAGGCCTCAGTCCAGAAGTCACCTCCTCCGAAAAGCCTTCTCTGACTGCCCCTAAAGTAATTGCCCCATTCCATCGCCTCCTCTGCAATGGCCCCACTTCAGTGTTCTTCAGGGCATTTCTAAGATCTGAAATTCTTTATTTACTTACATCATCTGTGTCCTTTCATGAGAACATGAACTCTCCGAGTCAGAAGCTTTATCTGTTTAGGTTACAACTGTGCCCTCTAAAGCCTAGAGAGAGTCCAGCGCACAGAAGCCTCTGAATAATCTATGTTGGAGAGATGCTGCATGGGTTAATGCTTGAATGACTCCTGACTTCACTGCTCCTTATGGTGTTAAGGGACAAGGACTTACTTCTCCATCAAGCACAGCTTGCTCAGGGCCAAGGGCTCACTGCACTTTTAGGAACTCACAAAAGTCTTTTCTTTCTAATTTCTTTTAAAATCAGAAGAAAAAATATAATAATAATGAAAATGTAATAATGAATCCAGCCTGGTTTACATTCATCCTTATAACAATGCAGTCATGAAATACAATATTTTAATATTTTGGGGGGGACAAGTCAGTCCTTCTGATCCTCAGCTTTCTCTGAACCATAATCCCAGCTCACAGGGCCCCTGGGGAGAATTAGACAACGTGACGTGTAAGCGTCAGCTGTGAGGGGTAATGTGGGGCTATAGCTCCAGGGTGGAGGGTTTACAGTGTGCAAGGGCATCCTAGAGCCATGAGACCTACAGGGCTCTCTGGGTGTTGGGAGATACCTCTTTCGCTTCTTATAACACTGCAAGAGACAGACAGGGTGGCTCTCACTGTGTCCATTTGAAGGCTAAAGAAACTGCAGCTCAGACCAGTTCAGCAACTCTCCTACATCGTGTGGCTAAAGCTAAGAATTGTGACCCATTTTTCTGAATCCAGGTCCCCGCGATGCCCTGGGTTCAGACCCTAACACCCTCCCGTCCCTGAGTGCTGGGGATTTAAGGCAGCAGTGCCTCCTTTCAGGAAATCACACACACACTGGAAACTCCTGCATACTCCTCTTACTATAATCTGTCACCAAAGACTGGATATTCCTGTGCTGGGGCTCGTGCCAGCGCCTCGGGCTGCCAGGTGCTGCTTTCCAACTCCCACATGGGCTGCCCTCCCCCTACTGCTACCCACAGGGCCCCCACTCCACCTGCTCCCAGACGAGGCCAACTCCTGGCCAAGCTTAGGGGCACAGCGGAGGCGCTCTGTTTCTGATTTTTCTCGCCTTCCTTGGAGATGCCTGTGCTTGGAAGGGAAGGCAGAACATTGCATCTTGGAACAAATCTGCTTTTGATCATGCAAATGAATGCCTGGATAATGTAGGCAGACTGTCAATTTCACCAGTTAGAAAGAAAGAGAAAAGGGGGAGAAATTCCCCATGACAGCGACTGATGAAGAATTTCAATAGAAAGCTGCTACTTCAGAAAATAAGATCATTTGCTGCGAATGGAGAACATCTCAGGCAGCCCTGATGCTCCACCGGTAGGTTGCTAACTTTGCTGTCATTGGGACCCCCTGGGTGGGCCATAGGTGGCCTGGGGTGGTATGTGGGGGAGGGTCTTCAGAGGGACTTGATGGATCCTGTACCCACCCTCCGTCTTTGGTCTGAAGAAAATGGGTGGGTCTCTGCTGGTGGTGAGTAGCTCCAGGGGGCAGGACTTGGGGTAAGAGGCTCCACTCCTGTCCCTCCGTGACTTCCCTGGGAAGCTGCACTGCATGTGTTTGTGGACTGGGATCCAGCTGATACTTATGCAGCGTTGGCATGAGTAGAGAGCATGCATTTGTGTTTACTACAATTTGGAAAATTGGTCTCAGGTCAGCTGAGGTGGTTCAGAGATTGGACGTTCTTTGTATTCCTGCTTTCTGTGTATAATTATCTGAAGAAGGGATAACAGCTTTGGACACTAATCTTAATATTAAAATTAAAAAATTAAGGGAAAAGAACGAACATTTATTGAAGCCAAACTATTTTCCAGATATTGTTGTGTATTTGAATTTTTGAACATCTTTATGAGGATATTTACTAATCATCTCCCAACTTCACAGATAGGGAAACTGAGGCTCAGACTCTGGGTAACTTGGATGCTCGTGATTGCAATCCAAGGACACCCAGGACACTCTCCCTGCTGTGTTGACACATGACCAAGGGAGCGGGGTCCTGGTCAGTTCCTGGCCATTGTGTCACTCCAGCTGACAGTGCTGCTATGGGGCCCAATGGCACCTGATCTCCACCTCCTGAGGTCTTGGAATAGATGTCCATCTCTCCATATAGTATGTATCAATGGTGTTTCAGTTGTTTGCCTTGTCTGTTATCATCTGACTGCAAGCCCTTCTGAGGGGAGGAATTCAATTTGTATTTTATGCTGAAACACCTGGCCCAGCATGACTAAACAAACAGGTGTTGGTGTTACAAAAACATGCTGGACACCCTGTTTAGGTGGATGTGGCAATTTACTGCAATTGATATGTCCTGTTTCTCAGCCCCAGATGGGGCAGGAGGGGCTGGGTGGGTATCAAAGGACAGAGGATGGAGTAAAAGGCATGGCTGAGATTGAGGCCCTCCAGAACCTGCCATCTTCAGGTCCTCCTTGGCTGATGGTGGTTGGACCCAGGTGCCATGGAGCCTTCTTGGGGCAAACAGAGAAATGCACAAGCCCAACTCTAAATTCAGGTTGGGAGTGGGCTGAGGCAAGGGAGGGCAATACAAGGGCACATTGGGTTGAAGTCCAGAGGAGTTTCCTCACTGTTGGGAGGGTGGGAGCATAGCTCATAACTCAGTTTCCACTTGGTTGTCCACTGTGCCCTCTTGCAGTTCTGTGTGGGGTAGAATCCTGAGGATCTCTCTAGGTGATGCTTGCGTATGGTGGGGGTAAGGTGGTGATAGCGCATCCCTGACCTAGTGTTTATCACAGATAGGGTAATGGGTAGAGCCTGCCACCCGCCACCCTCCCCACTCCTGCCCTGCAATTGGGGTCAGAGACCTGCAGTGGAGACTTGGCTTTCCAAAGGACTAGTTAGCTGACCTAGAGACACCCGGTAAACCTCACTAAGCCTTTCTTTCCCAGAAAAAAAATCGTGTTAAATACTGGTTCATGGTTCCCTACCTCACAGCCATACAGTTGAGATAACGTAAAGTAAGAGCATGAGTTACTTCACTTAGGCTAACCCCTAAGGCTATTGAAATTTTAAAATTATAAATAAATCAATAAATGACTACAGAAAAAAAAGAATGTGGGTAGAATTGGAAAGCCCTTTGCACATAGTAGCCTTTATTCTAGCTGGGTTTGTGTACATTTCAGTACCCAGCATACCGTTGATGGTAGATGGAAGGCTCTCAGAGGAAAGCCTGGCTTTTCCCAGAGTGACGTCATGGGAAGAGGATATTTGGAGGCAGATAGAACTGGGTTTTAATTCTGGTTTCTCTCTGAAAAATAGTAATAATAATCCCCACCTCATAGGGTAATAGTTGTGAGGGTGAATTATTTCATTGAAGACTTCCAGGTTAGGGCCCAGCACATAGTCAGTTCTTCATAATTTCATTCATTCATCCTAGTGAATGTCTATTGTGTGCCTGCTGTGTGCAATTTGTCTAGCAGAACTAGAAACATTTCTAGGCACCAGAGATATAGCAGTTTCAAACATTCTAGTTGGGGAAGAAAGACAACAGACAAATACATAATATGGCAGGAGGTTTGAGTGCTGGGGTAGGGTGTAGGATGTAGGGATAGAGAAGGCTGGGGATATGGCTTCCCTCTGAATCCAAGTGGTCAAGCAAGGTCTTTCTGATAAGCAGACCCTGAAGGGAGTAAGGCAGTGAGTTGTCTGGGAAGAACATTCCAGAAGAAAAAACAGCAAGTACCAGGACCCTGATATGGGATGTGCTCAGCCTATTTGAGAAACTCTAAAGGGATAAACCAGTGAGCCAAGAGGGAACAGCAGGAGTTAAGGTCAGAGAGCTAACAGAGGTCACATCAAATAGGCTCTGGCAGTTCATAGAAGACTGGAATTTTCCTCTGCATGAGAGGAGGCCACTGGAGAGAAGGCTTGGAGCAGAGGAGTAAAATGGTCTGACTTATAAAGGGATTGCTCTGGCTACTGTGCTTCTCATAGATTATAAGAGGCAAGGCAGGTGCAGAGAGAGAGTTGGGGGCTAGCACAAAAATCTCAAATAAAGTGGCTGGATCAGGGTGATAGCAGAAGAGGTAGGGGAGCAGGGTTTGGATTTGGGATACATTTGGAAAATACAGCCAGCTGGATTTTCTGATAGAATGCTGGTAGGGTATGAGAGAGCAGTGTCAGGAATGACTTTTGGTTTTGAGCCTGAGTACAGAAGGATGAGTTGTTTAGTTGCTGAGTTGTTTACTGAGATGGTGAAGACTACAGAAGAACATGCTGGTTGGGGATGGGAGCAGAGGTGGAATCGGCAGTCCACTTTGGGTGTGTTATGGATGAGACACTATGAGACATGTAAGTGAAGATGTCAAGTGGGCCATTGGCTAAACCAGTTCAGAGTTCAAGGGAAAAGTCCAGGAGGAATAAATCTGTGTGCAGACACATGTTTAGGAGATGATTGCATGCAGTGGCACTGAGCTGTGAGCTGGCTTCCAGTCCCACCGTCACTACTCTCCTGCTGCAGGTAGTCCTCCTCATCAATTAGCACCTAGATGAGTTCTTGGCAGGATGCAGGCTCACAAAAGCTGCTCAGTGGCTTCACTAATGCGTGTCCCAAGGGAATGAATGAAGAAGCGAAGCCAGAAACGAACGGTCTAACCAATGAACAAATGTGCTGGGGGAACACTGCCCTGTGATTGGTGTCTGGGATGACCGCCATGGAGCAGGGCTAGCAGCTGCTCTGCTGTGCCCTTAGAGAGGCTTCTCTATTTGGGGGTGCCCAACTTCAATGCTGGCTTCTCCAGCCAGGCCCCTGTTTGGCAGTGAGCCTCCTGCTGGTGGCCCCATCTTTCTTTGCAAGTAAACAAAGTAAGCTTTCCTTAAAAACCTTAGAGGGAAGCTCAATGAGAAGAATGCAAATGCATCCTTGAGTAGAGATCCCAGTCCTCTGGATTCAGGTCTCTGGCTGGACTGGTTAAGGAATTCAGGACAAAGTTAGGAAACTTCTAGACACTCCTGGGACCGTGCTTGAACCAGGGAAGCCCAAGGCAGCCATGAGCCCACAGTCATCCCTCTCACAATGAACGGGCATAATCAGAAAACATGAGCCTGGGCTACCCTCTGAACACCATGGTCCCAGATCTGCCAACAAGAACAACCCCCTCACCCTCCCTGATGGATGGCATTTCCACTGAGTTGGGAGAGGTCTGGGAACTAACCACAGGGCCGCCCTCCTCCCTAGCCCCATCAGCCCTTTCTAGGCTGATCCCAAGGCTCCTGGGAATATAAAATTAGTTCTTCCTCTCTTTCAAAAGTCGAAGATGGCCATGAAAAGTTTTCAGTACATGGTCCAAAGAACCAGAGCTGTGAGGACATGGTGTCTTGTGCACAGAGATTTTGCATCCCCTGTAGGAGGGTATCAAATAAGGAGGTGAGTGGGAAATTGTCCCTGGTCAATGGCCAGCTCCATCCCAGTCTGCCCATGCCTCAGAGTACTGTCTCCAGGGCGGACAGTGTTTAGGGGCAGCAAGAGAATACTAAGACTAGAACTTCCATTTCTTTCTCTTGCTTTAACATTCTTTTGATTCAATAAAGGGTTTATAATAATTCAGGGTATTAGTACAAGAGTACACATGTATATAATTTATACTTAAATAACTAAACTTACTATTTCTTAACTGATGAGGGGCTTGATCAGAAGCAACTTGAGGATCCCTGTTTTAGAGACTACAAACTCTGAGGCAGTGGAGGAGAGTGGCACATTTCCAGTGATTCCTGAATGGTTGTCTTGTCCAATAATAAAATCTCAGCCCCTCAGGGTAAGGGCTATGCTGTATGTGAGTGCTTGGCAGAAAAAATGTTGAAATGGATCAGGTACAAAAGGTATTTTGCCCTGGCTGTGAGTTAGCTAGATGCAAGCTGAGGGTGACTAAGTTTTACTTGACACCCCCCCTTGCAACACACACACACTCACTCATACACCCTCAGAGAGAACTCTATCGCTGCTCACATGCCACACCCACCTTCCAGATAGGAACCTTCAGAAATCAACTTCACATGCAAACCTCACCAGCCCTGCTTCTTTCTCTCTCTCTACATACACACGCACACATAAATATATATAATATGTAACACATTATGCATGTGTGTATATATATACAGCAATAGTAATAATGCATAATATTCTTTCTCACATCTCTACATCTCCAGAGGTAGCCAATGTTAATTGCATGTTGTGAATCTTTTTACTCAGTTATCCTTCTATGCAGAAAAACATACAAATATACACACTTACAAATATAAAGATATATACAGGTTGGTTTTTAAAAATATGAATGCTATCTTAATTTCACATTCCTCTACATGTTTTTTGTCATTTTACAATGTGTCAGAGGCATCACTTAAGCCAGTAGAGATAAATCTAGCTCATTCTTTTTAATATCTGCATAATATTTAATAGCTTGTTTGTATCTTAATTTAGTCAACCATTTCCCTGTTAATGGACATTTGAGTTGCTTCCAATTTTTTGCCACAATAATCAATGCCACAATCAATCAATAAACAATGCAATGCAATAAATACTCTTGTATATATATCATGTAAAACTGGAGCTTTTATTGCTGTAGGATAGAGTCCCCAAGGTGAAATATATTACCCAAAGGAAACAGGATTATCCAAAGGAACTCAGGATCCTGTTTGGTTGCTTTCATGATTTAATAAAATTCCGGTTAGACTGCCTTATATTCAACAGAGCCAACAGAGACCCATGTCATGCATGTGCAGGGGAAGGTGCACTCCACCCACGCCCAGAGTTGTCCTCTCTTTGTGCTTTATGCACACTGGGCTTCCCTGTAGGCTTGACCACCTACAAGGCTTTGGCCAAGAGTAGCTTGTCCAAGGCAGGGTGGGGTGGGCAGAGGAGCATGTGCTCAGCCTCTTCCAGGGTTAGCCACATCCTAGTGAGTGGCTGTAACTTCTGGCGAGAGCAGGAACTGTGCATTCAAGCAGACTGAAGACCTCCCAGCTCACTCCCACTTCACTGTGCCTCCAGCAAGCCACACAAAGCTGCGTGTTTGCCAGGTGCATTGTGCGTGCTCTCTTTACTAGGAAATTTAACTTGGAAGCCTGGTGCTTCAGTGTCTTTTTCAGGATTGGGAAAGGGTGATGATTTAACAAGAGTCCCTTCATCTCCCTGCCTCATCATCTCTCAGTTCTCAGTACAACAAGCATCCTCCATGAAATATGGGTGGCATGGTCCAGAATGTGGGTATTCTAACTTGCAGCCCTGAGCTGCAGAGCTTCTGGGTCAGCTCCAGTTTTCCACAGCGATTCATTCACAGCTGTAATTTGTGGATGTGCCTGTGTTGCTCACTACCCTGCAAGTGTCTAATTTCTAAATCCCCCCATTACCACCTCCTAAACTCACATAGGCATTGCACACAGTAGTTACTCAGCAATTGGTCAATATCTCTTGATCAAGTCAGACATTGAGGTCCAGAGCCCTTAGGAAATGCCCAGCTGGAGACATCCGAGGCCCCCTCCCTGCTTACCTTCACAGCCTTTGCTCTGTTGATGAGCCCGTCGTCCTGAGAACTCCCAATGAGCAGATCGACCTCTACCCATAAAGACCTCTTCAGTGCTCTGGCTGGAGGCTCACGGAGGAAGTGGCCATCGATCACAGGACCCCAGTAGTGGAAAGGGCCACTCACGGCCAGGAGCTGCATTGGATGCAACAATAATCAGTTGTCCTGGAATAATCAGTTGCACTGCTTTGCATAAAGAGGTCTTAACCATACTGAATGCCAATACTGGTTATCCATCTATGACTCTACTGAGAAAAAGTGACCAGGACAACTGGCAGGCAGGACACCATGTGACAAAGTCAGGGGCTGGAGGGTGAATGAATCTCACTCTCAGCAATGATGGTCTCCAGGGGAGCATCCCAGAGGTAACAGCAGATCCCCAGGTAGGGATGGGAAAGCCTGAGCCTGTAGGTGGGTGAGGAAGGCAGGAGGAGACAGTGGTTGAAGAGGAGGCAGTGACTCTGACAGGTGAAATTCACCAGCTCCAGCTATGATCAAATTAGCCTGCACTTAGGGGAGCTGAGAATAAGACCTGCTCCAATTCTGTGAGTCCAGACTCATTGCTAAGGCGATCAGGCCATCAATTGCCATGACAATTATTCCTGCTAATGTCCCCTTCATTAATGTGAAGGCCAGCCAGAGATTTGGTCTGCAAGCAAGAACTTTGCATGCTATAAAGGGAACACACAGCTATCCCATATAAGGGAGTGAAGTGACTCAAATACACTGCCATCTGTGAAGCCATGTCTGCAATACTCAACACATCTAGCTGTGACCTGTTAAGGGTTTGGTCCCCTGCCCACCACGGTCCTGGAGTGAGGCCAAATCCTTCACATGTGTGACTTCATTTTCTCCTCCTACTCTATAAGGTCTGTATAACTATTCCCATGTTATAAATAAGAAAGACAAATTGCAGAGGCATCTGTCTACCCTCAGTGCCCATGTTTGGACTGTTGCAGGCTGTGGCGCATGCACAGCTCTAGGGGCTAGGGAATGTGAGTTCCAGCTCCAGTTGGTCATCAGCCTCATGTGTGGTATGGCTGGGGTGGGTGACACCTCCTTCCTAGGTCTTCATTTTCTATTTGTAAAAGACCAGAGAATGTCCCTTCCCAACTTGCACTTAAGTGCTCACCTTGGTCTGGGCATCATTGAGGACATTGGCAGGCTTCTGGCGGAGGCAGGACACCACTTCTTGGCTGGATGACATGGGGCAACTGACCTCCTTTGCCAAAGCAATTGCCTGCTGCTGAGCCCTCTCATGGCTGATGACGGCGGCCGGGGAGAGTGCGGAGCCTCCCTGGAAGAGAAAGCAGGCTCAGGGCAGATGGTTCAGATCATCTTCAGCCCCTGCTCACCTGGAGTCCTCAGTGCCACATCAGGGTTCTGCATCCTTCCTCCAAGCTTGGGAGTCCCAGGACCCATTCTGGGGCTGCACACAATGGGAAGATAAGGATTGGTCAACAGCATATCAGCATGCAGTGTGATACTGAAGATGTCTCTCTAGGCCTCAGTTTCCTAACCTGTGAAGTGAGGGTGCTGCACAAGGGAACCTTCAGTCTTGGCTGTGCAGATGAATTTGTATATAGAGGCAAAGGGCTGATGGTTCTTTAAGAGGATCGGAGATTGTGGCAAAGTCCTCTGGGAAGAGAACTCTGCAAAGATAGAACCATCTCCCACCAGCACCTCCTGGGGGGCTCCTTAACTAGCAAGCTGCATTAAGATGGAGCTGGACTTTAAAATGGAAGCCCACCTAGGAGGTGACGAAAACACAGTCTTTGTAAGGGTAAATTGCTTCATCAAAATCAGGGTACTCTCTGTTAAAATGACTGGTTTCTCACTTTGGGAGGCTGAGGTGGGCGGATCACAAGGTCAGGAGATCGAGACCATCCTGGCTAACACAGTGAAACCCCATCTCTACTAAAAATACAAAAAACTAGCCAGGCGTGGTGACGGGCGCCTGTAGTCCCTGCTACTTGGGAGGCTGAGGTAGGAGAATGGCGTGAACCCGGGAGGCGGAGCTTGCAGTGGACCGAGATCGCACCTCTGCACTCCAGCCTGGGAAACAGAGCAAGACTCCATCAAAAAAAAAAAAAAAAAAGAAAACGACAGGTTTCTTCTTTCTAATAATGAAAGTGGTAGGAGCTGGGTTCCAGGAAGTTCATCTCTGCCCGGACTTTTGGTAGAATTGGGTCATCCGCCTGGGAGGAACAAATGAGCTGAGTGGGGTCCTGACCAGTGTGCAGTTCCAGGGTGCATCCGCTATGGGGCTCCCCGTAGCTCAGACACTGGCTGCCCACTGAAGAGTCATGGGTAACCAGGGGAGGCAGTGGTGGTGATACCAGTGCCACTGCTCTTACCCCTGCTACTGCCACTGATGGAAATAATAGCAACCACTGTGGATTGAGGGCTCCGACAAACTCACTCAAGAGGTTCCCTATTTCAGCTCATCAGACCCTCACAGCAATTGTATAAGTCGGTTGCTCTTACTGTCCCATGTAACAGTTATGTTAGGAGGCAGGGCTGGGATCTGACCCCAGCGGCCAAACACTGAGCCACTGTGAAGTGGCCTTTCATACACCTGGTAGGTTCCTGATGAAAGGTGGTGGCACTGTTGTTACGATGATCTCTGTTTATTGTCAAGCTCAAGAAGGGACATGTGGCTAGGGTCAGAGGCAAGGCCAGTCAGAATCTCAGCCAGTGGCAAGGAAAAACACAAGTGCATGGAATTGGGGGATCCTGGACACGGCCGCTGTGAGACCTGGTGCCAGAGGAACTTTTGTAATGGCTCTGGGCTTCTCAGAACATGCCTGGCAACTAGGTCCATAGACTCCAGAAAGGGCTGGGAGATACACGTGATTTTCTGTCCTTAACCGCTTAGACAAACTCCGAGTCTCCTGGTCCTGCTTTAAAACAAAGCAAGGCTCCTGGGCTACGTGATCTCCAGCCAGTGGCTCACTCTGCTCTCAGCATTTTTAAAAGAGAGAGAAGAATCCTAACTCCCAGGATCCTCTGATAAGCAGCAGCAATAAAAGTAAACTACTCAGCCAGGCCAAGGCCTGGAATTCAATGACCCAAGGAACAAGCGTCAATATGATTTAGCCTATTGTTGAGTTCTTGTGCCCTCAGGTTTATTTTTCCAACAATGAGCAGGGCAGCTTTTTTTAAGAACCATTGGATGTACTTTAAATTAAAAAAAAAAAAGAAAAGAAAAGAAAAGAAAACACACACACACACACTCAAAATATTCAAGCTCAAAACTCCGTGTTCTGAATAGCAAACAGCAGAAGGGCCCACAGGCAGGCAGAGAGGAGATGTGAATGTCAGGATGGGGCCCCCACTGACGGTTTCAATATTTCCTTCGGCTATAAAAAGCCAGGGATCCTGATATGGTGAGGAAGTGGTTAAAGGCGTGGGTCACACTGATATTGCAAGATGGCTAAGAGAATGTTTCTTTCTCTTAAAGTATTTTGTTTAAATTGATCTTTCTGAAGGAAACCTTTTTCACCGTGGAAAATTGGTGTTTACGCAAGCCAACGGTTGACTCAGCCTTCATTTTAAAGCACTTGATTAGAGACAAAGCACTCGGGGGCAGGAGGGGAGTTGCTGTGCAGAGGTGTGTAGAGAGCATGGGATTGGGGCAGAAGGGCTCGGTTTGAACCCCAGCTGTGTCACTCCCTGATGAAGTGGGCTTGGGCAAGTGACCATCTGTGATGAGAACAATCAACCATACGTTATAGGGTTGCTGCAAAGATGCATGAGGCCAGGTAGGTGAAGAAGCGTGTCCTCTGCACAGTGGGAGCTGTGGCTGCACTGTGGTTAGTGCAGTGACATTCACGGGACCCCACAGGATGTAAAGGGATCAGGTCTTCTCAGTCCACCCAGCCATGCCTGTAGGTCCACAGCCCTGGGCTCCGGCTTTATCTAAATCTGACCTAGCTATTCAATGGCGAGGAGTTTCCACTGGCTGTTGTTTTTTTAACTTTAAAAATAGTTCAGGTCAAAACCACAATTGCTGACCACTGCTTTTTGTTCCTCGGGCCTCCGAACATGGTAAGGTGCCTTGACCTCAGTTAGTCACTGTAGTTGCTTCGGAGTCAGGGCCTGCGCCTGGCCAAGCACACATATCCACACACACAACCACAGATGGAGACACACTCACGCAATCAAGGAGTTTATTGGTACCACTTCTCAGAGGATCCTGGGAGTTAGGATTCTCTTTCTCTTTTAAAAATCCTGGAGATCAGAGTGAGCCACTGGCTGGAAATCACACAACACAGGAGACTTGCTTTGTTTTAAAGCAGCACCAGGAGACTTGGAGTTTGTCTAAGTGGGTTAAGGACACACACAGACACTGACAGAGACATATGCTTACGTGCACAGACACACAGCCACAGATGGAAACACACACACACACAGACGTAGCCACAGATGGAGACACACAGTCATAGATAGAGACACACTCACACAGAGATACACACTTACACACACAGACACTCATGGTCACATAAAACTCACAGGCATACACTCATGGACACAGGGAGACCCACACTTAGAAACACACACAGTCACAGAAACATCCAGCTACAGAAAGAAATATACACCCACACACATAGACACACACTCACATAAGTGCAGAAGGACACACAAACACACACAGTCACAGAGACACACACGCACAGTCATAGACACATACTCAAAGATACACACACATAGACACACCCAGACACCTACAGATAGACTCACACACTCAGACACATACACACAAACACACACACAAAGCTGCCCTTGTTGAAATGGACCCTGCAGCATTTCCCGGGAGGAATCCCTCAGGCAGCCTCCCCAGAGCAGCTCCAAGAAGCAAAGCAACAAGAAGCGGGGTGGGCAGCTACCCGGACAAGCAGGAGGTCTGGCAGCTCTGCCCTGGGGCATCCATGTGTCAGAGGGTCCTCTGGATGGACTCCGCCTCCCTCCTGGCACGCCTTGCACTTCTCAGTCCCACCCTGGAATGTGAATCCTCATCTACAGTGGTGTCTACCTCACATGGAGAGGGGAAGGATGGGAAGCCCAGTAAGCAGGTGCTCAGTGAGCTCCTTATCCATCAGGCACTTCGTGGAATCGAGGAGTTAATTCCTACAAAGCCCTTGCAGCAGTGCCCAGCACAGACACAACAATGAAGACGAGGACAAACATTCAAGTAGCACATCCTGTGTGCCTGGCATTGAATGTGGGCTGTACGTGTAGAAGCTCACCTACCTCTCAGAGCAATCCCAGGAGCTGGGTAACAACAGTATTATTTCAACTTTAGAGGGGGCTCCAGGGTAGAGTTGAAGCCACTTCCCTAGAGTCTCAGAGCTGGGGGTGACAGAGCCAGGATTTGAGCCTAGGCTGCAGGTGCCAGAGCTCCATGTTCTAACCAGTGTGTCATCTCGTGCTTGTGGCAGACAGTTCCTTTCTGTTCCCGGGGGGTGCGGGGTGAGGCCAAAGCAAAGTAAAAAGCTCATGGCTCTTGTTCCAGATAGACTGGGGTTTTAATTCCAGCTCTGCCCATGGCCATTTTGCCAATTTCCTTTGTCTTTCTGAGCTTCCAGTTCCTAACCTGTAAAATGGAGATATTATGATCAGCGTTCACAGAGCTGATGTGCAGATTAAAGGAGACAATGGAGGGAAAATACCTGATGTGTAATTTGCACTCAAAGTTGGTTGTATTCATCATTAGGAATGTTATTATCCATGATTTAATGCCTACAATGTAACTTGATGAAACTCCTCGTTACAACCTAGGCTGATGGGGAGCAAGTCCCTTGCGCTGTCTGACTTGGGGGAAAGTGCCTCTACATGCAAAGCAGCTGTGGGGCTGCCAACTTGCTTCGCTTCCCTGTGGTACCACACACGGGCCAAGGTGCTTTTTTGCTCACTCTCTTGATTTATGTCCTGCCACAGCACTATGAAGTTAAATCAGGTAGGAAGGACTATGTCTTTTCAGGGAGAAATTCTCTGCTGCACAGAACCTGAACCCAGGTGTTCCAACTCCAAACCCAGGGCTTCTCTCTGCTTCTCCTGGGAGAAACCAGATGTGTGACTTCTAAGCCCTCACCAGACCACTGGGCCTCTAGAAACGTGACTATCTCTAGCTGGCTTATTGAATGCTGGCTTATTGAAATCAATTGCCAAATATTACCTGAGAGTTATCAACCTTGTATTTCTTTTGACTCTATTTTATTCCAGGCAAAGTGAGTCACAAAGAAGCATAAGTCTCAAGCCCCATTTAGGCGGATGCTTTTTAAAAATGTGTACTATATCCAGCAGGACATATGTACTGGTGACCTCCAGATGAGCTCTGTCCAGTAATCAGCAGGAGTAAGCCAAGAATTCTTGCACTTTGGGAATTCAGGGGAGGGAGGGATTTCTGGGCACTAGGGTGGCCCAGAAGAAGCTGCAGAGAATCATCAGGACTTGAGTGGGTTTCCATGGGAGGAAATAAATGGGAGGAACAGGGTGGGTGACCATTCCGAGGGGGAGTGGGCAGGGATGGCAGTGGGGTCAGAGGCTGATTACCCAAGGGAGTTATAGACAGGAGCTGGGTCCTAAGTAATCCGACAGCCCCAGGACAGGGCCTGGAACTCAAAATATGTATTGCATGAGTGAGTGAATGACTGTATGAGTGAGGGAGTGAACAAATGAATGAATGGCAGGCAGATGGACCAGTGACTTCTAAATGAAGAGAAGAATTTCCATAGAAGTGTAGTGAGAAGTAAACTTCAGAGGTCATTAAATCCCAGACTAAGTAAGAGATGTGATTTAGAAGGCACCAACCCTGGGACACAGAGCAGGTATCCTTTAGGCAACGGGCAATGAGGAATCCATAAAGGCTTTTAAATGGGGTATTACAGAAAGGGCTTGGGAATTTCCTGTCACTGGGTCCTTTGTCTTTGCATTCTCAGTGCTGAAAATGGTTGGTAGTGCTCAGCAGGCCCTCAGTAAAGGATGGAGCATCAATACCTCCTGAATGTGAGCTTCTGATGGCAGGGGTTGGGAGGTAGTTATTCCTCTATCCCCAAAGCCCAGCACAAGGTGTGGAACACCATATGCGGAACAGAAGAGAACTGGAAATGAATGTCAGGATGGTGGCTCGGCTAGTTGACTGTGGGATGGACTGGAGTGGGGAGCATCTGAGTCAGGGAGCCCATCGGTGACTTGTAAGGTCTAAGGATAAAGGGGTAGTGTGTGACCCAGAGTGCCATGTCTCCACCCTCGCACCGACCTCTCCTGGGAACTCACCCACACCTGGAAGGTGCCACCAAGGTGTCGTGGGCCAGCTGAATTGTGGCATGCTATTGAGCAGCCAGGACAGCTTAGGAAGAGAGCTCTGGAAGCTAAAGCACAGATGGACTTTTTTTAAACATCCAAGTTTATATTTGTATTCTCTTGCATGTTTTCTACACTAAAATCATCTTGTTTTCTTGATCCCTAAAAGCCTGAGTTTTACTCTTATTTGTAACACTTCAGTTTTGGCAAAACTTCCATCACAGGGACAGTAATTAATACAATTCGTCTTGAAATCCCAGTCTTAGGGCATAGGAAAAAAGGCATCAAAACTACCTGTTGGTATAGACATGATCTAGGAGACAATCTGAAATGTAGGATTTGAAGAAGGCCTAGTGAATGCTATTCCTTCTTTTTTGTATAAAAAGTGCGTGTGTGTTTACTTAAAGGAAAGCAGAAAAGAATTAAACATTTATAAGGCACCTTCTAAGGGCCACATCATTTATTCACATTTTCTCTCATGATCTCCAAAACAACCCTCTAAGTGTAATATTAGAATCCCTATTTTACAGATAGAGAGACTGAGGCTTGGAGTGGGTAGGTAATTTTTCCAAGGTCATAGAACTGATCAGTAGCAGGGCTAGAATTATAAAGGTTTCATTGTTCCCCCCACACTGTGCTACCTACCCGAGAAAACAGCAAGCACATCACAGACCCTTATTTTCCATTCCACTCATGAGCGGCTGGTGGATGGCCACTCATCAGCAAGGTTTTTGCAAGGGTGGCTGGGACAGCAAGAGGAGGAGGAGGAGGAGGAGGAGCAGGAGGGGAGCCTGGCTCCTCCATCACAGGAATGCCATAGGGCTCAAAAACACACCATGTTATGTCTGCAGACTGAAAAGGCCTTGTGAGACAAGGGAGAGTCTATCCCAAGTTGCTTTGATTCACATGTACAACCGTGCTGCATTCTGCTTAAGACAGAGCTCTCGCCTCTATTGGCTCCTTTAAACTCCCACTACCATCCTAGGAAGTAGGAAGAACCAATATTATTGAAACCGCTACTTTCTTAATCATTCTTCTGTGTACGGCCCACTTCATTCCAAGAAGAATTTGCGGTACACTCAAGAAAGAGAGTCTAAGAAGTTTAAAATCCTGCCAGTAGCAGGTGAAAGAGGTTAAGACCCAGGTTTTCTGGCCCCAGGTTTTCATTTCCCATGATTCCGTGCTGTCTCAACAGCTGGAGGAGGTCACGTGACATTCACAGGCATCCAGTCCCAGGGTACCTCCTGCTGCCTGGCCCCACTGGGTTTATTTGAATAGTCTGACTTGATCAATCCACAGAGCCTTCTAACAATTCAAGGTGAGTGAATGATGGAGGAGTTCTATTGGCTTTTTATACTTTTTAGACTATTCTAACTTGTCTCCAATGAATTAATGTTACATTTTTAATTAGAAAAAATTTAAATTACATTTAAAAGATGAATTCCACACTAAAATATGACTGATCCTTGTCAAAATGGAAACAGTCATTATAACTTATTGTGTAAGCACATCAGTGGACAAGTGACATGGCCAAGTCCATTTAGAAAACCTTTGCAGGGACAATAAGAGGTGGGAGAGAAATGAGTCCCCTCACACCCCGAGGGAGGAAGGAGGTGGTTCTGGCTGAGATAAGAGGTCCAGCAATAAGCCTTGCTGTCTTCACAGATAGGCACAAATGCAATCCTTTTCATACTCTAGAAAAAGGCTGTCATATACTGCTCTACATCCATCAGTGCGACCTTAGCTTATTTAAAGGGGAAACAGAAAGCCCTCTGCAATTTTTAAAGCAAAAATAGCAGTCCCCAAATAGACAAAACAAGTGAACGAAACAAAGAAAATTAAAATTACACATAATCCTCCCAATCAAAGAAAACCACTGTTAAATGCTATTAGCCTCCAATATGTCTCTTCCGTGTGTGTGTGTGTGTGTGTGTGTGTGTGTGTGTGTGTGTGTGTGTGTGTGTAAACATATATTCAGGAAATCTATACAGCATATTGTTTTTGAGCCTATCTTTTTCACCTAACAATCCATTGTCGATATCATTCTGTATCATTACTTATTTATTTACAAGATTGTTTTCAATGCCAGCATGCTAATTACATTTAGGATTTTAGGTTATTAGGGAGAATGTTATAGACAGGTTAGGGGCACCTGCAGGCAATGAAATATGATAGACTTGGATACAAATCCCAGCTCTGATTTGCAACTGTTTGATTTGAGACTTTCTTCATCTGTAAGGAACATAACAATATTGAGAGCTTCCCCATAGGATTGTTGTAATAAAGAAATGAGAAAGTTTTCCTGTAACAGTATGGTGCATTACAAATTGTAAATATTTAATAAATGATGGCTATTATTGTTTCAGGTTTTATGATGTTACAGACAATACTGCAATGTACATCTTTATAACTAAATCTATTCACATATCCATGATGATTTCCTTATGCAAAGGCATTACTGAGTCAAAAGGTATAGTTTTTTTTCATCAAAAAGATAATAAAAATGTATTAAATGAGTTGTTTCCATGGCATGTTAATAGTTTCTCATTAAATAGGTGCCACATGAACATCCGTATTAAAGAAGAATATTTTTGTTGTATGATAAACATTTATCCAGTATTTCAAACTATGATTCTTGGTATCTATAGCTAACTTTAGGAAATTGTATTATTGTGATATAATTCACATACCACAGAATTCACCCACTTAATTCAATGGTTTTTAGTTATAGTCACAGAGTTGTGCAATCATCACCACATCTAATTTTAGAACATTTTCATTATCCCACAAAGAAATTCTGTACCCATTAGCAGTCATTCCCCATTCTCCACCCTCACTCCCAGCCGCAGGCCATCACTAATCTACTTTCTGTCTCTGTAGAGTTACCTATTCTGGACATTTCATATAAATGGAATCATAGAATATGTAGCCTTCTGTGTCTGGCTTCTTTTACTTCATCCATCTTATAGCAGGTATTAGTAGTGTATATCTTTTCGCTGCTAAATTATACTTAATTGTATAGAGAAACCATATTTTGCTTACCTACTCATTGGCTGGTAAACATTTGGGTTGTTTCTACTTTTTGCCAATTATGAATAATGCTGTTGTGAACAGTCACATACAAGTTCTTATAGGGATGCATGTTTTCATGTCTCTTGAATGTATAGGTAGGGGTGGAATTGCTAGGTCACATGAAAACTCTTGTGTTGAACCTTCTGAGAAGTTGCCAAACTGTTTGTCAAAGTGGCCGCATTATTTTATATTCCCACCAGCAATAAAAGAATGCTTTTACTTCTTCATATCTTCAGTAATGCTTACAATCTGGTTTTTAAAAATTGTTATTATTATAGGCATCCTAGTGTGTGTGAGTTAATATCTCATTATGGGTTTAATTTTCACTTCTCTGATGACTGACTAATAGTGTTAAGAATCTTTTGCTATGCTTATGGGCCCATTTGTACATCTTCTTTGGAGAAATGTCTATTCAGATCCCTTGCTTATTTTCAGATTGAGTTATCTGTCTTTTTGTTACTGAGTTGTAAGTGTTCTTTATGTTTTCTTGGTACAAGTCCCTTATTAGATACATAATTTGCAAATATTTTCTCCCATTATGTGGATTTTCTTTTCACTTTCTTCATGGCATCTTTTGGAGCACAGAATTTTTTAAATTGTGATGAAATCCGATGTATCTATTTTTTCTTTTGCTGCCTGAGGTTTGGTGTCTTATCTAAGAAATGCTTGCCTAGTGCAAGGTCCACGAGTTCTGCCTTGCATTCTATAGATAGATATTTTACAATCTATAGATATATAAAAACTTGTTTTTACAATGGACTGCTAACCTGTCCTAGAGAGAGATTATACCTTGGTATATTTTTATACTTGCAAGCTTAAATCACTCACCAGCTGTGTCTACACACGGAGGAAAGAGAAGGAAGGTACCAAAAAGTAATGCGGAGCTGGTGTGCTCCAAGCACTTTACATGCTGTTCTCAGTTTGTGCTCACTAAGCAGGGAGACACGACTGTGCCTCTTTTATTAAAGAGTGAGGCTCAGAGAGGGTAAATGACTTTGTCCCAAATCACCCACTGCTGGGGAATTGGATTCAGGCCATTTTTCTCCAAAGCCATGACACTACCCACCCTCTATGTGCCAAACAGAATCTGCACTCAACCTGCCTTCTGCAGACATCTTTGACAGGCACGGCAGTCCATGTGGTCTAGCTGTAGAACTGTCCCCCTTGCCTGTGGAGGCACAGTGTGGAGGCCTTCCCAGGCCCCTGTGGGGGAGCGCTCTAAGGGGTCTCTCCCGGGCACTTCTGCTGGGAAATGGAGAGGACCTGAGCCTTGGCTTTGTCTCTTTAGTTCAGAGCAGGCACCTGTCATATTTTCCTACAGGTCTTACAGACTTGACAAAATGCCTTTTTCCATCTGTTACAAACATGAAGCCTAATTGCCTCTGTCACCTTCTGGCTGTCAGAAGCCATTTAAATGCTTGGCACTTGAAAATTTCTGATTTCCCAGGCAAAGGTGTCACACTTTAAAAGTGACACCATGAGTGATAGCCGAGGCAATGGCTGCCCTCTTATTTCAAAGAGAATTTAAAATGCAGGCTCCTGAGCCTCCCTTCCATTGTCAATGAGTACTTCATACATACACATGGGCATATGTTTCCTTTTAAAAATAATTTCATCATTATAACTTGTAAAAGACCCTGACTGCTTCTTTCTAGTCATTTTTTTCTGCAGCTTTGTTTCAGGGCCCAGGAGAAGAGCTAGAGCAGTGGGGACTGCCTAGACAGAGGCAAAGTCTTTTTCTATTTTCCTTCCAGTAGCCCCTAGACTGCCCCTCTCTCTCCATTTCGTCCCTCCTTTCTTTGCTTCCTCCCTCCTTCCTCCAGTAAATGCCATGGGCCAGCTCTTGACCAGCAGAAAGGACTCACCATGCCTGCCCTAGAAAACACAATGCATGCAGAAAGTTCTGAGATGCTGGTGGGTGGGAATGGCCTCATGAGCACAGGAGAGGGAATGGCATAGAAGGTGGGAGAGATCAGGGTCACCTCTCAGAGGACAGTGCCACAGGAGGCATGGCCTGGGCTGAGTGACTGAGGTGGCTCCATGCAGAGAGAGGGGAGCCAGGGGGAAAACTGGGAACCACTGGGTGCAGAGGGACCATCTGAGGAGGAGGTGGCTTCACTAGAACCTGGACGGGGCAGCAGGGCACTGGATGAGAAGGGCACATGTGAGTCCGTGAGCCTGCTTAGATTCTGGAACCCACATCACACAATTCCAACATTATCCTCTTCAAATCCTCTTCAAATAAAATAATTATTATTATTTTAAAGAGATGCAGAAAAAAAATAGAGAGATCATGGGCTTTCGGGTTGAAGAAATCTTACTGACTCTTGCACTGACAACTTGATAATTGGCTTCATTCTCTGGGTCTCCATTTCCTCATCTGTAAAATGGGTATGTGCTATGTTTCAAGGTGTGGCATCAAGAGCATAGGCCATGGGGTCCATCAGCCCAGATTCAAGTCCAACACCCCCTCTAACCAGCTGTGTGTTCTTAGGAAAACTATTTAAAGTCCCAGTGCCTTAGTTTCCCCTAATGTAAAATAGGGATGAGAATATTTACCTCATTCATTTGTTAAGATGAATTGATGAGATAACATGTAAAGTGCATACATGTTTCAAGTTTACAATAAATAGTGGTAGCAATTGTTAAAATCAATTGATATTTCAAAGAGTTCTTGTGAAAATTAAGTAACAGGTTCAAAAAATACTTGATAACTGACAACTGTATAGTGTTTTACAGGTTATAAAGTATTACCAATAATAAATAATGATAACTGACATCTGTACCATGCTTTACAGGTTATAATTATTTATTATTGCTACTCAAACAAAAATAAAATTTTCCAGCCTAAAAATGGTTCTTGGGATTGAAATATTGTTTTGGCCAGAACTATTTCTATAGCAACTAGGCCTGCCTACTCATCGCTCTCCCTCCATGTCTGCCCCACGCCACTAAGTGTAATTAGTTGTGGCTCAGTGGGCATGGAAGCAGGCGCTGACAGATGATTTCACACCCATCTAGTCGGTTATAACTGGATGACACTGTTTTAAATTACATCGAGGCTAGTTTCGAGTTTGCTTTGGCAAATTGCTATCAGCATAAACTGATAACAATAACAGAATCTTATCATTAGAAAAAAAGTATATGCCATGAAAGTATTAAGGCATCATAGAATGAGAACATTAGAGGAAACTGTAATAAAAGTCATCATAATGCTGTTACAGATCCTACCGTCATTTTGTGCTGTTCAAGCACACTTAGAAGTGATTGGGCAAGGTTTAATGGCATTATTGTTTAGGAGGTGAAAATACCAGGGCAGAGTGTTTAAGAGGCCTGACTCCGGTGACGTGGGGAAGCTAGCCGCAAAGGCCTTATTGCTCAATGTCCAGCCGCTGTTTCCACTTTCCCGGTGCCCACAGCCTGCTCTGCTGCAGCAAGCTAGTCGATTATCAGGATAATTCCATGGGCATCTGTGAGCTCCTTCTATGTGCCCAATGCTGCAGGGAATCAAAAACGATTAAGGCCTTAAGAAAGTTTGCAATCTACAAGGAGGGAAAGATTTTTTTCTTAACTTGCTCCCTGTCTCTCCTGCCCTCCGTCCCTTCTTTTCCTCCGTCTTTCCAGTGGACCTTTGCTAGTTGCCCCAGTCATGCAAAGTGCCAAAGCTAGCTGTCAATAACTGGCCAAACAGATACACTCCTGCCTTCTTGGAACTTACAGTTTTTGAAAGTCAGACCAATAGAAAAGATAAGGAAGGTTGGTGTTATGAGACACCCTTGAAAAAATTCCCTTCATGCGGCCTGACAACACCCAACACCACCAACACCAGCACCGTACACCCTACACCATACACCACATACATGGGAAGACTTTGTCTTTTGTCTGTGTCCTTAAACAGAGTTCACAAGGATCTCTGTGCCCTTTGCAGAAGATAGACTCTAAATTGGCACCAAGGGAAGATACAATACAAGGTTTCAACATTCCTGGCTACAGCCCTCTTTGCTTAGAAATGAGATGCCTGTTTCCTCCTCTGCGCTTCTGTTGGAGCTGTGTTCTCTTGAGTGGGGCCTGTGTGACAATCCGTCAGAGGCAGGAAGGCTTACACAGGAGTGCAGCTACAGGAAGTGAGCAAAGCAAGCAACATTGCAAACAACTGAAATTGGGTCCTGCTCAGAGAACTTCCCAACCTCTGGGAACACTGCTGACCTCTTCATCAACCCTTGCATGGCTGAGAACAGTAAGATCTCCCCCGATGTGGAGGCAGTGGGTCTAGGTTGAGCAATGACAGAAGAGAACAGCTTGAACGAATCAACATATCTGTGCAGCTCTTCGCAGCAGACAGTTGTGGTGGACATAAAGCGGCTACTTTTTTTTTCTTCTTCTTCCTGAGAATAATTTTAGGGCCAAAAGACCTCCCGAAGATTCTGATGACATACACATTTAGGTTCCACTCCAGCTGGAGAAATCAGCTCATCCAGATGGACCGCTGATCCAACTTTGGAGATGTTCCAGAAACATAAACTTTTATCTCCAGAGAAACAATAGGGTCTGCTCTCCCCCCAGATGGTTTTCATAGTTAGCTTATTGTCTTCCCCAGAGGTGAAAAGTCACCATTCACAATTTATTTACTTTAATTCAAAAGGCACAACCTTCATTTATTCTTTTACTGAGGGATAGTTACGGATCACATCTTTGGGGATAGCCTCTGTGCTAGGCTCCATGGTCATGGTTAGACATACTCCTGCCTTCCCAAGCTCAGGCTCCAATTTGAAAGGAAAGAAAAGCACCTCTATCTGGTGGGTCCCGTCCTATGCGCCTTGCGCTAGACCAGGAGACCAGGTGGGCTGTACACATTATTATGTATGGACCCTCATGATAAAGTAGTATTAGTAACATCACTGGGCTGAGAGAAAGAATCAGAGAGTCCCACAAGATCACACAACTCCTAAGTACTTCAAATCCTCTCTTGCTCGTTACTCCAATACGCAATGTGTCCCATTCCTAGGATGCAAATAAAACACCAAGTGGCCTTCTGAGAGGGAGCAATCATTGTTGGTTGAGAGGCATCTAGGAAGATGCATGGACATCTTCCTAGATGTTAGCACTGGGTTGGGCCTGAAGGGACCTGCCCCATGCCCTTGCAGGGGGAAAGGCATCCACACAGGAAAGAAAGGGCAGTGGTGAAGTGCATGAGGAAGAGGTGAGGGGCTTGTCTACAGTGCACAGTGGTAGGGGAGTTCCTATGGTGAGTGGGGCATGGAGGCCTTGAGTGCTGACATTGCCATGGGGCTGATAAGGAGGGTGGAGAACAGATTGATGAGCTTTGAATGCCAGGAAAGGGGTGAAGTGGTTCCTGTGGGAAAGGGATGAAGATGGTCCTGAGTTTGGGGCAGCTGCTTGAGGAGGATAGCAGCAGGGCCTGAGTCTTATTTGGAAACACAGGGCTGAAAGAGGATGGGAAGGGAGCATTGGCGGGGAGAGGTGGGACGTGGGAAGACCCAATGGGAGGCTAGTGAAATAGTGACAGCAAATTTCCTACTTCCAGAGCCCATGAGCCTAGGCCTAGTGGTGTCACTCATCAGCTGAGTGACTGGAGGCAACTATGTTAAGCCCTATGAGTGCCAGTTTCTTCAGGTGAAGTCTAGATACATAGAGTGAGTGGAAAGACTAAATACGTAACATACGCAAAGGCCAAGTTGCATTTCCCCAATATTCATTCCCTTTCCTTTCTGTCTGCTCCTTGAACACAAGTATTTCCAGCCCCAAACTTTTGTACCAGTTATGTCCTTTGCCTGGTGTTTTTTCCTCTTGATTTTCATGCCAGAGTCACTCTGGACTCATTTCAAATGTCACCTTTCTAAGGGGAGAGTTCCTCTTACTGTCCCCATGCCTTCAGTTCCCTTCTATGACTTTACTCATTTATTTCTCTAACTCCATACCCAGAGAAATGCCTAACACATTGAAGGGGTTCAAAAAACTGTTATTAAATTATTGTATAAGTGGGTCAGCACTCATCTAGCCATAGAGGGGGCAAAACTTTACTCTCGAGAACTTCTATCTTGTATGCGATCTTGAAGGTCATATGGTTTGATATGGGAATCCCATCAACAGTTTTATAGCACCAAGTGTCATGCCTTGCATTCAATAAGTGGTATTGAACTTCTCTACCAAATGAATTAGCTTACACTTGGTTTTCTCCATCGATAGAAAGCTTTCTAGTTCCCAAGACTGCCTTTTCCTTCTTCCAAACTTTTGAATATTTCTGTTGAAAGAGGAAAACAAATCAAGCTATAAAGTAGGAATGGAAATCTGCTCATACTGGACCAAGCTGTGACTCTGACCCAGCATGGGGCTGCAACATCACATCTGCCGCATGATGCTGAATTGCCTTAGGAGCTCTTAACCTCCTAGAACCTGGAACTCCTCCGAGACCTGAAGCTGGAGAAGTGGCTTTTTATTGCTTCCCCTGGGAAACCCATCAACACATGTTGGAGAAATATAACAACTGGCTCCTGACAACGTGAAGTATGTAAAGCTAGTTTTTACATAGGGGAACATTTCACTTTAATAAGGTGATGACCACAGCGTAGTACTTAACTGAGTGACTCTCAATCCTTGCATGGCTGGCATTGTTATTATTTGCCTATGGTCATTAGTCTGGGCCCCAGTAGTTAATTCTAATTAATTTGCAAAGCCCTCTGGAAATCAGCTGCTTCCTACACAGATGGTACTGGGTGTCTTTTTGAGTCCTAAAGCCTGACCTCCTGACAGTGTCATTCGGCCAGTACAGCAGAGCCTGGCCTGACTCCATGCTTACACTTGACGTCCTTGGTGGGGGCATCACCTGCTATGTGTTTTTGTCTTTGCTTCTTGTGCTGACTCAGTACATGGACCTAGAAGACCAAGCTGCTGGGATGGAATCTGATGTGGTCCCGCCATGCCTCAGTGCCATGAAGTTCCTGTGTGAAACCAGGAGCCCTAGAGGTTTCTTGGTCTCCTCTACTGGCCCCCTCCCTACCGACATCTTTCTTTACACCCTGGGGTTTTGATATGTGTGTCTGTCTCCTCTGCTAGATCAGAAACTCCTTGAGGGCAGGGAGGGATGGAGATACATTCATGCTCTACCTGAGAATTCTCTCCCCGTCTGTCCTCTGAATATAGGTTATACATACACGAAATTTACAATAGATGTTGGCTAAAGTGAGTAATTCAGCAAATACGTAATGAACATTGTTTTGTTCTGGGCCTGGAAAACAGAGAAAAAAGAGTGTTTAGCTTTGAACTCCTTGAGGGTAGGGCCTAGTCTTGCCTGGCACACAGTACAGTTACATGCATAGCGTCTGGCACACAGTGAGTGCTAACAAAATTTGTTGAATGAATAACTGAATGAATGTATGGAGCACAAAATGCATGCTTGAATAAATGACAATATTCTTGGACTCGAGACTTCTTGATGGATTAGAAGAAAAAGGTGTGTGAATCACTGAGGAACAGTATGGAAAATGGTTGAGAGAGGAATGGTTAGGGTGGTGGAGGAGCAGGGAAGACATGGAAGCGAACTCACAATACAGTCCTCCCTGGCTGGGCCTCTGTTGTGAGAAGTCCACCTCCTGCTCTTCCTCTCCTGTCCTTAGGCAGCTCGTGGCTCACATGCTCCCACCCCAGTTCTTGACAGCAAACTGCTCCTCCTTTAAGATGCAGCTCACAGGCTGCCCATACTGTAGCTTCCAAGCCCTAATTCCCAGGGACTCCTGAACAGACCACAAACCAGTTCCTCTTCTTGGGTCACGTGTATGATGGTGGAGAGGAAGGATGGGTGACACAGCCACCCAAAGGAGCCTTGCTACACAGCAGCTTCTTAGATGTGTACCAGAGAGCACAGGCAGACGTGCTGCAGAGCTGAGTCCACACAAAAGCAGGAAAACCAACTGCCCTCAGGGCAGCACTTTACAACCCAAGAAAGAACAACCTTCACACGTGTCTTATTTTGGGATGGGTATGATCCAGTGGTTCTCAACTGGGGGCAATTTTTGCTCCCTAGGGCACATTTGACAATTTCTGGGACATTTTTGGTTGTCATGACTTGGAGGGGTGCGGGGGGCTCCTGCTGTCTAGGGGGTCAGGTCCAGAGATGCTGTGGCACATCCTCCAATGCACAGGTCAGCCCTGCAACTCTGCCGCACACACACACATACAAACACACACACACACACACACACACACACACATACACACCAGAGAATGCCCTGATCCAAAATGTCCAAAGTGCTGAGGCTGAGACCCCGCTTGGGGTTACTGAAAACAGAGGCCTAAGATTTGAGTCACCTGTCTAGCGTGGCATCGGGCTTCAGCCCTGCCGTCTCTGGTTGGGCCCAGGGCCAAAACCTCCATTCCATCCCCCTGCTCTGGCACAGCCCAGGCTTTGGGATAGCACAGTGCCCAGTATGAGGAACACTTTCTCAAACCTACTAAGTTTCCTCGGTTACTCCAGGAGGCGAAAGGGAGGGTCATAAACACCCCGGGCTGGGGGTCAGGGGAGGTTAGCAGCAACCCTTCAGTCACCCAATGACCCACTGGACAAAAACAGAGAAGAGCCTGCGGCCCTGACCTCCAGGGCTCTGCATCCTGCCTTTCTCCTTCTTCTGTAGCTTCTCCTGTGAACGGGACCCCTTGAACAGGAACCCACTCTATGGGCCTCTCTCTTGTCTGCCTCTGCCTCTGACTTGAACATCTTTAGGGCTGATTGTCTTTCCCAAAAACTTTTAAAGCTTGTGTGAAACCAGCAGTCCCTTCTGCGCACACCTCTCATGCCCTGGCTTGTCCCAGGGCTGGCTTCCTTTCCTCCTACAGTTCTCAGCCTAATGATATCTCTAGAGAGAGCCCATCCACCCCACGACTGGCCACCTGTGCAAAGTAGCACATCTGCGCCCCTCGGTCCCATCAACCCATTGAGTTTCTTTGATGGGTCGCCATAATTGATAGTCACATATTCAGTCTTTCCCATAGGACTCCTCCTAGGGGAAGTAGTAGAATCTGCTGTGTAGTACATATTCAAATAACCGCCACCCCATAATGTTCTTTCTAGTTCTTTTCCCGTGACCCACACTTTGCACCAAGTCGCCATGTCTCTGTAGTCCCCTTTAAATTAAGTTAAGTACAGGGAAGGGCAGGGCTTTTGCAGTTGTTTTTTTTTTTTTTTTTTTTACAGCTAAATCCCAGTTTGTGGAATATGCCTTGCTCAATAAAGTTTTACTAAAGAAATGACAGGGAATAAATTCAGAGCTTCATCTGTACTAGATTCTTTCTTGGTAAGTGTCTATTAAAAAGTCATCACAAAACTCATACCTCTGACTATCAGTCTAAAGCTCTTTTACTCCTCTGTGTGAATTTGGGGGAAAATCTCCACTTCTGCATATTTCTGCCTATCCCGTCTTCCCTGTAAAGCAAACTGCCCACTCAGTCTTTTGCAATAGTTCCTTTGTACCTTCCCAGCATGCTCTTCTTGAGCGGGTGTTTTCACAAGTTGTCTAAGGAACCATCTCTCTAGTGCAGAGTGCCTGCCTGCTAAATTTAGAAGCAGCCCTGAGGGTTTTGATTCATCTTTGCAAACTACCCCAAGTGAGGTTTCCAAATGACTGTCCCAGGGTGGCTGTGTCAGCCTCACTGGACTGGGGCCTGGGTCACCGGCCGTAGATTCTGGCCCTGGCTCTTCTTTGGGACTAGCTGTGTGACTGTGGACAGATCACTCAAGTCTCTGATGCTCTGTCCACTCTGTGAGGTGTGAGGGGCTGTGAGGGGCTCTGAGGGCCATCCCAGTGTGGTTACCTGGCATTCCAAGCTCAAGCAGGCAATTCCCAGGCAATCTTGGGGTCAGCATTCCAGAAATTTTACCTGTTTCATCAATAAGCTCTGAAGCCCCATGTGCCTGAGTTTCTCTGCTTGAGACTCACGTACTGTAAGTAGGGAGATTTTATATGCAATATTTACATAATGTATAACATATACAACATACATTTTATAATATATAACATAAAGACACACGTATTTTAACATCAAACTCACCAAAAACTTGCAAGAGTAGAACAATGCACACCTATATCCCCTTCACCTAGGCTCACCAAGTATTAACATTTTGTCCCGTTTGCCTTCTGTCTCCCTCATTCTCTTCCTGTGTCTTGATATATAGATGTAGATGTATTAGGTTGGTGCCACAATGATTGTGGTTTTTGCCATTACTTCTATGGCAGAAACCACAATAACTTTTGTGCCAATATGATGGCTGTAGATATAGGGATGCAGCTTTTCTTTTAACAAACTCTTTGAAAGATATAGCCGTCATGATACGAGACATCCTCTTGGTCACCGCATGTCCCCTAAGAACTAGACGTTCTCCCGCATAACCACACTATTATTACCATGTCCAAGAAACTTAAGACTGGAACAGTATTATCAACTGTGCAGTATATATTCAAACAACTGCCATCTCATAATGTTCTTTCTAGTTTTTTTCCCTTGACGCACACATTGGCACCAAGTCATTGTGTCTCTTTAGTCTCCTTTAATCTCAAAGCATTGCTCTGGGGTCCATTCGGCAGTAACAGAAGGAAGCTGCAAAAATTGGGAAACCGAAATCAGAGAAGCTGCAGCTCTTAGCCACAGCCTTCGTGGGCCCAGAGAGTTCTGGGGATGTACAAGAGCAAATTCACAGCCCCATTGATTTGCCTTTTAATTAGAGAAAGAAGACCAAGCTTCTGAAATTCCAGAATCCAGAGTTAAGCTGGCCATATTCTCAAATGCTTTGTAAAAAAATTAATAACCCATCTATCTTCCCAGTCCTTGCAGAGAGAAGCTTGCTCAGAGTGGTTACTGAAAACAGGAACCTGCCCTTCTGCAAGCCCTGTGCCTTCCTCGTTCCTAGCAGAGGAAGTATGCGGCCAGTTTAGCAACTGCAGTTCTTCTGTGTAGCATGGGCTGCTTCTCCACAACCGCGAGAAGCCCGGCTGCCTGTTTATTCTGGAGCAGCAGCAGTTGACAGACGGAGAGGCAGTGACTCTGCACCCAGCAATCCCTCTGCAGACAGCTCCCACAGGAGTCATGCCCAGTGTGTGAAGGTATTTTGGGAGTATGTGGCAGAGATGGGGTGGGGAGAGACTTCAGGGCCTCTTCAACACGCAGTTGGCAGGGGTTGACTTTCTGGAGTCAGAAAGGAGCTCCCTGAGAACAGGTGGGGCAATGTCTTGAGAGAAGCCCAGCCCCCAACCTGGTGCCCAGCACACTGCAGTGGCTCAGTGGGTGTTGGATGCATAATTCTGTGGAGAGAAGGGCTGGAGGAGCAGGGGCAGGATGCTGCCAGAGGAGACATTCTCGCCAAAAAGGCTTGTACTTAGCAGGCTTCTTACAAAGGATAATTGGGATTTGCCATCAGAATTCCTAGCTGTGCGACCTTGAGGGACTCATTTAAACCTCTCCAGACCTTCATTTTCTCATCTGTAAAGTGACAATGATGGTACCTAATGCACACAGGTATAGGGCAAAGTGAAGAAATTGACATATGCTAGGTGCCCAGGCCAGTTTCAGCATACAGCAGGTGCTCAGTAAACGCTATCAGGCTGGAGTCATGATGTCTAAAGGTGCATGGAGCCAGGTGGGTTGAGGGATTGCAATAGCGCTACTTGGAGTGTGATTGTATGCATCTTCTTTAAGAAGATGCCGAAGATAATTAATAACAATCTGAGCAGGTGGTATGTGTATGGGGAAAAGGAGGAATCAAAGGAAAGGCAAACATGTGAAGTATATAAATTCTGAAAACAGCATGTTAGAGTTGGAAGAGATTTAGGACAACGGGAATTTTCTAAGAAATATGGCACACTCCACATTCTTTTAGGTGTCTACATATGGAGAGAGCCTGGTGTCAAAGAAGTGACCTGAGCTTTGGCCTCAGAATGTCCTCATTTGGGGCTGTGCATGGGGGTGTCAGGAGGTGATATCCACCATCCCGAGTGGCTGGGGAGGAGCAATGCATAAAAAGTTATTTTTCTGCAATCCTCAGAACAATCCTATAGGATTGTGATTGTTATTTGCTTTTGAAAACTGAGGAAATGAGGCTCAGAGAAGTTAGGTGGCTTGTCCAAGTCACGGAGCTGGTGGGAGGTAGAGGCAAGTGAGGGGCTCTAAAGGGTTGGGGGAGCCTCAGCGAGAACAAGCGGATGCAGAGCTGAGGCCTGTGTTTAAAGTGGTGCCCTTGACTTTAGGAAAAAATGCACCCCATAGTCTTTAAATTGTCATTGTGTGGTTTGCTATGAGATGCTGAGCTGCAAGTCTATTAAACTGGGCTGTGGTCCTTCGAAAAGTGGAGAGGTAAGCCCAGGTAAAAATTCTGGCAAATTTGTTGCAACTAATAGTCTCCATTTAGAAGAATGCTATTTAATACAAAAATTAGCTGGGCTTGGTGGCGGGTGCCTGTAATCCCAGCTACTCGGGAGGCGAGACAGGATAATCGCTTGAACCCGAGAGGTGGAGGTTGCAGGTTGCAGTGAGCTGAGATGGTGCCACTGCACTCCAGCCTGGGCAACAATAGCGAAACTTCATCTAAAAAAAATAAGAAGAAGAATTCTATTTAAGAGTGCTTAATATGCTCTGAAAGTATAATAATATTAAAAACCTATGGAATAGACAAATTGAAATCTAATTAGATTCCTTCATCTTAAACAGATCTACAATCTAGATCAGAGCAGCAAGATGGCAACATAGAAAGATTGTGCCGTAATAGCTGCACCTGTGTCAACATTCTGGGTCGGCCACCAAAGAACTCTGTGACTCTGTACAAGTCACTTTGCCCCTTCGAGTATTTTCCTTGTAAAAAGAAGACCAGTTTCTCTGTATGTTTGAAAGAAGTTTACATGTACTATCTAGGAGATAATAGGTACTAAATAGGAGCTATTGGTATCATTTCTAAATCAGACAATTAAAATATATCCAATCCCTTTTACATTTCCTAGGCAGAAAGCTATTAATAAACAGTGTTAAATATGATGGATTAAACAGCTAAAGCAATGAGTGGGGCACTCCTCCATTTTTCTGAATATGTATTTCTGCTTGTTCCTCCCTCTGATATAAACGAAACAGACAGGGGTAGGTTTGCATTGCAGCAAACTAAAGTCGCTTTCCGAATAACACTTTCCTAAGTCACTTTCAGAAGAAAACTTCCCCATTCTAAATTGTGAAATCTGGCAATGTATTTCCAAGGGAAATGAGCCTTTTTAAAGACAGAAATTATTCATTCTAGTGCACCTAAATCAGTGCCCTGCATTAATAGATGCTGCTGGGTTTTATGTTTTTATTTGACATTCATCAAGAATGTATTTCTCCCAGCTCTGAGAGAGGCTGAAACTTAAAGTTCCCATCAAAACTTCCAGCATATTTCAGACCAAACCATTTGGTTCTTGTTAGCAGCCCAAGGGTCCTGTTCATACATTTATCTGTCCATCTATCTATCTATCCATCTATCTATCTATCCATCTATCCATCTATCCCTCTCTTCCTGCAATAAAATATCCATTGAGGTCACATCATGTGATCGACTTCCTCCCTCTCTCAATCTCCCTACAAGTTCCGAAGGAAATAAGTACACTCTGTTCAAACCACTTCCTCCTATCTGAGAACCGCTAAGGGAGGAGGCAATTTGATTATGGTAATTCTAGCTAAGACAGCAATTTTAGGGGTTGGGGGCTCAGTGGTTCTCTTTTGTTGTCAAACAGCTTTGCAAAGTCACACTTCGCTCCTTAGCACCAGGCAGACTGCAACCAGGGCTGGAGGACTTGGTGTGTATATGTGTGTAGAGGGGGTTGGTGAGTGAAGTTGGGAGACTTAAAGAGCTTCCGAAGAAAGTGAGAATTGTTGCTGGCTTGTGCTTAGGGGCAAAATAGCTACCTCAGACGGTCCAGGCTTCCCTGGAAGTGGACCACCTCTTGCCTATACTGTGCCAGGCAGTTTATATACAATACCTTCAGTCATTCATTCTAACTAACTGAGCTTGCATTATGTGCCAGACACCGGCTAGATCATGGCTTTTCATTGAGGAATATAATAGACATGAACCCTATCCTAAGAAAGTTGCCCTGGGAGCAGTAAGCATTTAGAGAAACAAATACATAAGGACAAATCGTGGTATGTGCCGTGAAGGAAACAGAGCCAGGGAGAGAGAAGAGAGGGGACCAAGTGTAGTCAGTGCAGTCGGTTTCATTTAATTCTCCCACTAACCCTGGGAGCTGAACGTGTTCCCTCCAGTTTGCAGGTGCGCCTCCTCCCCCCACTCCTCCCCTCTCCCCGCTGCATGCCATCCAAGTCACATGGACAATCAGCTCAAAATAGGCATCCTCTGAATGCAAGTTCCAAGCACCAGAGTGTGTGGACCCACCTCTCATTGCACCGCTCTATCCACAAACCTATCAATCCACCTACTGAATAACTATGACAAGCATAACCCTCTAGCACACAAAAGAGTACCATAACCTTGCCAGAAAAAAGGAGAGCTCTGCTTTAAGCTGCCCTCCATCCCTTTCCTCAGGCCTAAGGACACGGTAGCTGGGAGCCAGGCTCTAGAGCCAGATGCCTGGATTCCAGTACCACCTCCAGCACTTTCCAGCTGGGCAAACTCCGACACATTATGTGAATGCTCTGGCCTTGGTTTCCCCGGTTAGACAAAAGGCCTCAGCGTAATGATGCATACTCCAGAGAGTTGTGGAGGTCAAGTGGAGAGTACATGTAACACACCTAGGACACACAATTCCTCAATACGCACTGGTGCCCCCTCTCCTGTTGTTGTACACGAAGCCTCATCAAGGGACGGCACCAATCTGAGGTGGACACAGGGAGGCCTCCAGCTGGCTCCCTCACTACTTATAGAAAGGCGAACTGACACCAAAAGAGGAAAGTGACTTGGCCACAATCTCAGGGGAGTTGATTGGCCCACTGTGGGTTCTAAAGACAGAAAGTGCAGAAAATGAAAATTAGATAAAATTAGGGGAAACAATTGAGATAAATTTCCTCTCACAGTCTTGGAGCCACCCATCCCAGTGATTTTATGACAAAGTTGACAACTACTGTCCAGAGAGAAGGGACAACTTCACCACGGTCAGGAGCGGGGGTGCCTGCAGACACGGGCCAGTGTGCACACCAGCTCCCAGGCCTGTGTGCATTCTCCTCTGGTCTTGCCAGCAGACCCAGCTCTTAGAGCATCTGCTTTTAGAATTAAAGTTTTATTAAGCTGGGATGAAGGTATTACTGAAGGAATTAGGAGTGGGAGTAAAAAGACAAAGGATTTACAGGCTAGACCCAGCCCTGAACAAGCCTTGTAACTCTGAGCAAATTACTTACCTCTCTGAGACTCAGATTCCCATGCTGGCCCCAGCCCTGAGCTAGCTGTACGACCCTGAGCAAGTCACTTAGCCTCTCTGAGACTCAGTTTTCTTGTCTATAAAACAGTATGTTCTTGGGGGCATCAAATGAGTCCGTGTATTTTAAACATCTCCTTTAGGCCCTCCGCATAGTGGATGCCCACTTAGATTAGTCTCTTTTGTTTTGAAAACAAATAGAGAGGCCTGTGGGCAACTGTTCCAAAAACAGATGCTTGTTGGGAGAAAGATTTCATAAAGAGTCGGTTCGCTCCAGTGGTGTCTGGATGCGGCCTGTGCTGGCTTATGAGACCGCTCCACACATCTTTTTCCTACTCCGTCCTCAGAGATGTCACACTGGAAACTGGAAGTCAGCATGGTGGGAGTATTTACACCACAGAAATTGGCACACACTATTAGGAATTTTTCCCCCTGAAACATTGATTGTTTGACATTTACTAGCACACCACAAATCCGCGGTCTCCTAGGCCCACATTGTTTCTTCAGTTCCTTTCTTTTCTTCTTTTCTTTTCTTTCTTTCTTTCTTTTTTTTTTTTTTTTTTTTTTTTTGGAGCTGGAGCCTTGCTCTGTCACCCCGACTGAAGTTCAGTGGCACAATCTCGGCTCACTGCAACCTCCATCTCCTGGGTTCAAGCATTTCTCCTGCCTCAGCCTCCCAAGTAGCTGGGATTTCAGCACCTGCCACCACGCCCAGCTGATTTTTGTATTTTTAGTCAAGATGAGATTTTTGCCATGTTGGCCGGGCTGGTCTTGAACTCCTGACCTCAAATGATCCGCCTGCCTCAGCCTCCTAAAGTGCTGGGATTATAGGCATGAGCCACCACACCTGGCCTTTTTCTTCTGTTTCTAACTGTTCCCTTTTATTTCCCTATGGAGCATCTACTGAGCCCCAGCCGAGAGTAGAAACAAACCTGCTGGCTGCTCTCAAGGCACTTATAGTCCAGTAGGGGAGACGGTCACTCACCACTCAGTCACACAAATGACCGTCGAATTGTGACCCACCCTAAGGCAATTGGCTTTCCTGAGGAGCTAAGGAGGGAACAGGAGCTAAGGAGGAGCACATTAATAGCAAATTAAAAACATCATGGAGATCTCTTTAGAGAGACCAAGCCCCATTAGACCAAATGCCTGGGAGCTGTAGAGTGTGGGGTTCTGGGGTCCATGTCCCTGGACAAGTGACTGACAGTGAGGGGAGATCCCAGATCAGGTCACTGGCAAATGCTGTGTCAGGTGAAATGCTGATTCCCATCTTGCTTGATAAGTTTATGAGTAATGCTGTGATTCACATGTACGAATAAAAAGGAAAAGTAACTCTTGCTGGGAAATACGATGCAATAAAGAAATCACGGACTTTATAGTCCCTGTGCCTAGAAGCCTGGGTGACCTTTAGGATGTTCATGAAAGTTTCCATCTACCTCCACCTTCTGTGATGAAACCTGCCTTTCTCAAGTATCCACATTTGAAATGAAAAGAAAAGGCCTGTTTCCTAGTCACTGTTTCCCCATTCTATGTAATGGCTAGGATTAAAATAATTGTCTTTACCACTCTTTCTTCATTGCCAATGTTTGCTAGGCCAGCCTGCTTATATGATCTAGAGGTATCCAGGACCTGGCCTAGGCCAAACCCCATTTATAGCCTGGTTTTGTCAGCAAATTTGTTCTGGTCCAACAGAGCCACAGGCTGACTGGGTGGTGCCCCACCTCACCATCCCTGTGTTGGGGGCCTCTGTGTACAGAAAGTCTATCTAGAAAGAAAGAAATGGGCTCTTTTTATTTCCATGAACTATCAAAGCCACGTCAGGAATGGCTTCTGCTGCCCGCCTCCGTATGCCAGACAGCTCTTCATAAGACGCCCACTCACTGTACTGACACGTCTGGGTCACTGAGCCCCTTGCGTCAGTGTGGTGGTGAGCCACGGAGACTGCAGGGTGTGCACAGCCCTCAACACCTCCTCTTGCCAATCCTTCCATGAGAACACCCAGGAAGGCACATATGACTATGTTCATTAAAGACAAAAACAAAAACAGCAGAAAGAGTGGTCTAGTGACTTAATAAAGAATGGAATTAAAACTTGCCCCAGCATTGACAGGCCTCAAATCTGGCTTCTTTCCATGATATCTTAAAATGACCTTAAAATGTACACTAGGACACCTCCATCCCCTTCTGGTCTTAGCATAAAGCCCAGCCTCTCTGTTAGCCTGAGAGTGTATGAGATCCCCTCCTGGGCACTCAAGGGTAGAGGGGGCCAGCATACAGGCTCCTGGACATGTGGGTCAGGTCTGCAGCCTGGTTGACAGATAGATGGGCATTGCCCCTCCTGCAGGGCATGGAGTGCTGGGCAGGGAGTCATGCATTCATCCAAACTTAATGTGTGACCTTGAGCAGATTGCTTGCCCTCTCTGAGCCTTTCCCTTGTCCTGTGAGAGTGTTGAGTTGCTACTTTTCAAGTGATGCTTTATGATGCCCCAGGATTGAGGTATCCTATCAAGAGTAGTAGAGGGATGAGATGCTGAGCTGAGCCCCCAGCCCCAGGCAGCTACTCCCTTTCATCTATTCTATGTATTGAGCTTCTAGGGAATCCTTCTTTCTTTTCCTTCTTTCTTTCTCTCTTTCTTTCTTTCTCTCTCTCTCTCTTTCCTTCCTTCCTTCCTTCCTTCCATACATACTTCCTTCCTTCCTTCCTTTCTTTCTTTCTTTCTCTCTCTCTCTGTCTCTCTCTCTCTCCCCCTTCCTTCCTTCCTTTCTTTCTTTCTTTCTTTTTCTTTCTTTCTTTCTAGATGGAGTCTTGCTCTGTCACTCAGGCTGGAATGTGCAGCGGTGCGATCTCAGCTTACTGCAGCCTCTGCCTCACGGGTTCAAGTGATTCTCCTGCCTCAGCCTCCTGAGTAACTGGGATTACAGGAAGCTGCCACCACACCCAGCTAATTTTTGCATTTTTAGTAGAGATAGGGTTTCACAACGTTGGCCAGGTTGGTCTTGAACTCCTGACCTCAGGTGATCCACTTGCCTCAGCCTCCCAACATGCTGGGATTCCAGGTGTTTGAAATATCTTAGGTAAGAGGATCCCACGTTCTTCCCCAGGGGTTTCTGAGGGCCTCTGGCTTGGAGTCAGGCCTGAGAAGAAGGCTAGGAGTTGCATGTCCTCTCTGAGCTGGCTGCCTGCCCTTGTAGGTCTTGCCAGTGCCCCTAGAGCCCCTGGTATGCCGCAGCCCTCCTCTGCAGTGTAGAGAAAGGAGAAGCAGATGGGGGTGGGGTGGGAGCAGGTAGAACAGGCCTGCGGCTGCACCTGCCCTAGAGGAGAGCAGGGGACTATGTGGGTCACGGGGTAAGTGGCCTCGGCAGCCCCCAGCCTCGCACTCAGAGAGGTGCACCTGTGAAGTGAGGTCAGGATGTGGTGGGTGACCCCGGAAATCCTGCCAGGGAGACCACCGGATGCTAAGCCCCTGTGCCAGCTCTTATTTTTCCTGAAAGGAAGGGTCAGACCACAGGCAGCACTGAGCAAGTCCCTAGTCAATTGTGCCGGTACTGGGTACAGTCACGGCGGGAAAATGGTTGAGGCAAAAGAGCCATGACCAACTGTTCAGCCCAACCCTTTCCCCATCAGATTTGAGGACTCTTTGGCCCAGACAGAGGAAGGTACTTGCTCAAGCTTGCACAGTGAGTTAGCCAACCCCCCAGCCCCTGCACGGGATCTAGCTTTGGTAAATTTTTAGCTGCCATTTACCAAACATATCTCTGCTTTAGATATGACCCATAATTTCAACCTCAAAACAACCCCATAGGGCATATACTTGTATCCCAAATTAGTGGATTTGAAAATCAAGGCTCAGAGAAGTGAACTAACTTGCCCAGCGATACACAGCCAGTAGGTTGGGAGCTGGAATCTGCACTCAGGCCTGCCTGCTTTGAAAATCTCTTCTTTAAGGCGCCCTCATTCTTTCCAACCTTTTGATTATAAAAGCAATTCAGGCACTTGGGAGAAAATCTGGGTATTTTAGAAATGTGTAAGTAAATAAGAAATTTATAAATTCACATATAAAATCACTACCCAGAGAGAGTCCTTGGAAACATTTTGGAAATTTCTCTTTAATATTTTTCCACGTGTATGCATTTGAGTGGCACATTTTTATGAAACAGAGATTCTAAAAGCACAGCTAGTATTCCTTTCTGTTTCTTTTCTTTTGTTTTGTTCCACAGCAGTAACAGCTTTTTTTTTTTTTTTTTTTGAGACAGAGTCTCGCTCTGTCACCCAGGTTGGAGTGCAGTGGCGAGATCTCAGCTCACTGCAAGCTCTGCCTTCTGGGTTCACGCCGTTCTCTTGCCTCAGCCTCCCAAGTAGCTGGGACTACAGGTGCCTGCCACCACGCCCGGCTAATTTATTTTTGTATTCTTAGTAGAGACGGGGTTTCACCATGTCAGCCAGGATGGTCTCGATCTCCTCACCTCGTGATCTGCCCGCCTCAGCCTCCTAAGTAACAGCTTTTAAAAATAATGCTGTGAAAGGCTAGAAAACATTCCTTGCGATTCACTCCTGCCCTTTTGACCACAGCATGCCTCAACTGGCCTCGCTCTCTTGTTTCTTCTGCTCCCAGCAGCACTTCTGCACCCCTCATCCCCGCTGGAAACCCAGACCCGGGCTTCCAAACACTGCCAAGTGACATCCAAGAGATCCCTCAGGGCCTCCATTGTATTAAAGTTTCCCCCAAAGTTTATGCTTCCTAAGGTTTGTTTTGATGACTTTTATTTTACTTTTTTATTTTATTTTATTTTATTTTATTTTATTATTTTTGAGACGGAGTTTCACTCTTGTTTCCCAGGCTGGAGTACAATGGCCTGATCTCAACTCACTGCCACCTCCGCCCACTGGGTTCAAGTGATTCTCCTGCCTCAGCCTCCTGAGTAGTTGGGATTACAGGCATGTGCCAACATGTCCGGCTAATTTTTGTATTTTTAGTAGAGACGGGGTTCCTCCATGTTGGCCAGGCTGGTCTTGAACTCCTGACCTGACGTGATCCACCTGCCTCAGCTTCCCAAAGTGCTAGGATCACAGGTGTGAGCCACCGCGCCCGGCCTGATAACTTTTAAAAATCACTTTTCTGTTGCCTTCTTGGGTTTGAAAATCTCTTCTTTTCTGTCAGAGGACAGCAAAACAGGGCAGCACTGGTGGCGAGTTAGAGCACAGGTTTTAGAGCCAGGCAGACCTGGCTGGAATCCCAGCTTTAGCTCTTCCTAGCAGTATAACCTTGGACAAGTCACTTAATTTATCTCAGCTATAAAGTGGGGTTGTTCTGAGCAACCCAGGACATACTGGCTGGACAGTACTTAGCTTTGTGCCTGGCAGAGGATGCTTGCTGACCAATTGTGGGATGGGGGTGTTCTGGTCATCACCGTTGTTGTTGGCATTCACATATATGGTGGACATTGAGGCTTCTCCACTTGCCGCACCACACTTCCATGCCTTAGAAGAAGGTTATATGAATGGGCTTATAGCTGTCACACTTTGCAGCAGAAATTTCTAAGAACAAAGGGAAGGTAGCATCCCTAAGTATGTTTTCAAATTAATTCTAACTGTCACCAAGGGTTCAGTTCCTGGCTTTATGACCTGCCTTCCCTTGGTTGGACTTCCTCAATTTGTCTCCCCTTCGGTGCACGATAAAGGGGTTCGGGCTACCCTCCTTCCCAGCAGCAAGGCCAGGCATCAGAAGCACAAGATGGACCAGGTGCATACAACTGTCCTGGGACACTGTCCCAGGAATGGAAGGTTCTGAGAAGCCTCCCCACCTGGATTTATGAGATAATGCAGAGCACACAATGAAAGGACCCAGATCTGCGAAACAGAAACCTATTAAGAGGAGGGCTGCTGGCCGGCATATCCCACGTTGTCGACGGCAACGCCATGCCAGTATGTGACCTCTCCATGCCATGTTTCTGCTCAAATGGCAGCCAGCTGCACACTGACCAGAGTTCCTTACGCTGGAGAGACAGCAGCATGGTCCTGAACAAAAAGTGTAGGTCCTGAAGTCCGGAGATGTGAGGTTTCCAGCTCCAGGACAGTGGGCAGGTGACTAACCCCTGATCTCACACTAACAAAGTGAAAGAGTATCTGCCCTTGGGAATGCTTGTAAGATTAAATACAACAATATCTGCAGATTGCCTCACAGAAGGTGGTTGTACACATTAACTGTCTTCCCTTGATCCTGTAGCACACAAAGGCAAGATTGGGATTCTGTCTAATAGGACTTCATTTGAAAAACGCCAATGGTTGTTTTATTAATAATTTTTAAAAACCATTGAGTCTTGATTGCTAAAATTAAATGGGGTTATCAGGCTCGCTCTTTGGAGATCATCTTTTCTACTCATCTCATTTTTCAGAACAGGAAACCAAGGTCCAAGTTCACACAAAGGAAATAACATTGGTCCAAAGACCGGAGGGAAAATAAGGTAATAGCAGTTACGATTCTATGACCCAGAAACCTAAGAGTCACACCACCAAGGAAAGGGAGAAAGAAATCAAGAATTTGCAGAGCCAGTGTTAATTAACTCATTTCTCTTTTGCCCTTTTCTATTGTTCTTAGAAGCAATTATGTCTCCGGTACCCTCTCTCCCACCTTCAGCCACTGCATAAAATTGTCACAGATTAAATCAAATTGTTCAGCCATTTCATTAGAGAGACTCCAGCTCTCATTCTCTGGGGGCATTTTCACTCTTCTCAAATAAAAGCCTCTTTCAGATAAGTTAACTCCTTCTTGAAGACTATAGAAAGCCACTGAGCAGACCACTAAAGGGCTGTTGAGACCTGATGGTTTTTTTGGTGGTCATATAGCCCGGACACAGCACCTTCTGTCACGGAGACTGAACTCTGACTGGCAAGACAGAACGGGTGGGAGTGCAAGCAACAGCAGAGAAGACTGTTAGCGTAGAAGAACCCAGGCCTCTAGGACTGACTCAAACTTTCTCATCTCATGACCCTGGGTACGTTTCTTTTCCTGGATGAACCTCATTTCTCCAATCTCAACAATGCAAGTTTAAAGGCTTTTTTTTTTTTCTGTAGTGGATTCCAGGAATCCCTCCAAAATAGCATGCAAATGCTTGAGAAGAATGATAGAGCTGTTGGGAAGAGAGAGGATGTTGGAATTCTCTTTGATGGATAGCAAAATCTTGTTCTGACTTGTTTTCTGGAATGGTTGACATAAAGGAGGGGAGAGATCAGACATTGTGGTGGGAGCCTGCTGCTTAGAAGCAGCTTGGGGGAGGGGATGGAGGGGAGGGAAGGCTGGCAGGGCTGGGGGCACCCTGGCATCTGGAGGGGTGGAACTTATGGGGGCGGGGTTCTGGGCACAATCACTAGGTGTTGAATGACAGTTGATGAGTCAGGCTGAAAGGACAGGAAGGCATTGTTGGGACAGTTTGCTGTGTCTGGGGACACTGGAGATGGTGGCAAATGGGCAAGGCCAGCACACATGTGGTTTCAGAGTTAGTTCTGCATGTTGAGAACTTTCCCCAGAAGCCCAAAGGCCTCGGTGATGATAGACAAGGAGGCTGAGGAACCAAGGCAGCTGGCAGGTACCAGGAAGCCCAAGGAGCAGGACAGAGGCAGGCATGTGCAGGACAGCCTGTGCATGTCACATGTGTGTTTCCCAAGGCCTGTGCGTAGCAGAGCAGCCTGTGCATGTCACACACATGCTTCCTGAGACCTGTGTAAGACACCCTGTGCGTGTCACATGTGTGCTTCCTGAGGCCTGTGCAAAGCAGCCTCTGCATGTCATACGCATGCTTCCCAAGGCCTGTGCAGAACAGCCTGTGCATGTCACACCCATGCTTCCTGAGGCCTGTGTACGACACCCTGTGCGTGTCACAGGCATGCTTCCTGAGGCCTGTGCAGAGCGGCCTCTGCATGTCACACGCATGCTTCCCGAGGCCTGTGCAGGACAGCGCCTGTGGCTACAATCCCCTCAGGGCCAGGGAGGCCTGGTTTGCCTCTTCCCTCTTGCCTGACCCGGGCCTCGGAGGCAGCACACTCCCACTACGTGGGTGGGATCCTGACTTCCTCAAGGCTCTAGCCCAGGGCCCGGCACCGGGGAGATGCCCAGGAAGTGTCTGCTGAACTGCGGGGAATGTGGGTTGGAGTCACGCCACCTGCTGTGTTTCTGTAAGCATTTTGGGGAAGCACATTTCTTGGGTACCTTCGCCAGGCTCAGGAATGGAGACAAGGCCAATGTATCCCTGCCCTCCTGGACTGCAGGTGTTGCTGTTAGAACCTGCCCAGCTGCTAGAAAGTTCCTACCAGGGTCAGAGGCCCTGGGATTTTGGGTGCGCATGTTTTTCTGGTTTGTGAGGAGGGTAGGGGCAAGCATGAAGAAAGAAGGGCCCGAGCCTCAAATTTGCAAGGGCATCCTCTTTTCTAGTCACAAAGATCAACAGGATCCAAAAAGGATGGGATTTGCGCTTCACTTTAAACATGCTGCCCGTTCTAGCCAACCCTTCTGTGGTGCACTATGAGTTTATAGCTTTTGCGAGCCTGGTCATTGTCTTCGGAATATTACTATGCATTAGCTTGAGCAGTAAGTGACAAGTTGTTCATGTAAATGTCTAAGATATACGGACTTTTAAACAACTCTCATTTTGGTGTTCCTTGTTTCTTAATATAGTAGGAGTCTCACCTCACACCACCCCTTCCCTTAAATTATGGAGCAGTGCAGACCTCCCTCAACCCGGGGAGGGCCTTGCTCTGAGAGTGTACTTCTTTCCAGAACCTGTACACATAGGGCATGGAGACAGGACTCAAGGCCAGGGTGGGAGTTGGATGGGCTGACTTTTGTGCCCTTCATAAGGTTTGATCCTGAGCTGCAGACACAGGTAGGTGGGAGATTAGTTTCCATTTGGGCTGGAGGCCGATGGGGGGACCCTGTTCCGTCTCTTCTCTTTGACCCCACAAAGCAGGCAGAGCTCTATTTATGAATGTGGCCTTCCTCTCTGTGCTTCCACCATCCAGAGGGAACGTGGCTTCCCTAAAACCCTATTCTCTGATAATCTATGTCCCTTTCCAAAATATTTGTATGAAGGTCCAGACTTGGAAATTTTATCATTAAGGACAATCAGTAAACAGAGTAATAACTAACATGTATTCTATGCCACGCCACGTTCAAAGTGGTTCCCATGCTTTATCTCAGTTAATTTTGTGACCATAACCCAACACTGTTCAATTAGTGTTCCCCAAAACAGTCAGAAAAAGGTTAATGACTTGGCCAGGCATGGAGGCTTATGCTTGTAATCCCACCACATTGGGAGGCCAAGGCAGGTAGATCACCTGAGATCAGGAGTCCAAGATCAGCCTGGCAACATGGTGAAACCCCATCTCTACTAAAAATACAAAAATTAGCTGGGTGTGGCATGTGTGCCTGTAATCCCAGCTACTTGGAAGGCTGAGGCAGGAGAATCGCTTGAACCCGGGAGGCAGGGTTGCAGTGAGCCGAGATCGTGCCATTGCACTCCAACCTAGGCGACAGAGTGAGACTGCGTCTCAAAAAAACAAAAACAGAAAAGGTTAATGACTTGCCCGAAGTCATCTAGCTTGTAAGTACACAGCCAGAATTTAAGCCTGGGTGGTTAACTTGAAAACCGTTATGGAGCAACCCAGAGATTTAGCATCAGTGGTTCAAATCTCAGTTCTACAATTACTTGCCATGTGACCTCATACAAGTCACTTACCCCTTCTGAGACTCAGTTTCCCTCACTGCACAATGGGCTTAAGCATGATGCAAGGACTTTACAATGATCAAAAGTAACAGTTGATGTGAAAGGGCTTCAGCAGCATGCAGCCAGTCCACAGAGTTGTTATGAAGTTTTCCTCTTTCATCCTTTGTTAAAGCATGCTGACAAACTCAAAAGGATGACAAAAAGTAGCAGCAGAAAGTACCTTCTCCTCATGCCTTTGGTTGTACAGACACACAACTCCTGTACTCCAAATTCCTGGCACACAGAGTTGATGGTGAGGGCCCCTGAGTGGAGATACTTTCTGGGCCACCTGAAATGCTGCTTGGTTTCTCACACAAACCCTGCTGTGGCTGCTTACCATCCTCAGCAAGGGTGCGGAGGAATGGAAACTTTTGCCACCAACAGCATTTGCTAGCAACTTCCCTCTCTGTGGTTTTTCTGTCATTCCCTTGATAAAAGAACTTGAGCTGCGCAAAAGTAACCAATCTTCACCAATCTCATCTTCACATATAAACAGCCGCCTTTCAAGAAGCAAGCTGCCAGAAAAATGATGCACGATGCTCTCTAAACTGGGTCATTCTCCACTTGGAGGGCTCAGGGCACGGTTGACTTTCCCCGTCTGTCTCCTATACCACAGGCTCTGGGCATCACCAGCGGCCCCAGGGAAAAAGAAAGAAATGGGAAACAGCATGAAATCCACCCCTGCGCCTGCCGAGAGGCCCCTGCCCAACCCGGAGGGTAAGTCTGGCTTCTCTGGTGAGATGCTTGAGTCTGTGCTACAAGAGCCTGTGGTAAAGACTGGGCGGTGGTGGATGCCGGTAACTACTTAAATGGGGCAATGGGTACCGAAGGGCTCATTATATCTGTCTCTCTAGTTTTGTTTGTGGTTCAAATACTTCATAATTAAAAGACGAAAAGAATTGGGTGCTCGGCGCACCTGAAGGGTGTCAAATCTTTGGCATTTTGAGATGGATCTCCAAGATCAGCTGGTTTAATCACTTTATTTTCCAGATAGGGAGACTGAGCCTCACAAAGGGAATGGGATCCACATCACTGGGCATTTGCTGTTAAATTTCCAATCCAGGCCCATCCAATTCTGAAACCTAGACTCCTGTTTACCAAACTCTGGCAGCCCATAATATAATATCATCCTTATACTTAGCCCCGCAAGAGCTGGATCTGTGTTACTTTTCTAAGCTAGGCACCATCCTGTGACATCTTCCTGAAAACAAAGGAAACCTTATGTCCCATTGGTGGGATTGCAAGGTGACAAGCATTCTCGGGGGAAGAGCCTAATATTGCAGGTTAATCAGTGATGACCAAAGTCAGCTTTTTGGAGAGATGTCAGGTTTGGTTAGACTCCCAAAGCTACAAAGAGTCCCTCAGCAACTGGTCAGAGGCCTGGGAGGGAACACCAGTGAACAAAGGGAAAAGGCTGAACATCAAATCCACCATGCTGTGGACTCAGCTATGCTGGCCCCTTCTAATGGCCTGACCTTTATTTCCTCAGATTCCTAGTCCATAATTCTCATATTGTGGGGTCTTGGGAAAGGGACGGTTAGGGAAGCCAGGGGGCACCTTGGAACACTTCTGCTTCCCACCTTACATGGTAGCATTTGGGGCCTGGTGTCCCATTTCCTCGCAGGGGTGACCACACATGGTTCCCAGCAGCCCCTGCAGCACCGCCCTGGGCGGAGTTCACTGGCGCAGATGGCTGCCCTGTCTGCCGAGCCTGACAGGGAAGTGGACTGAGCCAGGTTCCTGCGCTGCCTCCAGGTACTGCACATTTCATGACTTCTGTGGCTCCCTCACAAAGGAGCCTTCTCACTGCTTCCAAAATGGACAGGCCCAGCTTGTGTGGTCTGATGGCCTCCAATGCCCCCAAGCCAGCATGCCAAGACCCAGCCACCCCACACCCCTTTCAAGTCAGATGCAGAACAATCCTAGTGCTCTTATTTATCTAGTGAAGTAACTCTCCTTCTCAAGCCAAATGCAAGAGGGATAAACAAAAAGAATATTCCCCAGGACCAAGGAGGTGGAACCAGATGACAAGGTGGAACAGAGCATGTGCTCTCAGGACAGCAGCCCTCTATCTCCCATGCGACACTCAGAACAGCGTGCAACGTGCAGGGTGGCTGAGCTGCTGCTGCTGTCAGGAGAATGCCGGGCTCTTTCTCACCCTCTCCAAACTGGCTTTGGCCACAGCCTCCTCCTCTGGTCATAACCACTGCTAGAAAACTGACACCGCAGGGCCCTGAGCCCAGGCAGGCTGGGGAGGCACCCACCCACCGAACCCATCTTGGGTCGTCACCTCTCAGCCTGGGGCAGAGGGGGCAGCATGCTTGAGCGAACCTCATGAAAACATCAGTCTCCAAGGCTTGCTCATTTGCCTTCAACTTTTCAATGCAAATTGTCATGAAATAAGTTGATTTTGTTCCATTATGTGGGTGGGAGGTCACCTCTAGAACAGACATAGAGAGAGGGGTCTCCCCACCCCTCCACCCCCTGGTGAAGAGAATTCCCCTGGTCATACCCCGTTTGTGATCCAGGCAACCACATCAAGCGCTGGTGGGCTGCTTTTTCAACCCCCAGCCCTGAAACGTTCCCCCGATCATTGGTCCTAACGTTGTTTCCTCTTTTCTCTTCTACCTACTTGAGTAAGGGAGGGGAAGGCGGTGCAGTGATGCCGTGTTAAGTAGTCCCCATCTGCCTCATGCACAGGGTCAGAGTTTTTATGGAATGAGCTGCTACTCAGCTCAAGCTCCTATGGCTGCTCATCCGGTTACCCTCAAACAAGTAACCTAGGAGACGGTGCAGGTCTTGCTGGTTGCTTTAGGCCAATGTGCAATTAGAGCCAGCTCCCACATTAGCTTCAGTGCCAGAGAGGCACCACAGACCCTCCACAGACCCTGGCCGTGCACAAGGATCACCCAGAGGCCAGCCTGGACACTTTTAGACAACCATGTTTTCTGAGCTTTTGGGAGATCATTCTTCTCCCAAGCCAGGACAGTGAATGCCTTGGAACATGGCTTTACCCATCTGTTTTTTTGTTTTTTTTTTTTTGTTTTTTGTTTTGCTAAACTAAGATTTCCAGAATATTCTTGATTAGTCAATTTCTCAGGAACTAATGTCTTAAACCTACAAAAGGAAGCAGGACTTGAGGGAAATAGAGCAAGTTTCAGAGGCAGAAGGCCCTCACTGAGCTTCCAGTAATGTTCCGTGGAAGCTGTGTGACTTTAGGTGAGTCACTCGGGCTGCCCCAGAGATCTGGAACAAGTCCCTCCTCACAGCGACAGCATGATGCAGGGCAGGCACCAGCAAAGAAGGGTGTGGAAACTTTTAAAAACTCTGTTTGGGGTTACCTGACTGCACCAGGTTATATCTAAATGGCCATTCCCCAAAAGTTTTAAAGTGGTGAAACTGGTAGTTCTGTAATTTGCTTTCAAATCATCCCAAAGTGTTCATTTTCTCTACAATTCTATACATACTTCTGTACCAGACATGGGCAGTACAGGATTTTTTAATACAACCTAGGGAAGTCCCGCTGTGGTCAGGAAATGGCATATTTCCACCTTAAAATGAGCACTCTGTCTCTCTGCTGTGATCTTTTTCCCCTCTTTGTTCCTTCTCTTCTTATCACCCTGACCTGAAGAGGCACCAACAGAGGCAGCAGCACAGACCCCTTTCTGTCCGTGCAAGGGTAGAAATAATGCTGTTTACATAGTTGCCCAGTGGAAAGAAGGGGGCGGGTGGGGCTCGGGGAAGGAAGAAGGAGGTAGGGACCTCTCAAACCCAGCTTGCAGCTTCTCAGTAAGTGGTCTTCGCACCACCTGCATCAGAATCCCCTGGGAAGTAACTGAAATGCAGATTCCTGGGTCCCACCCCAGGCCCACGAATCAGAACCTGGGGATGGTGGAAGGTAGCCGCCAGCTGAATTTCCTAGGAGTTCCTGGGGACTCTGTAACCCCTAAAGCTTGCAGACCACAGACCAGCTTTTAGTCCTGCCCCTGCACTGACACACAACGAGAGATGAGAAAGAGTTTATCTCCTTAGTCTCTCTGTCCTCCTTTGTAAAACGGGAATGATTAGAGCCGCTTGGTGCTCACAGCCTCCAGACACAGTGCCCAGTGCTTTACATATGCAGACTCGATTCTCACAGCCCCACGAGGCTTCTGCCTATTATCATCTCCGTTTTGCAGTTGGAGAATCTGAGGTACAAGAAGCTTAAATGACTTGCCTTAGGCCATACAGCTCAGAGGAGACAGCTGGGATTCAAAGCCAGGTGGTCTGACTCCAGGGTCCCTCTCCCCACCTCAGTGTGTGCCTGGAAAGGACAGGGTTTCAAGAAGCCCCCATGCTCTGGAAGAGGATGGGCTCGTCTCGAATGAATGAGAATGTGCCTGGCCCCCAGATTTAATGACCCAGATGATCAAGTGCCCTAGCAAGGGGTCCCACAGACAGTGAATCCGTGTCAAATCTTGGACCAGATCCCTTTTTTCTATTTGAATCTAACCTCGCTGCTGGTACATGAGATGGTCTTAGGCAGAACTTGATCATTCAACTTTTACATAATTGTACATTGATGAACATCATAAAATATATAACTAGCCCAAGAAATCCACGATGTCACATTGCTTAGAATAGCACTCAAGTTTTTTTAAGTAAATTAATTTTTAAAAAGACATTATCAAGTAACTAGTGCTGTCAACTATGTCAAAGGAGACCTGAGTGGTTCAAACACAGCCATGCCCTGCCCTGCCCAGGGAGACCTGGTTTTGAAACCTGGCACTCAGCTTCCTAGGTGTGTGCTCTTGGGCGGTCTCTGGACCTCACTGTGCCTCTATTTCCTCATACTCAAAATAAGGTAGTTTCAATCTATCAACCTCACAGGGAGGCGTGAGGACTTCAGGGGTAACCTCGGTACCACCACAGCCCAGTGCCTGATTCCCCCCAGAGCTGTGCGCCCTGCTGCTGCTGCTGCTGCTGCTGCTGCTGCTGCTGCTGCTGCTGCTGGTGATGAGGAGGGGGAGGAAGGGAATGGTGGAATGAAAACAACTGAAGTCTGAGAAGCCCTGGGTGCCCAAGTAAAGCACATTCTGAGTCTATGCAGTCCAAAATATTCATTTTGACTATTTCTTGCTTCTGTTCTGTGCTAGCCCTGCCTATATCCCTCTAGCATCTAAGAGAGTTGAGACTGACCCTGAAAAGACTCAAGGTCTGTTTAGTTCCAATCTGTCCCCACTAACATACGGAAAAACCAAGGCTTGGGCAGAAAAGAGCTTTGTGGGCTACCGGGTCTCAAACACAGCCCTTTACATATGACTAAGAGGGCTCACAAGCCTGGTTCATGGTGACCCGCAGAACTCGGCAGACCTTCTACCAGGCTAGATGGTCCAGCTCTGTGTGATTGGTTAGTTGCATGTATAATCCTGTGTGTGTGTGTGTGTGTGTGTGTGTGTGTGTGTGTGTGTGCGCGCGTGCGTGTGTGTGTCCTGAAGATGACACTGAAAGTCAGGCCTGCTTTGACCCCTGAGGAGACCATGAGTTTAGCCATGACTCCAGGAAATGCAAAACAAGAGGCTGCAATCCCTGGGCTGTACAGCTCCCTACCCACCAGTTGCCCTGAGCTGCTTATGCTAACCCTGACAACTTACCTGGAGTCTGCCTTTGTCTCCCCTGTTAAGGGTCAAGTGTGGGCTGAGGAGAGCTTGAAGATTAAGTGCCAAGGAGAGCCGTGTGGCTCCGTGAAGGACCCTGGGCTTTGAAATCTTCACACTTTCCCCTAGATAGGTGACTAAAACTCTCCCAGCTTTGGCTTCTTCACCCTTAAATAATCACGTATTTTCTGTAGGGCTGGGCAGGGCACTGGAAGTGACAAACGACTAGTTTTATTAGACAGTTATAAGTGGGAGTGACTGAGAATGTTCTCAGCATTTAAAAAGAAATGGTCATGCAGCACCAAAGAATGACAGTTTACAAAAGGGCCCGTCCTCTCTTGACTAAGTCCCGTAAGGCCTGCCTGGGTCCCTCCCCTTTGTGGATTCGTTTCCTATTTTACGCTTTTGTACATTTTGTTCAACTTGACTCATTCTTAAGTTGAGCTATCAGCAAATATTTGGTCTTTTGAATTTCATCTTCTGTTCTCACCAAGTGGAGTTCATTTTTAGAGAGTAAGAAATTATCAAGTTTACTAGTTTGCAAATTTTAGAAAGTTATTGGCTAACACTGGTCTTGAGTTATGGTCTGGTGACCCCGCTCTCCATGAAAATAATATTAGCTTCCACTTACTAAGGCAGGCCCTAAAATGCAATGCATCCTGAATCCTTCACTCAATCCTATGAGGCAGATTTTGGCAATTTCCCTTTTTATTCACGAAGAAATCAAGCTCAGATTAGTTAAAAATAAATCTCCCCCCAAATCGCATCACTGTGTAGTGGCGGAGGTGGGATGTAAGCCAGTTCTGATTGGTTTCAAAGCCCCATTCTCTTTCCCGAAAATTCTCTCTGGGTTTCTTCTTTCATGCGCAGTGCATATGTCTTCACTTAATTTGTTTCCTTATCTTAAGTCTGCAATAATTCCACTGACTTCCTCAACTCTCCTCTTCTCTGCCTCACTCATTTATCTCTGCTTGAATTCAAACGCTGAGCTCTCCATAAAGCTAAGGAGTTCTAGGAGTAGATGATAATATGTCTCACCTTTACCAACAAACTTAAATTTCCTACATTGCATTTATTTTTCTGTAGCAACCAAAGCTCAGGGAAGACTTTGAAGGGATCCTGGCACCAGGCCTTGCTTAAAATGGCCACCCTGCCCCACAGAAGTACAAGCCAAACTGTAATACCTTCCCAGTGACTTTGTCCCGTTTGGCTAATGGTGATGATAAAGAGAGGTGAAATCTCTTGCAAAGGATCAGGCACAGGTTATCTGACCCTTAAGCAAAAGCCCAGATGTAAAGTTTCCTCAGTGATGTTTAAGTGCCATAGCTATCAAAACATCACTATTACGGAAATTCCACAGGAAACTTAACTTTGTTATTGTGAAATTGAAACTCTCCAACACTCTAAGCCTCCCTTTCCCTCATTGGAACAGTGGTTTTTATAATGGGATTTTGCTTTTGTTTTTGTTTCTGTTGGTTTTTGTTTTTAATGTTAGGAAAGACAATTGTTCTGTTCCACAGTCTTAATCTTGAATTTGATATCAAACCTCAAACCCCTCTGTAGACACACCATCTACCTCAAGGTTCTATTATTGTCACAGAGAACACACACTGTGCCTCCCCATTTCAACACGTTTTTTGCAAGGGGCTGGTTCCACAATGGCCACCTACCCAGCTGCCTCCCACAAATCAGGTTTCCTTCTGCCTGGATCTGCTTTAAAACTGTAGCTTGACAGCTGTATTTAAGGGGCATTGCAGCACAGGGACCGCTCTGCACATTCAGTAAGCCTGCTTTGAGCATCCTTTGTAAAACAGGTGTGGCACAGGCTACAGACACAGAAGACACCAGTATTCTGCCCTCCCGGAACTCACAGCCGGGGGTGGGGACAGATGGGCATTCCCCTGACAGTCACACAAATGGGAAAATGCAACCTGGGGTAACCGCTTCAGAGGAAAATCTTAGGGGCCAAGAGGAAGAATTAGTACAGCAGGAAGGCTGAGCCTCCTCTGGAGCCTCTGCAGAGGTGAGTTTAGAGTTGACAAAGGTGGGAACGGTGAAGGAGGGAAGAGCAGGGTGTGTTCCAGGCAGAGGGAACAGCCTATCCGGAGGCTCTGAGAACCAGGGTGCCTGGCAAGTTGGAGAAAGGCCCATCACATGTAGCCGAGGCAGCACAGTGCCATGTTAATAAACGGCCCATTCATATGTGGGGGCCATTAGTCCAGGAAGATAGATTTCCATCTTGAAGGTGTTTTTCAACCTCTCATTTTCCAGACTAGGAAACCCAGGCCCAAGAGGAGAAGGAGGCGTCCCACTCAGTGAGTGGCAAAGTCAGCCTCAGCTTCTGGGCAGATTTGCCAGGAAGCCAAACAAATCATACGCCTGAGACCCCCTTGCTGGTACAGCACCTTGCTGGGGTCTGTCCTTCATTTTGTATTTGCAATTGTGTATTTTTTTCTTAAAGAGGACTGCCAAATTTGCTTAAGCTTTATGCCCTGCCAAATGTGAACCTGCCCTTTGTGAGAACTTGGGACTTCTGGCTTCAAACTTAACACAACTGTAATGCTGCCTCTACTTACTGGGGTGGAGTCAAAGCTACACAGGGAAGAATCCCTTTTTTGAATTCAGCAAAGCAGAATGTGAGGGAGCTGCCCCCACAGGTTTGGGGAAGGTCTGCAGCAGGACAGGTCAGAGGTCTGGCTGGGCCAGCCCTTTTACGTCCCGACACGACTGTTTCTCAAAAGCCCTGATCCCTTTCCATATTGTAAAGCCACTAAAGATCACTCTTGGTTTCTGTCTTACACCCAGAAACTCTTGCTTTTACATGGCTTATTGTCAGGGACTCAGCTTCCCCAAATGAACAATACATTTGACTGCACTGTTCCACCGTGATTACTTGTTTCTAATTTATTTATCAATCGATAAGCATAACCTTTGCCCAAAACCTCACTCATCTTTCTCACTGATTCTAGTATTTAATCTCTCTTTAGACTTAGTCTGCCCAAGAGGCTTATGACTCGGAGGCTGCAAGACATATGAGTTGTAAGAGGCAGGATCTAGAGGTGTGTGGATCCTAGAAAGTGGCTTGTTTGGGCCCCAAAGCCCACATGCCTGAGTACTGGGATTTCTCCAGATCTTGGGGTGAGCGAACCAGGGAACAGTTCCTCCCATGACTATTTATGTATCCTGTAGAACATGAGCTCCGTGAAAGCAGCAAGAATGGGCTTGCTTTTCTCACCTATGCTGCTTACGACAGGTGCTCAGTAAGTAGTTGCCGAATGAATAAACAGGTGATGTTACCCAGAATTTTAAGTTCAAAGTCCCAGCCAGCAGGTGGAGTGATGAAAGTCATAGCAAATAATAACTGTATTTGCTGATACAGAAGACATCTTGTTATTTCCCCCAAAAATGTATCCAAATATTACCCTGCATCTAATGCATCTGAATTACATCAAATCACTAAGGATAGAAGCAGACGTATCGCTCAGTGTCAAAAAGCAAAATCACTGTCTCTCCTCTACAGTCAGGAACCAGACAGCCCTCTTTCCTTTTCAAAACTTCACCAGAATTCCTTTCAATACACTATTAGGAAAAGTACTAAGTTTTTCTTCCACCACCCCCACCCTCAACAAATGTCCCTATTAAATAGATGCCCAGCGTGGGGCCTTATATTCTGCAAGAAATAAGTATTTTGTTTAACCTCAGAGTTACTGCCTCATGGTCCTAATGGGTCCTCAGAACTCATTTTGCCTCACACTCCTTCCCCAAAAGTGTCATAGATATAACAACTCTGAGTCCCAGAGTGGACACCCGAGGCATTGGTAGTGAGAAGGGGGGTTTTTACAGCAACTTATGTGAACGTATGTGGTGTAACATACTCTCATCTCCTCTCCTAAGGACCCTGGAATGAGGTAGTATTAGTCCCATTTTAAAGATGGAGAGGGTGAGGCTAGTAGACTCGTAACAGGCGCTGAAGCCAGACCCCATGACTCATCTCACAGCCTTTGGATCCCATTTCTCAGATGAGAACATGAGGGCCAAGGCAGGCTTAAGAATAGGAGCATGTCACCTGACCCTCAGGGCTCGTACGCACACCCTGCAGAGCCATCTCTGAAGAGAGGACCTTGCTGTAAATTGGTGGTTCAAAACAAGAAAGGTATTTCCTGCTGGAAAATCTCATCTTCATACCCTCCCTCCCAAGCCTACCTTTAAGCTCCTTGTGAATAAAAAGCACCTTGCCCCCTTCCCCCTTGCCTTTGTTTCCCCAGGACTGGATAGCGACTTCCTTGCCGTGCTAAGTGACTACCCGTCTCCTGACATCAGCCCCCCGATATTCCGCCGAGGGGAGAAACTGCGTGTGATTTCTGAGTGAGTCAGCTCTCCAAAACTTGTGCAATCTTCAAAGCAGGATAAACTTGGTTTGGGAGAAAAGTATTTGATTGTTAGCTAGAGTGGTCTAGTTCCACATGAGTCCTGGTCCTATTATGAGGTGAGAAATTTGACCCATACTGCAACCTTCCTCTTTAATGTGGCCAGTGCTCTAGAACCTTCCATAGCTCCCCACTGCCTGGTAGATCAAATTTAAATTCCTTAACTTGGCTTTTGAGATCCTTTATGATCCAGCCTCTTCTCATATTCTTCTTATCTCCCACCACATGTGCAGTGTTGATGTTATGTAGGAATGAAGACCGGGAAGGCAGCCCCCAGGGTCTGGAAATCCTTCGGATGAGAAAAAACAAAAATTTGCCTTCTCTCCTCTTACCTCTGCAGTCTGATTCAATATGGGCTATAGAACATGACAGAAGTTCTAAGCCCCTTTTATTTAGATCTTCACTGATTCAGATATATGAAACTATCTTTGGCTATACTGCAGAGCATAAATCAACATAGTAAACATTTATTTTTAAAAAGCCTCCAACAGTTGGGAACATTAGCTGCTAATCCCTGAAAAGCAGCTATTTCTAGCACATGGGAGGGTTTACCAGTTGGCTTGCAATGGAGGGCTATCCACTGGACACATATCCTTTAAAAAGAAAATTTTCAGATGACGAAATATGGGTTAACGTGGCCAGTGACAGATCTTAAAAGAGGAATGTTCCAAACTGTCCTGGGTTAAATCTGATTACTCTGTTCATTCATCCTTTGGTTTTGCTATTTACCTATCTCTGTGTTCTTCTCTGTTCTTGTTCTTACAGTGAAGGGGGCTGGTGGAAAGCTATTTCTCTTAGCACTGGTCGAGAGAGTTACATCCCTGGAATATGTGTGGCCAGAGTTTACCATGGGTGAGTACATTTCTCAAATGGCAGCAATTAAGCATGATGCGTATGCTGGTGACTCATAAGGTGGAACAAAGATTCCAGCATTCATAGTGGTAAGGAAGGCACTGGGTCAAGAAGAGATAGTCCTGCTCCCAACCCAGTCAATAAGGAAAGGAGCAACCTTGGGCTAACTTATCTCTTCTGCTCTCTGGGACTCAACTTCTCCCTCAGTAAAATGAAGGAAGTTGGACCTTTCAGCTCTAACATGGTGCTCCTGGCACAGAGTGGTAAACAGCTGGGAAATGTTATGGGAGGGCACAGCACAGTGCAGAGACTAGAAGTCAGTGTGTCTAGGTTCAAATCCTGCCTCTGTCACTTACTGGCTGTGTGCCAGTGAACAAGCTTTTTATGCATCAGTTCCCTTTCCTCACCTGTCAAGTAGAGATCATAACATAGAACGACAGGGATAATAATATATGATAATATGATCAAAGTGTAGGGTTGTTAGGAGAATAAGATGTAATGATACATGTGTAGTTCTTGGAGCAATGCCAGGCATTACAGTAAGCACTCGATAAATATTAGCTCTATTCTAATCAAATACCTATCCAGAAACACACAGAATCCTTACTGCCAAAAATGCTTATGTGCCTTCCTTGAAAAATGGGTAAGATAAACAAGAGATATCTTAGAAAACTAGGCTCAACAGATAAGAAAATAAGCACCCTGCTTTCCCCTGTAGTCGTTCCAGTGAGGCCTCTGCAGCCTCCTGGGTGGCTTTGGAGCCCTGAACACCTGGGCACAAATCTTGGCTTCCTTCCTTCCATGTGAGGGTCCTGTAAAAGTCGCTTCACCTCCTGGAGTTACATTATCCTCATCTGTCAAGTGTCGGAAGCTGGAAGTTGGCAAAGAAATGCAAAGCACATTGGAAATGGAAAAGAAAGAAGGAGGCATCCATTGATAAACACTAAGTTACTTCTTCATGTCCAGAGGACTCTACATGCCACATGCTCATCTTGCAAAACAGAGATAACCACCTGAATCCTTTGAAGACTGGAATTCTGCGAGTTTAATTTTAGTATTCATGATCTTAATTGTGAATACCAGATGCCACTTCCATGCTTAGGATGATGAAGCTAAACAAAACTGAAGCAGGAGCTGCCGTGGGAGTCACGTTCTGAAAGAGATGGGAGTCACGTGACTCTCCTACATCAGCTGCTTGCCCTGGAGCCATTCATTCACTAGCAAGCATGCATCAATGCCTTCATGCTGAAGATGTGAGGCTGCAGCTGGCACGAGCTGGGGGTGGTAAGGAACCAGGAGGAGTGACATAATTATGACCCTATGAGGCTACCAATCCAACAGAGGTGATCACATCCCTTAACATATCAAATAGGAAGAGCAGGGCTGAGCACGGTAGCTCACGCCTGTAATCCCAGCACTTTGGAAGTCCGAGGCAGGTAGATGGCTTGAGGTCAAGAGTTCAAGACCAGCCCAGCCAACATGGTGAATCCCCATTTCTACTAAAAACACAAAAAGTTGCCAGACGTGGTGGTGCATGCCTGTAATCCCAGCTACTTGGGAGGCTGAGGCAGGAGAATCACTTGAACCTGGAAGGTGGAGGATGCAGTGAACCAAGGTCACGCCACTGTTCTCTAGTCTGGGTGATAGAGCAGGGATCCATTTCCAAAAAAAAAATTACATAAATAAAAGGAAGAGCAGCAGTGAAGTGAGGTGGTTATGGAATTGGATGTCCCAGAAAAATGCATTCTAATTTTAACTCTATCAACTGCTGACATGGTTTCCTGAGCAAACTACTTAATCACTGGAACCCTCAGTATTCTCATCTGTGGAAGAGAGATGATGCTTCCTGTCTCAGTGGGTTGAGGTGAGGATTAGGTTTCAGGTGCTTAGTACGGTGGGTGGCGCATTCCTGCCTTTCCTGGGGGAGGGCTTGTTCCGGATCCTAATGGCTGTCTTCCTCCTTCCCAGCTGGCTGTTTGAGGGCCTGGGCAGAGACAAGGCCGAGGAGCTGCTGCAGCTGCCAGACACAAAGGTCGGCTCCTTCATGATCAGAGAGAGTGAGACCAAGAAAGGTGAGTGGCCCCCAACTCATCTTTCCCCATCCGGGGCAGACAAGCATGTTTTGCTCCTGGCTGACTCATTACACGGCTTCATTTTCCTTCCTCCTACGTCCATGCAAATTGATCCAATGTAGTTAAGCTCCCTGCAGCCCACACGCTGCTGGGGAGGCCAGTGGGGAAGCAAGGGGACTAGAGACAGGCAGTGGGGAGCCGGCTGGGCACTGCCACGGGCCTGGCCAACATCAGGCCTGATGACTCCTGCTGGAAATTTTTCCAGCAACTGAGAACAAAACTGAACGCAGTGTGTAGGCAGCATGCTGTGCAGATAGAATGTGGCCTTTGGTATGGGCCTGGGCTGTGCTCTCAAGCTCTGTGACTGATTTGTCTGAACTCAGTTTTCTCATCTGTGAAATGGAGAGAACACCTCTCCCTTGTAAGGGTGTGGTGAGATTCAAATGTCATAGTATTTGTGTTGCTCTTGCTGCACAGACAGTCCCGATATCAGTTTCCTCTGTGCTCCGTAACTAAATCAGACAGCTCCGAGAATCACATGTGTCCTCTCACACAGTCACCATCATCACTAGCATTACAATTTCCTTGCATCATATGCATTAAGTACCACAGTAAAAACACAAATAGAGTGAGCTCTTTGTCATGATGCAAAGCAAGGGTCCCAAGTTCCAATTTTAGCCTTACAAATTACTAATTTACTGCTTCTCTCTCTCTAAGCCTCAGCTCCCTGATCTAGACCATGAGATTTACAGTAGGAGAGTACCATGTTTATCCCCAAATACTTAACAGCTAGGGTTTTCCCAGACTGAATAATAATAATAACTTTTTTAAAATTCAGAAGGTATCTTCAAGTTCTTGGCTTGCTTCTTGTACATTCAATATCAAAGAAGAGAAAACACACTATCTGAGAGTACTTCCCATGCACCTAATAAGTGCCAAAGCCACCTGGTGCTAGAGCCCTTCACCAAAATGAGCATCAGCCTTGCTTTCAGAAAGCAGGGACCACATATATATGATTTAAAAAAAATCTGCGATCAACTTTTCTCTAAAAAACCCAAATATGCTGGGGTACAGAAAGATCAATGCAAAAGCAAAACATCCTGTGCCTGTCCTAGAGGTCCCCGGAGGCAGGATGCCCCGACTCAGAAAGAAACTCCTAAGCTGGCCTGGCCAAAGGGAGGAAGAACCCAGGGTGGGTGTCGTAACTCATCTAAAAATAACGATGTCATCAGGCAGATGTGCCATTGTGCTGGGGCTGGGTGGGTGTGGCAGGCCCACCTTGGGTATGCAAAGCTCTGACAGTGTTTCACTTGCTACCCTCGGTCTGCTTACCACACTCCCAGTTCTGCTGACCTTACGGGAAGGCTCATGCTGGGTTGACTCACGGCAGGCCTAGAGCACTGTGAGGGATGTGTGAGGACAAGGGTCACACCCCAGGGTGGCATTTCCAAGCCCCATGCCTCTGGCCATATCCCATAGGGGCTCTAGGCCTCTGTTTTCCCATCTTTAAAATAATTGGGGGCAATACCTCCTATGATCTTTCTGAGAATTAATAGAGATTTCATGGCAATTGCTTAGCCCTGCCCAGCAGAGATAGCAAATAATCAATCAGCTCCCTTTCTCCTCTGTCTCTTGGGTGTTTTCTACTCCTGGAACCCCAGAGCAAGAGAGGACCCTGAAACATGGCCTACATCCAATTCTTTCATTTTGCATTTGAGGAAATCGAGGCACATGGCTGCGGTTCTACTCTTACCAACCCATATCAGGTCATTGCTCTAACGAGGCTTAAGGAGCAATAACCCGCCTTTCACGTGGTTCTTACGGATACCCAGAAAGATGACTCAGCTTCTCCAGATTTCTGAGAAGACTAAGCATAAGTCAGAGAGAGTATAGACAAAGGAAAAGGGGGCATAACTGCAAGGACCCCCTCAAATGTGTGCTGTGGCAGCATTGGTGGGACAGGGGCTGAAAGAGCAAAACAGTAGGGATCACATCTTGGAGAGTACTCGGGAAGGAGTCCAAAAACGACCATGGATCCTGGAGCTACAGGTTGCAACCAAACTACAATCATTCCATTTGGCCTCAGGATGTGGAAGCACCCCAAATGTGTTTGCCTCAAAAAGCAAAGAGGATGAGGCCCGGCATGGTAGCTCAGGCCTGTAATCCCAGCACTTTGGGAGGCCGAGGTGGGCGGATCACTTGAGTCCAGGAGTTCGAGATCAGCCTGGGCAATGTAGCAACACTGCACCTCTACAAAAAATAAAAGAATTAACTGGGCGTGGTGGCGCATGCCTGTAGTCCCAGCTACTCTGGAGGCTGAGGTGGGAGGATCCCTTGAGCCCAGGAGATGGAGGTTGCAGTGAGCTGAGATGGCACCACTGCACTCCAGTCTGGGTGACAGAGCAAGACCCAGACTCAAAAAAAAAAAAAAAAAAAAAAAAAGCAAAGAGGATGAAACCTGTGTTCCTGAAAACCTGTAAGGACCATGTGATGAACATATCTGCTTTGACACAATAATACACTTCTGCAGTCTCTAACGGGAAGCAACATCTAAACAGAGAAGGGTCTAGTGGAGGGAGGGGCTGCATCCTAGCATCACTGTTGTATCCCAAGGGTGGGCAGGTCTCCCTGCCTCAGTGGTGGTGGGCTGGTTAGCTGGGTGCCTTGGGGTGAGGACAGGTGGAGCCCACTGACTTATCCTCCACCTCCTGCAGGGTTTTACTCACTGTCGGTGAGACACAGGCAGGTAAAGCATTACCGCATTTTCCGTCTGCCCAACAACTGGTACTACATTTCCCCGAGGCTCACCTTCCAGTGCCTGGAGGACCTGGTGAACCACTATTCTGGTAAGAGACATACAATATGGAGTGATTGTGATGGTGGGACCCCTCTTAGCTAATTGCTCTGTGGCGCCATCCGTCTGGAATGCAGAGGGGTCTTGCTTACTGCCTATGCTGCCTTCATGATATGCTCTCTCGTTAATTCAGACTGTAAATTTCAGGCTGAAACAGACTGCCTGTGCATGTTGCCTTAATAAGTCAAATGCAGCTAATCTCAAATTTGCCCTCTCTCGAAGTGTACATTAAACAAGTTAGGGTGTGCCTAAATTCACAACTGCAACCAGCTTGCACATCCTTAAGTGGGCCATACATATTCAAGCCTCTGGGGCTTTGTTATAGAGTGCCACTCATTTCCCCTTTTCTGCTTGTCAGAATCCTCATTGGCCTTCAAGACCAACATGAAACGCCTCTGCGATGAAGCTATAGGAGTTAGCAGTGGCTACCTGTCTTCGCTGTGCTCAGAGCATGCCAAGGGTTTCTTTCCCAGCATTCCGATCATGCTTCCCCGTGGCCTGGTTAATTGTGTGCTAGGCTGTATTCCTCAACAGGCTCCTAAAGACTAAGAATTACATTTAATTCATTTTTGTGCCCTTCACAGACCCAGGAGAGAGGTCTGAATTCTCCCAGGCTGATAAGATGGGGAGCATCCACTGAGATAAAGCAAGCATCATGTGGTGTGGTGGCTGGAAGAGTGTAGGATACTGCCAGAGAGAGAAAGTTGAGTTATACTGTGAAAGGCCCAAATGTCAGCTCAGGAATCGGAACTTTACCCTACAGAAAAGGGAGAAATTGTGAACGGTTGGCTAAATGCTACATTTCCAAAAACCCACTCAGGAAGCTCTGTTTCTATCCCAGATCCACTCACTGTTAGCTAGGCAGCCTGAGGTTGGCTGTTTGTGTCTCACTTTCTTCATCTATGCCAGGCAGACACTAGTAGTTCCCCCTCCCAAGGACACCGTGAGGATCCACAGAGTTAGTTCATGGAAAGTGGGGAGGGTGCCTGGCCCATAATCGTGAGCTCCCATTAAATGCCAGCCACTTTTACCCAGCGGAACATTGCCATCCTCCCCACTTCCTCTGCATATTGGAGGGAGGAAAGAAAGAGGTTGCTTTTGCTTTGACAGCATCTTCCCCCTTCTGGGTTCAGGATGCTTGACCTCACACACTGGGGCAACTTTGTTGGCATTCTCTTGCATATGGGCTCTTGAACTGAGCAAGCAAAGTGCATTTCAAGGAGAAATGGGTCCACAGGGCTTTGGTTATCACAGCTGGCCCACGAGAAGCAGTGGGGCATGAGGCAAAAATGGCTGCTCAGGAGAGGCAGGTCCAAGCTCAGATTTGCACCTTGTGAGGCCTTGGGCAAGGTCAGCTACCCCTCAGAACTTGGGGTCCCCATTTATGGGAGGTGGGTGAATATGGGCTCCTAGCAGGTGATTATTAAACACAATCGTTCATGTAGTGCGTTCAGCATAGCCTGTCACATAGCAGATGCAAAATAAATGATAACACATATTACTTGTGATATCCGAAAACTTAGCAGCCAGGTAAAAACGAAAGAGGAAGGGAGTCCTGGAAACAGCCAACTTATATTGGTTATGAGAAAAGGTTGGTTGTGGTATTTGGCTTTTAATAACAACCATCGGAGGGGGTGTGGAGACCATAAGTTTTGCATAGACAAAAGCAAACATGAGAAGGATGCTGTCCTAGCAAAGCTTCTAGGGACCATGAGGCCATGAGGCTACCAGGCCAAAAATACCGAAATCTAACTGCCGCTGCTTGACCATGGGGAATATCTCACCCCAGTGCAGCACTGGCGCCTTCCCGCAGTATGTTCCTGGTCATCGAACCACTCAATGGATTACAGTCATCTGTTCACCTCTGTGAATAACTGAAAAGGGTAAAAACCGGAACTGTTTCCTATGCCCCTTGAGAATCTCCAAGTGGGAGCCACATGGCCACTTTTATCTCCACTGGATTCACTCTAAAGACACAGATGGGCCAGGCATGGTGGGTCATGCCTGTAATTCCAGCACTTTGGGAGGCTGAGGTGGGCGGATCGCCTGAGGTCAGGAGTTCGAGGCTAGTCTGACCAACATGGTGAAACCCTGTCTGCACTAAAAATACAAAATTTAGCCAGGTGTGGTGGTGGGCGCCTGTAATCCCAACTATTCGGAAGGCTGAGGCAGGGGAATCACTTGAACCCAGGAGGCAGAGGTTGCAGTGAGCTGAGATAGTGCTGCTGTACTCCAGCTTGTGTGGCAGAGCAAGACTCCATCTCACAAAAAAAAAAAAAAAAAAAAAAAAAAAAAAAGACACAGAATGAGAGGAATTGTGCACCAGGGGTTTGAATTGACATCTAGCAACAGGTTGCTTATAATTTTCATCATGATGCCTTTAGGCAAATTACTTGGCATCTTGGAAGCTCAATTTTTTTACTTACAACATGGGGATTAAAATGCAATAATTTTCACAGGATTGCCACTAGTCCAGTTAAAAAAAAAAGATGCATGTGAAAAATGTGGCACCTAAAGTATACCATGCATGGTGGTTACTGAGAGAACAGAGTGCATGGGGCATACATGAATTCTAAAATATGGCTGGGAAAATCAAGGGCTGGGGACCTTGAGGGTCTAGGAACCCTTCAATATAGAGCTGTTGGACCCTAAAGGTGCAGAGGAGTGTGCATTCTGATGAGCCATGTAGACAGAGGTGAATTAGACCAGGGGGTCTGAACCCAAGAGACAGCTGGAGGATGTCTTTCTTCTTCATTTAAGAGGCAATGAGTTGCTTTTAGAATGAGTCAATAAGATTGATTTTGGTCACATTTCTACGGCCCTGAGTAAGTTACTTCATCTCGGGATGCTCAGTTTTTCCCTCCCCAAAATGGGTATAAAAACACTGACAGCCGGGTGTGGTGGCTCACACCTGTAATCCCAGCACTTTGGGAGGCTGAGGTGGGTGGATCATGAGGTCAGGAGATTGAGACCATCCTGGCCAACATGGTGAAACTCCATCTCTACTAAAAATACAAAAAATTAGCCAGGTGTGGTGGCATGCAACTGTAATCCCAGCTACTCGGGAGTCTGAGGCAAGAGAATCACTTGAACCTGGGAGGCAGAGGTTGCAATGAGCCAAGATCACACCACTGCACTCCAGCCTGGAGACAGAGCAAGACTCCGTCTAAAAAAAAAAAAAAAAAAAAAAACTGACCACAAGCTGATCAAGGCCTCAATGAGATCCAGGGTACGAGGCTAGCTCAGTGCTGGGCTCATGTTATGTGCTTATGAGTGGTGGTTCTTTTGCTCTTTGTCAAAATGTATTTTTCACCCTGAGTATTAACCTGTCTAAGGAAGGACACTCACGGAGTGTCCCCTGCCTGTGCTGCACACTGCAGCTGATCTCTCCAGCCTTTGCATCTGACTTCATCTTCCTCGCCTCATATCCTGGGAGGTCATTTCAATTTCCAACCCATGACAGGTCATTATTTCAGATTCCCACCCGATTAAATCTCCCTCTAAATTCATGGTCTCACCTCCCATTTCTCCAAGGGCACCTGTGTGGGTGGACATTTGAGTTCACAGTTGAAGTCGGACTGAAAACCATGAAACGAGGTCTTCCTGGCTTGCCCGCCCTGTGACAGACTGAGTGTGCTTCTTCTGCTACAAATTCCTTTTGTTCTTTGGCAAGGATGCCCCAGAGAGCACTCCATAAACCCGATGGGAAGTGGGGCCTGTCAGAGGTGTGACGTGCTGTCGAAAACCTGGTGGTGGATTGGCTCTGAGGCCAGGGGTGGCTTAGCCCTGCCGGAGGCCAGTGGCACCTCACCCCCTTGACCACATCATCTCCCCCCAGGGCACAGGAGAAGCACTGGGGTTTTCAGCCTGAGTAAGACTGTGCAGAATTTCCTCAATCTCTAAGATGGCTGAGTACAGCAGAATCAAGTCTTTCTCATGATAACATGGGCTAGGGAGAAGCCTTCCAAGAGACGGAAGCTACATCGTAATGTGCCTGGAAAGATGGGGGATCCTGAGAGTCAGACATTTTATACAGAGATTTTCATGCAAGAGAAAAAAGAAACGGGTTTATTTAACTTTTATTCTTTTTGTGCGTGAGCTTCTAGAGTGAAAGAGAGATTGTCTTCATTCTTTGTCTGCATTCTCTTTGCCCTCTTTATCTTTGTTTTCTCTTCCCTCCCTTCCTGTGTCTTCTACTTTTTGTGCTATTTTCACCTCCTCCTCTTCCTCCTTCTCCCTCTCACTTTTGCTTTTCCTCCTCGCCCTCTTTCATTCCTCCTCTGCTCCCTCCCTCCTTTCCTTCCTTCTTTCATTGTTTCTTTTATCTTTCTTCCTAGAGATCTATTTAGTCCACCTGTTCCATTGTAAATGCACAACTGGGGGGATCAGCGCTGTATGCAGCCCCATTCTCACACCCTGTGAGGTTAATGGATTGGGCATTTGCGGGAAACCCTGGAAGGCTGCGGCTTCTGCAGGCACTCACTTGTTGCTTCATTTCTTTCATTCTGCAGTTGAAGAAAGGAAAGCTCAGAGACGTTCTTGATAATTTACTATCGGGGTAAAGCTAAAATTCAAACCCAAGCTTGGTTGATACTGGATCTTAAACCTCTCTCTCTGCCCATGCCTGGCTAAGTGCAGAGTATACCAGGGCACGCTTACATTTCTCAAACAGCTGGGCGCGTGACTTTCAGCATTGTCACCACCTACCATGCCCCTTTGAAATCTCAGGCCCAGTTCCCCATGGCAGCAGCCAGGGAGCTGCACTGGAGAGTGTCTCAGGCCTGAACCCCACACTGGCTGAGGCGTCCCCAGGGTCCCTGACCGGCTGTCTGCTTCCCTCCTCAGAGGTGGCTGATGGCCTGTGCTGTGTGCTCACCACGCCCTGCCTGACACAAAGCACGGCTGCCCCAGCAGTGAGGGCCTCCAGCTCACCTGTCACCTTGCGTCAGAAGACTGTGGACTGGAGGAGAGTGTCCAGGTGAGTATGGTGTGTGTATGTGTGTGTGTGTGTGTGTGTGTGTGCATGCAAGTGCTCTGTGAACATGTGAGCACAAAACGGTGTGTGTGCCGAGCACATGAAAACCATGGCCAGAGTCAGCCAGCCCTGCTGAAACTGGGGGGTGAGCACCCCCCACAAGTGTAGACCAAGGGAATCCCTGGGTGCAGGGGCAGCTTCAGGCCTCACGAGGTGTGTGGCAGCTCCCCCTGTTTCTGCAAACATTTACTGAGTCCTTATTCTATGCTAGCAATATACATTCTAGCTGAAATATACCACTTTTCCTTTTCTAATTGTTAGGATCCTAGAAAGTAACACATCCTGTGTAAATTTAATATTATTTAAAACCCACTCACAAAGCTTAAACACATCAGCAGAATCCTACAGTGACTTCTTTGTTTTTTCTAAGAGAAAAAAACTTTCATGGATTTGTTCTGTTTATTCCATTGTCAGCCTGTGAATTTTAAAGGATATCTGTAGTTTGGGATTGGTGGGTTATCTTAATAATTCAGTATCAATCCAGACATCCCATTGGCAAATCAAAGAAAATCAGGATCAAAATTATGCGAGACATGAAGAAAACTGCTCTTTCTTGTAAATAACAAAAATTAATTTTTACTAAAATTTACAGCTGGAAGTGTCAGCCATCCAAGAAAAGAGCAGTTCAGACGGGTTAAGTGATTTGTCCAAGATCACACAGCCCACAAATGTAAGAACCAGAATTAAAATAATGGGTTAGAATAATTGCAGTTAGAGTAGTTAGAGTAATAGGTTAGGGTAATAACTAGAATAGTAAGTTAGGGCCAGGCGCGGTGGCTCACGCCTGTAACCCCAGCACTTTGGGAGGCTGAGGTGGGCAGATCACCTAAGGTCAGGAGTTTGAGACCAGCCTGGCCAACATGGTGAAACCCTGTCTCTACTCAAAATACAAAAAATTAGCTGGGCGTGGTGGTGGATGGTTGTAATCCCAGCTACTCAGGAGGCTAAGGAGGGAGAATCGCTTGAGCCTGGGAGGCAGAGGTTGCAGTGAGCAGAGATTGCACCACTGCACTCCAGCCTGGGCAACAGAGCGAGACTCCATCTTAAAATAAATAAAGAAAAATAATAATAAGTTAGAGAAATAGTCACCAGGATTTTTGTTTTTCTTTTCCTCCTGTTCTCATTCTCTTGCCCTTTATCTCCTCCTCTCTCTATGACTCTCTTTTTTTCCCTTTCTCTACTGCCTTTTCTTCTGGCCCACAGACTGCAGGAGGACCCCGAGGGAACAGAGAACCCGCTTGGGGTAGACGAGTCCCTTTTCAGCTATGGCCTTCGAGAGAGCATTGCCTCTTACCTGTCCCTGACCAGTGAGGACAACACCTCCTTTGATCGAAAGAAGAAAAGCATCTCCCTGATGTATGGTGGCAGCAAGAGAAAGAGCTCATTCTTCTCATCACCACCTTACTTTGAGGACTAGCCAAGAACAGACACAATGGTTCATGCCCAAAAGGAACAGAAGTTCCAACTATTGCCTGGGATCTTGCGAAAAGCGAGGTTCCCTGATCCCTGGGAGCCTCACGTATTTTAGAAGCCAAGAGAAGCCACATGGAGACTCAAATTCGCATCTTCTCTATCCACATCATGACCAAAGGAACCCCTCCCTGGTGTCTGATCAGGGCTGTGGCATCACGAAACATTGGATCATGACATGTCGGGCGATGCTTGGAAGAGCCCAGCATGTATGTATGCACACATTGTGTGTGTGGGAAGGACAAAGCCACTCTCACAAGAAAGGGCACCAGGACTGCTCTCCAAGGAACTGGACCTGTCCAGACAGTTACACTCCAAGGTCATTGGAGAGAACTTCTGTATGGGCAAGCCTGAGAGGGAGAGGAAACAAAAGCTGTGTCCTGGCAGAAGGTCTGGGTTTGCAGATGGGTGCCCTGAATGGAACTACTTTAACTAATCCATAGGGACTTCTGGTATGCTTTCCTCTCTTTTTAAAGGAACTTCGTGACACTAAACATTAGCCCAAAGGACTTCTTAGCCTTCAATTGGGAGATACCTTTGGTCTGCTCCTGCACCAAAGCCATATGGGTGGAAGTCAGTTGGCCTCCCTGGTTCTGCAGAGGGCCAGAAGAATGAGAGAGAGGAAGACTGCTGGCAGGGAAATCGAGGAGGCGAGACTAGAACTGCACCAGCTTCCCTGATGTCTGCAGCCATGGCTTTGCAGCGCAGACAGAGCTTCTCTGGGATGCTGGGATTCTTGCCTGTATGAATGCATCAAGTATTCATTTATTGCCCGAATAGGCATTGCATTAAGTCCTCTGTAAGGTGTCAGGCAAGCCAAAAAAAAAAAAAAGATGCGTAAGTCCTAACCCCCAACAGAGGTGTTCACAGTGTAGACAGGGAAAAAATGTATAAACAAATGTGTAAAAAGAGAAATCAGCTCATGGCTTAGGATGGAATTAGAGACAGGTGAGGGACACTCAGGAGCTCATTTTCCAGCTGCTCTTCAGAGTGGAAGGGCTGGCTGGATCGGGTAGGTAAGAATAGCTGGATTTTTTAGAAAAGAAATGGATACAGTCTAAAGAATTAACTCACCCGGTACTTTATTCTAAGAAGGGTCTGGCATCCATATGAGGAAAAATGCTCAGCTCCAGGAAAGATGGGGAGTCCAAGTGGATTAATGATGTCATGCATAATTTTAAGAGACAAGGGAGAAAACACAATGTATAGCCAGAGAAGGAGAAGCTCCCATCCAAATCCTACTAGGAAGAGAGTGGGCTGCAGATGAATCTGTGACTCATGTTTCCCTGTTTCAAAGGGATCCTGGGGAAGGAGGGGAACATGCTTGCAGTATCTCTCCCTGTCTGTCTGCTCACATAAGCATTCCGTCCATCTGAGCTCATCGTGCTACTGGTATGTGTATGTGCAGTTACACAGTTTTCTGTATCATAGATTCTAGTGTGTTTATACAAGGAGACATCTGTGGTTTCCCCAACCGTTCCAAAAGGCTATTTCAAAGGAACCAGCCAACGTATGAGAAATGAATGTAACACTGTGGACATTGACTTCCCGCATAAGGCAGGGTGACCCCCTGAACTCCAGATGTCTGCACAGTATCTTATGTGTTGTTTTCCGTTGTGACGAATGTGATTGGAACATTTGGGGAGCACCCAGAGGGATTTCTCAGTGGGAAGCATTACACTTTGCTAAATCATGTATTTATTCCTGATTAAAACAAACCTAATAAATATTTAACCCTTGGCACACAGGGAGAGTTTCTGGGTTGAGGAGGATGGGTGGTTCATTCAGAAGCTCAGTGGGTTTCAAATTTTCAAATAAACGTGCAACTAGAGAGAGAGGAGTAAAGATCACCCAGAGAAACCTGGTGCCAGTTAGCAGCTCAGCATCTTCTTTAGGTGTGACCTTAAGAAAAAGCAGATTGTATGACTCTGGGGGGTGTCTTACGAAACTTGAAGATGGGCCTAAGGGATTGAAGGAAACACCAAATTCTGAACGATTGTTATAAAAACGTCCTGCCTAGATTTTCTGCACGTTACTTGTGATAGCTGCGCTATTTGTTCTTCCAAGAATTTCTTTCTGCAGATATTTCTGGACACCTACTAAATAGACACTGCTCAGGTACTGGGGCTATAGCAATGAAAACCAGATGAGGTCTCTGATATCATGGAGCTTGACATCATAAATAAACAAGATGCTTGGTAATGATGGTGATGAGGATGAGGGCAGGCTCCAAGCAGTCACCTGGCAGGCAGGACATCCTTCAGGTCCAGGCTTAGGAAAGGCCTCCAAGCAGAGGCAATGTTTGGGCTGAGGCCTGAAAGATGAGCAGCAAACAGCCTTGTAAAGATCTAGGAAGTGTATGGAGTCAGCAGGAATAATGGGGCAATTCCTGCAGGCAGGAAGAGCAAGACTGCATGCTGAAGGAGCTAAAAGGAGGCAGGGTGGCCAGACTGAGGGAGCTAGGGAAGGAGGGAGTGTGCTTAGGAGGTATCAGGAAGGTCCTGCAGGGCCCTAGAGGGTAGGGGATGGCATAGGGTCCATTCCAGGAGACATGAGGAGCCATTGAAAGGATCCAAGTAGGGGGTAAGACCATTTCACTGATATGTTTAAAAGATCATGCTGTGTGGAGGACAAATCTTTAAAATTCCAGCATTGTATTGTCTATTGACACACAAAGTTTGAAAATAAAGGGGCAAAAAATTTTAATGCAAAAATGAACAAAAGGAAAACCTGTGGTGCATTTTGAGACAAAATGGGATTTAAGGTGAAATAAATTGCATAATGGCAAAGAGAGATGTGCAAAAGGAACAAAACATTAAGAAGAAACAATGATTGCAACCTATGTTAATGGGATGATATAGTTTCAGAATATATTAAGCAACTGAACAGGGACAAATAGATAAGTCAATAATTTTATTTGGAGATTTTAATATACAAATCTCAGAAATTGATACAGTAAGCAAAGATAAGTAAATAAATAAATAGGTAGATAGATTTTGATAACACTATATAACTTTTCTGCCAACAAATGGATAATGTATTAGGTCACAGAGAAAGTACTAATAAATTTCAGAGTCAGAATCTTCCAATTCATGCTCTATGATAATAAAGCAATAAAATTGGAAATCAAATTCCAAAATGATGAATAAAAATTTAAAAATTCTAGGGATCTAAAGTCTAAAAAACAAATCCTTAGGTTAAGAAGAAAATAATGCAATAAATAAAATGTTATAAATAAATGACATATTGCTACTTTTCAAAATTTCATGGGTGTAGCTGATAGAGGGTAAATTATTGCTTGAAATAAATTGATCAGGAAACAAAGAATGAAAGTAATGAGATTAACTTTCAACTTAAGAAGCTAAAGGAACAATAGATAACCAAGGAAACGGGAAGAAGGTAGAAGATAACAATAAGACATCAGTGAAATAGACTTCTGAAAACACAGCCATAGAGAAGATTTTAAAAAGCAAAACATTGTTTAAGTAGACTAATGTGATAAAAATATGAACAAGCATGATCAAGAAAGATGATGGAGAATGAAAGCAAATCAAATGCAGTTCTGCTTGTAACCATACCTAAAGAGGGAGTGTGCCCCTTACCAGCAAAGCCCTAAGACGGCAGGTATGGTCCTCCTTCCTCTCCATCCCCTCCCTACTATCTGGAAGCCCTGGCAGCCCAAACTCAACCCTGCAGATGAGGAAGGCCTTAAGAAATGGCAGAGAAATATCCAGAAGAAACCAGAGCCCTGAGTGATCCAGAGACACCTGGACTGCCCCCTTGGCAGATGTTATGAGAGAGAGAGAGAAAGAAAAAAGAAAATGAACTTTTTTATCCACTAAGCTGCTTTAGTACTGGGTCTCCTCCTTATATCAATTGAGCATTTTGCTTCAATAGGTATAGAAATAAACCCGCCATTATTTGCAGAATAACGAGGAAACTTCATAGAAAATCCAAAGAAACCAACAGGCAAAGCATTAGACGTGACAAAACAGCTCAGCAAATTGCTGAATCCACTTATTTCCTAACACTAGTATTTTCAAACTGGAAAATACAATAGAAAAGAAGACAGCATTGATAATACCAAGCAAATGATGGCATGTGTAGGAACTTACCTCACAATGATTGCACAAAACTTTTATTAAAACATGTTCAAAACTGTACAAAAAGACCTAACAAGGCAAAAATACTACGTTCATGGTTACAGTGTTTACCTGATTCATGAATGCAAGGCTTAACACCATTACAATGTAGTTTTTTTTCTGAAATTAATGACCAAGTCTATGTCACTCCAACTCCCAGCAAAAATATTAGAATAAAACCTCAATAAGCTTATTCTAAAATACATGTAGAAGCATCAAAACTCATGAATATCTTGGTGAATTCTGAATAGACAAGCATAGCATGCTCACACTATGAGATATACTGCAAAAACGATAGAGAACAGTGTTCTGAGTCCAAACCACCATCTCTCTCATCACTTTAGTGGAACTCAGCACTGTCTCTGAACCAAGCGCTGTGCTAAGTGTTAAGGAAACACTAAGCGGATTAAACTCATATAAGTTTTCAAGCACCTAGTCATAGTAGAATTGGAATGAGAGATGTTAGAAAAATAATAAGCATGTAAAATAAGGCACAGTTACTAAGCATTGCTACATATAAGTGTTTTCACTAAGGTGAGATTCTTTCCTTCTGTTTCAAGAGATGAGGAAAGGCTTGGAGGCTTCATTTCAGCTGAGCCCTGAAGGACAGCAGGAACTTTCCAGGTGGATACTGGATATGCTGAACACAGAACAGAGATAAAAAGGCCTGGAGGAAGGCATGGCATTTCCTCAGAAGGGTGATAGCTAGTGAGCCTGGAGTGTAGGATTCATGCAGGATTCATGCAGGAATGGAGTAAAAATCAAGACCAGAAAATTTAGCTTGAGGCTGATTCCTGAGGTCAGGAGTTCACCCTGAGGAATGCAGACTTGGGGCGCTGTCATAGAACAGCAAGGGAAATGTTTTCTGGGTCCGTGAATCATACCACAGAGGACATGACCTTCCCTGTCTGAAGACTGTGCAGGGACACAGCCACAGGATGCATGTTTGCAACAAGTCATCCTTCATCCTCCAGCCTGGCCTCAGGACGGGTGAAATACCCTAGGACATACTTCCATCTGGAGTTGCCTTCCCTTGGCAAGGGAAGAGGGAAGAAGGAGCTTGATTTCTTGAGTTCCTATGTTGTGCAAGATAGTTTGCAAACCATAAGTCCTGATAACATCTCAAGACCTTGGGAAATACAATTCATCACACTGATTTGATGTGATAGGTGAAGAATACAAGGTGAAGTGTTTTCTCCAAGACCAGGATCTTCATGCAGGCCTATCTGATCTTAGGCTTCAGCTCTTTATCTTACACCTTGAGACCCCAAGAGAGTCCCAAATTCCTGGAAAGGCAGCATCACAGAGTGGGGAAATACAGGACTTGGCTTTAGGTTCTAGTCCTTAACACAGCTTCTTCCTTGCTGTGTGTTCTTTGGTAGGTCACTAAATCTCTCTGAGCCTCAAATTTCTTATCTCTAGGTTGAAAAATAAAATAAAGTCCCCATGCCAATCAGTGCAAGGAATCTGTGAGATAAGACACTGAAAGTGCTTTGTGGTCTCAAATGTGCTGAATGAATACAGGTTATTCATTATCATCACAGGGTTTCCCTTGACCAATGTTTCAACAGTTCTGGCCCCAAGATTTGCAGAGAGACTTAAGATTTTATCCCAGAATAAACTGCCAACTCATATTCATTTCCCCAAACATCTGTTGATAAAGAACACATTTAAGAACTGCTAATATATTGAAGTATTTTAGTTCTCTCAATTCCAAATAATTTCACATGCATCCCAAGGACTGCTGGGAGCAGTTGTAAAAGCTACTTCCAAATGACTAAAACAGATGGAAGGGTTTATTTTTAAATACACTGCCATTTGTTAAAACAGATTAGTATTTGAAATTCCCCAAACACTTAAACCCTCAAAAAGAAAAATCTGCTTTCTGAGCCCATTGGAAGGTATTTTTGGCATCTTCTGGGTCCTAATGAGTGTCTGGTTTTTGAAAGGGCCCTGGAGAAATCTCTCCAGGATCAATTCAACGCAGGATAGTTTGTTTTCAACACCAGGAATTGAAAGATGTTTGTGCTCAATTCTCCTGCCACTGAGATGGATCACCTTCGGAGGGACAGATTGCAGAAAACTGGAATCAAAGGACAAGACTCACAAGAAAGGGGTGGAAGGGAGGGAGCTGGTGTATCCTGTGGGTCCTGGGGCCCCGAGAGCAACAACTGAAACTTCCCCCAGTCATCTGCTCATTGCTGCCCCAAAATAATTATGGCACATCCACGGACTCTAAGATGTGCTGTGTGGGGTGCTCGGGGTCCCGTGGAGAGCAAGGCACACCCAGCCCCTGCTCAGCTGGAGCTAGCAGTCTTGTGAGGCAGCAGCTTTGGCACTAAGAGCAATTACTTACTGTTGGAAATCCTGGTGAATGCTGCATAGGAGACGTACAGGCAGCACAAGCCATATAAAGAGGGCTCAGTTCTAGGCTGAAAAGTCAGGAAGGCTTCTCTAAAGGAAAAGTAGGGCAGGCAAAGAGGGGGATGGGGAAAAACTGTTCCATGCAAAGGAAACTGCCTGTATGAGCCAGAACAGAGCATGAACTCCAAGGAACATGAAAGGCTCCTGTGGCTGATGGAGAGAGATGCGTGGCAGGTGACACGGCTTTCTGTTGGCAATGGTGACAATGCTGACCTAGCATCAGTTGCGCCCAAACAATGACACTTCTCCTACCCTCCTAGGATCAAGAGTTTGGATCCCTAAAAGGTTGGGCAAGGCTGAGGTACAGTTAATTGTTCTCCATCTTTCCTTAACTTGAGTAACTTTACAGTATCCTAACTGCTTTCTTTGCCTCCAGCGTTGCCCCTCTTAAATTCATTCTTCACCCAGCTTTAAGAGAGGTTGTCCTGAAGGGCAGCTCTAAGCACGTTTCCTTCCTGCTTAAAGGCCTTCTGAACACCCATGTTCACAGCAGCACTGTTCACAATAGGCAAAAGGTAGAATTCAAATGTCCATCAACAGATGAGTGGATAAACAAAATGTGGTCCCTCTGCGCAAAGGAATATTATGCAGCCATAAAAAGGAAAGAAATTCTGACACATGCTACAACATGGATGGACCTTAAAGACATTATGCTAAGGGAAATAAGCCAGACACATTAGGACAAATCTTACATGATTACACTAATATGAGGCACCTACAACAGGCAAGTGGATAGAGACAGAAAGTAGAGTAGTGGTTACCAGGGGCTGAGAGAATGAGGAGATGGGGGTTGTTAAAGGATACAGAGGTTCTGTTCTGGCGACGGATAGTAGTAATGGTTGCACAACATTGGGAATGTACTTAATCCCAATGAACGGAACACTTAAAATGGTTAAAATCATAAAACAAAACAAACAAGCAAACAAATAAATAATCAAAACCACTCTGAAGGCTCCCCATGGACTCAGGATAAAACTCAAGCTGTTCAGGGCAGTCTGGCTCATCTCTGCTCCACACTGCTGCCCCACCAGGGCTCTGTCCTCCAAGCTTTCCCTGTTGCCAGGACTTTGTCTCTAGGTAAATGCCTACCCAGCATTCAGCATTTGGCTCAGACACTCCCCTCAAGGGATGTGCTGATCCAAACTCCCTCCTTCCCTTATGCTTGGCTGGGGCCTTCTCTTAGGGCTGCCCTGAGATCTTCTTATAAATATCTGCTTTAAGCATTTGTCCCTCAACCCCCAGTAATGACAAGCTTCCTAAGAACTGGGTTATGTATAATGTTTCATGGCATTTCCAGCATCTTGCACAGCATATCTGGCACCAATTGGATGTGCCATGAAATTAGAAACTAATCAATGACAGATCAGTAAATACCAGGGCGTATGCAGTGGCCAACCAGGTTATTTTTTCCATCATAATTATTGTCATTATCAACATCATTGTATCATCACCAACATCATTATCATCATTACCACCATCATCCTCCTCCTCATCACCATCATCATCAGCCTCACGTAGCCGGCACTTCAGGCCATCCAGAAGAATTGCGAACAGTGAGTTCTCTTCTTTACCATCATGCATTGACAAGAGAGATAATTGATGGTTCAGATCACTAAATCCTAATGAACCACTCTCAGGAAATAGAAACACTTCACCATCTAAAATTTTTAGCACTTCAGACGTGAGTGGAAAAAAGTCAGGAGAGCTCTTCAGCATTGTGGAATCACACATACATGGAAAACTCCAAGCAGCATCCACACTCAGGACAAAGGACAAGGGAAACCCAAGCAATTGAAGCCAACTAGACTTTTGCAGCACAGGAGAACCACCTCCCCCAGCCGCATCTGCAGTAAGACTGAAGGTAGAACACACACCACTTACCATCAGCACAGCTCTCCGGAAAAGTTGGGAGTTGGTGGCCCTGGCCGTGAGAAGGTGGATGCTGGCCACATCAGCCCCGCCACGGTCTGCTGCCAGGGACACGCGCCGAGGGTCCCCGCCAAATCCTCGGATGTGGGTCTGCACCCAGGTCAGAGCCGCCACCTGGTCCAGCAGCCCCCAGTTGCCACTCACCTCTCCGGACCCTTCAGAAAAGAGGAAAGCCTTTTATCCTTTGTGACTTTACAACCTTGGATTTGAAAATCATGGTGCTGTCTATGGCAGGCATATATGCGGCCCCGCCAGGGGCTCTGGGCTCTTGTCCTCACAGGTAGAGACTGTGGGTTCCAAATACAGTGAGGAACAGTGGAGGAGCATGGGCCTTGAGACCAGACACACATAGGCCTGAATGCTAGCCAGCTAGGAGACCTTGATCATGTTCTTGTACCTCTCCTTTGCCAGCTAGGAGACCTTGATCATGTCCTTACAACTCTCTGAGCCACAGCTTCCCTGTCATTAGCTGAGGGGAGTTGCTCAGATTTGAGGCAGCACAGCTTCAGGTCCACCACTGTCTTGGCCAATCAGTGGGAAGGAGGTGAACTCTCTGCCCCATGTCTTTGACCCCTTCAGGTGGTTGTCCCTGACAATGGCCAGGCCAGGCTGGAGCTCTGGATCCCACCCTTCCCCTCACCTCATCATCTGAAGCCTTTATTAGCATGCAACTGAATTGATCTCTTTCCTTTTTCATAGAATCCAATTAACATTTGTTGAAAACTCAACACTATTTTTTTTTTTAAATAAAATGATCTAGATACAAACAAGTATAGCAAAAATATGCTCTTCTCCTTAGGTTTTTGAGACACTACATACACTTCTCGTTGTCTTGTGAATTCAGTAGATCCTTGCCAAACTACTCCACTAACTTGTCCTCTTTATCAGACCTTGAAACACCAGATCTCATTCTTGTCTCATCTGAGGTTCCCATTCTTCCTTTCTGACTTTGCACTAAGGAACCTCATCAGGTTCCATGGCCTTCATTACCACCTACATGTTGGTGATGGTCCTGTGTGTGTCAGCGGCCCAGCCCACTCCCCGAGCTCCAGACCCCTCACGTTTCTCCATGAGGCACCATAGTTATGATTCACAGGATTCAGCATCCAGCAAGAAACTACTGATGAGACCCCATATTCCCAAATAGGAAAAAAGAAAAGAAAAAACAGAAAAATCTTGCATCCTGATTCCCCAGTCTAGTAATCACAAAGTTGAAGAGAATACCATGGTCTCACCATGGAGGCAGACCAGCCGGCTGCAGTCCCAACTCCACCACTTACAGCCTTGAGGGGCCCTGGACAAGTTCATGTTCGTGTGCTTTGATTTTCCCCATCTGTAAAACGGGGGTGATAATAGCACTTCCTCATAAGGTTGTTGACTAAATCAGTTAATATTTGTAAAGGGAACAGAACCGTGCTTGTCATAAAGCACTATGGAAGATTACTTTTTCATAAAATAGAACAGGTTTAGGTTCTAACATTATGTTGCTGATGCTCTTAGCAGAGTGTTCTTGTCTGCAGCCTGCCTGAGCACTCCACTTAGCTCAGAGTGCATAACGACACAAATTATTCTTCCAGCTGTGGAGATGTTCAAAAGTTCTTCAAATGCATTTTGTGTTCTGGGACTGGTGAAGCCATTGGTAGAACATGATCCTCGCTGTGAACTTTCTGGATTGCTCATATGATCCATTTGTTAGGATGAATGTGTTTGTTTCCTCCAAGGTCTCAGGTAACCCAGGAAAGCAGGGCACCAACTGAGTCAGACCAAGTCCTGCAAATCTGAAAAGTGACGTCCACAGCCTGTATACCAGGGACAAGGAGGAGAGGAAATGTTCCTGACTCTCCCTTCCCATGTATCAGCTTTTTCCCCACTACACAAAAAGGGTCAATGTTGACTTCTGGGGTCTAGACTTCTGAGAGGTCAGAGGTGAGCATGTGCTCAAGGGGCCACTCATCAAACAAGTATGAATTGGGCTTCAGCTGCTATCAGGCACTATGCTAGGTAAGGCAGAAAGCAAGAGAGATCCTACCTAGTCCTAGGGACACACAACCTCAGAGACAAATGCAGAAGGCAGTTACCAAGCAATTACGGTCCAACATGTCTGGTCCAACCTTTTCCTTTACTGGTGAAGAAACTGAAACTTTAGAGGGAATGAGCTTGTTTACATGCAAGAAGTGAATTTGAGATCAAGTTGGGACTCAAATCCTATTTCACAATTAGAATTCTGTCCTAACATTCAACCCAATTCAATAAACATTTGTTGAAAAATCTATGATGTGCATTAAAAATTTTCAGTGCTTTATTTCTGAAACTTTCTCTGTTCAAAAAGCCTTTATACCTCCCTCATTCCTACTGCATCAAGTGCAAACTTCTTCCTGGCCTTCCTGACCTTCTAAGATGGGCCATGAGGCTATCTCATCAGTCTGGGTCCCCATCACTGCCCAGGGGCCGCCCCCTCTGCTGCAGTCTGTGTGTCTCAGCTCCAGTTCTTCTCATCCTCAGGCCCCACCTCACTCAGTCATACCACAGGCACACTCTTTGCCCCTTCTGATGTGCTTTGAGGCTTGGGCCCAGGGGCAAGACACCAGAGGACTGCTCTCAGCTGCCCACAGGGAGAACTGACCTGAATGGAAGCCCTCCAGGCCTGCACTAACACTCTTCTCCATCCACTGCCACCCGCCCTGGTCTGCCCCGTACCTCCTGGCTCCTACTCCTCTGCTCAGAGCACCCAGCAAGCATTCACCTGCTCCCTCATTGTTGAATTGGCTCTTGTTTGCTCATTCGATCTCTTCAACGATCTGATAGAAGCCCCTTAGCACTGTTCTGGGCTCGCCCTGGTCTTTCCAGAGAACATCAACAAGAGGCAGTGCAGTGTAGTGGCCATGGAACCACACCAGCCGGCTGCAGTCCCAGCTCCACCAGGTACAGCCTTGAGGGGCCCTGGACAAGTTAATGTTCGTGTGCTTTGATTTTCTGCATCTGTAAAACGGGGGTGATAATAGCACTTCCTCATAAGGTTGAGTAAATTAGTTAATACTTGTAAGGGGAACAGAACAGTGCTTGTCATAAAGCACCATAGAAGATTAATTTTTAATAAAATAGAACAAGTGTAGGTTCTAACGTTATGTTGCTGATGCTCCTAGCAGTGTGTCCTTGTCTCCAGCCTGCCTGTGAGGGGGCACCCACTGGGGGAGCATTCTGAGCCTGTTTTGGGTAGAGAGGAGAGCAGACCTGCTCAGTAGGCCTCCGAGTGTCCCAGAGACAATGAGGTCATGGCATGTGTGGTTACCGTTGGCAGCCGGACCTTCTGTCTGGTGTCCTGGCCAAAGCGCATTTCCTCTGCTCCCACACCCTGCAGAGCCCATAGGCCCCTTGTCCAGCCTATCCTCCTGTGTCCCGTCTGATGCCACCACCCCAGTTCCCTTCACTGCATTGCTTTGCCAGACAGAGAGGAACAACAACTTGGTGCCAGATGCCCCCTGGGGTCTGTCCTGCTACAGGGTCCAGGCTTGGGGAAATGGCCTCCCTTCACCCAGCAACTGCTTCCTTTCCAACTGCTCACATCCGTAGGAACCAAGACTCCTTTTAAACACTGGGCTGGGCTTGCCTTTTTTCACCAGAGAGCATGCGTTTGTCTAGTGGGCCTCAGGACTGGCACGAGCTTCTGCTTTCGTTTTCCTCTGGTCTCTTTCACAAAGTACCTCTGGAGTCTGGGGCTCTCAGGGACCGTTTTCACTCTGGGATACAGCAGCAGATGCTGCACATATTTATCAAATGAGATGATGCTCACGAGGGGCTGCTCAGCCTGGCTCTGTGAGTGACAGGGCTGCCACTGCTGAGATCAGGAGGCAGCTCTGTGCCAGGAGGCAGCTAGATACTGGGCCAGGAAATGATAAAAACACAGCCCTGCCTGGGAAGAGCCCCTGTCTAGGGAAGAAGCAGGGAATAAACATGGGTGAGTCCTGGTGCTTGTCCTCACACACTTCATCTCACGTGAGACGCCCTGCAAGACTTAGCATCTTCTGCTTGCAGACAGGCAGCCTGCACTGGGATGGGGAAGGAAGGAGCTGCTCAGAGTTTTGGCCCCACAGAGCCACAGAGCAGCTCTCAGACCCCATCCTGCTCAGATGCAAAGCCACATTCCCTGCAGAATCCTAGGCTGAGGCTGGCATGCAAAGTAACCAGCTCTTTCCAAATCTATGTTCTGAACTGCAATTTTCAATGACTTAAACTGGAAAAAGGGAGAGATGAAGAGGTGGAGCACAGGAAAGTTGGAGGGCAACAAAATGATCCTGTTGGACCTTGTAACGGTGGGTCCAGGACATCAGGCAACCCACAAACCCTAGAGAGCATCCAACACACAGGACGAACCCCAAGGTAAACTGTGGACTTCAGTAAATCATAATGCACCACCATCGGCTCATCAAGGGTAACACATGTGCCCAACCAAAGCATCTTATAAATAGCAGGGCAAGAAGGAGGGGGAGAGGGAGTGTATGGGAACTCTCTGTCCTTTCTGCTCACTTTTCTATAAACTTAAAACAGGTCTAAATAATAAAATCTATTATTTAAAAAATATGAAAGAGGGAACAGTTGCACCAGTGTCGCAGGCTTATTGGGGGATTAACTGGGATCAAGGGCTGGCCCCTTTGTGCTTCAGGATGTGAGCACCTGCTTCCTGTTGGCCTCTGCAGGGCCAGGCTCAGTCCTGTCTCTGAGCTTGCCTGAGGCAGGCGGGAGATAGCTCCTCCATAGCAAGAAGCCTGAATCTGCATCATGGCTCTGCTGCTGCTGCTCTGCCCTTTCCTTATCTCTGTGCCTCAGTTTCCTGAATGATTTGGTGAGGATGTGAATGTCTTTGCTCCCTTCTCAGAGCTGAAGAGCACGGAGGCGCAATGTGAGAGACTGGGAAGTCTGGGAATGTGGGACACACGAGGCAGGCTAGGAAGGAAGGCAAAGAAAATGGCCTGTGTCTCTCTAGTAAAATAATTTATAATCCTGTGGGTATATACCCAGTAATGAGATTGCTGGGTCAAATGGTATTTCTGGTTCTAGATTTTTGAGGAATCGCCAAATCATTCTACGATAAAGACACATGCACACTTATGTTTATTGCAGCACTATTTACAATAGCAAAGACTTGGAACCAACCCAAACGCCCATCACTGATAGACTGGATAAAGAAAATGTGGCACATATACACCATGGAATACTATGCAGCCATAAAAAAGAATGAGATCGTGTCCTTTGCAGGGACATAGATGAAGCAGGAAGCCATCATTCTCAGCAAACTAACACAGGAACAGAAAACCAAACACCACATGTTCTCATTCATAAGTGGGAGTTGAACACTGAGAATACATGGACACAGGGAGGGGAAACAACACACACCACGGCCTGTTGGGGGGCGGGGGGCAAGGGGAGGGAGAGCATTAGGACAAATACCTAATGCATGTGGGGCTTAAAACCTAGATTACAGGTTGATGGGTGCAGCAAACCACTATGGCACATGTATACCTATGGAACAAACCTGCATGTTCTGCACATGTATCCCAGAACTTAAAGTAAAATTAAAAAAAGAAAAAGAAAGAAAGAAAGAAAGAAAGAAAGAAAGAAAGAAAGAAAGAAAGAAAGAAAGAAAGAAAGAAAGAAAGAAAGAAAGAAAGAAAATGGCCTGTGGCTAATGAATGCAAAAGACAGACACTGTTCAGCACAGCTGAAGAACAGGGAATTGAAAGGGCGTGTCCAGCCATCTGAGGGAGCTGCCTGCACTACAGTATTTCTTGTTGTTCCACCAACAGAGTTGAAGGCACAGGATGCCACTTGTGACTGTGGCGATAACATTCCTCAGCCTCACTGAGCTCCGCTGACCCATCTGTGAAATGGCTGCTCCCTGCTGGCCTCAGAGATCTCCTGTGAGAAATAGATGAGGTAATCCAGGAGAAATATCTGGTGAAGACAGACACACTCCATAAGTGTAACTTTCCTTCTCTCTTGCTGATGGTTTTTCCCTTGAGCAAAATGAACAGGCAGGCTTGGTGCACATCAGGAATGAGCGGGTTGGGTGTTCTGGAAGCTTCCGTTTCCTTCCCACAGGCTGCCCCTGCCGGCAGCCAAAATGAGTTTGCCTCTCCAGAAGCACATGAATTCTCAACAAGATTACACTCTGTGAAATCATAATCCCCCGCCCACTGAGGGACAGACGACATATGGAAACTCTCTTCTGTCTAGAAATGCTCTAAGCCAACAAGACAGCCATGTCTGGGAAAAGTTCCCCAGGCCCAGGCTCCTTGGGGCGAGTCCTGATGTCACCACCTCTAGAGGAAGGGGCTACCAATGGCACAAATTATGGTCAGTCTTGTGTTCACACAGAGGAAAGCAAACCCAGGCCAAGAGGTCTCCCTCTTCAAAGAGGAAAATAAACTCACACGTGAATAATTCTTTAAACACTCTCCAAAGAGCTTCCACAAAACCCCAGTTACCATATTCACTTCTTACCACGACATATATGTGAAAGAGGGTGGGGATAATTTTCCTTATTTTACCACCAAGAAAACTGAGATTTGGAAAGGCCAAATGAGGGACCCAGAGTCTCTCAGAGCCAGGAAAGGGGAAGTTATATCCGTCCTTGGATTCCCAGCTGACCCTGCTCCCCATCAAAAAAAATCTGAAATCTGTTTCTCATCCTCATCTACATAGACATCTGGTTGTTATTTGTCTTAACTTGTTGCCCATTTCATAAGTCTAGAATCTTCTTAGCAGCATCCAAGGCCTCATGCCATGTGGTCATCCAGGTTTCTGCTCATGCTGGACGCCTACCCCACACATTCACACACATTCTAGTCCAGCTGGTCATTCCGACCACCTATCTTCCATTCACCCACCCACACTTAGCACGTAGGATATCTCAGATCTTAAATGAGACCCTTGGGAAACAGAGATGAAGCAGTCACTATCCTCGAAGATGTGCAAAACTCAAGTCTCTGAAACCCTTTTACATGTATTACCTCATTTAAGCCTCCTCATAACTTTGGAATCAGGTAAAATTATCCCCATTTTACCGAGGACAAGACTGAGACTGGGTGAAAGGAAAGGTTTTGTCTGAGGGTCCACAGCCGGAGGTGGCCCTGGGCTCTTCAGATTCCTAGGTCAGTGACTCTGTCCCGACCACTGCAGCTGATACATTCCCTGCTGCATGTGGTAGCTGGAGGAAAAGACGTGGATGGAGGATGTTTAGGTTGGTCCAGGGCTCACTTCAGCCCTAGGAGTCAGTGGGGAAGATGGAGGCCATAGATGGGGTGATCAACAGGTTTGTGATGAGGGACAGGCCATTGTTCACAAGTGAGGCCAGTATTAAAAGGAGGTGAGAATCTCCTTATTGATACAGCCCTGATTCCAAATCAGATGGCTTCCCTGTGGGCAGAAGAGCTATGTAACTCATCCCCTGGGGTTGTTCAGGGCAAGTCAATTCTTGGCCCTGCTGTTCCCTGACTGTATAGTCTTAAGCCAGTTTCTAATCTTCTTGGGCCTCAATTTCCTCTTTAAACTACACACTCACACATACACACACATCACAAGATAAGACCTGTAATGGACTTGGAGCAGTGAAGCTCAGACATGTAGTAAGTTATCAATAAATGGCAACTATCATCCTTGTCTATGGGTGTCAGTATCCCCGGAGGGTCTCCCATATGTGCTAAAATTTCCACTGTGTGCCTAGCTTGGCTGGAGGAGGAGCAGGGGCAGTGAGGGGATGGGTCTTGGGGAAAAGGGGCTGAGCCTTGGCTCAGGGGGTCAGCAGCTCCCACCAGAGGCAGCAACTCACCAGAACTCAGGAAGCCGAAGACACCCACTCGGTAGCTGGCAGTGACCACGATGAGGTTGCCAACAGCAGCCAAGAAGGAGCCGTCGATAGCCGGCCATCCTTCACTCTCCTCCCTGTCCATGGTGTTGTGGAAGAACACCAGCACAGACGCGTTAGGGGCCTGTGGGTATTGGAGAAACATGAGGCTAAAGTGTGGGGAGGGCACCTTTCCCATGCTTGGAGCCTGATTCTTGGTTGACACAGGACTCCTCTGGCCAGCTCTGTGGCATACTTAGCCCCATGCAGTGGATGGAGCTGTGTCCCTCTAAATTTATACATTGAAGTCCTAGCCCCCAAGACCTCAGCAGTTCACTGTATTTGGAGATAGTGTCTAATGTGGTAATTAAGGTAAAATGAAGTCACCAATAGGACCGGTGTCCTTATAAGAAGAGGGGGTCAGGACACAGGTACAGAGGGAAGGCCACATAAAGACACAAGGAAGAGAAAAGGAACATCTACAAGCCAAGGAGAGGAGCCTCTGAAGGAACCAGTCCTGCAACACCTTGATCTTGGACTTCTGTCTCTAGAATTGTGAGAAAAATCTCTCTGTTGTTTAAGCCACACAGCTTGCAGTGCTTTGTTATGGCAGCCTGAGCAACTATTAAACCCCATTCATAGAGAAGGAAACTGAAGGTCACAAAAGGTGAGGACACTTCTCCCACATTGCAGAGTGAGCAGGTGTCAGAGATGGCTGCTCCCTGCAGACCTGGAGCCCGTCTCATGGTAACACACAGCCTTCCAGCTCCCAGTTCTGGCCCATGGTTTATTCCAAAAAAGCATTCTGGGTCCTTGGCGTCCCCTTTCCCTTGGATGCTCTGTGACTGGACCCATCTTGGTAACACAGAGCTAGAGTTTAGTATGCACTTACTAGGAGCCAGGCACTGTGCCAAGTGTTTACAATGGGGCCTCAAACAGTTCTGTGAAGTTGGCAGATTCTTATTATCCACATTTGACAGGTGAAGAGGCAGAGGCTTAGACATGTTGAATGGCTTGCCTGAGATCACACAGCTAGGAGGTAGCAGAGCTGAGGGTTTGGAAGTAGGCCGACCCTATTATATTAGAATCGTGTGTCTGAGCTGGGGATCTGAGGCCCCAGTTCAGGCCATGGGGTAGGCAGGCACCCGGTAACTCGTGCTCCATCCAAGGTCCTGACTCCTTGTGACATCACCACTCCACATATGATGGCCTCAGACAGACACACAGATGTTTCTACAAAGGGGCCCCCTCACGTGAGCAAACACTGCCTGAGGACCTGCCCCCGTAAGTGCTGTGCTAAAGGCTCTGCCCTAGAGTGTCTCATTTGATCTTCCACCCAAGGTGGTAGAAGCTATGGTGAACATAAGCACCCCACTCTACAGCTGTGAAAGCAGAGTTTCAGAGCAGTGGAGTCACTCATTGAAATGCCTTTCAGAGAGGAAGGGGCTGACCTGGAGTCTCTTCCTCTCTGACATTCCAGCTCAGATGCCACCACTTGGTGGCTGTGGATTCTTCGAATATGAGGTCTTTTTAAATGCCACAGAGAAAGACCAGCCTGAGTGGTCTTGAGTTCATTTGTCCTGTTCTGTGGGACAGATCAGTGAAGGGGCCCTGTGTCCCCCTCCTAAAAGTGCCCGACTCATCTTTATTGGGTAGCTCACCAACAAGGGAAAAGGCCGTTTGGCTTGTGGCTGCTGAGGCAAGGGCAAGGCACAGAAAGAAGAGGCAGTCCTCAGCTCCCGCCTCAACGACAGCCACAGGAAGTGTCCAGGAGGCTGGCCCCTCCTGTGCAGGGCCTGTCACCTGGAGGCCAGGTACTGCCCATCTGGACTGAGGTAACACTGCTCCTCCTCCAAGGTCAGGATGGGGCCCGGACAGCCCAAGGCAGAAAAAGCCAAACTCTCTGTTACTGGGAAATGCCCTAAGAAGAAAGAGCACTGGCTTTGGAACACGGCGACAGGGATGAGCCTCCACTCTGCCCATCTGAATATCCTTATGTAACTCACTTAGCCTCTCTTAGCCCCAGGTCTGCACCTTTAAGATAAGGGTAAATATATCTCTCTCCATTTTTCTGTCAATCAATTGATTGACTAATCGATTTATCAATCTATCTATCCTCCTAGAGTTGATGTGAAGACCAATAAAATCATAGATATAAAAGTGCTCTTTAAACTGCAAACCACGTCCACAGTCTTCTTCCTGACACTATGGAAAAAGCACACGCCCATGGTCACCACTCACTGGTTCTAGCCACAAGCTCTGAGGACCAACTGACCAAGTCCACAGATCACTCACTAACTGAGTGTCCTTAGGCAAATCACCTAACCTCAGCTCAGCAGGCCACAGAGGAGGAGACTGAACTGTGCTGGCCACAGTGGGGACAGTGGATTTCTAATGGGACAGTCTTCAGGGCAACCATAGCAAGTGCTTTTGAACTCACCACATTCTGAGGGATGAACACATTGAGATACAAACAATCTTCACTGACTCCAGGAGACGTGGATGTTCTGGTGCCTGGCTGCCAGCAGCTGGCCCTGCAGATACAGACTGGGTGACTTCCAAGACATGCTCCATCACCACCCCTCCCCACCCACCACCATGGTCAGAGCCCACTACCCCATTCCAAAGCCTGGCATCCCACCAGCTCTGCAGAAATTAGGCAGCTTCAGGAAATGGGAGTGGAAAGATTCAGCTTCAGTGAATGGAGGGAATGACAGAGTGCCCACCGCTCTCTGGCCACTGGCCTGTGGAAGAACATTCCCCAGAGACAATGCACCAACTTAGAGAAGTCTGCTGATGCAACAGCTTGAGATAGAGAAGAAGACAATGAAAGCCACTCAGGACCTTGGCCCTTCTTTGCTCCAAGAGTGCAGACTCTCCTCTGGAGGGGGTGTCCTACCTGCTTTCTACACCAGTACAGAGTCCTACAGTGCTGGTTTGAGCAACTCCCAGTATGAGAGCTGACTACAGCTGTGACTATGACTAATGGCAGCGCAATGGTCATCTACCCAATGGGTGACTTGGCTCATCACCTAATCCTTACTAGCCCTGGACTACAATGACCCAAGCTCTCAACTACTCTCCACTCAAACCTATGTGACTCCGTCATTTCATCTGTCAAATGGGTACATCCTAACATGGTAAGGCACTTTAATTCACGCATATTTGTTATTTTTGTTTCCCAGCAGTGGAGCAGATGGAAATCCATGCCTTTCCACTCCGACTGCCACCATCCTAGCTGAAGCCCTTATCACCCTTTTCCTGGAGTACTTTAAGAGCCTCCTAGCTCATCACTCTATCTAGTAATGGGCCCATGGACCTGCTTAGCAGCCAGCCATGGTGATAATGGGTATGGAGGTTGCAGCTGCCTGAGGATAGAGCCATGGGGTACCTGTTGGGAAGGAGATTCAGTTGGGAAGGAGAAGAGCAGCAGTAATAAGTGCTGTTTTCACAGATACTCCGAGTATGCTTTAATTAGAAAAAAATCACAATATTGTTCTTCAATATGCTTGCTATTTAAAGTGGTATACACATGGAAAAGAGGAAAAAATGAAATTTTTGATGAGGAAAGAAGATAGGATATGGGTGCCCTAAAAAAAAAAAAAACTTGTAATTTTTTTCCTAGTGGGAAAAATTTCATTAGCTCATTTACTTTCCCTTCAATGCTGTGTCTCCCAGCTTCATTAAGATCAGATATGGCCAGGAAGCTGAGCTTGGCCACTGCAATAGCGGTGCCAGTGATGTGTGAACCCCACTTCCAGGCTTATTCTATGGGAACCTCTCCTGTCAATTATTTCACAGCCTCTCTTCCTGGATCAATGTCCAGGGGACCTTGGAAGATTCATGCTGAAGAAGGCAGAGCCTCCATCAGCCTGCGTCCCTGAATCACTGCATGGAGCAGAGCATACAGGCCCCTCCATCACCTGATGGGCTTTACATGAGCAAAACAGTGTTAAGCCACTGTTACTTAGGAGTTTATCTGTCACAGCACTTAATGATATCTTAGCTAATATATTCCATCCTCCATACATTGCTTTATCCAAAATGCACTGCTCTGCTACTGAGTCCCATTTGGATAGATTAGAATGGAGGAGATTTCTCTGAGCATTTACCAAGATGTGCTCCACTCAACCCATACCTTGGCTTGCTGGCATCCCAGGAGCCTGTCCAGTTCAAGGGCTCTGGTGCCTGGAAGCGCCTCTCTGCCAGGGGCGGGGCAGCATATGGAACTCCAAGGAACTGGTCCACTTGCTTCCATGAGGTACCCACCTGGATGGCCTGGGACCTGCCCAGCAGCCGGCCATGGGTGGAAATGGGCACAGAAGGTACAGATGCCTCATAGCTGAGCAGAGAGATTCCTGTTGGGAAAGGGAAGAGAAAGGGGTGAGGAAGGGGAGAGGCCTCAGTGAGTGCTCTCTCCACTGGCATTCTGAATGTGCTTTCAACAAAAGAAAAATCACGGTTTTTGCACCTTGAAAATGTCAATCATTCATTCAGACCCCTACAGCTTAAATGTAGTCAGGTTTTCAATGTAAACAAACAAAAAAAATGGCAAAAACAGCTGATCTTTATTAGGCACCAAAATGCACAGAATGCAATGCTAATCCCTTCTATACATGGATCCAGGCCCAGGACCCTTTACCAGCACCCTGGGGCCTTTTGAAAGAACAGAGAAGCAAACAGCAAACAACACCCAATCCCCTGGGGAGGTCTGGAGTGCAGCCCCACCTTTAAACACAGCCAACATTTCTGTGGTGAGATGTGTGGGTTACTCATCCTGAGAGAGATGAGTAAAGAATAGAATTTCTTCAGCCACCCATGTCAGATTTTGCTGCCAAATGAGTTAGCTGTAAACTTACCAAAAAAAAAAAAAAAAGACTTTTAGGACTTTTGGGTTTCAGAATTGCAGTGCAGGGGTTGCAGGCCCACATTTACATCTCATTAGTGAGGGAAGAGATGTAGAGGTGGAGGCCTAGGGCCTGCTAGGATCACAGGTGATATAGGGTGATGTAGGATTCAAAGCCACACCTTTCTCAACCCCAGCTCTGACCACACCCCATGCACAAAGGGTTGGGACCAGTTCAGAGCTTTGCCTCTCTCTGCGCCAAGGTTGCCCTGGGTGCCCCAGCTTGTGAGGCCCTCCTGCCCATTTTTTCATGTCCAAATCCCTCCTTGTCCACAAGGCCAACACTGGTGCCGCCTGCCATGCCTCCCACCCTGCTCCATGCAACACTAATCGCCAGCGACGTTCATCAGTTTCTCTGTAGCCCTATCTTGTTTCCTCGACGACATTTTCTTTCATTCATTGATTGATCTGGTAAACTTTTGTTGGGCCCAGGCTCAGTGCCAAGTACTGTTTTCAGGAACTTAAGACAGGCCTGTCTGATGCCACACAGGACTCAAAGCCCTGCACAAAGGAAGCGGTAAACACTCATGGAGAGATACTTCAAGTGTGTGTGAGAAGTCTCTTATTTCTGACACGTAGATTTGGTCTGCTGAACTCCACTCTCGGCTGATTGACAGACAAAGCCTTTCTGCTTTCTCTGCAGATCCTTCTATAAAAATATGTATCTATTGCAGTGGTGACTAAACAAGACAGTGGGGAGAGGAGGCAGATAGACCTGCAGACAGAAGTCCATCTACTCCGCAGGAGCTTTGTATCATATAGAGGTTCTCAACTGGAAGTAATTTTGCCCACAGGGGACATTTGGCCACATCTGGAGACATTTTTGGCTGTCACAGGGGTCAGGGAGAGATGCCACTGACATCTGGTGGGAGAGACAAGGGCTGTTGTTAGACATCCTACAGTAGGCAGGACAACCACTGCTCCCACACATATACAACAAAGAATACTCCAGCCCCAAATGTCAGCGGGTTCTGAGGTTGAGAAGCCTGGGTATCATGTCTGTCCTTGACTTCCAGGTCACTGAGCGTCACCATGGTGAATTGGTTAAGGAGTCAAGCAGATCTGGGTTTTATGCTTATGGAACAGCTAGTTATTGGAAAAACTTTACAGTCTTTCTGCCTATGAAATGGGAACAATAGCATCTCCTACAACAGGAATAAATAATAACACCTGTAATGTTCCAAGCTCAGTGCCTGAAAAATGGCAGAAGTCCAACACATAAGTAAATGAATGAATGAGTGGAAGGAAAAAAGGAAGGAATTGGCAGGGGTGGGGGGACACAGGGAGAGAAAAAAAGAGAAAGAGGAAAAAAAGAGCAAATGAAGCCTTCTCTGTCGCAAAGACATTGGAATATGAGTTAGAACTCAAAATGGAAACTCAGGCTGGAAAGGAACAGTTGCTGTTTTTTAATCTGGCCTCAATCACAAATCATGGCTGATGTCACCCCATAGTTCCTCCTTGCAAAACTTCCTGTCACAATCATAAATCAAGGGGTCTTGGGCAAGCACTCAGGACCGTGGCTGCTGAAGTGCTGGAACCTCATTCTGCTATGCAGGAAACAGCCACATTTTGTATACGTGGCACATCCAAAGGCGGGAGCAAAGCCAGAACAAATATAAAGGCTGAAGAATTTTGGGGGAATGCAGGCCTGCTTTCCCATGGCAGTGGTATTCAGTCTTCCCTTCAGAGGCTGCCCAGTGAATCCCCAACTCAATGAGATCAAACACGGGGAAAATGTTAGATGTGAAGTTATCTCTTTCAAATTCTTTTGCAGAAATGGTAGATTCTTTCTAGAATACCCACAGAGGCCACGTGACTACCTGGGTTAAGAAAATTATCTGTGGCCATGTGTATTAGCTGTAAACAAATAACGTCTGTGTGAAAGTTGAGACACCTGTAGATGCATATGTGCACACATCTTTTGGAAGTGAGCATTTCCCATTGAATTTTAGTCACACTGAAGTAATAGAGAAGCAGTCTAATTTGTGTTTTACAGAACTCAAACCTCAATGTTAAGTCATTTTTCAGCAGAACTACCACACAGATTGCCCACACTGTTGTGAAATATACTATTAAAATCTATAATCCCAGCAGTTTGGGAGGCTGAGGCAGGTGGATCCCTTGAAGCCAGGAGTTCAAGACCAGCCTGGCCAGCATGGCAAAACCCTATCTCTATTAAAAATAGAAAAATTAGCTGGGCATCATGGCATGCACCTGTATTCCCAGCAAGGCATGAGAATCGCTTGAACCCGGGGGGCAGAGGTTGCAGTGACCCGAGATTGTGCAACTGCACTCCAGCCTGAGTGACAGAGTGAGACTCTGTCTCAGAAAAAAAATCTACATAGCCTGACTAAATAATATAAATGTCCAGATAAAGAGAGGGCAAGACTTACGATTGAGGGCCTAACAGCTCATCACCTAGCGATCAAAGCATTCTCAGGTCTGGAAGACACTCTTGTGGTCTGAAGGCTAAGGCTGAGGAGGGGGCAGAAGAGGAAGATATCTCTGGAATCAAGACAGAACCAAAGGACTGTCAATGCTCTAGGACAGCATGGGGCCAAATCTGCTGCTACTTGGTTTTGTAAATAAAGTTTTATTGGAACACAGTCACATCTACTGACTTACATGTTGTTTATTGCTGCTCCCATGCTACAATAGCAGCTGATTAGTGTTAACAGAAAAGAATGGTTGTAGAACCTTGCTCTAGAAGACAAGATGGCAGATGTAGCTAACAACAGTCATCAATTTCATCCAATAAATATGTCTAGTGGGGGAGGGGATTCCCCCAGATGCCCAGTCCCTGTTTCCTGTTCTACAGCTCTTAGCAGTCTTACTTAGTGATGGATTTATGGCTACTCCCTCTTGCCTTGCCTGGAGCCCCAGAACCAACACAGTATCTGACACGTGTTTTAAAACTAAACTCAGCCAGGAACAGCTTCTCTCTCTGAAGTGTTTAGATGCGATAGTTAGGCTGCATGGCTTTGTGGGAGAGGATTGCATCTTGAGATAGGTGATCTGGCTCCAAGTTCCAGCTCCATCATCATTAGCTGTGTGAAATCACAGAATTAACTTAAATTATCTGGGCTACAGCCTTCTGATTTCTAAGACAGGGATAAAGCCCTTATCCTGCCACCACACAGGATTAATGTGAGGACCAAATGAGATAAGGCCTGTGAAAGAACTCTCTAAACTACAAAACCATAATAAAAAGTGGGCTTTTGAATTATTTTACTAAGAAGCTTCAAAACCAAGATGGCTTCTATAACTTAAAGGAATAAATGAATAAAACTGATACAGAAGTAGGAATTTTTTCTACCTTCCTTCAGTCTACCTCAAGTGAGTGCCACCTAGCCCAGAACTTTGGCCAACAAAAGCCACTGTCCTCCAACTCACCAAGTGTTTAAATAGTCCCTTCCCCAGACCCAGTTTCCCAGGATGGCTGCAAAGGCATAGGCTTGGGCTTACCTGGCTTCCGGTAGATGTGGGTGGCCTCTTCACGAAGCAGAAGTCGGCAGTTCTGACCCTGCAGACTATGTGTGCAGCTTTGAGTATCAGCATAGAACATACATCTCACAGCCCCAGGTTGGGTTTGCAGAGTGGTGATGAGACAGGCCTCATGTTGGGAACATTCTGCAGAAAAGAGGGAGAAGAGTGATGCTTGGGCCTCAGAGATGTTACTTCACTCATGCATTCTTCCAGTCATCCATCCAACCATCCACTCATCCACCCTTCCATCCATCCATCCTTCTATCCAATCATGCATCCATGAATCCATCCGTCTATCCATCCATTCATCCATCCACCCATCCACTCATCTACTCTTCCATCCATCTACCCTTTCATCAAATCATGTATCCATGAATCCATCAATCCATCCATCCACCCAACCACTCATCCACCCTTCCATCCATCTATCCTTTCATCCGCTCATGCATCCATGAATCCATGAATCCATCCATCAGTCATGCAATCACTCATTTATGTGAGCACTACAATAAATCCTAGGCACTGTACCAGGGGATGGAAATAAAATGGTAGCAATGAGAAACCCAACCCTCTGATCAATCTACTTTCCATGCAGCATTAAGGTCTTTTTTGTTTATTTAATTTATAAATGTGCTCTTGTTATTTCCCTGCTTAATATATCTCCATGGCTCCCCATGCACTTAAGGATTACCTCAAACAAGGCTCTCCATACTCCGGCCTTTATCTTCAGCCCTGTCTTCCTCTCCTGTTCTTCAATGCCTCCTCAGCTGGCACCATACCCAGTGTTCCACCAGGGACCATGCCCTTTCCCTTGCATGTCAAGTTCTGCACTAGACAACTTAAATTATATGACATTCAGTCCTAAGAACAGTTCTGAAAAAGTGCTGCTTCATTTTATTGATCAGGTTGTTGACAGCCTAAGAGCCCTATTTATAGCTCAATTTCTGTGAATGGTACCACCCAGAGGTGTGCAGTGCATAACCTGCATATCTGTACATGGTGGTCCAATCTGCAAGATATGCATAGCTTTGTGCATATTATTATCCAACCTTGCAGAGAAGGAGATTCATGGAATTCATAGAACCTCAGTGGGGGTTAGAATCTTGGCAAGGGTATAAATGTTATCTGATGTCTCCCTCTTTCAGAAGCTAAAATTCTTTGTAGAACATTCCCATCAAGTGGTTACCTAGCTTTTGTTTAAATACCAACAATGACCAAAAACTCTCTAAAAGAATTATGCATCTGTGGGCAGCTTTGCCTATTAAAAAGTCATTCAACTGCATTGAAAAATGTCTCCCAAAATTTGAGTTTTACCAAAACAATAGCTCTTAGGTGTATCCCACTGGCCAGACAAGTGTACTTCCTCCTCACCACAACAGCCCACCTGCTAACTGAGGTCAGCTGCCAGAGCTGCCACGCATGTGCATCTTTCCTGCCTCAGACTAACCCACTAGATCATTCTTCTGATCTTCCTCTGACCTGGGTTTATGTCCCTCATCTTCTGGCTGGCATATTCCCTTGGACACCTTGGCTGCCCTGTGGGGTAATGAGGAGACTTCACCCAGGTCTTCTTCCCCAGGTTAATCCCTTACTTCCAAGCATCCTAGGTTATCGTAGTGTCTCATGTGTTTTTCTAAGTTGAGAATCTTGAGCAGCACTTGTGTGAGGTTTTGTCCCACCCAACCTGTGGGTTGGAAACTCCCCTTACCCGACAAACAGAGGTCTCGGACAGCAGAGAAATTGCTGGTGGCAGCAGTGCTGACATGGGCAACATCAAAGTGCCTAATGGATGGATCAACAACCACTGAAGAGAGGGCCAGGGACTGCCACGAGTCCAGAGACACTAGGAGAGAAGGCAACGGACAGTCACATGCAGTTGTCACCTGGTGAGTAACAAAGACAGCCGTGTATTACCCAATATCCCCAAAGGCAGCCTTAGGGGCATCCTCCTCTTGGTCTCCATTCCTGTGCAACCTTATAGCTTGATCCATCTTTCCATTCTACAAGTATTTATTGAATTATTTATGAGCCAGATTCTGTGCTCAAGCCTAGGAATACAAAGGTTGAAAACAGAACGAAACAAACAGAAAGCATGGCTGTTTCTATTAAGCAGCTCATAGTAGAATGGGAGAGAAGTTGAGAAGAAAGAAAAACATCATGATATAATTGTTACAAAGCAACAGTTAAAATAATATGAGGTAATGATACTAACAGACATATCAGGTTAATCATGTGGTACTATGCTCAGGTCTTTACAGACACTACACCAGTTGCTATCAGTTGTTTTCTGTAAGGGACACTGTGGGGTGCCATTTAGACCCCCTGCAGTACTGAGACCCCCCTGCAGGACCAAGGCTCTCATTTCCCCAACTGTTGTTAAGCTGATGGCTGGCAGCTCCCAACTGAGTCTCTCTCTAGGAATTGTCTTTGATCTAAGAGAACTGCCTCCCCTTCCCCATGGACAGCCTGCATCCCAACACTGTCCATGGGGGTAGATAAAGGTTCGTACCCCCAGCCTCAAGATGGAACAAATCTGAACGGCCAGCCTAGCTTCAGAGCTCACTGGAAGATCAGTGGGGCCATCATTTGATTTGCATCAAAGTTCTTCTTCCTCTGGCCAATCCTGCCCCTCACTTCCTTCTATATCCCAAGCATGCTCTGCACCAAGCTTCTTGCATGCAAATCTCCATCTGAGAGTCTGCTTCTCGGAAAACCCCAGCTAAGACGTCTTCCTTTATATATGAAGAAAATAAGACACAAGAGGTTAAAATGACTGGCCTGTGAGGGCACTGTTCCTGCTCGGTGGAACAGGATTGGAACTGGCCTTTGTATGTAGTGAAGCTTGTGCCCTCCAACTGCTCTCTGGTGCTGCCTCCCTAGTCCTGTACGTAGGACGTGGCTGTCTCAGCATGGGGGAGGGAAGCACAGGCATAGCAGCCACAGAGATGGCTTGGGCAGAGGTGAGGAGGTGAGCTCGTCCCATCTGGTGCAAGGGCCGTGCCTAGAGCCAGACGAAGTGAGGGTGATCCTGAGTTTCCACTTAAGTTTCCACTGAGACAAAGGACTGTGAGTCTAGGTCAATGGATGTATCATACTTTCCACAAATAACACTGAAGAGCTTGAAAGGCTGCCTCTCAAGATAGGCTTCCATGATCATTCGGGAGAGCTGATTCCAGAACACTCCTGCAGAGATGTTCAGTGGGGCATCAGTGATCATTAATAAAGAAAATCTCTGTCTCTCTGTAACATACACACACCTTCTTGCTTGCTTTTGTGTTTTCTTCTTTCTTGTTTTCTTGCTTCTTTTCCCAGAAGACCACAGTAGTGTGTCCTTTAATAAATATTTGGTAGCATTTACCTTGTGTTAGCAGAACACTATGGCGATCACAAGCATAGCACTTTGAAGTTTACAAACCATATTCACTTCATCATCATGTTTGATCCCGAAAGCACCCAAATGAGGGGTTGGGTAGGGGCTCTAGTGCCTCTTTCACAGAGGAGGAGTCAGAAACTCAGAGAAGTTATATGACATTTTTCAGAACATGGAGCTGGAAAATAACTAGGCCAGAAGAGAATCAGATGTCTTGGCTCTAAGTCAATGCTCCTTCTATCCTGTCTGAGTTTCCTATGCAGCTGAGCACCTTTTCCAGAACATTATCCCCAGGTATGAAAGGGTCTTTGCCTTTGATAACACCCTGTTCTTAGCTATACAGGGAAGTTTATAATTTTTATCTTAAACCTGTCTTTGACAACCAGCACACTGGTGGAGAGTTCACTAAAATTAGACTGGTAAATAAAGCAGCAAAACAATCTAGTGCCATGTTTTGGTTGCTCAAGCTGCTATAACAGAATACCATAGGCTGGGTGGCTTAAACAACAAACATTTATTTCTCACAGTTCTGGAGGCTGGAAGTTTGAAAGCGGGGGGCCAACATGATTGGGTTCTTGGTGGTGCCCTCTTTCTGCTTGATGGATAGCTGTCTTCTTGCTGTATCATCACATGGCAGAGAGCAGAAAGACCAAGCGAGCCCTCTGTTGCCTCTTTTAGAAGGGCACCGACCCCATCATGAGGCTCTGCACCCTGATCAGTGCCCAAAGGCCCCACCTTTTAATAACATCCCATTGGAGGTTAGGGTTTCAACATACAAATTTGAGGAGGATGCAAACATTCAGTCTATGACATGTCTATACTTTTTTACATTAAAAAAAGAAAGAAAAAATAAGAGAGAGAAAAGATTCATCCAGAGAAGTTGCCAAATAACATAATGTTTCACCCAGGCCCGGCAAGAGGAAGGTAAACCTCCATACTCTGTCCTGGAGCAGTGGGTGCCATCCTAAGACTCAGGAGATGTGTCTTCCTGAAGTTGGGACCTGGCTTGACTGCAAGAGATGCTGGGTTTTCATTTTCTTAAGCATCCTCCACATGTTGCTATTTTCATGGTCAATATAAGGGGCATTTTTGCAACATGACCAAACTGAGCTGCATATTTTTAGAGGGTGAGAACACTGCAATTTTAGAGAAGTTCTATGAAAGGGTTTTAGGGCTAGACTCACCAATTATGGTCTTAAAATGGAAGCCTTGGCCATACTCTGTGTTTAGGTTGATGTCTGGGAGAAAGCACTATAATTAAAGAGTGAATTTCATCTCCAAGTGAAAACCAGTTCATCTGTCACCATTCCAGGGCCTGGAGCCAAGTCCTGCCATTCCCTCCACCTGCCACTGTCCCCTGGCCTGCATGAACCCCTGGATGAGTCACTGCTTTTGTGCAGAATCCAACATCTGGGAGGTCCACAAGTATCTCATGAAAATTCTGAGAACAAACTCTTTGTGGAGGCAGAAGGATGATGAAGCAGGAAAGTTGGGGCTCTTGGCAGCATTTTGTGAGAGTTTACTATTTGCTAGGAACTTGCAACACTGCTGCATTTAGTATTCATGATAACCAATGAGGTGGGTACTGTCACTGTCCAAGTTTACAGACAAGGAAACAGACGATCCAGTAATACACCCTTTTGCTTAGCCAATCGGCTTAGCCAGTGTTAGCATGGCTAATTAAGTGGTAGCGCTAGCTAGGGCTGGAGCCAGTTCTTGCAGGTACAGAACCCAGAGTTAGTACATCACAGACTTCCCCTCCAGATGAATGAGGTGGTAGCAGCTTCCAAGCTCACCCAAAGTGTGAGTCTTTTCCTGAAAAGTAGAGTCTATGGTTTATTGATTAATTTTTATTTTGTTTTTTTTTCATTTTTCTATTTTTAGTTCATAGATTGCAATGCTAGTGTCATTTATTTTAAAATATAATCTCTCCTTTAATTCAAAATGCATGCTTATCGCATCGTGAGTACTTATCTGTAAGTGAATTTGTTTTGGTGGGTGTTTCTTCTTTTCCATGAATGTCTTTGCAAATCCTGGCTCTGCCTCCATCCTGCTTAAACCATAGTCACTCTGTATTTTATCATCAAATGGTAAAAGTTTCTCCACATTATTTTGTTTTGTAAAATATCTCCTTGGCTATTCATTCTTTTGGATAAAATTTACCATTTCAAGGTTCAAGAAAGCTTCATTGGGTTACTTGGAATGATCTCAAAGTTAAACATTAATTTGAGAGAAATTTTTTGATTTGAATGTTATTTAATATTAAACTTAATATTTGATGCCATTAAGAATAGAATATGATATTATTCCATTATATTTTCAAAATGGTTATTGTTGACATAGAGAAAAGCTATTTACTTATGTGTTTATATTTTCTAACAGGACAACTTACTAAAATCACCATCAATGAAACTCACAGACATGGGTGAGACAAAACTGGTTCAAGATACTCTATCCTTTTAGTGGGGTATGGGTCCCCTTTACTGACCCTGAGTGGCCACCTAGACTGGTTTGTCTAAAGATTTGACTAGAAGATTCCTAGTTCTCTGCCTCAACACTCCAGGCTCCCTTGACACTACTTTCCTTAAAAAAAAAAAAAAAAGAACTAAATTAGACATATTTCTAATAAATACCTCATTAATATATGCCTATGCCTTTAATTGTCTTTAATCCCATCATAAAATTATAAATTCAAGTCCTATTTTTATAGTCCAAAATTATAAATTAAAGTTCTATCCTTGTCTAAAATTATAAGTTCGAGTTCCGTCCTAAAACAAATCCTGATCAGGGTCAAGTCCCAAATATAATTTAGACTTGAGTTCTCCAAAAATGAAGCTAATACTAAAAACCTACCTCCACTAAAATACTCAGTCTGGTCTAATTCTAGTTTTTGTTTATCTGGCTGGCTATATTTTTGGTCTGTGTAACAATATCTGGCCCAAGAAAAATTAAAGACTTTAACGGGCACAAAAAAAGCCTTGTAAAAAATCCCCAAACTAATTGATCTACACACTCAATGGAAACAAAAGGACTCCATAAACTTAAAAAAAAATTTAAAAACACATTAAAAAAACTTACAAAGTCAACTCTTGTGTTTTCTTCCGTCCCCGCCTCTCCTCCCCCTTCTCCCGGTCTTACTCCTTCCAGCGCCACTCCAGTCCCATGACATTTCAGACTTAGCATAAAAATAAAGTCCATAATTTTAAAGGCCTAAATTAAAAAGGCTCTGTCTTTTGAACTCTGCCTGCTTTACTAAATTCTTGCAATAAAAAATAAATCATCCCAAACTAAAACAACAAAATACCGGACAGCCAACCTCCAGTCAACACTTCAACAAATATCTCCCTGGGTGACAGGAGTTTACTAAAAAAAAATTAACATAAAAATGGCCAAAATAAAATTGTGAAACCTTAAAACGTGCCAGGTTTTCTGAGATTCCAACTGACTACATATTATGGCCCATTCTAATACACATTTTAAAACCACTGGCCAAATCACATTAAAAAATTCAAAACTGAAATCGTGATTCAAAAAACCTATAACTAAAAAATTAACATCTCATCTTTTAAATTATTTGCCTATTTTTTCCTGTTCAAGTCTACTGGCTTTTCTATTACTATCAAAATACAACTGACTATTCATAATATTAATAGGCTCTTTGTTGTGTGGTTACTTTGAAAACAGGACCAAAACTATATTCCGGTCTAGCAAGGATATGCCTCCACGAGGCAGTAGATTGGAAACCTGCGGTATTAACTAAGTCAGCTGTGTATATTTGTTCTTTCAATCATGTATTCATTCAACAACTATTTACGGGCCTCCTCTGATACTCCAGGACTGTACCTGACAGCCAACGGTGGCAGCCTGGAAAAACAGTCTAAGAAGCCAAAACATTTAAGATGATTCTTACCCGTCCATCGTAGTTCTCAAACTTGGGTGAGCATCAGATTCTCTTGAGAAATGTGACAAGAATTCCAAAGTCCAGGCCCAGTTCTCACTTCAAAGAGCTGGGGCCTCTGTAGTCTATTAACTTTCCTGGTGATTCCGACACACGTCCAAGTTTGAAAATGACTGTGGTCTCTAAGATATCCTTTTTGGTTTTGGTTTTGTTTTGGCCATGATTGCTGGAGACACAGCTTAGGCTAGTGAAGAAACAGTTCTGAGTTCTAAACCTCACTCAGCCTGACACTGTGTGTCCTCAGGCAAGTCCCTTAACTACTCTGAGAAACTCTAATTTTAAAGATCTTTGTGTTACGCATTGCCCTTGTTCATGATCTCTAATAAGCATAATGTCTCTCTGTAGATGACACATGGACCATTGCGTTTGTGGGGTAAATTAATCCATCAGCACCTTTGCTCTGAGGCCCTTGGATCCAGGCCTCAGGAAAGGAGTTCTTTTCCTCCAGTGCAGGGAGAAGATGGAGTAGGAGGGAGAGGTGAGCCGAGAGGAAAGCCGGACAGGTTGGCTCCTACACAGTGACTGTCCTGCCTGGTAAGAAGGGATGCCCTCCATGCTCACTGGCATGCTCCCTAGTGGTGCGAGACCACACAGCCCTCTGCACACCTCCCGGGGAGCCAACGCTGGTTAGAGAATAACATCAGGGCCCCCTTATATTGCCAGAAACCAGAGAAGAGTTGAACACACCCAGCAGCTGACACTAACAATTGGCTATGAGTGTATGTCAAAAATGGGACACAGTAAAGCAGCCAGACTACACTGTGTGACTTTGGGCAAGCCACTCCCCTTCTCTGAGCCTCAGTTTCCTTATCTATAAAATGGTGATATTAAATGACTGTCTCTCCTAGGGTTGTAACCACAAATGAATGAGTTACTAGATGTGAGCTGCTGCCCAGGGGAAATGCTCAGCAAACACAGCCACCTTCACCGTCTCTGGGTCAAGCTACTTGGTTCCTGATGCAGTCTGGACACTGTTTTTTCAAAATGATGGGGCTCTCAGCCTGGATGGAAGTACCAGGGGTGTCCTTTAAGGGGCACAGGAGCCCAAACTACTGCCAGTTATGTCCCCACCAAACATCTGACTCCTGACTTCCACCTGACCCCTCCTCCCCTCGCCCCACTGTCCCCCTGTCCCCCTGTCCCAGGGCAGCTTGCTTCCTGCCCAGGAGGGCCTCCACAGCCTCTCACCTCCTGCGCAGTGTGCCTGCGGTGCCATGGGCTGGGCCTCAGTTTTCATGGGAAACTTGCTGCTGAATTGCAGCAACATCTATAAACTTCAGTGTTTCAAGGTTTCACGAGCTTAGCAAGTCCCAAAATGAAGCCATTACTGTCCCCCAGTGCTCCTTTTCACTCGTACACCATGTTCTTTCTTTCCTCAGGGAATGTTTCCACCACTCCCTCCATTGTCCAAACCAGAAATCCTATCATCCTTATCGCCTCCTCCCAGTGGAGTCTACATGCTCAGCCCCTCTAGGAACTGTCTTTTCTTTTCCACCTGGTTCTGGCCTCATCAATTTCACTGCAGTTACCATGCAGGCTCCAAACAAGGGCCTCCTGATCATGAGTCTCAGCCCACTCAGGCCATTCTCATGCTGGTGCTGGGATAACCAAAACCGTTCTAACATCCGCATCTGGTCACAGCACTCACCACCTATGGTCCTCCAGGGTACCAGGCAGATGTGTGGTTGGCAGGGTCAGTCACTCCAGCTGCATTGCAACCCTCCACTTTTACAGGGTGGTCCTGTGTGTCCCCTACTCTCACCCACTCACCAAACACAACACACATTCAGAAGTGAAAACAATATCGATTTACAATGTAATTTCAGTTACTTATGTTAACTCGCATTGATCTTCATAACAGATGGGGACACTGAGGCACTGGAGGAAAGACCACAGGATACTCCCCCAGACCATAGAGACACCACCTAAGATTATAGAGGCATCATTCAAGGTTACAGAGGCACCCCCAAGGTTACAGAGGCAGCCCCAGGTCACAGTGCAGAACTTAGTTGAGGTCCTACCAGCAGGACACAGGAACTGTGCTTTTCTTCTGCTGTGCTATATAGTCTTGGATCTCCTCATTGAGGTGGTAATTGACAGATCAGCCCTCATTCCCAGCAGCTAGTAGGCACCTTCCCAGCCCTTATACAGCCCCACAGCATGGTGGTTAAAGGTCTTGGTGACTCTTTCAGTGAGTAGGAGTAGCTCACCAGAAGGCCCTAAGCCTTGGAGGAGAATATGCCCTTGGAAGTAAGAGGCCTTGCCCCTTCCATGGGCAGAGGGGCAACAGTGGCCCTGAAGGAAGAGAGACTCATTGAGGTCATACAGCCTCTTTCCTCTGTGACCAGATAGACTAGCAATGAGTGCTACTATCTATTTAGCAGGTAAGAAGTGCTTAAAAAGTCATGTAAAGATTAACTGGTTCCATCTAATGGTACTTCATTGAGATGAACTGTCCTAACCCTACTTTATAGGAGGGAAAAGTGAGGTTCACAGAGGGCCACTGACTTGCCCAAGACCAAACAGCTGAAAGGCAGGCAGCAAGTCAGTGTTTGCACCCAGGACAGCCCTATATGGTGATACCCCCTGCAAACCAGAGCTGCTGAGGGGACAAGGGCAGAGGAGAAGGAAGGGTCTGGGAGGGATGATGGGGGCAGCAAAGAGGCAGGAGGTGATGGGGGCAGCTTGGGTCACCTCACAACCTGGAGGCAGCACAGCTGCAGTCTCTGCACAGGCGGGCCTCTGGGTGACATGGAGGCACTTCTATTCCTTTCTAGAAAGCACCATATCCCCTTTTTTAAAGCTTAATTTTTATTTTTAACGGACAGATTATAATTATACATATTTATGGGGTATAATACAAGGTTATGATATATGTATATGATGCAGAGGAGTACTTTTTGAGATCTATTACACAGCACAGTGACTATAGTTAACATATGGCACATTTCGAAACTACTAAGAGAATCAATTTCAAATGTTCTCACCACAAAAAAAAAAAAAAATAAGTATCCGAGGGATGGCTGTGTTCATTTGATTGATTTAAGCATTCCACAATGATTCCCTTTTTTAATGGATACTAAGTAGAAAAAAATTATGCTAGAATATATTTGAAATTTTCCATTGATATGTAGATAATCGTGTTTAATTCTCTTTTCTTCCCTCCTTCACTCTCTCCCTCCCTCCTTCCTTATTTCCTTTCTTCTCTTTCTTTTTTTGTTTCTTCCTTCCCAGACATCAGTTAAAGGAGAAAATGTTTATTTCAAGGTTTATTTTCAGCTGTTAAAAATTGCCAAAAAGCCTTTCAGCTGGAACCACCATCTTCCAGTAATTCGCCAAAATGACAAACACAAAGGGAAAGAGGAGAGGTACCTGGTATGTTCTCCAAGCCTTTTGGAAAACATGGAGTTGTTCGTTTGGCCAGGTACATGTGAATCTGTAAGAAAGGTGATATGGTAGGCATCAAGGGAATGGGCACTGTTCAAAAAGGTATAACCCACAGGTGTTACCATGGCAAAACTGGAAGCGTTTACAATGTTCCCCAGTGTACTGCTGGCATTGTTGCAAATGAACAAGGGCATGATTCTTGACAAGAGAATTAATGTGGGTATTGAGCACATTAAGCACTCTGGGAGTCAAGATAGCTTCCTGAAACACGTGAAGGAAAATGATCAGAAAAAGAAGCCCAAGAGAAGGGTACCTGGGCTCAACTGAAGCGCCAGCTTGCTCCACGCAGAGAAGCGCACTGTGTGAGAACCAGTGGGAAAGGCCAGAGCTGCTAGAACCTATTCCCTATGAGTTCATGGCATAGTAGATGTTAAAATAAAATATAAGACATCAGACTGTAAAAATGTTTCTCTTCATTGAGTAGAAGTGTGATGTCCTCTCCCCCAAAGAAATATTTAAAGCAAATTTTAATTGTGTCTGAATTTATTGTGTAATGTATTTGCTATTCAGATTTAATGTATTTCTTGCTGAAAGATGTGAGGCGGCTTATTGAGCAACAAATTAATCGCTTAGAAAGTGGCCAGATATTATTTATGAAATATTTGTACTGGTTTAAAGACAGTCCAACTAAATCATCATGGAAGAAGTAAAATAATTTACATTAAAAATTGCCCAAAAAATTACACATCACTATAGAGCTGCATGCACCCCACAGGCAGAGGTCTGCCGCTTGCTGGCAGGTAATGACAGGTGAGCTTCTGCTCTGGCCATTGCCTCCCTCATTTGAAAAACAGGCGGAAAGTGCCTCCAAGCATTTTTGTATCAGATCCAAGGGCAGAATGTCAAACCGGCAGCAAATGCCTGACACTCTCTCCAACGTTCAAATAATCACAGACCCATCCCATTTATTGTATAAAAAGATCACATGACTTTCTTAGGACTCATCAAAAATAAACAGTGAGTCCAAGGCATCCAAAAGTCTTCAGGATCCTCACCCTTCTTCCCGCAATCAAAACCAAGAGGAATTTCTTTCAGCTGCTCAGCACTCATCAAGTGATTGCTCCTGAATATGGAATAGCTGGGAAATAGAAGAGGCGGTTTCCACACCTGCACAGGCTGGCTGGGGTAAACCGTGACATTCTGAAACCTTTCAGGCAGGAAAAGTCTTTCAGGCCCCCAGCAAACCTTCATGATCCCTGTGATAAGCAGAATAGAAGTGACTGGAAGCTGCCTTGGAGGCCTGTACGGCCACAGGGCACTTGCTGGAAGGAAGAGCCCAGCTCACGTCTCCCTGTCGTCATCGGACGGAGACAACATTGCATTGAGACATCCTGCTTTCTCACCAGAGACCATCATTCAAGTGAGAACCAGGACATAGTGGCCTATGTTTGTTCTTAACAGCATTTATCAAAGACCAGATGTTCCTTTGATAACAGAAGGAAGGAAGACCAAATAAAGACATCCTTGTAATGTTGTGGTTATTTGCAGAATGAAAATGGGAGGAGAGCTGCTGATTGGTTCAGCATTTCTCCAGGAGAAATTCTTTACACTTGCAGCAGACACTCCTGGGCCTCTTTCAACATTCACAACCCTAGAAAAATACCCAGACATCCTGACCTCTCCATTCAGCCTCCAAATACCTACTGTTGAGCTCTTCAGTGAGCACACTCTTATCTTCGACTCCGCATCTCAGTGCTTAGCAGAGGGGTGACAGTAGGTGTCATGGGTTGAACTGTGTCCCCCCCAAAATTCACACGTTGCAGTCCTAACCCGTAGGTCCTCAGGATGTGACCTTATTGGGGTAGACTCTTAACAGACATAATCACGTTAAAATGAGTTCATTAGAGTAGGCCTTAATCCAATGGTGGTCTGGTGTCCTTGTAAAAAAGGGAAATGTTGACAGAGACACGTGCACAGAGGGAAGATGGAGTGAAGAGGTGCAAGGAGAGGGTGCCATCTACAAGCCAAGGGGAGAGGCTGGGGACAGATCCTTCCCACAGGGACCTTGGAAGGAATCAACCTTGTCTACACTTTGATCTCAGACTTGCAGCCTCCAGAGCTGTGGGAAGATGATGTCTGTTGTTGAAGCTACCCAGTTCGTGGTACTTTGTTATGGCAGCTGCAGCCAAGTAACAAAATAAGTGTGCACTCGGTGACAGCATCCACTCACTGATTTACAGAGGGCCTGCTCTGCCCCAGTGCTGCTCTCTAGCATAAAATGCTCATCATACTGATACTTCCCACCCTATCGCATGCACATAGTCAAATGGCTCATAGGGTTGAAGCATCTCCTGTACGAAGCGGCACAGACATAATGTGATGTGCTCCGTGTGTTGTCTCCTTCCATCCACACGCAGCTGTCTGATGTGACTCTTCCGGTCACTCCTGCTCTAAGAGGTGGCATTGCACATTTTAAGGAAGGACCACTCTGGGGCACTCTGCCTGGCCAGATGCCAGCTCTGCCTCCTGCCAGCTCTGTGACTTGGAGTAAATTATACGCTAAGTCTCAATTATTGGTCTTTTGTTTTAATTTGTGAACAGGAACAGTTTTACCACCTGAACCGTAAAGCAGAGCTTCTCATACAGTGAGAGTCACAGTTTGCTACTGATCTTTCCAGCCTGTGGGAGGGCAAGGGGTGGAGGGAGCTAGGGTTGGTCCCATCTTCCCATCTGTTTACCCCAATGAGTCATGCAGTTGTCATCATCCCCTGTGTGTGCCATAGCATGATAAATCAGGGAGCTCTGGGCACAGGCTGAAGGCTGAATAGAGCCATCCAATGGCTGCAAACTGCTTGGCACAGCCATACTCACTAACATTTGTTAAGGATTTGACCTCCCATACATCAACCTCCAGAGCCTGAGCTCTCACCACTGTCTGCATTGTTGAATGCATGATGGCATCCTTGCTGTCACTTGTAAAACAGGGCTTTTTCAACCAAAATTTAATATTAAGAGTGAATGTTAATAGTAGTGATGTTACAGTTGCTACCCCCTCATCTTCCTGGAAAGAAATGCTGTCACATCAAGATGGTCCCACAGGGGGATGTAGGTCTGGTTGTGTGACCCAGAAGGACCAGAAAAGACCCACATAAAGGATTGAGGGATACAGAAGGAAGGACAGAGACAATGTAAGCCTTCAGGACAAGGATCAGTGACCTTCTGCTCACTGAGAAGATAGTAAATATCTTCTAAGAAGAAATATCACTGAGAAGATAGTAAAGAGCCAGGTAGTAAATATTGTAGGCCTCACCAGCCACATTTGTTCTCTGCTGCATATTCTTCTATTGTTTGCACCCCTTTAAAAATGTGATAGGCCTATTCTTCACTCCTAGGCTACACAAAAACAGGCTGCAGGCTGCAGGCTGCAGTTTTCTGACCTCCAACCCAGAAGGCAGATCTGAGAGAGAGCATGAACCCAGTCGTTATGCACCTCAATGGGTGGGTAGTCCACACCTGGGAACCAAAAATCCTACAGGCAGCTTGACAGGGAGTTTGTATGCTTTTTCCAGGAATAAGGAGGAGTATAAGGGATGCCATCTGGAAGGCAAAATATTGTAATTTTATGACCTGCTGATAGTGGTCCTTCCTAACTGGGGAAATGAATGTCCTTTTGCAAAATAATGAGAAGAATAGATTCTAGTTTTTTTTTTTAATTATTCTTATTTGATAGGATGAAAGGGTGGCAACCACATACCTTCCCCCAATCAAAAAGCAGAATGCCAGCCCGCCTGTCCTCTCTGCACCATCTTGGCCTTTCTCACTCTGGTCCAGACTCCTGCTCGTCCTTCTCTCTGAAACCAACTCACGTTGTTGCACTGCTACCCCCTGAACCTGTCTCATCCTTCCCCAGCCTCCTGTGTCCCAGAAACCAGGGTTCTTACCATGACTGTAATGTCCCCTCCTTCACTCTGGGCTGCAGTCCTGGTTCTTGGAGGCCCAACCCTCTGACAATGAAATCTTCTAGTCCTTCTCATCATCCTTAACTGAGAATGCCTAGTCATTCTCCCATATTCCTCAAGCCCATTGCCACTCCAAATCCTGCTAAAATCTTGAGTGGTTTCATCATCTTAGGGAGAGTAGAAGCCCATTTGAAACTCTGGTCTCAGTTTCTTGTCTGCTTCAATCCCAGAGACCTTCATTTCCACTCCATTCCAGCCAACTGCCTCCATGATCACACCCCAAACCCTGCCAAGGCATTGAACTCCATCACCATTTAAATTGTAGTTTTCCTAAGCTGCACTTGCTGATATGGACCACAGTTTTCTTTCTCTCCAGCACATTCACACTTTAGCCCACTCACGCCAGCTCTTTAATTTCACTGTGATTTCTACGCTCCCACCCACTCCATGGTATCCATCCTCAGTGGCTCATCATCCAACCAAGACCTCCCATTGGTCCATTATCTCAGCTTCCCTTTGAGCAATGTCCTCAATTCTCTTCCTCCCAATGGGACTAACCCAATGGGCTCTCTTTCCCTGCAGCTTGTCTCAGTCTGCTGAGCATGGGCAAAGAAATTTCCCATGGCCACAGCTGAACACACTGGTGCCTTTACAACCTGTGGACCTTCAGCTTCAACTGACCCCCGGCACAGTTTGATCAGTTGGTCCCCTCTCTTCCACCCCTTGCAGCCACTGCTTTCAGTGCTTGCCGCTCTCTCAGGCCTAGACCTCATCCATCCCCTTCTGCTCTCAGCCAGTGCCTGACCTCTGGCCTCCCAGAGCAAAAAGGGGCCATCTGTCAATATCTGCTTCAGCTTCCTTCCCCCTCATCCCCTCTATAAGCCATTTTATCTTTCCCTCTTGATTTCTCCTAATACAGAAGAAGGGTGTCCATTGGAAGTCAGTCCTTCTATCTGTGCTCTAGAGCTCATTCTTCCTCACCCCTTCAGGGGCCTCCATCTATCAATTACCCCCAACCCAGCCCCACTCCCATTCTTCCTTTATCTTTAGTGTGTCCCTCGACACCGACACTTCACTTTTTGCATAGGAACATGCTGAAATATCCCCCTTGTAAGAAAAACACTTTAACCCAAAGTTTCTCATCTCATGGTCTGGGTTTCAGGTGACCCATTTCCCTAAAAAATATAGGCAAAATTTGATATATATGGTGGAACATACTGTTTTTAATTCACTGTCACAAGTAATCTATGACCTAAACATGATTACCAGCTAATGTTCCACAATTCTTTTTTTAGCTGTCAATCTTGTTCTCTTACTTTCATAGCCAAGATGCTTGGGAAAATTTGTAGTTTCTACTTCCTCAAATCACTACTATTGAGTTTCCTTCCTCTTTACTCCACTAAATTTTCAAAGGGCTCTTCATGACTAACTCAATGGACACTTCCAGTCTCCATTTTCCTTGAAATGATGAATCACATCTCCCTGGCCTGGGTTCCATGATAGCAGATGCCACCAGTGTGCCTCCCCTGTCTCCAGCTGCTCTTCCTAGTGTCTCCTCCTCTCCTCAAGGGGCTGCCCTTGACTCTTACTCTTTACATCTGACATTCTCCATGGGTGTGCTCATATCCCTACGACTTCAAATACCACTGACATGCTAATGACCACCAAATACAACCAGGCTAGACCCTCTGCCCAAGCTCCATGCTTATATATTCGGTGCTTCCTGGACACCTCCAAGCAGATGTCCTTTAAGCTCAGGATGTTGAAAACTGAACACATAATCTCACTTCCACCCACAACCACATTCTTCCACTGGTTCCCCTCTTACATTCTTTATCTTGGAATTGGCACCACCAGCCATGGGGCTGCCCAACTCAAAACCTTAAGTCTTGTCCTTGATTGGTGCTCAAGTGGACTGAATGTTCATCTAGAAAGGACATTATACAAGGAAAGTCTGAATAAATATCATTTTAAATATAAATTTCAGATTCTACCATTACAAGTGAATATTGTCCCTGCAGCAAACACACTCCATCTAGGTTTGTAGCAAAACAAACAAACAAAAAACGTAGTGTCTGAGTTTCCCTGAAATCTATCTGATGCCTTCTTGCCTACCTCTCCAACTTCATCTCTCATTAGTCTGCCTCCTACCATCCCACTCTCACACCTGGTGGTCTGTCAACACACTCTGTGTTGTATGACTTTGTACATTATTAGTGTGAACAGCACTATTGACTTACAAAGTTAAGTCAATTTATTTGTAGGATAAATTCATATCATCCCTTAAAACCCAACTCAGATAATCCACTCTGAAATCCCCTTCTACAGCTGCCTCCTCCACCACCATCACCTCTAAATGCCTACTTCTTCTCCTCTAAATGCCTAGATATGTTTACTGTTCCACTAATATACTGCATTGCAATTTGTTTATTTTTAAATCTGCCTGTTAAATCATGAGCTCCTTGAGATCAAAAACTGTGCTTTAGTTTCACTGATTCTCCAAGACCTATAATAGCAAGCAAAAAAAAATTGGCAATAGAAATAGTAATGTAGTTGTAGTTTGCATTTACTAAGTGTTCACTGTGTGCTTAACAGCAGCAATAGTACTATTTTTTTCATAAACTGCCCTAATCCATAAATAGGTATTGAATGAAGTTAATTAATAAAGGAGCAATAGAATGCTAATTTATATCTCCATAAAGATTAAGATTATTATTATTCACATACTACAAAACCTCAGTAAATAATTATTGAGTCAATTAGTTAATAGATTAGTCACATAGGAAGCAAATAATGGGAAGCTGATTTAATAAAATCTCACCTCTACGTGGTGTGTTCTAGTTTATAAAACACTTTCATTTACACTGCAAGAATAACTACATCATCCCATGCCTTAATTACTATCATGCAGAGGGCTGAACTGAGGCTCAGAGGTGCTACATAATATGGCCAAGATCACAACTTGTGACCGGTGAGCCAAACTGCCAGGGACTTCATCCAGACTACTCCCTCTCAATCCCCACTGCCCCACAGCTGCCACCTCCTCCATATGACTCAGCTGCAGCCTCATAAAGTGCTTCCCTGTGGCTTCTCATTGCAGGCAGAAGTTTCCAAAGACGTCTGTAATGGCCCAGCATCTGTTCAGTTTATGAGCTTGTGTGTTGGTGGGTAACCATCTTTAATGCTGCTAACTTCAAAGACGCTTCTAGGGAAATTTCTAACTAAGGAAAAGCCACACACACGAAACCAGACTTGGATCTATATTCCTTCTATGGCCTCATGACAAATTACTAAGTTCATTACGAGCAAAATTCCTAGTGAAATTTCAAAGGCTCAGATTGAATCTGATTTCTCTCTAAGAAGTTTGACTCCTAACAAGTGGACATCCCCACCAACTTCCCCAAACACAAAAGCTACATGGAGAGAGTACAAGAATTGGGTCTCCTAAGAGCATCTGAACTCCTCTTTCATGGGGTCACATGCATGATCCTGGGTGCGTGGGCAAAACGATAGAAATTCTGAGGCACAAATGCATGTGAACAACCAATCTGATCTAAGCAAAGTGAGTCCAGCACCATGGAGGCCTCCTTTGGGGTGCTGAACAAGGGTATGGGTGAACTGTAGGGAACTTGCCCAAGCTCACACAGCTGCCTTGAACACAGACAGACTCCTAAGGCGGCACCGTTGCCCTCCACGTTAGAGACCTGTGTCTGATCTCTGCAGGAGCAGGAGCAGCTGCTGCTCATTCCATTTATCAAGCACTTGCTGTATGTGGTGGGTAGTAGGCTAAGCATGTTACACATAGGACTTTACCCAAATCTCAACTTGTAGGTAATAGGTAACATGGTGAATTCTACCTTAAAGAAACTGGGGCTTAGAGCAGTGCAGTGACTTTCCCTAGGTTATTCATAGAGTAGGAATAGAATTAGAACAGAGACTGAGATCTGCCCAGCACCAGGCTCTGTGCTTCCCAGCTTCTGCTTTTGCCTGGCTCCTTCTGCTTGCCTGTGGGTGAGCGCTCACAAAAGCAGAAGGGAAAAAATCACACGCTACAGCATAACTGAGCCAATGCTGAGAATTACAAAATTTAAAGGGAAATTTAAAAGACATTTAAGCCAACCCCTCTCACAACAAGAGAATCTTCAACATATTTGAATACTCCAGTGACAGGGAGCTCATTACCTCAATCTTACTCCATCACAGCAAGATAACCAATGCTTTCCATCATCTGACCCAGCCCCTTCTCTCCTCTTTCCCCATCTCACCTTCCCATGACACCAGGTACTCCAGTTATACGGAAGCCCTCACTCCATCCTCTTCAGCTGGGTCCCTCTCACCTCCCGGACTTTAAACACTGGGGAGAAGAGGTAGATGCTTCTGTAATAAGTCAAACTGAGTTCCTTCAGGAGGTCAGGGAATTCAGCACACTCAACAAGGGAGAATAAATGAATGGATGACTGAAGGATCATTTAAAAAAAACTTTGTGTAGCACTAGCCACTTGTAACATACTATCACTCTTTTTAATCAGTGATTAAAATTATTATAAGCCATAAAACTAAGGAAATCTTCTAGTGGGTTGTACTCAGGGATGGTCCCATTCACTGTCAGCTATGTAGAAGGGCCTGAGGAGCCCCAGGACAGGCAACCTGCCTAAAATATTTCCCCCGCGTGTTTGGCAAAAGTTTTGAATCTCTGCTCTCAGAATAGAACCGGTTTACCCACTTGTTAAACTGTGAACACCCCTGAAAAAGATATTAAAATATTGATATTTTCACCTTAGTGTGAATAACTTTGTTAATTCCATTTGGCTCAAGAGGCTCCAGGATGGCACTAGAAAATAAAATAATAAATAAACAAGGTCCTTCTATTCTTAACAGTTGCCTGTTCAAGGCAACTGTTCAGGGGTGAGAAGGAAAGAGAAACCACTTTTTCATCACAGTGTCCTGCCTTGGGATTGCCATTCTAGATGAGAATCATGGCTTAAGAGCATGTAGTCAGGAGTTACCCAGAGTGGGCAGAGGGGAATTATAGAGAAAGAGGAAGACAGGGCAGTACCAAACGCCAGCTCCCTCTACCTACGGCTTTGATTGAGGTCATTTTTGATTATGTGGTTTCTGACTGATTCTAGGCTGAAGGATATCTTCCATAGCTAAGAAGGATATTTAGAAGAAAATATTTAAAGCTAAAGGCTAAATAACCAAATCCAAATGGTAGGTTTTCTGTTGACATATTTTGCTCTTGGCTCCATATCCTTTAAATATAATTAAGCAAATTTTTGATGGACCAGGTACAAAACTGGTACTGTATAGGGAGAAAGTTACTGTAGAAAATCCATATATTTTCCCCATCTTCTAAGACTCTAAGATCTAGCAAGAGTTTAAGACATAACCATTCAGCAAACATTTGTCAAGTGCCTCCCAGGCTCACTATGTACAGCTGCACAGGTTGTGCATAGCACAACTGCAGGGGTAACATTTACAAAGATTACCTGTGAAAGGACCCCATTAGAACTGGTAGTGCATGACCTAACCCAGCCATGCCACCACTGCCAACCTTTACTGAGCATTGAGTACAGCCATTTTATGTATAATATCTCTTTTAAGCCTAAAACAACCTCTTTGAAGTGGTATAATCATCTCTATTTTACAGGTGAGACAATTGAAATGCAGAAAGATTCTTTAAACTGGCCAAGGTCACATACTTAAGGAGTGCCAAAGGGAGGGTTCAAAACTTGGCTGCCCAAACTCATATCCCATGTGGCTTTCAATACTCCACAACCACCCTCTCCATTCATTCGTTTTTCATTCTGTTATTCATTCATTTCTTCAACAAAAGTTAGTTGATCACTTTTACCTTTAAATACTGACTTAGGTCAAAGTGGAGACTTATATCTATTATTTAAAACCAAATAACTATAAATAAAATAATATTGAGCATCTACTCTATACTGGACATTTTGCTAAATGTGAAGAACCCAACCATGAATTACAAAATATCTGCCCTCTGGGAGCCCAAAATCTAACAAGCAAGCAAGAAAAATCCATTCATTCATTCGGTAAATATTTACTGAACACTGACTCCCACAGGTGCTGGGACTCCCACAGTCGCAGTAAATGAGACAGATAAAGTCCCTGTCCTCCTGCAGCTCCCATTCCAGAGAGGGCAAGCAACACTCAACAAGTAAACAAATGACAACAATTCATAGCGATGGTTCCCAGAGGCAGTACAGCAGGGTGAAGGGATGGAGAGTGCAGAAGGGAGCTACTTTGGATGGGGTGGTCAGCCATCCCTTGGAGGAAGTGACCTGGGGCTCAGAGCAGAGGAGGAACAAACCCTATAGAGGTGTGGTCTTTTCCCAGAACAGGACTGACAGTGGTCTCTCTGCCAGCAGCACCCACAGCCACTGGGGTAGAGCCCTTCCATCCTAAAGGGAGTCTGAGAGACCCCACAGCACCCTCCACAGTGTCTATATACTTTAGTCCAATGTGGGACACATCTGAGGGTGGAATGAGTGCTATGAAACACTGTGCAGGCTCTCCAGCACCAACCCAGGAGCACTGTCTTCTTCCTATTAGGTGGGTGCAAAAGTAATCGCAATTTTCCCATTACTTTCAAAGGCAAAGACTGCAGTAACTTTTGCACCTAATACTATAGCTTTCTATTGAACTGATGGAGCACATTGAAGCCACACAGAATTGATTCTTCATCCTTTTTGTCCTCCGGCCAGAAGGCCCAGGTGAGCAGGCACTGACTCCAAAATTGTTTAATGCTTGTATAAAACCTAAATTTCCTATCCAAATATGCACAGAGCTTATGCACACACACACAAACACTCCCAAAGAGGGAGCCTATGGTGCATCCTCTGACACACTCATGTTGCTCATTTACAGCCGTACCCCAGTGCTTAGTGCCTGGTACAAAGTAGGTACCCACCAAATGCTTGTTGAATGAATAAGCAACTGAACAAAGGGGAAAGGCAGCCAAGGCAGATGAAACCATAACTGAGTCTTAAACCCAGCACTTCTCCATTGGCTAGTGGCTCCCTCCTGCACCTGTGGAGAGAAGTGAAGCCTTCCAGGAAGGAAGGGAACTGGGAACCAGTTTCCTCACCTTTCTCAGTTTCCTAAGACCTACTATCATTGCAGCACCAGTTTGCCAGCTGTTTCTTTTTCCTTCTCAATCTCTCGGTCTCAGAGAGACAGAGAAGAGGTCCAGGGGGCTGCCAGATGTGAGGCTGTGCCCAGACCATACTCAGCCTCACACATTACAGCAATTATAGTCACCCAAGCAGCACAGTCCCTGGCAGATGTGGATCCTGGCTTGGGAGTGGAGTTCCCGCGTGCTGAGTGTTGCAGCTGCTAACAACATGATTCATTTGGCACTCTCAACCAAAGTGAGGAAACAGGGTGTGCTAACCGGCATGTCTTGCTGGCCCCTGGGATATAAAACCTATCCCTGGACAACTTTTCTGATGAAATAGTGACAGGGTATGCACCATGAGCTCCCTCAAAATGGCTTGTGTGCGTGTGTGCGTGTGCACATGCATGCATAAGCTCTGTGCGTATTTAGACAGGACATTTAAGTTTTATACAAACACTAAACAATTTTGGAATCAGTGGCCACTCACCTGGGCCTTCTAGGCTGAGGACCAAAGGGATGAAGAATCAGTCCTGTGTGCCTTTAACACGCCATCAGCCCAGTGCCTATAGTAGTAAGAAAACAGTGTGCCTGGGTTGGTGCACAGCGTTTAAAGGCATGCATTCCACCGTCAGACACGTCCCAGTCTGGATTATTAGAGTGCAAAGCCACTGTGGAGAGTGCTGTGGGGTCCCTGACTCCCTCCAGGACTGCAGGGCTCTACATTAGCAGTGGTGGGTGCTGCTGAGGCAGACCACTGTCTGCCCCCTTCCAGGACTGCCTCGGCTGAAGGTCATGCCCTGCTCAGGGCAGCTCATGGTAATGAGTGACCAGCGTGAGGCCATAACAATTTTAAAGGTCATCCCAGCTTCAGCATCCCTAAAGGGCCATCTGAGGCCTCCACCGAGACAACACTAAGGTTCAACTTCTCCCTCAGCCCAGTCCTGGGCCTTCCCTTGCCTCCTAACACCCCTGTTGGTAGAATTAACTTTTTGCTAAAAAAAAAAAAAAAAAAACTGGCCTTCCTACTAAACTTCATCTCAGAGTATGATTCCCGGGAAACTGGAGCAGCGACAGCCACCATCTTCGCGGGGAGACTCTGGGTTTACATCCGGGTTGAGTACAAATTTCAGCTCTACAAAGTACTGGTTATGTGAGTTTGGGCCTCTCTGAGCCTTAGCTTCCAAATCTGGAAAATGGACACAGTTGTGCACACCTTGTAGGGCAGTTGTGAAGATTAAAATATAGAAAGCATTTAGCATGGTGATTGGCATATTCAGTCATTCCATGAATAGGAATTTTTAAAATATATGATTGTGTGTGGTCATTAGAGGTTGGGAAGATCAGAGGGAGGGGGAGGAGACAGGGAGGTTAGTTAAGGGTGTGCAGTTCCAGGGGGACGGGAAAAATGATTCCCACTGCTGTGTAGCACTGTAGTGGGAAGATGGCTAACAATTAGTGTATATTTTCAAAACTCTAGGAGAGAGGATTTGGAATGTTCACAACACAAAGAAATGATAAACATTTGAGGCGATAGATATGCTGATTGCCCTGGTATGATCATTACACATTGTATACATGTATTAAGATACCACTCTGTATCTCATAAATGTGTAAAATTATTATATGTCAACTAAAAATAAGAGCAAAAAATGATAGAGCTACTAGCAAACTCTTTACCTTAATAACAGTTATCCATAAAAATGTGTGTGTGACTGTATACATGGGTGTGTATACGTACATGTATATTATATATATATATATATATATATAATTGTATAGCTCAGCTTTAACTGGTTGTCATGTGGGGAAGTCACACTCTCTCTCTGCCTCAGTTTCCTCCTCTGTAAAGCGGTTTGGACTTGGGAATTATTGCTGACGTTTCTTGAACACCCACTCTACAGCAAATTCCATGCTGAGCATTATACTTTATCTGCTCTTCAACAAAAGCCTGCTAGACTGATATTGCTTATATTTCACCATTATTCTCACTTTACTGGGGCAAGCAGGGGCATCAAGAGGCTGTGAAATCTGGCCCAGATACTCAGTGAAGCTGCCCAGGTGGACCTCAAAGCCCACGTGCTGCACCGTGATGTCGCATTGCTTCCTCGCTTAGAGGGTGTACATGCTTCCCGCCGGTGCTGACACTTTTTAGGATCACAGGACTCTGTTTCCAGCTTAATGAAAAACATTTGCAGAAAAGATCAAGTGAATTCCGTCAACCCACGGGCACAGGCAAAGGCACAGGATGGAGGCCAAGCAGACAAAGTTGATTCCTTTTCATTGTGTGGTTCAAAAGCTGTTGGGGCAGCCACTGCTGTTTCCATCTGCCCTGAATTCAGGCTTTGTCCCTGTCACTGAGCTCCAGGATGAGGTCAGGAGAGAGGTGCTGGAAAGCTGAGCAGGACAAACTGTAACGAGACATCTCTCTTCGCTCCACCTCGCACCTCTCAGCTGCAGCCTTCTTCACAGTCCGCTCTGCCAGCAGCAACCTGTGCTGCACCCATTGCTCAAAAGGGCTCAAAGTCAATGGCGGGAGCATTTTCCAAATGGTATGTTGAAGTATTCATGTGAAACACACATAGAATGGAGAGGACAAAATCCTAAATATTCTGTGTTTACCCTGGCTTTCAATCCAAATAGTAAATTTAATTAAGTAGCATCTTGATATGATTTGGCTCTGTGTCCCACCCAAATCTCACCTTGCAGCTTCCATAATTCCCACGTGTTGTGGGAGGGACCCAGTGGGAGATAACTGAATCATGGGGGCAGGTCTTTCCTGTGCTGTTTTCATGATAGTGAATAAGTCTCAGGACATCTGACGGCTTTTAAAAATGGCATTTTGCCTGCACAAGCTCTCTCTTTGCCTGCTGTCATCCACGTAAGATGTGACTTGTTCCTCCTTGCCTTCTGCCATGATTGTGAGGCCTCCCCAGCCACATGGAGCTGTGAGTCCAATTAAACCTCTTTCTTCTGCAAATTGTCCAGTCTCGGGTATGTCTTTATGAGCAACGTGAAAATGAACTAATACACACCTCTAAGAGAAACATTTCTGAAATAGAGAATGGCAAGCTGAATGCTCGTTGTCCTGGGAATAAACCCTTAGGAGATCCCACATTTGGGAAGCAGGGAAGGGGTGCGACGATCACACAGGCAGGCTCCAACACTGGAGAAGATAACTCAAGCTAACCTGCAGCAGCCTTGCTGGCTTGGTTGGTGTAAGCCTTTTAAGATGCAATGTACATTTGTCTGACAAAGAAAATATATATTTACTATTTCACTTGTTTATAAAACAATTTTTATCCAAAGAGAGTACAACTATACACTATACACCGTTGATATAATTGTCCTCACTTTCTCAAAATCTAGCTAGTCATCCACCAAAACACTCTCATGATAGTGCAAAGTAAAGCTTTTACATAGTTTTAAAGATCATTGTTCCACTGCTTCAAGCCCTGCAAGGATCTGCAGTATCCAATGCACTTTACGCTTTGGCCCCGGTCCTCTTCTGCACCTGTTGGTCCTGCAACACTGAGCTACTTGCATGGTCCTGCCTGAGCCTTGCTGATGCATGTCCCCATGCTTCCACACATGCAGTGCCCTCTGCCTCAGACACTATCCATTCTCCTCTTGGCCATCTGACAGATGCACACTCCTCCTCCAAGTCACAGTTTGGTCATAATATATTTGTGGTGCTTTTCCTGCCTGTCTATGGTGAATCTGGGGGAAACTTGTCAGTATCCCACTGCAGCCTAGGAACAGTTCCACTGTGCAGATGGACTTTCGAGTCTAGACTTGTCTGGAGACCTAATTGCTTAGCTTCATTTCGTGTGTGTGTGTGTGTGTGTGTGTGTGTGTGTGTGTGTGCATGTGTATGTACAAGCTGCCCATTCAAAGTCTACTTCAAAGAAAGAATTCTGCTCCCCCGACTGGTCAGTGGGGATGGTGTGCAGATGGAGGAGACTTCTGAAATCTCATGCACCTGTCTTGAGTACATACTATGTGATAAGGGCTGCTCTAAACACTGCATTTCTGTTGCTCTAGAGAAGGTTTCTAACACACTAGCTGGTTTGAAGGCACCAGTTTAGCAGGCAGGTGAGTTTTAGAAAGTCTTTCCAGAGAGAATGGTTTGCATATGCAAAGAATTCTTTCTTTGAAGTAGACTTTGAATGGGTGGCTTATACACACACACACGCACACACACACACACCACACACACACACGTATAAAAGACATGAAACCAAGAGATTAGGTCTCCAGACAAGTCTAGACTCAAAAGCTCATCTTTGCTAACCTGTTTCAGAAACTCAACCAAGTAACCTTATCTAACTCTGAAAGGGTCCATACAGATGTGGGTTCAAATCCCAGCTCAGTCATTTAATTTCCGTTTCCTTATTTGAAAAACAGACCATGCTATGAACCTAAATTTCTTGTGAATATTATATGATTTATAAATATTTGATATTTAAGAAATATTTCCTTTTCTCCCTGAATAGAGAGTACATAAAGATGAATATTTTACATATACACAGTGCATACGTGCCTGTACACATACACATACACATATAGACACATCCTCACAATCTATGTCAGAACCATACAATGACATTTCAACACCCTGAAGGCAGAGTTATCCCCTCCCTCTGATTCACATCAAAGGAACATGCCAAAATTCTTAGTTCTAATTTGGGAATTTTAACACATAGATAGGATGTTGGCTCTGACATTTCTATGCTTTTAAATCATACTTGTTAACAAGACACTTACAAGCACTGTGACATCTCATTCCACCTTGGAAACACCTACTCAGGCCCATAGGCTGTGTGTATATGTGAAAGGACATGCTCCATGCTCCATCTTTTTTTTTTTCTTTTGTAGGTAATTCACATGTCAGTAATACAAATGTTTAGCAAAAATAGAGTGGAAGCATTGTAAAATCACCCAAAGAAGTTATGCTTTGGTTTATGCATCTTTAACAATAGTATTTGACATCAAAACACTCTTTATCTATAAATTTAATAAATAATTTTTTAGTGATAAAACTTAAGGATCGCAAGTATATCAAAAGCCGAAAACCACTTTAATTTACGGCTGGTAAGTATGCAACTAGCAACAACTGTTTGAGACTAATTTGGCAATATAAATCTAGGGTCTTAAAATGTAAATTTCTCAAGCCCAATAATTCCGCTTTGGTCAATCTTACCCCAGGAAATAATCTGGTCTTCTGGAGGGAATTTTAGGTACCAAGTAGTTCACTTTGCTATTTTTATAATGATGAATAATAATAAACAATCAAATGACCAAAAATAAAGAAATGGACTAATGAACTGGTGGAATAACAGGACAGCTATCTCTGTTAACAATATTGTTGCTCATTTGTTGTTCATCACTAGAAGGTGAGCATCGTGAGAGTAGGAACATAGAAGACTCAATGAATGAGTCACTACGTATATACATGCCTGCATGAATGAGTGATTTAGACAGATATGTAACAATTTGGAGATACATACATATATATATACACATACATATATATACACATATATACACACATATATATACTATATATACACATATATACATATATATACACACATATATATATACACACACACACATATATATATACAATGCAATATTAGGTAAAAACAACCAAAAATGCAACATTATACATAGAGACTACAATGATATCAGACCATACAGAGAGCCTAAAAAGATTGAAAAAATAAACAAATGAATTAACTGACACAGAGTAACTTCTAAATAACTGTGATTTTCTTTCTATATTTCTGCTTTGTGTGAATTTTCTATAGCTAACAAATATTATAATAGGACCTATCGCTTGAGGTTCATATGAAGTTTAAATGCTTAGCACAGTGCTGAAGACAAAATGAGTTTTCATTAAACGTTAAAAAGTTTTGAAAAATACTATAGTATTGTTTTGAATTAAATACTGCCCTTTATCCTCTCTCCCTCCACAACCCCCTGCAAAATGAAGTAAAAGAATATAAGCATCTAAACCCACAAAGATAACAAAAAAAAGAACAAGGAAAAAAGGAAACGCAAGGAGCAGACAGCAGATGAGGGACTTCAAACACTGTTAAGTGAAGAATGGGAGATGGAGGCATGTTAACTGACTTGGCAGAGAGGAACAAGCAGTGCCCCAGTGCCTACAGAAGGAAGCACCCACACGATCTGCAGCTCCCCAGGCCTTTGATGAGCAGGAAGCAGGTGCTGCAGAGGGCAGGGGTACAGCAGGGATTGTGTGTGACAGCAGGATAGCTGAAAATCTTGACAATTGTAACAGGATGCTACTGTTTCTCTTTGGGGCTCTGTGGTGAACCATATTTACATGGCCATAATAATGATTTACTCTTGTTTCAACCCCAAATCTTGATATTAATATATTTTGTTGATAAAGGAGGAAAATTGTAAAAGGGTAGTGATAAAAGAGACAGAGAGCTAAGTCTCCATCAAGGCAAGAAGTGAACAGTCACTTCTGAAGTTGACAAATCAAGGAATAGTGGGATTCTATGGGTAACTGGTTCCAGGACCCCTCCCACCCATGGCTACCAAAATTCACAGATGTTCAAGTCTCTTATACAAAATGGTGTGGCATTTGCATATAACTCACACACATTCTCTGTATACTTTAATCATCTCTAGATTAGTTAAAATGTCTAATACAATGCCTACACACAGCTTTGTCTGCATGGATTCAATGTAGTACTTGACGCACAGCAAATTCAAGTTTTGCTTTATGGAATTTTTTGGAATTTTATTTTCTGATTATTTTTGATCTATGTGTCGTTGAACACACGGCTATGGAACCCACATAGAGCAGGCCAACTGTAACTTAGAAACACGGAGGCCAGGATGAGAAAAAAAGTAGTTAGAAGAGTTGAAATTTGGGGCTACTAGGAGTGGGAGTGGCAGATGAGCAGAGATGACATAGATGACATAGGGAACTCATTTGTTTTGCTTTTTTTTTTTTTTTGAGATGGAGGCTGTGTTGCTCAGGCTGGAGAACAGTGTGATCTCAGCTCACTGCAACCTCTGCCTCCTGGGTTCAAGAGATTCTCCTGCCTCAGCCTCTCTAGTAGCTGGGACTACAGGTGTACGCTACTATGCCTGACTAATTTTTGTATTTTTAGTAGAGATGGAGTTTCACCATATTGGTCAGGCTGGTCTCGAACTCCTGATCTCGTGATCCACCCACCTCAGCCTCCCAAAGTGCTGAGATTACAGGTGTGAGCCACTGCACCTGGCCTGTTTTCTTTTTAAACCATAAATCTTTTGGGACTTTTTGATTATTTCAACTGTGTTTGTACACTAACTTGATAAAATTCAAAATCAATTTTGACCAAAATCTGGCTAGCACATGTATTATCTGTTTGGTCTTGGGCAACCTTATCTGTCTCTAAGCCCTACTCCACCATCTGACATGGCAATAACGATGCCAACCTTACAGTATCTCAGGAAGCTAACGTCTATCATGAATGCAAAGTGCTTAGCATACACAGTTTCTATAGAAGGCTCAACAACTTTATATATAATGTGTTCTCCAAAGTTTGCTATTTTAACTGACTGAGGGAAACTAATAACATATATGAGTAAAAGACATTTTTATACTTTTAGCCACAGCCCTGGTTTTAAATAATTTCCTCCTACATGAGCTATATTCTGTCTCTCCAGCCAGGGCCATAATAGCCATAATGACAGATTTCTAGGGCCCCTTAGACATCATGTCACAGGACAGGAATTAACATCGCTTGGCCTCTTGGCTGAGCAGCGTGTGGAGCCCAGGCTGAGCCTCTCATTTCCTGACAAAGGGAAGCAGAAAAGGGGACGGTGCAGTGAGGCCCATGCTGTCCTGACCCCTCCACCTCACCCCCATCTAGAGCATCCAGATGTCTCTACTGCACCCAACCTCTCTGCACTTTCTGCTGACTCATGCCATGAGTGAGGAGGATCAGTGGGATGTGCAGGAGCAAGGGCAGCCTGGGTCCAGGCTATGTTACCGGGCACCTGGGCACCTGGGCTCCTGGACTCAGGGCCAGTGTTTCATCATTAGATGTCACAGTGCTGCCCAGTGTGGCCGATAACTGTAAGCTCCAACTCTTTTGCACTAATAAGGAGCTGACTTCTTTCCCTTTTTGGCCATAAATAACACCATTCTTGACATTGCCTCCGGATTGTGTGTGTCTAGTCATTACTCGATAGGGCGAAATAATCCTTAAAATGAAAACTGGGAGAACGCGACTTAGGTCTTACTCTGCTTCAATCAGCCACATAATTTCCACAAATCATTTCATTCCCGTGAGTCAATTTTCTCATCTGCAAAGTGGGCATGTTGCTGGTACTCACCCCACTTATACATGTGTTTAATTCATAGGAGCTGGAATTAATGCGAGTGATATGCAAGCTATCAACTTCTGTACAAAAGCAAGGGGGAAGAGGAGAAAGAAGATGAATGAGGGGGTACTCTCATCCAAGAGATAAAAAGACAATGAACTTACCTTTCTCTGTGAGGGAAGGCAGAACAACCAAAGGGCAAAAACTGGGAGCATTATTTTGAGCAACTGAAAAGGAAAAAGCAGTCTTTCAGTTCTTTTCTACCCCCATGGTATCATCGAGTTCAGAAGGCATTAATATAAGTATAAGATGGTGATTGTAAAATTGGACTTGGAAGGCAGACAGATTGTCCCAACCTGTATCGGTCAGGGTGGGCTGGATGATGCTGAGCTAACAAACAATCTCAACATATAAGTGGCTTAGAACAGTTCAGGATCCCTCTCCTTGTACCACCTGCCTACTGCAGAGAGGCTGGGGGCTTTGCTCTATGTTATCGTCTCTCAAGGACCAAGCTGAAAAAGGCAGCTTCTTGCCTCAAGTTTCAATAATTGCCATGCAGGGCAAAGCGAATGCAGCAGATTTATTTCAGTCTTGCTCTTAGAGCTTTTGCCTAGAAGTGACACACATCATTTCTTTTCTCATGACATTGACCAAAGTTAGGTTATGAGATCAAGGGTGAGGAGGTGCAGTCCTACCCCGTCCCAGAGAGCAGAGAGTCGAAACGTGTGGGAAACAACACAAATGCTAGCCACTATCACTTACTGACTCTGTGAACTGGGCAAGGCACTTATGCTTTCTGGGCCTCAGTTTTCACATCTGTACAATGAGTTTAGTACTACCCACCTAGAGAATTATGACAAAATTACAGGAGATAACACAATTTATTACATTTGGCACTGTGCCAGGCATAAGATACCAGCTCAGCAAATGCCAGCTGCTAATAGCAAGCAGCACAGCATGGTGGCAGCCTGGACTTTGAAGGCAGACAGACTGGATATGGACCTCATCAGACCACTTGGAAGCAGCGTAGAGTAACAAGTCCTCTAACTTCCTCTATTTTCAGTTTCAGCATTGATAAAACGAAGATGATGTAAACATTAAATGAAGAACCATTCATACCCAGTATGTGACACATAAATGCAAATTATCTTCTTCCCCTTTTTCTTCCTTTACTGAATAAATCTAAATCTTCATTACTCTTTTCTCTCCAGTGGCCCAAACTAGGACGGTACATGGGATCTCCTTGCTCACAGGGAGCTGCGGCAATGTAGCATGGCCAGCAGTCAAAAGTAGGGGCTCCCGGGTCAGCAGCCCCAGGCAAGATTGGTTTGCCACTTTTCTGCTGTGTAACTTTGAGCAAATTACTCAACCTCTCTGTCCTCAGTTTCCTTGTCTATAAAATGGGCATAGTAACAGTGCCTCTCATAGGGTTGCGAGGTTTAGATGAGCTGATACTGGTGCAGCTCTGATCATATAGTAAACGTTCAATACATCCTGTGTATGATTCACTCTTAATACTGCCCTTTAACAATAATATACTCTTGCCATGTCTCTTGTCCCTGTGTGTCTCCATGAAAAGCCATGGGTCAGAGTCATGCTGTGTTCTGGTCCCAAAGTCCTTGCGTGGGTCGCCTCACATCCACCTCCTTCTCTGCCTTCTTCACTTTGGTCAGATATGCCAAGCCCCAGCCTCTTTGCATTCTAGAGCCTTCAATCCTATTATGTCTTTTCCCCTTGGCATCATCTGCCTGGAAGCACCTGCTACTATCACTCTAAGGCACCAGATCTCAAACTTTGGCAGACTTCCAAATTACCTGGAGGGCATGGTAACACACACCTTGCTGGGTCCCACCCCAGAGTGTCTGATTCCGCAGGTCTGGGATGGGATCTGAGGTCTACATTTCAAGCAAGTTCCCCAGCGCTGCTGTTGCTGCTGATCCACGCTGAGCCAAGGCTTCTGTCATCTCACGTTCTGGGAGCTCCTAATATAACTCATAATTGCTCAGAAGTACCCCCATGTTCCTCTATATCCAGCTGGCCAGCTTGATACTTGTCACCCTGTTGTCACTTGTTTAAAATGTCTGTTCTTCCCAGAAGAGACTCACAGAACCAGGCTCCTGAGAGTGCAATCTTCAGAGAATAATTTGACTATCTATGTTGAGGGCATTCAAACGTCCACACCCTTGGGTCCAGTAATTCTGCTCCTAGAAATTTACTTTGAAATTCAAAGCAAGCTCTGTTTGCAAAGGAAACATCTCCCAATACTGATTGAACACTGGCAACTACATAAATGCTGAACACTATGAGAATGGTGGCGTGAGCTACAGCACATCTACTGGGGGGATTACCATGCATCTCACGTCAGCAGAGCATTTGCCACACAGTCTGCTGCGTTGCTTTACTTTCCTTTCACACCCACTATCAGTGAGAAAAAGTAACAGGCATTATAAGTCTTTGCGTGGGACCTTCTTTATTGTACAGGACTGAGATGAGCCCTGAGAATCCTCAGCTTCCATATGTAGGTAGCAATTTACGTAGAATCTATTCTTTTTCATCATTCACATCCTATGAACAGCTTCTTAACCTTTTAATAAGCATAAAGTCTTCTGCTGGCACTAGGCTAGCATTTGGCATGCAGTTATCTCATTTAATTCCCTAACAATCTGATGAGATAGGGCCTACTCTTACCGCATGCAGTGCTGTGCTGGCAAATATGGTACAACTGATTAGGTGGGAGTAAGAGCTATTTTTACTCACAACATTTCTGATACCACATCTGTCAGGTTTTTTGCCCCCACACCAACCAATTCTTCAACCCTCTGGACCAGTGATTCAATTCAATCCAGACACTAACTACCTGGATTTCAAGTCAGACCCCACAGGTTAAGTCTCAGTCCCAGAAGACTGCCCCCACTTCAGATACCAATCACAAGCCCTGAGCCTCCTGCACTTCTGACCATATAAATTGGGGGTCTCCATGACCTCCTCCTTGGGATCAATAATTTGCTAGAATGGCTCCCAGGACTCAGGGAAACCACTATCTATTAAAGTTTTATTATAAAGTATACAACTCAGAAACAGCCAAAAGGAAGGGGTGCATAGGACAAGAGGGCCGGGGGGGAGCCTCCACACCCTGTTTAGGTGTCCCACCCTCCCAGCACCTCTGTGTGTTCACCAACTCAGAAGCTCTCCAAACCTGGTTGTTGAGGGGACTTAAGGAGGTTCCATCACATATGAGTAATTGAGTAAGTCATGGGCCATTGGTCAATGCACTCAATCTCCAGCTGTTCTCTTCTTCTTGGAGATAGGGGAGGGGGACTGAGAGTTTCAATCTTCTACTCTTGCCTTGGTCTTTGTGGCAGCTAGCCCTCCTTCTTAACCTGTCTAGGGGCCTCCAGCCACCAGTCATCTTATTAGAAGACAAAAAGATACTTTTGTCACTCTAGAGATCCCAAGGGACTCAAAAGCTCTTGACTTAGAGGCTCCTTCCCCAGCCCCCTTGTCCTATGCACCCCTTCCTTTTGGCTGTTTCTGAGTTGTATCCTTTATAATAAAACTTAATTAGTAAGTGTTTCCCTGAGTCCTGGGAGCCATTCTAGCAAATTATTGACCCCAAGGAGGAGGTCATGGAGACCCCCAATTTATATGGTCAGAAGTGCAGGAGGCTCAGGGCTTGTGATTGGTATCTGAAGTGGGGGCAGTCTTCTGGGACTGAGACTTAACCTGTGGGGTCTGACTTGAAATCCAGGTAGTTAGTGTCTGGATTGAATTGAATCACTGGAACAGAGGGTTGAAGAATTGGTTGGTGTGGGGGCAAAAAACCTGACAGATGTGGTATCAGAAATGTTGTGAGTAAAAAATAGCTCTTACTCCCACTTCATCAGTTGTAACATATTTGCCAGCACAGCACTGCATGGGGTAACAGTAGGCCCTACCTCATGAGATTGTTAGGGAATTAAATGAGATACTGCATGCCAAATGCTAGCCTAGTGCCAGCAGCAGACTTTATGCTTAGTAAAAGGTTAAGAAGCTGTTCATAGGATGTGAATGATGATAAAGAATAGATTCTACAGTAAATTGCTACCTACATATGGAAGTTTCTATGTGGGTTGCAGAGACACATAATTAGAAGAGCTTGTCATTTCCTTTCCAGATTCTTACATCTAGAATTGCAAGAGGGTCCAAAAACATTTGCTTAGCAGAAGACAGGAACTGTGAGGCTTCAACTCTCTTTTCTAGAAGTCACATTTGACTTTGTAAACAGATCTTGCCCCACTTGCAGACAATGCACAGCTGCAGATAAGATGGGCAGCCCTAGTTCTCTTCAAAGAACAGAGAGTACCAATGCCACAGAGGCCCACCCCTTCCAGGAAGCCCTGGGCTCTGGGGTACTGCTTAACCACAGAGCAGCCCCTTATTCCACGCACCACCCCCTCCTCCCCTCAGCACTTATACCCTTGTCCTCTGGAGGCTTAGAACAGTTCCTCTCTGGCTCTACTGCCAGGAAGGGGCTGCAAACAGTCTCATTTGCATTCACATTGCTTAGCCTGAGACTCTGCAATTCTATGCTAAGATGCATGGAACTTTCTGCTCACTTCTGAACTCTGCTCATAGCAGAATCAGAAGGCCCATGGCTGCAGGCTCTTTGGACTCTCCTTTTGGTGCTCTGCTGCACTAGGTCTGTGCTTTTCTCTTTCTGAATGCTAGGAGACTCTGCTCCATCCTTTGATCTGTGACCACAGCCCTCTAAGAAGGTTATGTTTCAATTGTCCATGTGTGCAGGTCTCTGCCTCTGAGGCTGTGAGATCTGTAAGGGCAGGGACATGCTACCTCCTCTCTACCTACTGCCTATGGCTAGTCAGTGGCCACTGCTCCTTCACCCCACTTCCCTTTCTCTATATCCAGCTTTCCCCCAGAGTCACTTTTGTATAATCCCTTGCAGAACAGAATTTCCTGTTCCTCTCTCATGCTCTGAAGAAGCACCCCCAACACCCTACCTCTCCCCTGGGATTCCACTACAGTAATACAAGCCACATCACGGTGTAATTCTCTGAGGCTGGGGAGGAGAACAGCACCCTCCTCCCAGAGGGGTGTGAGTTGATACAAGGAATGCCTTTAGAGTAGTGTCTGTGACATGGTTTGGAGGTGTGTCCCCTCCAAATCTCATGTTGAAATGTGACCTCCAGTGTTGGAGGTGATCCTGGTGGGAGGTGTTTGGGTCATGGGGATGGATCCATCATGAATGGCTTGGTACTGTCCTCGCAGTAATGAGTGAATTCTCGCTCTATGAGTTCACACAAGAAGTAGTGTTTAAAAGAGACTGGCACCTCCTCTCTTGTTCCCTCTCTCTTTCTCTCACTGTCATCATGTGACAGGTCTGCTTCCCCTGCACCTTGTGCCATGAGTAAAAGCTTCCTGAGGCTTCTCCAGAAGCTGGGCAGATGCTGGTGCCATGCTTGCACAGCCTGCAGAACCATGAGCCAAATCAACCTCTTTTCTTTATAAATTACCCAGTCTTGGATACTCCTTTATAGCAATGCAAAATGGATGAACACAGTCTGACATACAGTAATGCTTAAGAAAGGTTTGTTTTCTTTAACATCTGTCTCCTTAGCCAGACTGTCAACCCTTTGTGGGCAGGGACTTCTACCCTCTGTGCTTCCAAGGTGTTTGGCATATAGTAGGAACTCAATAAATCTCAATTCCTAATTGATCCTAGTGGCAATTCCTCAGAAACAGGGGACCTAGTGTGATATGGTTTGGCTCTGTGTCCCCACCCAAATCTCATCTTGTAGCTCCCATGATTCCCATGTGTTGTGGGAGGGACCTGGTGGGAGATGATTGAATCATGGGAGTGGGTCTTTCCCGTGCTATTCTCGTGATAGCGAATGGGTCTCACAAGATCTGATGGTTTTAAAAATGGGAGTTTCCCTGCACAATTTCTCTCTTCGCCTGCTGCCATTCATGTAAGATGTGACTTGCTTCTGCTTGCCTTCCGTCACGATTGTGAGGCTTCCTCAGTCATGTGGAACCGTAAGTCCAGTTAAACCTCTTTCTTTTGTAAATTAACCAGTCTTTATCAGTATGTCTTTATCAGCAGCATGAAAATGGACTAATACATAGTGTTAATGGGCTCATAGTCATCACTCAGTATAGATGTCACTATACTAAATGACCAAACCATGGACTTGAAGCAAGGCCAAAATCTATTATTGAAAATATTCATCAAATCCTTGGTAAAAATGTTTGTCTCATGTGCCAGTGCTGACAGAGAGGTGAAGGAGAGGATCCTATCCATCCTGCAAGGCTCAGGCCCAGAGATTCCTGTCTCTAGGCAGACTTTCCTAGTCCCATAGAGGCTACTTCCTACTATTATGTATGCAATTACCTAATACAAAGCTAAGAGTGGGGAGAAAAGTAATGACAATGTCAGCTTCAGTGCTGGGATTTTACATCAGTATACTGGTGTGGTTTTGTTTACTAGAGAAAATAGAATCCAATGTACTAATGTTCAGAACTCAGCTAATAAGTGTGTTTTGGCTCAAACTATATCATAAATCAAAAGATGGTTTCTTACTGGTCCACATGGCCCACCTGTGAGAATACTGTAATTTATTAAACCAGTCTCCTTAAGTAAGGTTACCCTTCTCAAACTAGGTCTTAGGAGGAAATAATCCACAAAGTCTTAAGACTTATCCCACCACCCACTTCTGTTTGATGAAGACAACTTAAGGGAGAAAGAACCCTGTCCTGCTCTGCTGGAGAGTCAAATCACACCATGTCAACACAACCTTGTGACAGCCAGTCCTCCTCCTTCTGTTCTGAAATGAGAACCACGGAGCCACTCACACCAGAATGCCCATAAGCCATGTGCATCCCATGGTGTTTTCTGTTCAGGGGCCATGGATGGAAGAATGAGAGTCTGATGACATTGTAGCACTTTTTCTTTCTCTCCCCAGGCACCCAGACACTGCAAGCAGGCAGTGCACAGTGTGAAAGACCACCTGCTTGGGGAGAGGAGATTGCAGGAGCTGGGCCTTAGGCCAAAAAGAGGGCCCATAGGAACCTTCCAGCAACAGGCTTCCACACCTCCTCTATGGTTTCATCGTTTGTCCCCTCCAAAACTCATGTTGAAATTAAATTGCCATTGCAACAGTAATGAGAGGTGAAACCTTTATGAGGCAGAGCCCTCATGGGTGGGACTAATGCCATTATAAAATGGCAAGTTTGGTCCCCTTTCTTTTCTTTGCTCTTCTACCTTTCCCCATGGAATGATGCAGCAAGAAGGCCTTTGACAGATGCTGGCTCCTTGATATTTGACTCTCCAGTCTCCAGAACTGAGAGCCAATACATTTCTGTTTATTATAAATTACCTAGTCTGTGGTATTCTGTTATAGCAGCACAAAACGGACTAAGACACCTCCCAAGCACAATTTCTTTCTCCCATGTTTCCGTGACACTTTACTGATAAGTGTTCTAGTATTTCATTTCTTCTGCTATATTTAATCATATTTCCTCATATTTTCCTCACTACACTGTGTCTAAGGAAAATGAATATATCTTATTAATCTCACTTTCCACAGTGCCCAGTACAGTATATAACTGAAAACAGACACTCAGTAAAGTTGAAAAACTTATAGTAAGAGAGACCCAGCACAAGAATGTTGTATTTATTTATAATCTTTAACTCCTTCTTAGACTGTGAGTGACTGCAAAACAGAAATCATGGCTTTTTCACCTTCAATCACACAACATAGTGATTTAGGGTCAGAAAGACTTGTGTCCAGATTCTAACTCTGATTTACTTTCTGGTGACCTTGAGTAAGTGACAACCTCTCTGAGCCTCTACTTCCTCATGATACATGGGTGTGAAAATTAAGTGAGATAGTGCATGCAAAGTGTTTGGAATCCAGCCAGGCACACAGTATGAGCCCAATACATAGAGGTTATATTGGTAATGCCAGAGGACCCCCAGGTATGATTAACGCTCAGTCAATGTTGGTTGAATAAGAACCCCTCTGTGAATGTTTAATTCCCTGCTCTAAGTTTCTGGTCAAAACTCCTGAGTCGAGTCCCCAGACTGACCCCACAGAATATATGCTGGAAAAAGTTAATGATCTATGCAGTCAGATGAAAAGAAAAAGAACAGATGGAATGAGTTGGGACAATGAGTACCTTGATTCCTTCCCCTGCCAACTCCTGTCAAGATGTTGTAACACTCTGGTCTGATTCTCATTACTTCTGAACAAATGAATTACTTCTTAAGCTTCTTTTTACCCGATTCTTCCATGAGTAATATGAAGATGGAAAATGACATTTTTAAGACTTTGGTGAGGTAAGGAGGTAAGAGGACAGATGGGGCAAGGGGGAAGTGAGAGGTGAGAGCTCAGTTCTGAAGTCTCCCAAATACCTAGTGCTGGCACTGGGTCTCCTTTGGGGTCAAAGACCTGGGCAGGTATTTTCTCCCTTCCTCTATGAGTTAAAGCAGGGAAACTGTTATATATGGAACATTATTCCTTTAATAGAAACCCACTGAGGATATTTCATTATACAATCCTGATGTTTTTCTTAAAATAATTTCAGATGTTAAAATAAAATAAAAAGCCAATAGAGTCAATTCAGATCAAATCACAGGATGCTGAAGGTGGACACCAGCAGGAAGATTCCATTCAAACTGGTAATAATTAACTCCAGAAACATCTTCCATGAAGTTGAGGCACACACAGGGAATGGGTAGGCTCATGAGCAAGGGCCGAGCACCAGATACTGCCTGGGAGCTGCATCTGGATCTTTCATGTTGGATATGGCTATGGAACAAGGCACCAAACCACCAACTGGTTTGATTTGTTAGTTTATCAGTATTTATTCTTTTTAATCTGTTAGTCAATTTCTTGTTAATCAATTGAGTTGGGGGAAGGTCAGTCAGGAAAGGTATCTAGACATTTTCCTGTCTAGTCATTTTTGGGATGTGAAAGACCTGCCAGGAGGCAACATCGTAAAGGGAAGGAGAATAAGTTTGGGGTCATCAGGTCTGGGCCTGAAGCCTGCCTCTGTTTCCTACCAGCCGTGTGGTTTGGGTCAAGCAATTCAACTTTCTACGCTGCAGTCTTCTCACCTTAAAATGGAAAAAACAATACCTACTCTGCAGGAGTATTATGAGTATTAAATGGTATAACCCACGTAAATCCATCATGGTCTGAAACGGCAGGGACGTGAAGAATGTAATTTCTTCTCTCTTTGCCTACTTTGGACAAAGGGTTATATTGGGTGAAATAAAGAATGTGGCTGGGTGCGGTGGCTCACGCCTGTAATCCCAGCACTTTGGGAGGCCGAGGCGGGTGGATCACCTGAGGTCAGGAGTTCAAGGCCACCCTGGCTAACATGGTGAAATCCCATCTCTACTGAAAATACAAAAATTAGCTGGGCATGGTGGTGGGGGCCTGTAATCCCAGCTACTTGGGAGGCTGAGGCAGGAGAATTGCTTGAACCCAGGAGGTGGAGGTTGCAGTGAGCTGAGATCGCGCCATTGCACTCCAGCCCGGGTGACAAGAGCAAAACTCCGCCTCAAAAAAAAAAAAAAAAAAAAAAGGAATGGTCAAATGTAGGGATCTCGAAGACCCCTTCCACATTTCCAGATCAGACAGTCCATGGCTCTATTTTCTAGGGCAAGTGCTAAGTAAGAGCCAGAATTCCCCATATATTTACTCTGAAACTAATAAGGAAGCCACTAGTGGGAGAAGTTGGAAATACTAAACCTCTGCTCAGCCTCTCTCTAATTTGACTCCTCCTAGTTGAACACAGGGTGTTCCATCTTTTTGGATCTGGGACATCTTTGTGAATTTGCTTCTGGGACACAGGATGAAGATGTCTAGTTTCCATGTGGCTGCCCACTATTCCCCAAATCTATCCATACCATAAACACATGTGATGTAAGCGGTGACAGAATCATAGTGAGTCTCATTCGCTGTTTTCACCAATGGAAAAACTGAGGAAGTGGTGTGACTTTCCGAAAGACAAACCCATAGTAAGTAGATGGCAGAGTTGGAACAAACCTAATGTCTCCTTATCTGAGTCCAGGAGCTCTTATGCCACACTGTAAATGCCATTCATTCCTTCATCAATTTCAAATTGAGCTCCTAAAACGTGCCACATAGATATAATCAGAATCATACTTTAAGGACCCATGTTGGGTCAATGCTGCCTTGGCCCTGAAGTCCTAACTCTATATGCATTGTCAAATACACATTGGTTGTCCCCGTTTTCCTCCATGGGACTACCATGTGGTACATTGTCTTGATTGTCAAGGTAAGAAAACCAAGGAAATGTGCCAGAGTCTATATCTATTGATTTTGCCTGTCCAGCAACAGTGCCTTCACTACTGTTTGAGGAACACCCCCTATCCTAGTGCATACCATCTTGTTAGGACCGTCAAGCTGTCCCACTCTCCCTCTGGCAGCGTGCTGACTAAGCCCAGGTGGGACCAAACTCTCCTCCTTGAATTTAAAGGTTGAATATAACCACTAAACCCTATGGAGCAGATTAATGATGATCATGGCACACTGAAGAAGTTGCCTATTTGTTCTTGTTACATACATCCATGGAAATGGTCCATTTCCGTCTTTACTGAGACCTAGTTGCTCATCCTTCCTTTGAGTCAATGAGCAAACTTTCAATAAGTTTCTTGTCTGCTTAAGTTAAACAGAATCTATTTCTGTTGCTTGAACCCAATGAGTCTTCATTAATCTACTCACCAATCCAAGAATATTGTCCTAATGCATGGCTGGGAAATAGTTAACTAAAGACGTCCATATAGCTGTCATGAGAAGGGTACTTACTGGGCTTCTGGTACCATCCGAAGGGATAGGTGTGGACTTCAATGTCAGGAGAGCCACAGTCCAAAATGCGCCAGGCTCCTCCATTCTCCTCACTGCACATCTGAATTCCCAAGCTGTTCAGAGTGAGACATGTCACCTCTCCTCCTGGGGTGGAAAAAAAAAAAACAAAAAACCACAATCAGGAAACTGAGTACAATGGAAGAGTCTAATAAATGAGAAAAATTCTGCAAGTACATTGTTCAGCAGACATTTGGGATACACCACTATATTTCAGATACTATCTCAGCCACTGCTGAAAAACCTGGTACCTGAACTCAAGGAGCCTCTGATCTAAGAGCAAAGGGATAGAGCTACTTATCAAGCACCTAACATGTGCTTAGGGCTGTGCTAGGTCTCTGTTGGTATCACTTCACTTGGTCCTCACATAACCTTACGAGGAAGGTAGCTTTGGTAGCCCTATATACAGATGAGGAGGAAACAGAGGCTCAGGGAGATTAAGTGACTTTTCCAGAATCACACACTAGTAAGGGAATCAACCAAGCATTAAGTACACATCATGCAAATGGATCCAAAGTTCGCCAAGCTGCTTGGCCTAAGTGTTGAAAGATGAACAAAAGATATCCAAGCCAAGAGTAGAAGGAAGGAAGTTTGGCCAGGTAGAACTGCACATGTAAAGTGATGATCACTGGACTAGGAGCCATGTCTCAGCTACCACATTTATTAGCCAGTTGCCCTCTCCAAGCCCCCATTTCCTTATCTGTGAACGAGGATAGGAGATGCTGAGGATTTGTAAAAGCATAGATGTGAATGTGTTTTCTAAACTGCAGAGTACTGTGCGCAGGGGAGAGGAAGTTGTTACCATTATTACCTTTTAACTGGGAAACATTTAGAAATCCAAAGCCAGTGCAGCATGGGTCCGCATCGCACCGTCGTTCACATTCAAAGAACCTGGCATAGGAAGAGAAAGAGCAGGCCTGAAGGTTTTCACTGGTGACCCAGGACCTACTGGGTGGGCTGATGGTAGTCATTCTTGCTTTGGGGAACTAGCTTATTTTTTTACCCCCTACTTAAACTGGGGGTGCTTTGGTCAATATGCATGAGTGGATTCTTAGCTTTGAGGTTCTTTCTGAAAACAAAATTCTACTCCTCTCAGGAATACTGTCCTGCCATTAATCATTTATTCACCCATTCATTCATCATGCATATATTCTGTGCCTATTATGTGCCAGGCTCCAACCAAGCTAACCCAGGATCCAGAATGTACTCTTTCAATCCTTTCAGGTAAGCAGAAGGTCTCAGCTTTGGACACTGGGAAAATAAAGAAATAACAGGGAAGGCATTTCTAGAAAGAGGAGAGTCCATAGGCTTACAGTCAGGGTGACCCAGCCAAGGGCCTGTGTAAGCAGCCAGAGCCGAGCCTGTGCTCCCCTTCACTTCCCCTCTTACTCAGTGTACAACGTGGATAATCACTCTCTACCAATGCATTTCGGTTTACTGGGTCAGCCCACCCAGCCAGGCTCTCTCAAGACTGACCTTCTTATCCACTCAATAACTAAGCCCCACCCTCAGCTTCTAGGGCTATTCATGGCAGGAGGGACTTAATGGCTCCAAACCAATGTTTCTGGGGTCAATTCCAAGTTTCCCCTGCCCCGACCACTCTGCTCCAGTCTGACCACTCATTCGTGACTCCTGAGAGCTTTCTCAAACACTTAGCCCCTTCTTGGTGAGGGGATCCTGCCTCGTATTGCCATTCTCCTTCCCTGAACCCAAGCCACATCCCAGCGGTGATGCTTTTACCTGCTGGGCAGCATCTCCAATGTTGGCAGCATCTGTGCCCTGATGCCTGCAAGTCACCTCTCTGCTTTTCCATCTCCTAGTTCTCTGCTAACCTGTCCACTTACTGCTTCCTTTTCCTATCTTGGAAGCTCATTTCTAAGATCCAGTCTGGACCATGGATTTTCCCAGCCAACTACATTTTCCTGAGTCCAGACGCACAATCTACTCCCCTAGTTCCCATCACAGCTCCGCGGTCAGGCTGATCCCTGGTTCCAACCCTCCTTTTCATCCACCACTCCCATCAGCACAGTGGTGTCCAGCTGAATCTCAAGACAGACTAGCCTGCCTCATCTTTTTACCCCCATTTTCAAAAGTAGATCTTAAGCACCAGCAACATGATTCAGTCATAACTCAAGAGCACTTCATAGATCAATGGTTCATGAATGGATGACACTTGAATTTTTAAGTATAAAAGAATCACCAGGGGAAGCTTCCTTAAAGGTCAGATTCTTGAACTCCATCCCAGGAAATGCTGATTCAGCAGGTTTGAAATAGGACCCAAGGATGCAGTTTATAAATAGGACCCAAGAATACAGATCTGTGGATCTCACCCATTAGAATTCACATTCAGCTCTCCGGGTGATTCTAATGGGTAAGATCCACAGACAATACTAGGAGAGACATCATCTTCAATTAAAACAACTAAATAATGACTAAGCAAATAAATCAATCATAAAATAAATTTTAAAAATAAAAAATAAAAATTATTTATATGTATATGAGTCTGTTAAAATTTCCACTTGCTCTCCAGATTCTGAGCACTGCAATGTGAGGTTTTGACAATCAAATTTAGTACCATACTTGATAATTTATATTAAATAATGCTCGGTGGCTCTTTCATCATCCAGCGAGTAGTTCAAGGCTAAATGTTGTGTTTACTATCAGTAACTTACCTTAGCTGAGGTTTTCAGATATGGTTACCTCCTTATTATCTTTTACCCCCTTAGCTTTGGATTTTATAGTTTTTTGTGCTTTTTTTTTTTTTTTTTTTTTTTGACAGAGTCTCGCTCTGTTGCTAGGCTGGAGTGCAGTGGCGCAATCTCAGCTCACTGCAACCTCCACCTCCTGAGTTCAAGCAATTCTTCTGCCTCAGCCTCCTGAGTAACTGGGACTACTAGCATGTGCCGCCACCATGCCCAGCTAATTTTTGTATTTTTAGTAGAGACGGGGCTTCACCATGTTGGTCAGGATAGTCTTGATCTCTTGACCTCGTGATCAGCCCAGCTCGGCCTCCCAAAGTGCTGGGTATGCTTCTGTTTTTAGCTGTGATTGTGTCATCTTCTTTGAGGAAGTATTATTCATAATAAACATTAGGGGTGAGACACAAGTAGCTTACCCATTAGAAATAGATTTTTCAGACATGGGCACTTTATTTCTAATGGATATCCCCATCAGTTTTTGGAACGGCAGGCGAGTGTAAAAGTTCTTCACTTTATCTTCCAGTATAACTTCATAGAGGAAGAAAGAAAATACATTACTTAGAGATTTGCTGTAGTCATGAAAATATGAGGACAAATGAGTAAAATACAGACTGAAAGTTTCCAATTAAAGATGACATATTAAATTCATATTAAACCTCATTTCCTAACTCAAATCTCACTAAAATGATGGCAAGTCCACAGGGACAAAGATTTTTTTTAAAAAAGTGGAGACACAGCAACAAAATGTTGGAAGCTAGAAAGCATATGGAGAAATAAAAATAGGCCTAACAGACCAAGAAAACTACTCAACTTTTCTGTGGAAAGAACAAAGAAGCAACGCCATCTGCCCTCTGGAATCCCACAAGGTTTAAGTATGGCAGCCCTGGGGGTGAAGGTGGCCCAAACAGAAGTACTGGCTGGAATTTCTTTAAGAAGCTATTTGGCCTCTAGATGCTCTCCTCTCCTCTCCGCAGCTGACAACAGCCCTCTCCCCACCACGGAAGAAGATAGAAGGTTCGTTCTCTCAGGACGACAGAAGAGAGGATCTCTTGGGTGCATCAGATACAAACCATGGCATGAGCACTTCACAGAAAGTAGGAGATTCTTTCAAGTCAGCCTGCATAATGAATATTGAGGTGTCCCCCCGACATTTTCCAGATTTATTTGGTGCCCAAACCACCAGGAGCCAGGTTCGTGCCCCAAGGCCAGGTGTTGAGAAACTCCTCTGAAGGAGGAACCTAAAAATACTGGCATGAGGAATTCCCCAAAGGGCAACCCAACAGGATTATCCCTCAAAGAAACCTAGAGTCAACAAGTTCCCACCACACATTTGGGGCTGCCCAGTCAGCTTGTGGACCCCTTTGACATTCGAGTGGAAAAATAAGGGTCACTGGACATCTGAGAAAGACATCCAACAGAGAAGATAGAACAGTAAATGAAAGGTGACAACATCTGGAGAAAACAGACTGTATGGGGTTAAAAAAAATCTCCAAAAATATGGCATCATTAATGGCCTGGGAGAGAAAATCACCTTCTATCTTGTTAAAGTCACTGTTGCTGACATTCCTTGTAATATACAGCCAAATGGGATTCTGATGCATGTATTAAAGGTGGCTGTCTTAGGAGAGGATTATTTTCTATTGTCAAATTGATGCAGTTCTAAATGGCTTCACATCTCTACAAGGAACATGAATAACTTTACTTTTAAAAGAAGAATAAATTAGTTTTAAGTGTGAATAAACATTTTGGGTTTTATTTTTTTAAAGCCCACTTCTGCATTGAAATACTGCCCCCAAATAACCCTTTTTCATATTTTTTGTTTAAACTGAGACAATTACGTAGTAGTTTATTGATTCTAACCGTGAAAGTTTGGATCCATGTTCCCATCTTCTTGAAACCAATAAAAGTATAAAGAAAATGTTTTTTAAATAAGAAACTAATGTGGATCTTTCTAAAACCACAGAGCCAGCAGAACATTGGAAATACAGTTTATGCAGATCTCTCCAAGTGCTCACCTTTCTTCCGGAACAGGGCCTTTGGCATCTGAGGCAGGATCAGTCTGCAGCCCTGGGCATTGGACTCCATGATGTCATCACACACCTGTGCCTCTGGGTAGAGGGTGCAGGTGAAGTACAAGGATGCACTCTCTGTTATCTCTGCGAGCTGACAGAAAGAGTGCTCCTGCACACAACCTACAGGCAAGAGAGTAGTGTGATTTTAGTTTTTGTGGGGTCTACAGGGGAGAATAATCTCTACAGGATTCTCTGGGTGGGGAAATGCCTGGTAGAGATCCCTCCTAGTTAGGGCAGAGGCCTGAGACTGTCATGATCATCCAGTCTGGAAGGCCCATGCAAAAACGCTGGGGTTCTGCTAGCTGGGGAGGGGGCCGTGTGCTCCTGAATAAAGGCAGAGTTGAAGGCATAAGGGACAAACCTCAAACTCAGCAATACAAGAGGCAAAAGAGTAACATTGCATTGGATCTACCCATGGCCATCTCAGAGGAAGTCAGGATCTGCAGACCAGAGGTCACAGGACTGTAAAAACTGTGAACTTTGTGAATGGTCTCCCTGCACCTGTGCCCAAGTCAGCCTGTGCCCCTGGTATATATGAGCTCCCCAAGGGCAAGGAACATGGTTGATTTGATTCATTTTGGGTGTTCTCTTTCTTCTCCAAAATCAAACACAAAGCTTTGAACATAATGCATACTTAATAACTGCCAAATGGATGGATGGATAGATGGATGGATGGATGGATGGATGGATGGATGGATGGATGGATGGTTGGATGGGATGGATACATGGATACATGGATGGATGGATGGTTGGATGGGTGGATGGATGGATGGATGGATGGATGGATGGATGGATGGATGGATCGAATGGATGGATGGATGGGATGCAAAGATGGACGGATGAATGGGATGGATGGATGGATGGATGGATGGATGGGTGGATGGGATGGAAGGATGGATGGGATGGATAAATGGGTAGATGGATGGATGAATGGGATGGATGGGTAGATGGATGGATGGATGGATGGGTGAATGGACGGATAGATGGAGAGACAGGTGGATGAAGATAGGTTATGGAAGCAGAGTAGAGATTAACTACACTGTAACCTTCTTGAAGATATGGGTTATGTGCTATCTTTCTTTTATATCATCCACAGTGATCCATGAGTTATGACACAAAATTTGGCCTTATCTGTGTCTCAGGAGTTGCCAGACTTGGCCTGTGATGCCTGACTACAGTGTCTGGAAGAAGAAGAATGAGTTCTAAGGATACTTACGAGAAAGGCACCATAGGTTTGCCTGCTGGGCTGAAAACAGGTGCTTGAAAAGCCAGTGCTTCTGGCTGGATAGTGATTGATTTCCATTGACAATGACCTGGTTGAGGTCCACAGGGGAGAAAAGTTCTGTTGTCAAACCTGAAAAAGAAGCAGGGAGTCAACTTCCTGCACCTTTAACTCTAGTGAATATGAGAAAAACACAAGAAAGAAACACACACACACACACACACAGAGAGAGAGACAGAGAGAGAAAGTGTCAGAGATAGAGACAGAGACATTTTTATGCTGTGTGAAACCAGAGCAGGATTGAAGTCAGTAGAGCTGGGAGTTGGGTCAGACAGGAATAGTTCAGAAGGCCCCAGGAAGTCCTAAAAATTATGGGATGGCAAAATCTTAGACTCTGGGTTTGGATAAAGCCTTGGAAGTTATCTGGTCCACCTTTTCACCTAATGCAGAAGTTTTCCCCTGGAGACTTCTGTCTAATGCCTCTATAGCTCCACATGACATCATTGTGCTAACCACAGCAGCCCACTCCATCATTAGGAAGTTGTATAGTCAAGTCCTCTTTTTGTAACTTTGAACCACTGATCCTCTTTTTGTCTTCTGAAGCCACATGGAAGTCCAGCCTCTCTCCAAAATGGTAGTCTTCATCTACAAAGTCAGCTTTCAGCTCCACTTAACCCAAACTTGAAAGTTTTAGCTCAACCATTCCCTGACTCTGTCTTCAGGTATTTACATGCCATGATCCCAGCTCTTCCTGGAGTCTCCACTGCCTACAGAAAATAAGTCCAGATTCTTTTCTTAATCTGGGCTCTACTTGCATTTTCAGCCTCAACTCGGATTGTCTTGATTTGCACTTCAGCAACACAACAGCCCTGCTAACTCTAGCTCATCACCACACTGTTTGCAGTCCCCATGCAATTGCTCATGCTCTTCCCTCTGTTGGCTCAAGCTCCATTACACCTTCCTCCACCACCCAGCTAGTGCAGCTTGTGCTTTGAGGATCAGCTTTGATCCCTCTGGCTCTGATGTCCTGTGACTCTATAAAGAGGTTCTATAGGGCCAAGGACCCCAACACCCAGGCCCAGTGGGGATAGCTCTGTAACCTTGGAGGGCTCTGTCTTCCAGGGGGATGTACAACGATGGCAAGATGCAGATCAGGGAGATGAGCTGGGGAATGTTTGCAATGTCCATTCATTCAGGGCTCTGTATAAGGGGCACTACATCCCATATATACCTCCACTTTGCTGTGGACTTGGGCCCTGCACTTTCCTTGTAGTGCTTGTCAGCAGCCATTTTCCACACTTCATAAAGCAGGCTCAAGGAGACTGAGCTTCTTCACTAGAAAGAACCACTGGACAAGGTAAAGGCTTTATGAGTACTTGGAAAGGTCAGAAGTTTAGTGCTGGCAGAGACACCAGAGACCATGTCACCATCCCAGCCTGCATCTCATGTGATTGTATGATGGCCAGTTCCCAAGCCTGTTTCCTCACTGAACCATGCCTGGCACAAGAGGACAGAGACCTCAGAGATCATATTGCCTCCCCAGCCTTCATCTCACATGATTGTATAATGGCCAGTCCCCATGTGGGTCTCCCCATTGAACCATGCCTGGCACAAAGTAGGAGCTCAGGGAAATCACAGATTGCCCCTCAAGAAAGCAGAAAGAGAAGAGAAACAAGGCAGCAGGACTGAAGGCACACCTGCTCTCAGAGCCTTGGCACAGGTGTTCCCCTTACCTGGAACACCTTTTCTCAGGTATACCTGGGAGCATCTGGCAGATCCTTCTGGCCTCCTCCGAGAAACCTTTCCTGGCCCCTGCAGGCTGCTAGCATTCCTTCTCCTGCATTCTCACTGCAACCGACACCTGTCCACATTGCATCCCTTGCCACACTGTCATGCAGTGGCTGGCACATGGAATTCTCACTAGCCTGTGAATGTCCAAGGCCACAGCCACATGTGCTCAAAAATGTCTGGTTGGATGAAAGAATGAATACTGTAGCCACTTCATCTTATACCTGGTTTACGTGCCGTATTAGATTAAGCCATTTCCTATTTCTCTTAAAACTATGTGCCCTCCTTAAAAGCAATGAGACCAATCACTCTCGTTGGCTTCCTGGGTTTGTCTCAAACATTCAGACTGATGGGAGTAACCTGATACACAAAGGGGAAGATTCCTCACTGTCCTCTGAATCAGAGAGGCCATTCTCATGGACCCTGAGAAGCACCGTCTGAGTAAACGAGCCCACGTGGAGATGCCACTCGGCCTGGACTCAATGTGATTTTTTTCTCCAGGCACTTTATCTACTTGAGCCCAGGAATGCAATCAACTGAGAAAGGGAAAACTGAGCTGAGCCTTGTCTATTCACCCTGACTCCCCGCAAGGTCTCCAGTGGGGGCCAAGCTCCCCTTCTAGGGGAGAGGGAAGAAAGCAGGGGGCAGGGGGAGCATCTTGTGTGAATCATGTGAGAGTTTTGCAGATGCTGCCCTAAAGTAGCCCTAAAGTAGTGTGTGATGATGGATTTGACAGAACCTTCTCAAGTGCCACTAACTCACACACATTTACATTATCACAAGCTGTGTGGCTGCCCCTCAAAGGCACTGCCGAGGTTGAGGATCACAAACACAACGCCTGATCAAGCAGGGGAGGGCAGGGTGCTGGGCATTTTTTAGGCATGTGTTAAGTACCAGGCACTGTGCCAAGTGGTTGCTATCTAACGGGATAAGAGGTAGACAAGATTCTTTTACACATGAATCCAGGGATCTTAGCAGGGAAGCAAATTACCCATGGCCGTGCACTAAGGCATGTAGTCAGTGGCAGAAACATGGTTCGAGCTCTAGTATCTGCTCTGTAGCATGACGTTTTTTTCCCCTGTACCATGCTGCCTTCCTGTGCCAGCAGTCTGATCTGGCTCTCCCTCTTCTTATTCCCTTCTCCTTCCTTCTTTCCTTCTGCTCCTACTCCTATTCCTACAGTGCGTCCATGCATGCAAATACACACACACACACACACACACACACACACACTGCAGACCACATGCAGATGTCTTGTCTCCTGGTCCTTGCTGAGCCCATATTGAGCAGCTGATCTCCCTCTCTCTCTGAGTTTCAGCTCCACCTCAGTAATAATAATCACAGACTCTGGAGGTAGAGAAGTCCAGACAGTACATACGTACTGTTCCTATTCATGTTTGGAATCACAGCTTTCACTGTATGCCATGACATGCAAAAGATTCTCACAGACATGTCATTCATGAAACAATTTCAGAATATTTACACTTTGTTTATACTTTTCAGGGCTGACATAAGTGAAGCCCATTGGCCACAGTCAGGTGAACCTTGCTCTTTGTTTCTTTTTTCAGGTTTTATTATTATGGTTGTCTTCATTTCCAGTAACACTTATGAATTTGCAGTGATTTTGCCTTACTTTCTGTGACAATTGCCCATCTGAGGAGCTTCCCATATTTATGAGCTGGATAATTGGGTTAAAAGATTAAAGGAGAGTCCATGGATACAGAATAGAGTGATGTCAATACGTCCGTTCATTGATTAAACTCTTGGTGCACCCATTTAGTCTCTGCATTCAGACACCCAAGTGTGTAAGAAGGTTTGGGGGTCAGTACCTGCTTCTGTTGGAGATGCTGGCCTTGGCACTGTGTCTTTTCTACATCCCATAGACTCAGGCCGAGACCCCATGTCAGAATCTAGGAGGAAAAAAAAGAGTTGTTGCAATGTTGGGGAGAATGGGTAGTACTCCACTGGTCAACAAAATGGTAGTAGCAATGTGAGAAAAATCAGGCCCTAAAGCCAGGTGACTTAGAGAAGATCTGCAACAGATGCCCTGACATGGATCTGCACTCTTTTTTATATGGAACATCATCCAACCTCTCAGTGATAGAACATCATTATCTGTGATATTGAAATTATTAACATACGCAAAGCCCTTTCGAGTTAACAAAATATGCTCATAAATATTGCTGTTTATAACTCCCTGTGTAGGTAGGGAACAAGATTTCCATTTTACTCTTGAGAAAACTGAGACTTAAAGAGGCAAAATAATTTATCCCAGACCACTCAAGTGGCCAGTAAATGAATTAGAAATTTTAACAATTTAACTAAATGTTCAAGTCAGGAACAGGTCTTCCATGAAAGCGAGTGAGCCTGTGGCAGTGCAGGTATCAGGCAGGCCTTAAGGCACTTCTCTGTAGTGCGGCAAATGTCCTGGAGAAATGTAAGTCCCTCATTTTTCATCAGCTAACACTTTATCAGAAATTTCTGATAACTAGGAAGTACTGGACTTGGGATCTCCTACCAGTGTCTGGTTTCAACCCCAGGACCTCCCAGGCATACCATGGGCATTTCACGTATCCTCTCCAAGTCTCATTTTCCTTGCCTGGAAAATGAATAAAATATCACCCCCTCTTTAGGCCTACATTATGGGTATAATTAAATGAGAAAAGAAGTACATAATCTCATTTTATCTCTTTAAAATGAAAATGATGGTAAACACCTTCCTTTTCATTTTCTCCTCCCCCTCCTTTTCTCCTCTTCCTCCTCCTCCTCTTCTGCCTTCCTTCTTCACTTCATCACCACCACCCCCACCAACATTACTCAGCATGTATGATATCCACAGCATTGTTTTGTGCATTGATGTATTATTGCTCAGGCAATTCTGAGGCCAGTGGCGTCTGTATCGCACGTTACCCATGGGGAATCTAGGCATGAGGGGCTGGTCCATGGGCTCCCAGGCACATGAATGGGGATTGATAGGAACAGGATTCACATCCCATCATTCCAAGTCTGTGCCTTCCTGCTCTTTCAGTTTATCAGCATGTAGAAGCAAGTCGCCAATCCTCTCTTGGGACACTGAAGATCAGCGAGGACAGATTAGGGGAACAGGAAGGAAGTAATATGGGGTCAGAGGCTTTTTCTCATGCCTCTCACCCAGCACATATGGCCATGACCTGTGATGGGCCACTGCTCTATCTGCTCCCTCCTGAGGCCGGAACCCTTCAATAGTCAGGGCTGTGCCTCTCGTCTCTCCCCTAAATGCCTTTCATTTTCCCTGGGTCTGAGTAGGCACTTGGTCAACATTCAGAAAACGTGAAGGAGGACAAAGAAACAGAAGGGAAGTGCCAAGCATACATGTTGTCAGACTCTCCATTTTTCCCACACTCTGTCCCACACACCCAGAGTAGCATTATCTCTGAGCAGGAGATCAGGGCACTACCTGCCTGGGGTCCTGTCCCCAGTCCCTGGGCCTCAGGGTGAAAGGCACATGGGGCTGAGTCCACTTGGACAAATGCCTCCTGTGCTTTGCAATGGCCCTGAACTCCCCTCCTAGGAACAAGGGTGTCTTGTGGTCAGCAAGCTTTATCTCGCGGGAACCTAGTGCTTCCTCTATCCATCCCTTCTTGGGTTTCCACAGTATTCATTTTTGTTTTAGACTTTGGCATCTTATCTGATGAGTTGGAGCCCTTCTATTCCACAGAAAGTATGCATTTGGAAAGTGACTCTCTACCTATTCCTCTACAGAAATAGAGTGCCCTGTGAATGAGAGGTGGTGCCAGACAATCTCATGTAATCAGCGTCCTGCTAACCCCCTCTTCCACCACGGAGCTCACCTTTCCAGAGATAAACCTGCTGAAAATTGGTAAAGGTGTCTTGAGTTCCTTCTAAGGGTGTCAGACCTGCAAAGGAAGATGTTTATTTTTATGAGCTTGAGTGTGCTGTCACTGGGTACCCACCATTACTGCAATAGCCCCATCTCCCTTGACACAGGCTCTTCCTAGGCCTGAAAACTCTGTTTCCCACGTAAGATGTAACCCAGAAGCTTCTTGCAGCTCTATTCCAGCTCCCTAGTACAAAACCAGAGCTGGTCAGACATGGGTGTCATACTCAGGGCACCAAAGGGACTACTTCCATGAGGGGTTGTGAACCTATGACTCGGGAGAGTCACTTAAAGAACTGGAGATTGGCTTGAAGAAAGTAAACCTCCTGGGACACTCGAGGGCTGTGTGAGTTTCCCACATCACTTAACTCCTCAGAGACTCTTGCCTCATTGGTAAATGTGGACAGCGATTTTGAGAATGGGAATACTGTGTATAAACTATCCTCTGCAGTCTTCAACATTTGATAGGCAGCCACTTGTTGGCGGCTGCCACAACTCAACCGATTAATAATATTATCCGATTTTCCTTTCTGGCAAACTGTTCTCCCCTGGATCCCACTCTGGATGACACTAGGCTTGCCACACCATTTCCTGATGGTCAGTGCTGCCTCTTTTGCCCCTGCTCAGTCTTCAGTTCCTTTCAAATTCCCTGTGACATGGAAGGTGAGGGAAATAGCCCAGATAGCAGAGTCTGGAGGCAAATAAGCCCCATGCTACAGGAGAGGGCTGGCTGACAGCCTGGGACATCGAGATATGATCAAATTTTGTTTTTAATTATTATTAGGAGCTAGTCTTTTTATACCTTTATTTAAATTTTTATTTTATTTTACTTTAAGTTCCAGGATACACATGCAAAACTTTGTGCTGGTTTGTTACATAGGTATACGTGTGCCATGGTGGTGTGCTGCGCCTACCAACCTGTCATCCAGGTTTTAAGCCCTGCATGCATTAGGTATTTGTCCTAATGAAGAGCTAGTTATTGATAAACAGTTATTACCATTTATCCAACACTAGCAGCAGTGTCTAAGGGAGAGAATACAGTCATGGGTTCCTAGTTTCTGTTTCTGGTTGGGCCAGTAAATCCCCTTCCTCATCACTCTTTTCTGCTTATCACTAAAGACAGAAACTAAAAACCATGGTTTCAGAATACTAAAAACCTAAAACAAAACAAAACAGAACAACAACAACAAAAGGTGGACTGGACAAGCTTGCACAAAAACCTTCCTTATATTACCCAATTTAAAACTCACAGGCATGATATAAAGTAAGGTCCCTGATTTCCAGATAAAGGAATCAAAGTCAAGAAAGGTTAATGCAAGAATTCAAACCCCATCTATTTGGCTTCAAATCCCATACTCCTTCCTAATCACCACACTAAGGAGAGGATAATATACAGCCATGCATCTCTTACCAACCAGAATATGTTCTGAGAAATGCAATTTTGTTGTTGTGTGATCATAGGGCGTACTTACATAAGCCTAGACGCTCTATATACTTTTATTTACATATATTTTTCATACAAAAAAAGTCCCAGCATCATTAATGAATCTTAATCATTTCCCCTACTTGATCTGAAATGTCAGTATCAAGTGCTATGTATCAGGTTTCTATTATTATCCATTATAATCTTATGCATTAATCTTATAATCTTATTCTCCATTTAATCTTATGGGACCACCATTACATACATGGTCTTTCATTGGTCAAAGTGTCTTTTTGAGGTGCATGGCTGTACTTCAGAATTCTGTCCATCTGACATGGCAAAAATGTTAAAGGTGTTTGTGTTTAAAGAGGTGTGAACTGAACTCTCTGGAAAACGGCTCTCAAAGTGACAAGTCTCCCCGGGGCTACCATGTTCTAGGACACAAAGGTGAGACAAAAAGACTGAGTTGCACTTTCATTTGATTTTACTTCTGAAATGGGAATAAACAATGGTGCTAGAACTTCTCAGACTGTGCAATATTGAGATGTTTCTCTAAAGGATCTACTCAAAATTCTGTCATAGCCTTCTTTAGAAGGTAAAAGTTATTTATAACAATTTGCGCAAGTGAACACCTATGGCATCTGAGAGATGTAGACTTGGATCTCTGCAATTACTGGATTTGTCCTCCTTGTCCTCCACACTGCAGAGGAGACCTCACCATATACTCCTACTGCAACAACACAGAACCAGTGGTTGCGCACCTGCTCAGTTTGTGTTCCGTTTTCACTCTCTCCTCATGATATCATCATTTGCTTATTTCAAAGCTCAGGCTATGGGGTTTTAGACTTTGTCACAAGGGAAATCAGATAATTTTTTTGAAACTTTTTTTTTTTGAGACAAAGTCTTGCTCTGTTGCCTGGTGCAGCAGCACGATCTCGGCTCACTGCAACTTCTGCCTCCCAGGTTCAAGCAATTCTCCTGCCTCAGCCTCCCAAGTAGCTGGGATTACAGGCGCCCACCACCACACCTGGCTAATTTTTGTATTTTTAGTAGAGACAGGGTTTCACCATGTTGGCCAGGATGGTCTTGAACTCCTGACCTCGTGATCCACCTACCTTGGCCTCCCAAAGTGCTGGGATTACAGGTGTGAGCCACCGTGCCCAGCCTTAAATCTTTGTATACCCAAATCTATTGATATACTGATTCTTTAAAGATAGATAGATAGATAGATAGATAGATAGATAGACAGATAGATAGATAGATATGCCATATGTAGATACATATAGAGAGAGCTATAGATATAACCTATATACTCATATAGGTAATACAGATGTAAAGTGAATAAGGTTTTTAACATACTTTTGGTCATGCATTATAATTCTTATTTAACCTGTAAAACTTAAAGAAACAACATTTATCTCTAGAGTATTGTATTGCTCTCAAGTCTAAGGCTGAAGCCAATGACCCCATTAAGAAGCAGTTTACCATGAAATATATTTGCAGCGACCTGGATGAGACTGGAGACTATTATTCTAAGTGAAGTAACTCAGGGATGAAAAACCAAACATCAGATGTTCTCACTGATATGTGGGAGCTAAGCTATGAGGATGCAAGGGCATAAGAATAATACAATGGACTTTGGGGACTTGGAGGGAAGGGTGAGACGGGAACAAGGGATAAATGACTACAAATAGGGTGCAGTGGACACTGTTCAGATGATGGGTGCACCAAAATCTCACAAATCACCACTAAAGAACTTACTCATGTAACCAAACACCACCTTACCCCAGTAACGTATGGAAAAATAATATATACATACGTGTGTGTGTGTGTGTGTGTGTGTGTGTGTGTGTGTGTGTGTAGTTTACCATGAAATCACTGGGGAATTTGGGTTACAGTCCCTCAATACAAATACAAATTCAGTCACATCCCCACGCCTGCCCCTTCCTAAGAGCCGTAATCCTTAGGAAATGTCAAGAGGAAGGTCTTTACCTCTCAGCAGTCTCAGTGTCTGACTTGCGGTGAATTGGTGGTGAGTATTTCACTCTCTCTGAGACTCTTATTTCTGTCGGTGTGTGTGTCCTGTTTTACATAATGTCAAAAATTATAGATGCTTTTCACCACTCAAAGACAAATGGGTGCTTCCCGCAGGTGCACATCAGTTTGGGACTGTATTTTTGGCCCAGAATGTACTGAACTGTGATAGGAAGCTGACACCTTATACACTCTGTCCATCTCAAGGCAACAGAGCCCTGGGTCTGCCAGCCTGGGAAATATGCTGTCTTAAGTTCATCCTTGGTTTTTGCCTGTTTCAACACAATTTAATCCAATGGAATTCAACTAAATTCAGCACATGTATGTAGAGCACCTTTGTAGGTCCAGAAAGTCACCTGACCAGCACCTACAGAGATTATTGTGTCCTGGGAAGCACCTTTGTCAATCACCACAAGGAAAGTTATAACCCCTTGGTGGTCTTCATTGTTAATATGATTGCCAAGTCTCCATAGGAATACATAGAGAATACTGGGTAAAAGAAAGAATGTTTCCCTTCTTTCTCTTATCTTCCTCATCTCTCATTCCCATCCCTACACCCAAACTCACTTCCTCCTGCTTTCTAAATCAGTTAATAGGACCATCTTCCTCTTGGGTCGTCCTTGACTCCTTCTCCATCAGTCTCCACATGCATTCAGACTAGTCCCTAAACTGTTCTTTAATCCTTCCTCTCCTCCAAACCCTTCCTCTCAGCTCAAGCCTTACCACAACTCCTAACTCCATTAGGTTTAGCTAATCCCCACCCAGGCTTTGACCTTGGCCCCTTCCCATCCCTCAGCCACATAGCCCCCAGGTACTCATCCTGAAAGACAAACCTACCTTTGGTCCTGCAGGAGCTACAAGGATGTCAGAATTCAGTTCCTTGCAATCTGGCTCATGACAGCTGAGCAGCCTCATGCCCTAATCTGTCTCCAAAGTGCCCACCTCCCGAGTCACACTGAATGCTTGCTGTCAGGCCTCTGCGTCGTTGCATGCCTTTTTCTCTCTGCCTAGAACCCTGTTCTCTTTCACTTGATTGACCTCTACTCATTCTTTCAGAATCAGGTTCTGCATCACTGCCTCCTGAAAGGCTTCCCTGAGCTCTCCAGCTGGTCACACACCCCCGTCCTCTGAGTTTGCAGTATTCAGAGATCTTCTCTTTCTCTCCCCTCATGCCTGGTAGTTACTGTCCAGATTCCTGGATACACTGTAAGTCCCCTCTTTATATCACCCACTCCCCCAGCACAATTCTTGGCACAGAGCTGGTGTTCAGTATATAAATAAATGCAAGGATAAATGAAGGAGGGAGAACAAAACAATGAATGATACACAGAGCCCACCAAATAAACACAGAACATTGCCTTCCCACGCATCAGAAGGTTAGCCCCAAATTAGTTTTTCTAAACAGACTTCTGACCCTTTACTCCATTCCCCAAAATTTCCCTAATAGAATAGAATAAGAAGGTACACAGAATGCAAGCAAGCATCATTCCACCTCTTCCCTGATAAATGATCACAGTTTTGACTGCCTAGAAAATACTTTCATTTCTTCCCCAATAACTGAGTTAGAATATCCCTTCTACACATACAGGCCTCCAGCCCCTGAATCAGGGTCGCTGCCCCTGTGATCAAGGCTGAAGGAGCACAAACACACTGAGAACTTGAGGGTCTGGGCACAGAGCCCATTCTCCAGCATTGCTGGGTGTGACGTGGTCTTTATTCAGAAAACTTCTGAGGAGATCATGCGCTGCATCTGCGGCAGTCAATTTTAATCCACACCCTCAGATTAAACTGGACAGGATCCTAAACGGAAAAGCACACTCTAGGAGTGGTCACATGGCATGGAAAAGCTGCTGTCCAGGAGCCCCGCCCTCCAGGAAGCAGTCACAGATACATCAACTCTTTATCCCAGTTAACACCACCACCACCGGCCTTTGTTAATTAGCCTACTGAACGCTGGAAATAGGTACATATTTATTGGTCAGATTCATAGCATTCAAAACATATGGCTTGGCTAAATGTATCACAGTGTCACTCCTATGCTGGCAGGAAGAGATTGTGACAGATTCCTGAGCCCAATAGCCCTAGAGCCGTGGCTTGATTCAAAACGGGTCTGTGATCAGTCACGGATCTGAAGGATTCTTGTTCATCTGATTTTGACAAGAAGGTGAGTTGAGTTCAGCTGTGAGAATAGTATTGGTTCTGTCTTAAATAAACCTTTCCAACAAGGTGCCAAGGATAGCAAGATGGGCCTTCACTGGGGCCACTGAACAGGTGACAGGTTGCGACAGTTTCTGGGCCTGTTTGCTAATAACTGCTTGGATGTGTGGCAGAATTTGGAGACTTGCTTTCATTACAATCCACTAGTGACTTGTGGGGGGAAAGACCTCCAGCCACCAAAGATGACCATTATGAAGAATCAGCTGACAATCCTGGGCCTCCAGTGTTGGTTAGGTAGGTTCAGAATGGCTGCTGTAGGTCCTGGAGGCATTGATATAAGGATGGAGTCTCCCAGGGTCCTTCCCAGCAGATGGTGCCTAGCCTCAGGGGAACCAAGGCCTGCTCAGCTGTACCAATACAGTGGCACTTGCCTCAGGAGGCCATGTGTTTCCCTTGCCCCTCTGCTAGACAGTGAGCTTCCTTAACAGGAGGCAGATATCAGGATCTCTACATCCCACTTCCCAGAGTGAAGCAGATCTGAATAATGATCATATGATCGTGGAATAAAGGAAACCCAAGCTGTGCTACTGGTGAGCTGAATAACCTTGAGGAAGTTCCCTTGAGTCCCTATGCCTTACTCTCCCCCTCAGTAAATGGAGAAAATGCCATTTCTCTCCAGGTCTTAGATGATGAGTGGAAATGACGTATGCAACATGAACTGCTGTTCTATGCCCAGGGCTCTGAGGGAGCTGCCGAAAGCCACAGCTGCCCTTGGCACAGTGGCAGGATGGAAGGGTTGGGAGCTGCTGTCCTCCCTGCAATTGTCAGCCAAGTCCTCTGCAGCACCACTGGGTACACACCCTGTTCCTTGGCCTAGCTGGCGGGGTCATTCTGAAGTGTGTTTTGCACTGATCCAGGGAATTAAGTACAACTGGCCTCAGAGTCCACCCTTTATTGGCTGTTGTGTCTTCTCTGTGTTACTTGCCCTGAGACTCTGTTCATATTCCTTGTCCTTCCTATTTAAATGACACTCCTGAATCTTTGTCTCATGGTTGATTCTGGGGGAATCCAAACTATAAACTAAGACACAAACATAGCACTAAGCACATGGCAATGCACAACCTGTGACAGCAGTAACTAATAACTGTAGGGCCCTTTTTAAACGACTCATCCTATTCCTAGGCATTCATCAGCCATCTCATCTAGATGCGTCTGATTGCAATGAGTACCACAGGTGTACTGTAACTTTCTCCACTGAGGTCCTGGCACCCCAAGATAATGACAATCACTGACATAAAACAGACCCCTATAAAGTGAACACCAGGCATCAGGCAAAGCCTCACAATCACTCAACATCAAGCCTTTTGGATTCAGGATGAACCCAGTAGTATTTCTGCCAAGGCTTTTTTTTTTTTCTATCAAATTTTACATCTGTGTGGCATTAGGGGACATTTAATCTGCCTTTTTTCCATTCATTTGCACTTCAAGATTTGTCAAAAACTAGCCATATGCAGCCCCAGAGCTTTCTAAGATGTTTTTCTGACAAATAAGAGGGTTGACCCAGCCAGCAGCAAATAGTTGAATGCACTCAGAAATGCTCATTGGAAATTTGGGAGATCCAGATCCTGAGTGGATTTCTCTCTGGAGAACACATGTCAACCCAGTTACCAAGTGAAGCAAAATCTCATATTCTCAGCCATCACTCATTGCTGATGGCAGGAAAGAGAAACCTCACAGCAAAAGGTGCTGTGTCTCCAAATTAGATAAAAATAGCCTCCAGGTGTTTCGTGGGATTAGTTGTTTGGGGTATAATTGTTTGTTTGTTGGGGGCTGGTATTAGAAGTCAGTCCTAACTTCTGTGTGGCAAGTGACCTGAATGAAGCTTTTACCAAACAGAAAAGGATATGCTAAGGAGACATTCTGTGTTCCTACAATCCCTGTCAGTCCACTAAGGTGGGCAAACAGGAGGCCTGCTGTATTTAATAATCTCTGTATCTCTCACCCCATCTAGCCTGTGAGCTCCTTAAGAACAGAAGCCACTGTCCCCATCTTTGCATCTGGACTTGGCCAGGTCACCTCACCCTCACATCTACCCAGCAGCTGCTCAGGATATGAGGGAGGGAGGAGGAAACACAGGGGCTGCTCCAGCCTGGGGAAGGGCTCCCCACAAACTCACCTCCTCCAAAGGTGTTTGCACATCTCCCAGCTCCCCTCTGCAACTCACAGTTGACCCTACAGCTTTCCTGAATCTTCTGTTCCCTTCTCCCAACAGCCCTGTAAAACCCTTGAAGTAGAATATCCCATTAGCAGGCATTAATACCCAATATCTGGAGCATAGCTGGCCCCAAAGTGATGTCTGAGGAGTGACACTCTCAGTTACCGGAGACCCCTTAATTTTTCTGGCACAATAACAAGGAGAACTCCAAAGCACTTTCCACTTCCAGTAAATTGCACATAGGATGGTGGAAGCAGAAGGCGGCAGCCAGGAGTGGGTAGAGAGCTTCCACAAGATAGCACTGGTCTCCTAAGCTGAAGGCTTGAGCCCCAGCCATGGCACTAATGCAAAGATTGTTTCTTAAAGTGTGTCAAGTCACAGCTCCAAACTTCACTCTCATGAGTGAAATTGTGATATAACCAACTGCCTCACCAGAGTGCCCAAAGGATCGATTGAGTTGTACGTGAAAGTGCTTTGCATAATACAGTGCAGATATTAATATATTTACTACTTGAATTTGTGTTCTTTTGGGTTGTGATTTCCTACACCTGGCAATCAATTCATTTGTGCTTTAAAAACAAATGCCAATTCCCCATTACCCAGATCATGTGTTGAACCATAGCCTGATAGTACCCGTGAATTGATCAACGAAAGCAGGTGTCTGCACCCGAAGTCCCATAGGTGCCTCTGTTGGGTGTGCTGTTAGGGAGCCAGGGACCAGAGAACAAGGCATTCTTCGACAGCCTGGGAAGCCTGCCAGCACTTCACTCAGTAATCTGTGAACGAATGCGCCCATTGCACAGATGGAGGCCCTGAGGCTGAAGGTGGTCAAATGTCTTGAATAAGGTCACAGAGCTAGGGGAAAAGCCAGGCTCAATCCCAGGCATTTTCACTCCCAGCCCTTGTGCCGTATCTCCAGTGTCCACCGCTAGCCTGCTGTGCTCAGCACCACTCTGCTGCTCCACACACATTCTTCTTTAATCCTCTCAACTACCTGGAGAGTCAGAGTCCACCATCATCCTCACTGTGTAATTGGGAATACCAAAGCCTAGAAGGGCCACACATTGAGGAGACATTCACACTGGAATTCAAATTCCAGGGCCTGATTCCAGAGTCTGTCTTCACAACCATCTATCCCGTTGTTAAACTGGGATGAAGAGGCCAGTCCCCAGTCAAGTTTAGTGGAGATGGAGTTTGTCTTTATTGTCCCTAGCACCCCCTATGTTCTTTCAAATCATTCCATGCCCTCCCCTGCAACTGTTCCTGTACCCAGAATCCTCCTCTTTTCCTCCATCAATATCTGTTGTTAGAAAAGGGTATCTATCAGTTCTTCACGCTGTAGTTAGAATTTAAATTATTACACTCCCTCCCTCTCACCTCCAGGGGTTAATCGTACTAAAAGACTGACCTCTTATTTTGAAGAGGAAATATCTGTGCCCTGTTGCCTTCAGTTGGAGGTAGCCTCCTACTCAGCCTTTGTATAGGGCAACCTCCAATTTGGAGTATCAAGGCTGCCTGAAATCCCTATCATAGTGCACACTTCTTAAAGCCTTGCCCTCACCCACAATACACACACACATATAGGGCACTGAAAAAAACAAACATTTCAAAAGTCTTTTGGTAACCGCTACTCTGGGAGGCCAGACAAGGGCACAGTCCTCATTTCTTGGGCACATATCAAGCACATGCTCTGGGTTGAGCAATTCACTCTGGATTTACTGCCATGAATATATCATATGTCTTTCTTGAAATGCCTGTATTCACCCTGTGCTACCTCTTGGAGTAATGAATACCATATGTTTACTACTCATCATATAAATAAGCGATTTGATTTTATTGACGCCAAAAGAAACTATTTGTGCTTCATGGAATTCCACCAAATTCTGTGATATTTTATTTTCAGAATTTGGTGACCATTCACTCACAGATATATATATCTTTTTCTATGCCATCATTATAAAGCATAGCTCAATGGTGGTAATCCAGAAATTAATGAAACACAATTCAGTTTTTAAAATATGACAGAAAACAATGACAAATTGAAAAAATAATGATAACATCATCTAATATCAATACCACAGATCAGGAACTCTGCTAGTTCTTGATCTGCAAGGGCCCATACAGAGAAGTGGTTAAGAAAGGCAGTGAGAGAGCCAGAATGCTGGGTTTCAGATCCCAGCCCTCTTATTTACAAGCTCTAAGACCTAGGGAAGTCCCCTAACTGCTATGTGCCTGAGTGTCTTCAGCTGGCAAACCGGGACAATGATAATAAGAGTGCCTCCCTTGAAGCACTGTGTTGAGGACTTGTGAGTATAGGTCAAGGCCTCAGAGCAGGGCTGCCTCAGAGGGTGTGCTACATAAGTCATTTCTATTATCCTTATTTTTTTATTGTTATATCCTCTCCTTTTATCCTCCCAACCCCGTGAGATGGGTACTGGTATTACTGTCATTATATAGACAGGCAATTAGGCCTGAAAACATTCATTCACCTACTCCAGGTCACACAAGTGGTGTCCAAAGCTAGGATTTAACATCACAGACAAACTTTCCACAGACAGGCAAATGCGCAATTGCGGCACGCTGCTGACTGCACTGCCTAACAAAGGAATGGGCAGAGCATCCATGAAGCTCTGTAGTCGAGGAAGCACTAAGCCCTGTGGGTAGTCAGGGAGGGCTCTTGGAGGAGGTGACATGGAATGCTCTGCCATTGGAACCCTGAGAAATGCAGGATATAAAGGTGTGAGTCTCAGAAGCTTCCCTGGGAGGCAGGAGAGAGTCTCTGCCAGCCTTTGGGAGACCACTTCCTGCAGCAACATAAGCACCCAAGGGTTCCCACAGAAAGAATCCCACTGACCCTCTCACATCAGGTGCTCAGTCTATCTGGTCAGCACCTGCACATGCCTTCACTGCTCTCAACTCAGAAGGTGGAGTGGAAGCATGGAGGTGCTTTCCCAGTTCAGGTTCTGGCAGATAAATAGACAACGAGGAGCAGGGCTTCCCCTCAACCTCACTCTGGAGCTGGAAGAACAAAAGGAACAGCTGGCCCCATCTTCATCATAAGTCAGACTCTCAGTGATGGAAGGAAACTTTCAAGCCATCAGTGCTACATAAGCATTATCTGGACCACTTGTTAGAACACAGATTCCTGGGACCCACCCTGAGGGCTGGGGTGTGGCCTGAGACTCTGCATTTCTAACCAGCTTCCAGTGATGGTGGTGCTGGTGGTGCTGGTCCTGTCTTTCCTGATCACATCAGTGGTACATGGTTGGCCAGTCCCTAGCCCAGCACAGAGTGGGCATTCACTTTTTCCTGATGGGGGTCTGCTGGGAGAGGCAGTGCAGGGCTGTGAAGGTGATGCCACTGGCTGGGGGGCCTCAGGCACTAACTGCCCATCTCTGGAAACTGAGAGGCTGGGGCAGATGATCGCAGAGATGCAGCCTCACTATAGTGTTTATATGTTTGTAGAAAAGAGCTTCCAAGAGAAAGAAGAGGAAAGAGAAAGCCCAGTGGTTATTTCTGTTAGTTGAGTCCATGCAATGGAGCCCATGGTCCCCTGCACCCATCACTAGAGTGGGCAGTACAATTGGTAAACTTGGAATTTCTTAACTCATAGAGGGGGAAAATATGCCTGGATGGGCATTAGTTTGGGGGACAGATTGCATTTCAGGCTCCAGTTTTCCATCCTTCTTTGTAGTCATACTATTTGCACATGACTTGGCAGTCCCCCCAACTAAAGGAGTAGAGTCTATTTCCCACCCTTTGTCTCTTGTTTAGCCATGGGATTTGCTTTATCCAATAGGATGAGGCAGAAATGGTAACGTGACAGATCTGAGCTCCACCAACAGAGGCCTTGCTTATTTCTCCTTTTTCCTGCTTCTGCCATCTACAGAAGAGTACGTTCCTCCAGAGGAGGATGAGAAACTCATAGAGCAGGGCCCAGATGTGCCAACCAAGACTAGATGAGATCCATCAATTGCCAGCTAACCCCAAGATTCTTGAGAGCAGCAGACTTGCCCTGCTGGGCCATCCTGCCCACAGTCCACCTGCAATCTGAGGAGCTAAATGGATGCTTCCCATAGAGTTCTGCTGAAAAGCTAGGGTTGTTTCCATCCAGTATGATTGGTAAAGTTTTTTTTTTTTTTTCAGAAGTATAAGCTCCTCAGGCCACAAGGAGGGCTCATAAGAAAGTAGCAGAGGGCCTTGCTCGTGTGAAGAGTAATTTTGAAAGAATATGGACAAATGGCAAAGACTTACTCTTGATGAACTCCTGGTCTCCAAGACGCAATATCACCTGGTGGCTCTCCTGGTCATATGTCACACCAGGACATGTAGCATTAGCCCAGGCTTCAGAGGGATCCATCCAGTCTTTGACATTACAAAGCAGGACACTGGGTGAGCTCAGCAACCCACAGATGATGGCACCTGAGAATCACAAGAGGTAGGAGAGGTCAGTGTGATGGAGGGGGACCTTTAGAGACTCTTCTCTGTCCCCTGAGAGCATTTGCAAATAAAGATAGGTGACAGCGTCTCAGGAGAAGACATAGACACTAGAATTCAAGAGCCTGGTTTTAAATTGAGACAATCCTGCCTGTGATTCCTGCAGTTGTCTTATTGGCAAATTTCCAAGGGGAGGGCCACCTTCAAGCCTACTGATCCTTTCCCTCCCTATGAGAGCTTTCCTTCATGGCATCCATAGCACTGACAGCACCTCCAACTTCCTGGGGGCATCACTGCCAGAATCCTCAGTCACCATGGTCTACACCTGCTGAACGGGGTGATTTTCCTGAGCTGCTGCTGCTTCAATTTCCTCTTCCTTTTTCTCCTCCCCTTCTGCCTCATTTCCCATCATATTCACTCTCTCTCTTTCTCTCTCTCTCGCTCTCGCTCTCACTCTCGCTCTCGCTCACTCTCGCTCTTGCTCTCGCTCTCTCACATGCACACACACACACAAGATCAACCTTGAAGGGTCTCATAAAGGAGTACTTAGATTCAAAGTAAGAAACTTTTTTTGGGGGGGGACGGAGTAAGAAACTATTAAAAACTAAGACCTATGCACCAATGACACATATTTCCCTGTTAGGAAGTGAGCTCCTCGTCTTTGGACATATCCAAGCAGAGACTGTGTGTCCATATGCCTAGGATGTGTGGAGAGAAATCTGTAACTAGGGGAGATGACATTGGACTCTTTTATCTTGAATATGTCTCCTGACTCTGAATTTTAAAAAGCTACCCAAAAATTATGACTTTGTTTAGCATCAGAAAGACCTACTCCCAAGGTAATCGAATTTGATAGTGATTTTAGCTGGATACATTCAAGTAACTCACACGTTTTTTTATATCTGCTATGTGCCAGCCACTGTGGTAAGTCTTTAAGTATATTAATTCCCTTAATTCTTATAGACATTATTATCTCCATTTTACTGATGAGGAAACTGAGTCTCATGTAAGTTAATTAAGCTGCTTGAGGATATTCAGATTTATAAATTTATATCTATGCCATTTGGATAAATAAACCTTTTAGGGAGTAGAGTTGTTCAGACTCTCCTGGAAAAAAAAAAAAGGGCAATATATTATCCCACAACTCCTACTCCATTCCTCATTCTAATTTCCTAATTTATGTCCAATCTGGATCTAGTTCAAAACAATTCTATCTCCAAAATTTCCCCAGAGTAGGTGACTCATGGATGTCTGGCTTAAAAATTTCACATTGTGTCCTTTTCTCTTCTGCTGGCCACTGTTAAACTGCAGTAGTTAAAAAACCAGCAGCAGTGAATCTCTGAATTTTTTTAAGTGGCCTTCCAGGTCATCTCATATGGTGGTTTCTGAACAAGGATGCTTAGACTGATGACATCAGAAATGCAGGGAGGGTTTTGAAAATGCTCATTTCTAGGTATCAACCACAGAGTTTCTGACTTGGTAGGTCACGTGTATGGGGCGGGGTGCATTTGGACATACATGTTTGTAAAGAGCACCATGGAGAATCACTGACCTAGTTAGACCACCTCGTTTTACAGATGGGGAAACCGAGGCACAGAAAGGAAGAATGGTTTGTCTAGGAGCTAAGAAATTGTGGAATGGCCAGCAGGCAGCAAGAGCCTCAGCAAGGTGCAGGCTTGAGGGCCGGCTGTGGAACGTGAGGGCAGCACCAGCAAGGGGCACACTCAGAGCCCAGGAGAGTTCGAGGAAGGCTGATCACTGTGGTCTGGCTCACTTGAAAGCCAGGAAACAGAATGATGGAATTAACAAGAGGCAGAGTGCGTTTTTCCTTTTGCTCTCAGACCTCAGTAGAGAAACCCATGCAGCTTTCCTCTTTAACTAGTGCCAAATGTCCCTGAGAAGGCTGTGCCTGAGAGGTAGGGGCCAGGGAGAGGCTGGAAGTCACTTTGCTGGTCATACATTGCCAGCTTAGCTTCAGTTGCACTCCTGTGACCCTGAGGCCATTCAAGGCCCTCAGAGCCCCACTTCCAAGCAGTCTCCACTAAAATGTAGTTCAGAAGCCCCATGAATTTTCATTAATAACTCTCAGTGGAAACAAAGCCTTAGAGGGGTGGAGATTGGAGGAGGCTAGAGACTTGTTGGGAGGGGAGAAAGGAAAGGAGGGGAAGGAGGGGAATCCACCAGAGCTAAATGACTTTCCAGACTGTGGTAAAGGATGTAGTGGAATTCTGTTCCTGGTCGTCAGCAGATCCAGCCAAATCTTCATAAGTTAAAACTCCAGATTTGCCCACTGGACAAGACTGGGGAAAACATCTGCCCGATACTTTATGTGTATCTCAAAGAAGGCTTGACTTTCAGCACTGCGAGGTGAGTGTTTAGTTCAACATAATTCACAGATCACAGGTTAAACTTGGAGGGAAAAGCAAGCAAGCTGCCAGCCAGAAATATCATGGAAAAAAAGGATTTTGTGGGCTTACCACTCCATGGAACAAAAACATTCTTCCATATATGATCCTAAGGAAAACGAAATCAACCTTTCCAGCTTGAAAAAAATCATATGGTCTGGTGAGTCATTGTGCATCTGGGGAAATTGTGGTATCTTCAGAAAATACATTTAGTTCAAAGAGGAATCCTGGATTTGAGTTATGTTGTTTCTAAATATAGATATACATCAAGACAAATATAGGGTGTGTGTGTGTGTGTGTGTGTGTGTGTGTGTGTGTAACATATTTTTCCTATCTAAACACTAACAGGAATCCACATCACATAATCATAGAACATTAAATGTAGAAGGAATTTTAGGAATCAGCTCATTCCAATCTGTGTTCCTGCCCCACCACTCCAACAAAACATTCTCATTTTAGCCACCTCAACCACTGTGAGCTAAACTCAGCATTTTTCAGGAATCACCTTGTTTGAACTCTCAGCAGCACTCAAGACTGTTGACAACTTCCTCACCATGCAACGCTCTCCCACCCTAGCTTTCGCGAGGATCCACTATCCCCATCTCCTTCTCCCCCTCTGGCTGCTCCTTCTCTATCTCTTTGCATATTCTCTACCTGTTATGTAGCTGTTCATCAAGATCAGCTCCATCCCCCTTTATCTCCTCATTCTGCACCCTCCTCCTAGAAAACTGCATTCATATCCACACATTTGATACCACCTCGAAGCTGTAATTTACACATTTATATCTCCCATCCACACTTCCCTTCTGAGCTCTCGATCTTTGCATCTAAAAACTCAGCTGACATTTTTTGGATGTCTCAAAAGTCACTTCAAACTTAGTATACCCCACATGGACCCACGGCCTTCCTAAATCTCCCTCTCCCATCGCCAAATTGGACATCCAATCTCTTTCATTCTTTGCCACACAACAGGTGAACAAGCTAGATACCCAAGAATAATCATTGACACCTCTTCCTCAACCCCCAAATTCAAAGTCTTATTGAATTTGCCTCCTGGGGATGCTTTAAATCTGTCTTCTATTCCCCCTCTCCACTGCAATAGCCCTAGCCCAGGATACCATACCTTCTACCCTGGACTACTGCGACAGTTTCTAACTCATCTCTGCATCTACTCTGACCCCTAGCCACAACCTTCTCCACATTCAAGCCATGACATGACAAGCGCTCACGTCAAAGTTCAAATCTGATCATGACACTTCCTTGCTTAAAACATTCAGTGGCTTCCAGTCGTTATTAGAATAAAAACAACTATTCATGCCGCCTACAAGGTTCTCCTCACTGTGGCCTGGCCTCTCCCTCCCGCCCCTTAAACCTCTGGCCTTGTACTCTCTGCTCCAGGGACCACGGCTTCCTCTAGGCTTCTCTTCTTTATCCTGCACCCTCTTCCCACAGGGACTTTGCATATGCTATTCTTTCCATTTAACATCACCTTCCCTCTTCTCTTTATCTCATTTAAACTACACATGATTCAAGATTTCGGAAAGTCTTAATTTATCTCTCTGAATGGGGCAAAAGACTTATTACATGTTTTCAATGCAATATTCACTTGTCTTCAGAGTCTAGCAATTAACAATTATCCTTTTCTCCCTCTGGACCTGAGAGGAGGAGGTGGAAACAGTGGGGGTGGGAGGGGGAGTAGAGCACAAGTGTCTATGTCATAAGTCAGGAAAGCCAAGTTCCCTTTGCTGACCACTGGAACACGGGCATCTGGCAGGTCACTTCCCCACTTTGGGGTCTGCCCAATTCAGCAGCATTCCTCTGCACCTACAGTGAGCATGGCTGTCCTAAAGGCTGAGGATAAATAACTCTTTCATAGCCTGGGGAGTTCGAATCCACCAGGGAGATGGATATGTGGACTTGGATACAAAAAGAAGGGACAAAATAGTACTCCAGGAGGAGGAAATCACAAGGAGAGCCTAAAGTTGAATAGGATGACTTGGAGGATGGGGAATCTAGTCAAGTAGTGGGGGTTGGTGGTGAGAGGCCAATTAAGAGACTGGTACAGGTGCCAAGAAAATAATAATACAGGCTTAAATGCAGACTGAGGTGACAGGGATGGAATACACCTCGATCTCAAACAAAATAATAAGAGAGCAACAGGAAATTGGAGTGACAGCTTCACAGAAGGGAAGAGGGCTGTGGGGCATTCAGCATGATCCCAGGTCTGTGGCTCAGGTGCCCTTCACTGAGATCGGCTGGTTTAGGGTAAAAACTATCCATTCATTTGACTTTGAGATTCCTAACGGATGTCCAAGAGGATATATCTGGACAGCAGATGCGTGTATGGATGTCGACCTCTGCAGAGAGGTCACACCCAGAACACAGACCCACAAGAGGTGGAGGTGGGACCTATCAATATCTAAGGATTCAACCCAGAAAGCTGAAGGAGAAGAGAAGGCACAGTTTAAGGAGCAAGAGAAGGGCATCTTGGAGGTCAGGAGAGGAGAAGGTGGAAATAACTGGACAGCAGGAAATAGTGACAGCTGCCAGAGACAACAGGCCTTCAGAGGATCAGAAGATGCCCCTGGTGACTGGAGAGCTGGTAGAAGCAGTTTGGGGGTGAGACAGGGTCTCAGCTTGCAGGGTCTGGCTGTGGTAGAGAAGGAGAGCAACCGGAAAGGCACTCGAGGGAAGGTCGGAGGTCATGGACTCTGTGGTGCCATGCACATGTTGGATTTTAAGAAGGGAGAAGGGCTAAGAACAATGTATCTGCCTTCTGCTGGGGAGCCCTGGAAAACACTGGGCTGGTGACAGGTGGAGAGCAGGGAGGAGGGCAGGGGCATTGTACTTGGCTGTTCTAGCAATGCTATAGAGAAATACCTGAGGCCGGGTAATTTATAAAGTAAAGAGATTTAATTGGCTCATGATTCTGCAGATAGTACAAGAAACATGGTGCTGGCATCTACTGCTGGTGAGGCCTCAGGAAGCTTACATTCATGACAGAAGGTGAAGGGGGAGCAGGCATGTTACAGGAGATCAGGAGTTAGAGAGAGGGGGAGGTGGCATATACTTTTAAGGATCTTGCAAGAAGAACTCACTCACTGTCACGAGGATAGCACCAAGCCATTCACCCCTGTTACCCAACACCTCCCACTAGGCCTCACCTCCAACACTGGGGATCACATTTCAACATGAGATGAGGAGGGACAAACATCCAAATTGTATCAGGCATGGGCCTGCAAAGGTAAGACAAGGGGCTCTTATACCCAGGAGGCAGGGTTAGTCCTTCTCAGAAGGAGACATCCTCTACCCTGAGCCTGGTGGGGATATTGTGCAGATGCTGGAGGCAGCAACAGTCCTCGAGGTGATACCAAAAAACACCTGCTTCCTGATCAGCTCCATGTCTCAGTTAATAGCCTTCAGAAAACCTGGGGTCTCTCTGTCTCTAGCTCAGCTCACAAGGACACCCACTCTGAACCAAATCCTCCCACTCTGTCATCTAAGTACTGCTCATCCCACAAAGCCTGGCCCAAGTTCCTCTTCTTCCTGGAAGCCTTCCCTGACCTTCCTCTTGTTATCCTCTTCCTTCACACTCCAAGACTTCTACGTCTCTACCTCATCAGGCATTTGCATCGCACACTGCCTAGTTCTCAAGCCTGATGCCGAGTAGTGCTCCAAACATGTTTGCTGAACGCCAGCAGCGATGAATAAATGAGTAAAGGCCATTTATTCCCCTTTCACGGTGCACACTGCCTCTCCCACCAGACCCAAAGTCCTTTTTATCTGTTTGTAATGCCTAGAACATTCCATTGCACATATATGGTGATCAATTGGAGTCTCCTGTTGACTTAAGTGAGAACCATAACAAGATATATCAGACTATTTCAATTTTTTCTAATCTTTAGAATTTTTCATAAATTTAATGTGACCAGTCACATAGTGGCTTACAGTTTGATGCTGCTAAGGAGAAACAGGATTGGTTTTCATATAAAACAGTTAAGACTCTCTTAGTCAATCAATGGCACACCAGGAGCCAAATCTATACGCAGCATTTTGCACTCATTATCTTTATAACAAGTAGTCCAGTAGAAAGTATCATTATCTCTATTTTATAAACAAGGGAAGTGCAACTTCATTAAGTAACTTGTCCAAGATCGCACAGCCAGAAAGTGACAGCAGTGACTAGAACCCAGGTCCATAACACCAAAGTCCCTTCTCAACCACTAGGCTACACTGCTGAGTACATGAATTTATTTCCATAAACAGAAGGGCACCTCCATTGCTGAGATACTATTCAAAATGATAGGCCTATTGATCACAGGACCTGGTATGCAGTGGGCACTCAATAGATCATTGTTGAATGAATGATGGTGGGAAATGGGAATGAGCTGACATTTTTGGACCAAATATGTCCAGTCCTGGCTTCACAAGTGACAGTAAGGTGCTGTGGAAGACACAACTTGGGTCAAATCCTGGCTCTATCACTTTTCAAGGTGTCTGAACATGAGCAAATGATTTAAATTATCTGAGCCTTAGTTTCTCAGTGTGTAAAACGGAGCTTGCAATATGCCCCGTAAAGACAGCAGAAAGGAATAAACCAGTATTACAAGGTGAAGGGGCCAGCACAGTGTGCAACATGTGGAATGTGAATGTGAGTATCATGTGTGTATTGTGTACTTGACTGTCACCTTCTCTTTGGGTGTAGGCACTCACACTGTACTCCCCATGCAGCTCCATGTTGTGTGTCCTGGCTTCTGCATCCCTGTGTGCTCCCCATCCCTTGTTAGGCCCTGGCCCTCACTGCCAACATTACCTCCTTGAACCTGTGTGAGGACGAAGCCATCGCAACACAGATCACGGTCGCATGCAAGAAGACAGAAGAGGTGAGCATCGGTTAGATTGGCTCCTGAGGCTGAGAACACAATGGGGTTGTACAATCCAGAAAGCATGTTTTGGAAACCAGTGGGTTCAAAGCGTTTCTGAAGTGTTGTGGTGGATCCTTGGCCTGGGGGAAAGGCAGAACAAAATTTTAAAAGACCTCAAAACATGGCAGAGTTGGACAGAGCTTACTGATCTCACAGGACAGTTTGTTGACTTAGCTGCAACAGTGCTCCAGGCAGCGTGTGGGCCAAGATGAGATGCTCTCTGTGCCACAAAGCTTCTGGATGTGCCTGTGCATGAAGAGGGTGGGGCCAGCCAAGGCCATGGCCCCAAACCCAGGAGATCGGGACAAATGCCCAACACGTCTTCAAGGGTCCAAAGGGTATGTGTAGAAAATGGCCATATATTTTTATGTTTATTATTACCAGCAAATATGTATTGCACTGTAAGTATATACACAGACCCTGTGCCACATGCTCTACCTACGTGGTTTCATTTGATTTTCACCGCCTTGCTCTGCTATCACAAGTGTTTCTGTCACACAAATTAGTTTAAACATGTGGTAGGGAAGCTTGGCCACTGTAATGCTGAAGTCACATTGCTTGCACTATCTACAGTTTTCTGAGCATGTCATTGCCTTGTGCCACCAAACATCATTAAAGGAATGCTCTGTAGACAAATGCAGCTGAATGCAACAAACTGCAAGAACTCAGGACTGTACACAATACCCATGATCCCACATTCTTCCTCTTGCCTGAAACTGGCCCCACCCAGGGGCTGTCTTCAAAGTGACCATTGCAGAGTTTTCCCTTCCCTTTGTGCAAGCAGCCCTTGTCTCCATAACTCAGCAGCCTCAACCCTTCCTTACACCCTCCCCATCAAGCTACCTTGCTCTTTTACATTTTCAGAAGCATTTCTTTATTATGAATTCAAAACATCTTTTTAAAAACTGTTCTAGCATTTTTAAGTAGAATTGTTAATGTTTTTTTCCATTGGTCTACCTAAAAGTGGCACGGTTTGGGTTTCCCGTCCCTAAGTCTAGTTTTCAAATCAGCCCTGTTAATTTTAGAGTGTCACTTTGCAAACATGAGATTTTTCAGGGATAGATATATAGAGCACTATAGCCTAAATGTCTGCCCCATTCTTATGCCCATTTTCCATTTGAGGAAAAGTCTTGACATGCGAACTGTCTGGCTCGGGTTTACACAGCCAGTGAGTGGTGGACAGAACACCAGGGCCTGTGCCCTTCACCACTCTGACCTCCCGTCAGTCTGGCAGATCACCCCATCTTATTTGACTCACACAGCTGGACGTCATAGAGAGGTTTTCAGTGTGAGACCCAAGAGCACGAGCTTCAGATCAAACAGATCTGAGGTCACCCTGCCAAGGAAGTCCCTAATTCCTTGGATCCTCAGCCTCCCAAGCTTCCCATCTGTACAATGAGGATGATAATAAGTAATCCTCAAGGACATTGAGCAGGTAAAAAAAACATATACTGGGGCCGGGCATGGTGGCTCATGCCTGTAATCCCACCACTTTGGGAGGCCAAGGTGGGTGTATCACTTGAGGTCAGGAGTTCAAGACTAGCCGGGCCAAATGGTGAAACCCCGTCTCTACTAACAATACAAAAATTAGCCAGGTGTGATGGTGCACGTCTGTAGTCCCAGCTACTCAGGAGGCTGAGGCAGGAGAATCCCTTCAACCTGGGAGGCAGAGGTTGCAGTGAGCCGAGATCCTGCCATTGCACTCCAGTGTGGGCAACAGAGTGAGACTCCATCTTAAAAAACAAACAAACAAACAAAAAAAAAAAACCCCATAGACTATATATAAAAGGGCTGAACAACAATGAGCCTGCCACTTAGCTTATGCTCAGCAGATGTTTTATGTATCTCCAAAAAGCCAGCGTCTTCTCCCTCCAAGCATTGGCTCACTCAGCCCCTTCTGCCTCGAATGCAAATCCACTCTTCACCAAAGCCCAGCTTTATTTGAAGGGTCCATCTCTGCATTTGTACAGTTAGAATTCATCTCTCTCTCCCTTGATCCCTCATACATTCTTTTTGTGCCTGTACTAAACCCTCTACCGTCCCTCTCCCTGTATTTAAGCTACTTGAGAGAGTCGGCCTCCCCTACAGCATGTGATTCTCCAGTGTTTGATGCCGTAATTATAGCCTTATGTGACTATTTAAAAATCAATGTCAGTTAATCAAAGTTAATATTGCAATAGCAACCTTCCAAATGCTCAATAGTCATGAGTAACTAATGGACAGCACAGATTTGTAGACCGTTTCCATCACTGCCAAAGGTTCCATTGGACGGTGCTGCTCTGGAGTCCAGGGCCACATCTCAGCTCCCCTTGGTATCTTCCACATAGGGCACCTATCCTGAGAGCTTTGCATGGTGGGCTGCTTTTTTTTTTTTTTTTTTTTTTTGAGACTCCTGCTGTTGCCCAGGCTGGAGTGCAGTGGTGCAATCTCGGCTCACTGCAAGCTCCACCTCCTGGGTTCATGCCATTCTCCTGCCTCAGCCTCCCGAGTAGCTGGGACTACAGGCGCCCGCCACCACACCCAGCTAATTTTTTGTATTTTTAGTAGAGACAGGGTTTCACTGTGTTAGCCAGGATGGTCTCAATCTCCTGACCTCGTGATCTGCCTGCCTCGGCCTCCCAAAGTGCTAAGATTACTGGCGTAAGCCACTGCGCCTGGCCGATGGGCTGCTTTTCATCCTTCAGATCAGAGTTCCAATGTCCCCTCCTCTGTGATTCCTTCCCTGACCACCCTGAAGCAGCTCATACCCGTCTTTACCTCCTCGTCCTGTTTCATTTTCATCCAAGCACCTACTGCCCTCTGAGATGATCTTATTGCTGGTTCTATTCCCCTATCAGTGATTCTGTTTTGCTCACAGATGTATCCACAGTGCCTACAAAAGTGCTTATTGCACCGCAGTGGTAGAAGCCTAGACAATGAAGCAGGCCAGGAAGGCCTTTCAGACTCAGAGGAGGTTCCACTTTGATGTCACATGTAGTAAGATGGTTCCTTTTCCTAGACCTCATCTGTGAGATGAGGGGTTGGGCTAGATAATCTCTAAAGAACCTTTGGGCACTGACATCCTTTGATTCTGAGAGACCCCACGACTCATCCCCCAAGTTGAAGGCCACAGACATTAAGTGGGAGTAGGCAGCAGAGGGTATTGGGTGACAGATCAAGCTCTGGGACTCAGGCCCTTTCTTTAGTCCCACTGAAGGTTACTGAAGGTCAGAGATGGGAATGGACATGATTAACTACCTACTGCGAGCTGAAGATGTGTGTGGGTGACTTTCAGAAACTGTGTCCTGTCCTCCTCGGTTGTGACACAGTCCCATTTTACAGAGGAGAAACTGAGTTTCAAGTGAAATAAAGAAGTTGTTCCTGATCAGAGACAGAGCCAGGAAGAGGGAGGCGGGAGTTGGAAGCCAGACCCAACTTACTCCTCCTCCCCTCCTCCTCCACTCCACCCGGGTCTAGAACGGCTGCCGGGCACATCTTCTGCTTTAAACCAAAAAGGAAAACAAACCAAAAAAAGCAAAACATAGTTCTGCCCTTGATTTAGTTTGGCAACAAGGAATTTTCCCAATTTCCTTTGTAACTTTCCCCCAAAGTACAAACTTTCAGGAGACAAAAAGGAAAAATAAAAATAACAAACACTAGGACTTTCTGTGTGATGTTGAAAAAAAAAATAAACACTTAAACAGAAATACAATTGCATTTTTTAAAATGTCATAAAAGGGTAAGTCATGATTTTAAAGGACATTTTGGGTAGGGGTTACTGTTCTATTTTGATTTTTATTTTTAGAAAATAATCCCTATGTTTTGTTATTTAAAAAGAAAAACAGGACAATGAAAATAATTGGAATAAAGATTGCAGCAGAAATTCTAGTGACCCTGGTCACTAGATTAGAGAGATCCGAGTGACCCTAGTCACTAGATTAGAGAGATCCGAGTGACCCTGGTCATAGATTAGAGAGAGCCGAGCTCTGCCAGATTCCAATCTCCCAGGCAAACTCTTTGTGAAGTGGGGATGAAGGCATTAGGTGAAAGAAGGACCACAGGGAAAAATACACAAACACTTGTCCCTGCTGTGGGCTCGCAATTGCTACCAAGGTCAGGGCAGCTTTGGGCCTGGGCTGTGGCATCGTCTCCACTTGCTGATTTTCCTGGCACAAGTCTGAAGCTGCTGGAAGCCCCGAGCCACTTGCCCTGAGTTACGAACCTCAGAGAGTGACACCTGTACTCCCCTTCTCCCAACCCCCAAGTCCCAGGTCGAGCCCCCTTTGGCTGTCATCTGGTGCACAGCCATGGCCTCGGGCCCTCAGGAAACTTTTTAGCAGGAACAAAGATGATTACAGAAATGTTCTACACTCGCTGAGCTTTCCCCATGAGCCCAGCCCTGTCCTAACAGTTTCACATGTGTCACCTCATTCCAATCTGCCGATGACCTTGGTCCACCATGACTCCTGTTTTACTAAGGAGGAAACTGAAGCTGAGAATGTCAAGGAACAGGCCCAAGACCATGCAGCTCATATGTGGCAGAGGAGGGGTTCCACACAGGCAGGCGGGCCCCACCGTCCTCCCTTGCTCTGCAGCCCTTAACAGCTATGAAGGAACCACAGGTCACAGGTCAGAGCCTGGCCATGGCCCAGAGCGCATGGCTCAGAGCGTGCCTTGCTGGCATGTTTCCTTTCCACCCCACCGGAGAGGAGGCAGGGGGTGAGCAGGGTGGGGCAGAAGAGCGAGCGCAGACCTCAGGATTCCAGGGAAAGAGTTCCTGCCTCTCCCACGTGCCAGCAGCGGCCCAGAGGACTTCCTTATGTGTACATGGGGATTGGAATCCCCTTTGTGCCTTTCTCCAAGAGTTTCCATGAGTGTGAAATGAAAAGATGAATGAGAAAGGAAGTCATAAACTATACAGTACGACACAGCTTGCTACTCAAAGTGTGGTCCCCGGACCAGCAGCACTGGCACTCTCTAAGGGGTGATTAGAAAGGCTAGATCTCGGCCTGACACCAATGATTTACTAACTCAGGTTTGCACCTTACAGGGCCTGGGTTCACTGGGAGGAAAACGTCCTGGGAGGGTAGAGATTAAGTGAGGAGAAGGAGAAGCTCTATGAATCAGAAAGCCCGGGAGGAGCAGCTGCTGGGAGCCCGGCACCCAGGCCCCAGTGAGCAGTTTGCCCAGCCTCTTGGGCCGCATGGGCCTTCCAGACGGCACAGGCTGAACTCAGCGGGTTCTGCCAAGATCCTTCACTTCGTAGCTTTGTGTCCACTCTGCAACTTAGCTCTGCCTGCAGAATGAGGCTCTCAATCCTTGCTAGATTGCAATGGGATCAAACCTGAAGGCACAAAGGAGAATGATGTGGAAATATCTTTGCAGTCCCAGGGGAGATCAGTGCCTGCCTGAGGAGCGTGCTGTGCTGAGTCTGCCAAAGGATGGAGCTCAGAGAAGCCAGACTGAGGGTGTGGAGTGGGGAGCGGGACAGTCTGGCTCCTCCTCACATGCACCTGCTGGAAACCAGCTCCAAACATGACCGTGTGAAGCCACCGCGGGCCTAAGCCAACCAGCCTGACCAACCTACCCTTTTTCAAATACACAGCTGGAGAATCTTGACCATGGCTCCTCACTTTCACCTGGCAGCGAAGACTTCCAAAGCTGGTGGCCTTTGAGTTCCCCAGTGCATCTCGTTTCTGGAGATGGAAAGATGCTGCATTATTATCCTGCAATACTTTATAATTCAATCCAACAAACATTCATCCAACCCTAACCATGGCTAGGCACCAGGGCTACAAAGGTAAGTTAGTTGCTCCTGGTCTATTGGAGGAGACAGATGTGTAAGCAGTAACTTGCAGCCAGGAGTGTTAGCTGCAAAGATACATATAATTAAAGAAGAGGTAATTAGAGAGGAAGGAGCAATTGATTCCATTCAGAAAGAGAAGCTAGAAAAGTTTCCCAGAAAAAGTGAGTCTGAGTGAGGTTCTGAGATATTAATGAGTTTGCTGGGCTGGGTGCAGTGGCTCACACCTGTAATCCCAGCACTTTGGGAGGCCGAGGCGGGTGGATCATTTGGGGTCTAGAGTTCAAGACCAGCCTGACCAACATGTTGAGACCCCATCTCTGCTAAATACAAAAAAAAAATTAATCGGGTGTGGTGGCGTCTGCCTGTAATCCCAGCTACTCAGGAGGCTGAGGCGAGAGAATCACCTGAACCTGGGAGGCGGAGGTTGCAGTGAGCCTAGTTTGCACCACTGTACTCCAGCCTGGACGACAGAGTGAAACTCTGTCTCAAAAGAAAAAAAAAAAAAAAAGAGTTTGCCAGATGGAAACAAGAGAGGGCTGATTTTAAGCAGAGGAAACAGCAGACTCAGGGACCCAGAATTTCATGGGTGTTTTCAGAACTAGGTTCAGTAATTCAGTAATTTTTGGACTGTCAGTTATGAGAGGGGAGTGACGGGAGAGGAGAGAGAGGCTGGAGCTGGCTATGAAAGACCTTACAGGCACTTAGTTTCTATCCAGGGAGTATCTAGAAGAAGGTTCTTAAGCTCGGAGATGGTGAGGTCAGACTTCCAGAGATCTTGCAATTCTTGGCCCTTTCTGATCTCTCTTTCTGACTTACTTTCAGCAGTCTTGCTATGTGGATGAGGTAGGATAAATTGGTGTGTTTTGTTCCCAGTATTTTGCCTTCCCCCGCAAGGCTGCCAAATTTTGAGTTTCCTGTGGGAATTTTTGGAGGACAGGGGCTACAGCAAGGCTGTTTGAAGGCAACAGCTCTTCTTGCTTTGCAGAAAGCCTGAACTCACTGAAGAGGCAATGGCCTGGGGAGAGGAGGAAGAGCCTTGGAGAGCAAAAAGAAAGAAGACATTCCCGCAGACCTGAGAAGAGCTCGTGTTTATGCACGAGCACGTGTTTATGAATTGGGAAATTAGGAGACAGGAGACTCCTGCTTTCCACTGGAGGAGGACAGGGTCTAATTATCCTAATTTGATGGTACCACATGAAACTGACAATACTCTATAAGCTTTGACTCACAGAACAGCAATGTTATGTGGTTCTAATATTTAACTTGTTTTCCTTTTTAAGCCACAATTATAGGTTTTTTTGTTTGTTTTTTTGATGGAGTCTTCACTCTGCAGCCCAAGCTGGAGTGCAGTGGCGTGATCTCAGCTCACTGCAACCTCCACCTCCCGGGTTCAAGCGATTCTCCTGCCTCAGCCTCCCCAGTAGCTGGGATTACAGGTGTCCACCACCACACCCAGCTAATTATTTTGTATTTTTAGTAGAGACAGGGTTTCTCCATGTTGGCCAGGCTGGTGTCGAACTCCTGACCTTAAGTGATCCACCCGCCTAGGCCTCCCAAAGTGCTAGGATTACAGATGCGAGCCACCGTGCCCTCCAACCACGATTATGTTTTATTTCTACAATGGAAAGGCATATTCGGGTCTGGGACCCCAAGGGGCAGTGGTGTTTAGGGCCCCCTCACATCTTGCCCACACTGCCTGATGGGGCAGGTGGTTCTCTCCTGACTGACTCGTCAGGAAGCCACAAGGCTCAAGCAGACGCCCCTTACTCCAGCTTCATCTTGGGTCTGTCTCTGGACTATCACAGCTTCAATTTGCCAAAGTCCCATTGCTTTGAAGAAATGGAGGTAACAGAGGATCAGCTCTCGACAACCTCATTCCATCGCCTGGCCAGCCTGCTGCCCGCTCCTCAGAGCACATCTGATCCACAGCGGATGAGGAGCAGAACCACACGTGGCTGCCCCACCTCACCTGGTCAGAAGTCATGCAGGCAACATTGTCACTTGTCCAAGCATAGAAATCACAGGAAATCTCTGGCTCCGTCGTGGACACGGTGAAGAAGCTGCAGGCCTCGTCCTCTGTGCAATCTGCAAGCACCATGGGACGGTCACTCACCTGGCTTTCCCGGGGGATGCTGAGGGCAGAGCAGACACATCCCCCTGCCCCTGCCCCACATGCCCAAACACACACACACACACACACACACACACACAAATATGCAGATACACAAATACACACACCCCCCTCCAAATACACAAATATACACACACACAGGCACACACACCTCCAAACACACAAAGACACACAAATATACACCTAAAGACACACAGACACACACAAATATACACCAAAATAAACACATACCTCCAAATAAACACCCAAACACACACACAAATACATAGAAATACACATTCAAATACACACACCTCCAAATACACACACACACAAATATACACCCAAATACACCCCCCAAATATACCCCCACAAGCACACATATAAGCACACATTTATTAAGTACGTACCATGAACCTCATGCAGTGTTAAGTGTTTTCTGTGTATTGAATCATCGATCCCCCATCTTACAGTTAAGGAACTGAAGCACAGCTCCGTTCAGGCACTTACTCACGGAGGTCACAAAGCTACCAAGTGGCAGAGCTAGGATTGAAATCTAAGTAGTCAGACTTCAGAACTTGTACAGTTACTAAGCTGTATCTGCCTAAATTAAACCTTTTATACATTTTAATTGCTTCTATTCTATGAGGAGCCAAATCTAGGTATCCATTGAGATCACAACTTTGTTCAAGGCTATGTCCCATTTCCATCAGGAGCAGACAGCAGCCCTGCAAGGGATTGAATGATAGAATAGAATCCCCACTTCCTACAGTGAGTGCCCTCTCAAGATGACAGGAGGCCATGCGCTTAATGAGGGCAGGGACCACAGCTGCTTTCTGTGGACACTGTGTGATAGGCATGAAGCATTCAACTGTGTAATATTCATGAGTAACGATGGCAATTAATGATTTAACAGGGATAGGAGGTTTTGGTAGAAAATGTAAATTAAGGAGAAAAAGCATACACTTACACATTTATCATTACAAAGCACTTTCACATATATTATTAATACTGATTTTTGCATTAGGTAAGAGGTAAATTTAGAGATGGGAACACCAAGACTAAAAATCAGCACAGTCTGTGGCTGATGGGAGCAAAGCAGTAACTTGAATACCTTTGCAATCCAATTCCTGAGCCCTTCCCCCTGTATTTGCCCAGCTGAAAGGCGAGGGAAAGCCACTGGTATCTGGGATAGAGATGTCTTCCTTTTCTCTAACAGGACATCTCACAAACTGCAGCTCTATTGAGATGACATTCTTGGGTGCAGAGGTGGTCTTCTGGGGGTTTTCATCATCTCCTGATTTTCATCTCAGCATTGTATGGCTGTAATGTCTTTTATGAACTAGGCACTGAGAGGTCGATGATGTCATTTTACCCAGAAACTGTGTGGCTTATTCAGAACACCCCCCCCAAAAAAATAATTCTGTTTTAAAATATTTTTTGAGACAGGGTCTGGCTCTGTTGCCCAGGCTGGAGTGCATTAGCACGATCTTGGCTCACTGCAACCTCTGCCTCCTGGACTCAAGCCATCTTCCCACCTTAGCCTCTCAAGTAGCTGGGATTACAGGTACGCACCATCACGCCTGGCTAATTTTTGTATTATTATTATTTTTATTTTTTTGTAGAGATGCAGTTTCACCACATTGCCCAGGCTGGTCTCCATCCACCTGCCTCGGCCTCCCAAAGTCCTGGCATTACAAGCATGAGCTACTGTGCCCAGCTCCAAAGAAAATAATTCTTACTGGTCCACTGGCTCATGGCTCTAAAGTTCTCCTGTCCCCTTAACTGAACTAACCTAATCTTCACGGCAAGCAGATCCCTGCTTCGGGCTCAGGGACAAATTCAGTCAAGAAAACAATTAAAGTTCTGAGTCAGTGTTAGAAGGATGAGCACCCTAGACCCTGGCTGGTTAAGTGCTGAACTAGAACCAGGGTTCCTACCATGACCCCAACCATAGCTTCCCCTCACACCCCCAACAATCCACATTTCTCTCCTATTCCTGATCATGCTACTTAGTTCTCTAGATGCCTTGGTTTTCTTACCAGTCTCCCCTTTCCCCACCAACAATGATATCCAACCCTTCATTGACTCAGTGGCTTTATTTTCCTACCCCTTAAATGGCCCTTCGATCTACCGTAAAACCACCTTGATTTTTCATTATGGGCTGAATTATGTTTTAAACTCACAATTTGTATCATGTAGTCCTTCCCCAAGCACCACAGAATGTGACTGCATTTGGAGTTAGGGTCTTGAAAGAGGTAAATTAAGTGCATAATGAGATCATTAGGGTGGGCCCTAAGGCAATAGGACTGGTGTCCTTATGAGAAATAAAGATTAGGATACAGACACATACATAGGGAAGACCAAGTGAAGTCACAGGGAGAAGTGAGTCACCTACAAGCCCAGGAGAGGGGCCTCAGAAGCAACCAACCCTGCCAACACCTTGATCCTGGACTTCTGGCCTCCAGAATTACAAGAAAATCCATTTTGTTGTTTAAGTCCCCCAGTCTACGGTATTTTGTCCCAGCAGCCCAAACAGACTAACACAGTGCTGGATGCCTGCCTGGACCTGTACTCAACCTGCAAATACTGCTTGTCTTGGATTGCTCTGCTCTCGTTTGTCTGATAGGATGGCATCTTGCTGGACCTCCTTGATGTGGCTCTCTTTTTTCTAACTGTTGTCTGTTTTCTCTCAGCATATTTTAGACACTGAACTCAGTGGCCCAGTTGGCTAAACCATCTCTGGACATGAACAGATGGACGTGTTTTCCCTGCTTGCCTCACTCCCTAAGATTCTGCATCCTCTTTTGCTTCCCATCCCACCAGTTTGCCCTTCCTTTTTTTTTTTTTTTGACGGAGTTTCACTCTTGATGCCCAGGCTGGAGTGCAATGGAGCGATCTCGGCTCACTGCAACCTCCACCTCCCACCAGGTTCAAGCAATTCTCCTGCCTCAGCCTCCTGAGTAGCTGGGATTACAGGCACCCACCAACATGCCTGGCTAATTTTTTGTATTTTTAGTAGAGACGGGGTTTCACCATGTTGGCCAGGCTGGTCACGAACTCCTGACCTCAGGTGATCCACCCCCGCTCAGTCTCCAAAGTGCTGGGATTAGAGGCGTGAGCTACCACGCCCTGCCTGCCCTTCTAACTTAAGCTGTGTCACAGTGCACGCACACATGAGCAGGTATATGACAATCCCTGTTGAGACAAATAACTGCCAAAGCTGTCCCTCAAGTCTGCCATCCTCATGCTGATTCCTCACATCTACTCATTTGACCACTTGGTTCTGTCCCTCCATTCCTGTCAATATCTCTCATTCTACAAATATTTCCTCCAGCTTCTACTTCATGCCTTGCACTGTGTTTGTGAAACAAACTATAGTGTGCTCACCATAACCAAAGCTGATATCCAAAACAGATTCACACTCAGAGTGTTAATTACTTAATAACTACATCACATGTGGGTACTGAGGCAGGCATAATGCAGTGTTAAAATGGCAAAAATAGACACTGGGGACTACTTGGGGGGAATACAGAGAGGAGCACAGGGTTGTAAAACTAACTATTGCGACTACGCTCACTACCTGGGTGAGGGACTCAATCGTACCCCAAGCCTCGGCAGTATACCACATACCCATATAACAAGCCTGCATGCACACCCCCTAAATCTAAAATCAAAGATGAGATTATTTTTTAATATTTTTTATTTCAATAGCTTTTAGGATGCAAGTGGTTTTGAGTTACATGGATGAATTGTATAGTGGTAAAGTCTGAGATTTTCGTGCACCCCAAAGATAAAATCATTTAAAACAAAAAAAGACTGCAGGCTTTGATGTTGTTACTTTGGGTTTGAATTTAAGCCCTGACCCCTTGCTGGTTCTATGTCAGTGAGCAAGTCACTTACACTCTTAAAACTATTTTTGTCTTCTGTAACTCAGGATAGCAATGGCCAGTTTATGGGTGGCTTTGGGATTGTGAGATAATCCTTGTAAACATACATTGCTCAATAAATGGCAGCCTTTATTACCACCTCTCTGGCCCCACTGTTAAAATAGGGAGATATAGATCCTGACCTGGACACATAGATCTATGCCAAACTAATTTTGTTCATTTCTACTCCTTAACATGTGCCATGTGGATAGCATACAGTAGATAAACTGTCAACTCTGCAATTAAGTTATGAATTGAATATGCATTCTGGAAATCAATTCATTTATAGTGTTTTTGATAAAGTATGTTTTTAAATTATAGTTTTAATGGTTTGATTTGGTTTGTCTCGACAACTCTCAGCAGAGCTTATTTCCACACCTTCTTCTGAGTGCATATCTCCCCACCACTCCTCACCTGTCAAGCACTGCATCACGGGGAACTCAGAATCAGGAACTTTGGATCTGACAGCCACAGGAGCATTGGCGTCGAAGATCACCTTTGATTCTGGAACCTTCTCAAACTTCTGCATCACTAAAAATAAAGCAGATTTAGTAAATCTGACTCAGAAGGGTGTAGGGCATCTGCAGAGAAGCCATAAAGACTGTTAGGTCAAGCAGTCAATACCCATTCGTAGCTCTTGGTAACACAAATGTCCCAGGAAAAGCAATTCCTTTGTAAGGTAGCTCCAACATACTGCTCCATATCTAAAACTGAGAGTTACAACTTACCAGCTCTCCCTGCTTCTACCTCATTGTCACGAAGTGAGGCGGAAATTTAATGTTAGTCCTTACAACTATTTTCTTCTCATTAACATTGATAATATAAACTTATATTTCTCTGTCCCTATCCTTCAGTGCTAATTACATCATATAACTATTTTACTGGCATTTTCTTTCTGTAAAACAACTTGAATTCTTTCCGAAATGAGGTAAGTTATTTTTTAAAAGACATGTGCATATGTATTTAGGTAAATCTGAAGACATGTCATGTGGCTCAGGCATTTTTAAGATTGGTTAAGTGATTTATTAGCATCTGTTTTCCTAGCTACCATCAACACACTTGAGTTCCATTTGATAGGAATAACAGTCACAAGCTCATAAAACTAGACAAGTGAGGAGGAAGAAATATAATTTCTCAGGGCTATGAGAGTTGGAACTTTTTCTTCACCAAGCAAAAAAGAAAGCATGGAGGCTAACTCTCAAGGAATGAGATTCACCTTCCAAGCCACAAATTCCCAAGAGTGTCAATATCTTGCAGTCTTACGGGTAACTGTCAAAAAGAAAAACTTATGTACAACCTCAAAGGCACATGAGTATTGGTTTTTTGCAAACATAATTATAAACATATATACAAGCACTAATTATGTACATCCATTGCTTTATTAAAAAAGACTTATATCTAGATGGGTTTTCATCAAGTCAATAAATTCAAGGCCATCCAAAGTGATTTTTTCTCAGCTTTCATAATAAGTGCAGAAAAAAAATGTTTATTCCTTTTGGGATTGGGTTGAGAGAAGTGAGCATTAATGACATGCTCGGCCAGGCGCGGTGGCTCAGGCCTGTGATCCCAGCATGCTCTAAGCCTTCAAAAGTGTTGATAGAGAAAAGAATTCTGATTTTACAAACTGGCCCATCCATGTTAATTGCTGAAGTTGCCAATTTCACGTGCTCTGCCCACACAAAGCCCTTCTTCTCTCATCTCTTTTTATATTTTTATACCCTTTAGTAGCTCATTTGTAGAGACTGCAAGCTCCAGTCCAGCAAATGCCATGTTATAATCATCACAGTGTCCCTAAGTCTTGATTGGTACAGACCAGATGCTCAAAATATTCTAGGAGACTAAATACAATTTGAAAGGTCTTTCAGTTTCTAATTAAATTCTGCCAAAAATACAGTAAATTTAGCACTTCAGTTAGAGAATCTGCTGGTTTTCAGAAAAGAGACACCTTGGTGATAGAGATCTTCACATTTCAGCATTCTGTGAAGAAGCTCATGGCCAAGCAGAACAGAAACAATCCATGAACCAATTTGCCAATGAATTATGACAATGGAGTCAGTTTGCATATTTATACATTCTGTTGGTATAATTTCCCATTTATCCAATTTATACTTAACGGCTATTTACAAATGTCTTAAGGAAAGCATAAAAGGTTAACATTAAAGCACAGTATATATTAATATTTCATCATTTTTGCATAGTTTATTGTGGCTACTTAGGTTCCCATCTCCTTCCAGGGCAAAGGCAATATTCTGATCATATTTGAACCCTCACTAGCCAGGATAGTAACAGAGAGACTACTTTCCTGTATATTGAATGGATGGAGGGAGGGAGGGAGGGAGAATATGAGGAAAGGAGGGATAGGCAAATGAATGACTAACAACATCATCACAACACCAGGAAACCAGGAGATAACATTATGATGGCACAATTCCAACGTGTACACACATATGCACACACAACGTGCACACACATATTGGAACAGAGGTATGTAAATACCTCTGTTCAGGCACTTGATGTGGTATATGAAATCTTCAGCATAGGTTGACAAAGATCAGAATTAGGAAAATGAACCTAAAGTTAAAGGGAAGATGAACTGGAAATATTTCCAGTGAGCAAGGTGGAAATATTTTTTACTAACTCTGCAAGTAAACAAAGGAAACAGAAGATCAAAGGGAGTGCCAGGAAGCTGCAGCAGGAGAGATTTCAGAGAGAGAGGCAGCAGGCAGTCAGGGAGAGGCACCAACTCAGGAGTGAGCCCTCAGCTCGAGTCCTGATGCCACCACCAGCTCTGTGTCCTTGGACACCTTGCAACCTCTGAGAGTTTCAGTTTTCTGGTTGTGAGGACTAAATAATATAGCATGGAATGGTATATGGTATATGGTAACCACTCAGTAAGTGCTAAGTCCCTCTGTCCCCTGCAGAACACCTTTCCTAAGTCTCAGGGCTTGTAAAATTGACCACAGGAATTGAGGTGGTGGAAGAATCTCCTTCCCTGAAGACCTTTAGGAAATAGTTTCAAAGAATCCCAGACAACTAGAGAAATTTATTCATTCTGTCAAAGAGTACCTATGGCCCTGGAATAGAATAAGAAATAAGATACAATTCTAGCCCCAAAGGAACATATGGTCTAATGAGGTTAGAGCCCAGAGGGGAGGCTGGGATACTGCAAATGGTGCTTTATCCCAAGAGCAATGAAGAACCACTGAAGAGATTTAAGGGGCATTGCATAGGCAGAATCTCCTTTTAAATAACAGCTCTAGAAGCATCATAGAAAAACTGTTGGACTGAAGCAAGAAGATGAGTTAGGCAGGTATGGCAGTACCATGTAGGTAACAGCAGAAGCCTGAACAAAGGAAGTGGCAAGAGGGCTGAGGAAGGAGCAAATTCCTCTCAGGTAGGTACCTGTCTGGGGAGGTATAAGTCCCTTGCTTAAGGACCTAGCCTGAAGGACAAAAGCCTTAAACATTTTACTCCCGAAGAGAAAGTTCCTCTCAAAGGCAATTCTGAGAAGAGATGTGTTGACATCCCAGTGAGGGCCCAGCTTAGTGGCATAGAAATCCCCAGGCATATCCAGAAAGGGAAACTTAAGCTCAGAGCTTTGCATAAGAAGCCAAAGATGCTGAAGCTCTATCTGGAGGCTATTCAGAAGCCAGCGCCTCAGGGAGGCATCATCAAAGTTGTCAAAGCTCAGCTGTGACTCGTGAGCACTTCTGGTGCCACTGTTTAAACTGTTCTTTCTGCCCTGAACACTGGGCAGAATACACCATGAAATGCCCTACAAACTGCATAAGACAATCCTCAAGGCCAACCCATTGACAGAGATGCAAAGAGAGCTCAGAGCACGTAAGACAATAATCCCAGGACTGATGGTGATCACCAGGGCCGCAGGGCAAGTTGTATTCTGTAAAGACACAGTCTCCTTCATTTGTGAAGCATCTGGCTAACTGATCTCTCAAAGCACTTTCCTGCTGTACTTCCCCTGTTTTTTTCTGCCCAAGAAGAGGGATGTTGGGAAAAAAATAAGACTTTCATTGGATTTGCAATTTATTCAAGAACACACACACACACACACACACACACACACACACACGCACTCCTTAGGACTTGTTAGCACTTCACTAGAGAAGGGAAATGATTGCTCTGAGAATTAGAAAATGAAAATTTCTCACTTGGATTTTCACTAATGTTTTATCCCATGAGCTGTACCAGCTTCCCTGGAGGACAGGTAGGCTATGCATGCATATGTGTGTGTATGTGAGGATATGTTTATTGAGGAAGCAGGTAAATCTAGGTGGAAACAGATTGGTAGAATGAAGAATACAAAGGTTTGGTGGTTTGACATACACCAATTCAAATTCTAGGTATATTCTATCCTAACTATGGAACCAAGAGAAGTGCTTGGACATTCTTTGCCTCAGTTTCCTCAGCTAAAATATTGGCAATAATATCTACCTTTTAGGACTACCATGGATTCAAATTTGATAAACACATAAAACACCTGGCACACAGTAAGCCCATGTATGTTAGGCCCTCTCCTTCCACAGAAATACTAAGAGACTGGCTTGCTTGGGCTTGTCAAATGTGCAAAGGTTAGCCACAAGACCTCAAGCAGAGGCAGGTGGCTCCAGGGAAAGGTGGAACAGAGTCATAAAGATTGAGAAGATATCAGGATTAAGGGACCTTGCAGACTGTTTCAGCCTCCCTCCAAGTTTAACAGATGGGGAAACAGGGCAAATACTGTTTCTGAGCCTTCTTATTCTGAGACATTTACTACCGCTGGTAGGTAATGCCATTGCTAAGGCACTCAACACTCTTACAACGGGGGAAACTGATGTCTCCATTTTACAGACGAAGAAACTGCTGAGGGTGAGTGACTTGCTTAAGACTACACAGCCAGTAAAGGCACCACTGGGATTAAACTACTTCTGATCCCACAGGACATACTCTTCTCTTCTGTTCCTCTGGTTCCCATCACACTATATATTGTAGCATATCTGATGGTTTACCTGGGACTTTCCCATCCAGTATCTCACTGAGGAACTGTACGTGGTACAGGGTAGAGCTCAATACGTATTTGTTGACTTTATAGGTTCATGTTGATTCTCAGGAAATAGACTGAAAGCCACTGGGGAGACTGAGGATCAGAGGGATTGAGCAACTTGCTCTAGATCACCCAGCAATTAAGATATGGAACAAGGCCTGGCACACAAGTCTTCTACAACAGAAGTCCCCAACCCCTGGGCCATAGACTGGTACCAGTCCATGGCCTGTTAGGAACTGGGCCACGCAGCAGGAGGTGAGCATTGGGAGAGTGAGCATTACTGCCTGAGCTCCGCCTCCTGTCAGATCAGTGGCAGCATTAGATTCTCACAGGAGAGCAAACCCTATAGTGAACTGTGCATGTGAGGGATCTAGGTTGCATGCTCCTTTGAGAATCTAATGCCTGATGATCTGCCACTGTCTCCCATCACCCCCAAATGGGACCATCTAGTTGCAGGGAAAAAAGCTCAGGGCTCCCACTGATTCTACGTTATGGTGAGTTGTATAATTATTTCATTATATATTACAATGCAATAATAATAGAAATAAAATGCACAATAGATGCAATGTGTTTGAATCATCCTGAAACCATCCCCACCCTGCCACCTCTGGTCTGTGGAAAAATTGTCTCCCATGAAACTGATCCTTGATGCCAAAAAGGTTGGGGACTGCTGCTCTACAACGTCCTACTGAGGAAGAAATGCTGACTAGATTAGTGAAGTCAAGCTGCCTAGAAGAATGGAGGCCTCCACAGATCTTTTAATATAAAAATTCATCTCTTGTGCATGCTGAAGTACTTAGAAGTAAGGGTTCCTGATATCTGGAATTTACATACCAAATGATTCCAAAAAAGAGAGAGTGAAATGTTAACAATTTTTGGATCTAGGTGATGGGTATTTGTTCATTTTGCGGTTCTTCCAACTTCTACACAGATTAAAATTTTTCAAAACAAAAAGTTGGAGACAAATGCACCTCCAGCTTCTCTCCCTTTCTAAAAAGCCCTTGAGACTACTCCCCAGTCCCCAGGAACCATGACTGATTTCACCCCCAGCACCTACTCAAACACTGTGAGTCCTCAAGAGGGGCCTCTGTTTCCCACCATGGCAGCCTCCGCCCCTCGCCGTCCACACAGAAGGCCTTCCCACTGCCCCTGTCCTTCTGGCTGGCTCGATACTGGCCATTCTGGTCACATTGCAGGCCTGCTTCGTTCCTCTGACAGTCAGTGACACCTAGAACCAATAGATTGACATAGCCGTCAATAATGGGCCTCTGGAATCCCCTGACTCCTACTCCCAGGCTCTCGGTCATTGACAAGGTGTCCAAGTCACACATCTAACTCAGACATTCCAGCTTAAAACTCTTCAGTGTTCCCACTGTTCTGATCAATAAGGCCCCTGTGATTTGGCCGCCACCCACCCTAAGTTCTGCACACATACCCCATGCTTCACACACCACCTGCTTCATTCCATGCCCTGAATACACCAATCTCTCTGATACCATTTGCTCCAACACAAGCTTTACTCATCTGGGCCCTCTTCTGGCCCACAGCTCCCCCAGTCTTTGCTGCGCGAACTCTCCACCACTCACCTGTTTTCATCCCAATTCTCATTGTCTCAGGAAAGCCTTCCTACTATGGTCTAAATCTATGGGTGCCACCTGCCAAAATTCACATGTGGAAACCCAGTGCCCAGTGTGACGGTATTAGCAGGTGGTGCCTTTGGGAGGTGACTAGATCATGAGAGTGGAACACTCATGAATGAGATTTGTACCCTTTAAAAGAGGCCCAAGGGGGCTCATTTGTTCCTCCCAGCATGTGAGGGCACAGTGAGAAGGCGCCATCTGTGATACCTTTATCAGACACCAAATCTGCTGACAACTTGATCTTGGACTTCCCAGTCTCCAGAACTGTGAGAAATAAATTTCTGCTGTTTATAAGCCACCCAGTTTATGGTATTTTCTTATAGCAGCCCAAATGGACTAAGACATCTCTGGACGTCCCAGCCCAGTCAGGCCCAAATGTTACACACTATCCCAGGGACCCACACCTCTCCTTCACAGCAGGGCACACTGTTACAATTCCCATTTTCCTGTGTGAATGAACGATTGATGACTGCCTGCCTCCCACTCGATAGACGTTCCAGAAAGGCACAGACCAGGTATGGTTTTGCTCATTATTGTATCCAAATGCCTTGCTCAGTGTCTGACCCACAAAACAAGCTTCTGTCCAAAATCAATAAATGCTAGTCAAATCCATGGATGAATACCTCTATATCCATGTTCAAGCTGTTTCTTCTTCCTAGAAGGCCTTTCTCCACCGGGCCCCCTAGCTAATGTCCCCTTGTCCTTCAAGACCTCTCACAAGCTGCTATAACAGTATCTAATATGTACCTCCATTATACTATTCATTACATCACATGGATATGCTCACACGTTTCTTTTCTCTGTCAGACTCTAAACTCCTTGAGGACAGGGACTTTATCATTACTTGTTTTATTTAATATATACCCACTATACAGTTGGCAGAAAGCAGGTACTCAATAAATTTTGGATGAATGATATTAAAAGGGAATGCCTTCATTTGGTTCTCCAGGTCTGGGAAGTAGGTGAAAGATAATATTTTATGGCAGCCCAGAGATTTCATAACATCTGAGTTTCTATATTTCCAGACTATTGGTTATGTGATTCACCATTGATTAATAAGAACTTTTTTGTGGGAGGTTACAAAGGCTATTTTTAAATAGAATACTTTGCATGTCCTGCATGCTATACATGAGTTAATACATCAATAAACAAACAAGTAAATGAAGAGCTACTTCTGCTGAAGAGTTATCAGCAGAACCTCAAACATGGTCCAGTGAACCAGCTAAGTTATAAAATGTAGGAGAAAAGTATAAGCAAGATCAATAATAGAGACCTGAACTATATAGAGGAGTTGGGATTCTAAAAGCTAACCTAACACCAAAAGGAAATCAAAGAAATATTGTAATCTGGCATTATTTAAAACTTGGCAGACTCTTCTGCCCTGTGCTTCTCTTCAGTACAATTCCATCTAAGAACACAGGCCTGGTAATTCAATGCGGGTTAATGAGTCATAGAGAAGTTTCTTAGGTATGAACAGATCCTTAGCACAGACTCCAACCTTGATCCTAGAGAACCATTCACTAAAATCTCTTTCACTGCTCAGGGAAGATGTTTGGGAGAATGGCAATGATTCAATACAGCTCTCTACTACTGCATGAAAATGCAATCAATGCTCACCCCCAAAATGGGTGGGGAATAAATGCTTATTGTTTATGCTAAACATTTTGATTCCACTTTGCTACAGACTGATTGTTTGTGTCCCTCCCTTACCAAACTTATATATGGAAGCTCTAATCCCCAGTGTGATGGTATTTGGAGGTGAGGCCTTTAGAAAGTAACTAGGTTTAACTGAGGCCATGAGGGTGCAGCCCCCACGATGTTGTTAATGCCCTTATTAGAAAGAGAAGGACAGGAGATTTTTCTCTCTTTTTCTCTGTGTAGGTACTAAGCAAAGACCATGTGAGGACATAAACAGAAAGAGAGCCTTCAACAAGAACCCAATCATGTGGGCACACTGACCTCAGACTTCCAGCCTGTAGAACTGTGTGAAACAAATGTGTTGCTTAGGCAACCCAGTGTATGGTAATTTGCAATAGCAGCCTGACCTAAGACACCCTTTATTACCACCCTGTGAGTGAGTTATCATTGGCTCCACCCAATACAGGAGGGAGCTGACATTCAGAAGAGGAAGGTAGCTTTGTCTAGGTCACAGTGCCAGTAAGAAGGGAGAGTGGTGATCAAACCTGGTCTGGCTGGTGCAAGCCTCAACCTGTGTCCTCTATTCCTGCCATTTCTGTCATATCCCCTCCATAAACAAGGCTCAGCACACTACATTAATCTTCTTTTAAGAAAGTGCTTCTCTGGTATTTTGATAGCACTTCAAGTCATCTCAAACTACAAGTACTCAAGTCATTGTGTACAAACTGAGGGTGATGCCCAGATGTCAAGGACACTCTATTTTCCCAGTGAAGAGTTTATTCTCCAGGAAGAATGCCAGACTCTCAGCCTATAAAATTCCTTTTACTTTTATTTTATTGGAATTACTGTTCTATTATTACTGCTTTCCTGACCAGGAAACTGCCCTGAGCAAAGAAAGTATCTTGATCTTTTCTGATGACTTGTTTTAAAAATTCTAGAAATTATTTGGATTGTAAGCACAACAGTTTCCTTCACATTGACACAGTTTCAGACTAACAAGAAGAGATGCACAACAAGGCAAGTTATGGGTCCTTGCTAGGAAAAAAACCCAACAATACCCAGGGGACTATTAAGTAAGTAGGTCGAGTGAAATCACGTGACATATGGGAAGGCCACCCATACATACAGTCCTGGCAAATTCATGCAGCAGAGAAGGAAGATGAGCTACATAGCAGTAATGACTATAGGTGGAAAATATCTTCCATTTTTCAATCTGATAAGGTTGACTTACAAAAATCAGAAGTTTCAGAATCAGATAAAACCAAGATCAAAGACCAGTTACATCATCCATTAGCTGAGTGACTTTGACTAACTTTCTTTTCTTGGAGTCTTAGCTTTCTTATCTGTAAAAGCTGGGCTACTAATATTGGAAGAGGTATTGGGAGCACTGAATGAGGCAACACAGGTAAAATGCCTGGCCCAGGGCCTAGCAGTAGGTAAGTATTCAAAGATGGCGGCCCCTTTGATTATTATGTTGTGTACCCAATAGTTCTCACAGGTAGGCAATTTTGCTCTCCCTGCCATTTCCACCCAAGAGACATTTGGCAATGTCTGGAGACATGTTTGGCTGTCACAACTTAGGGAGGAGTGCTACTGGCATCTGAGAGCTACCAATGCTACTAAATATCCTACCAAGCACAGGCCAACCCTGCACAAAGAATTATCTGTCCCAAAATGTCAATAGTGCAGAGATTGGGAAACCCTGTTGAGTTCCATTTCATTGCAGGGCTTTTCTTTCAAAGAAGCACTCCACAGAACTTACAGTGAGTCTGGCTGAAAGCTCCAGCAGAAATGGTCGTTCTGCCCACAGGACATGGGACACAGGCCAAGCTCCCTGCCTGTTCTTGGTAGAATCCAACAGGACAAGGAATGCATTCCTCATCTTGGGAATAGCTTCCTTCAGGACACTTAACTAGAAAAAAACAGAGAAATGATGTTAAAAATCAAGACACATGCTTCACAGTTACAATCCCAGAACACACAGGGTAAAGAAAATCCTCAAACCAGTTCAAGAGCTCATTCATTTAACAAATGTCCACTGAGAACCTACTGTGTGTCAGACTCTAAGAAGCAGGGAAGCAGCTGTGAAGAAGTCAGGCGAGCTTCCTGCTGTCCGGGAAGTGACATGCTTGTAGGAGATGAGAGGGTCAGACAGGGATTTCAAATAGGGGTAAAATAAAGAGGGGGGTTGTTTTACTTTGTTTCATGGTTCAGAGTTGTGTTCTTGAGAATTTGCCAAATAACTTCCAGAAGAAGTGAGCTTTTACCAAGTAAAAGGTGAAAGCTAAAATCCTGCTCACTACTGGCAGCACTTAGTCTATCGCCCTGTTACATACATTAATACATCACACCCATGGAAAGTCTGTATTTTATCCCCATTTCACAGTTGAGAAAGCTGAGCCTCAGACGTCCATGCATGACTTCTTTGTATGCTTTTCAGCAAAGGTCAGTGGGAAATTAAATTATAGAATATGCCATGCACTGTGCAGATATTTTAATCCGTTTTTCTTACAACCCTATGGGGAAGTTATCATCTCCATATAAGACTAGAGAGAACTGAGGTTCAAGGTTAAGGACGGCCAAGCAGTGAGGTGTCAGAGGTGAGATTTGAGCTCCATTCATTCATCTCCAAACCAAAGTCTTTGTTCCTTCCACCAATCCAGCCACCTCCCTCTGGCAGAGAAGTCAGTACCAATGAGTGGGACGTGCTGAGATGGAGCCAATGTTGATTTAGCAACTACTGTCTCTGGTCTACGTGTGTAGTTGGCATTTCTGAGTAAATTAGAAACTCGAGCCACATCTTGGAAACTGAACAGTGTGTTTTTTGGTCTGCCCAGAGCAATTAATATCCTCCCTCCGAGAGTGGAGTTTCATTACTTCTATGAGTCAAGTTGGTGATGATTATCTCTAGCATTTCAACCCCAGAACTGTGGCCTTTTTTCAAGTGGCCTCCAAATTCACCGCTGAAGGAAAACAAAAGCCTTTCGGCCAACCTGCCTTGCCCAGCCTCCAAAAGCCTAGGTGCGGGCAACTAGCAGAAATGAGAGAGCTAGAACTTAACTTCCGCTGCAAATCCCACAGGTCCCAGACTCTTGTCTGTGCTCAGGGAATGCACACGCTGTTTCCTCCCACCGGTTCTCTCCGTCTCTGACGTCAAGTCTTTTCCACCCAAAAGAGCACGTTTCTAAGTCAGAATGAGACCACGGCTGCCTTACTGTCAACCTTCCCTCGGGAGAAGGGGCTCTCTCAAGACCATTGGGTCCACTGCCACCAATAGGTGCTGACCCTCAGTTAAATCCCTCAAAATCACTGGAAAATCCTTTAGCCTCAGACCCTTCCTTAATATTAAGCTGGCGCAAAAGTAATTGTGGTTTTTGCAATTAAAAAAAAAAAAAAAATTGCAAAAACCGTAATTACTTTTGCACCAGCCTAATAAAATAAGACAGTTATACCTATTTGAGTTTGAGAGTCTCACAGAGCTTTAGGGTCAGGCCACCCCTCCTGCCAACCCTTGTCCACAAACCCCCCAACATTGACAGCCGCATTTCTGCTGAAGAAAGACATCTGTGAGGAACCGTAAATGTCCTTCACCCCTTCGGAAGGTGGCTCAAGCCCGCACCTGGTCCTCTCTCTCTCCAGCTTAAAATCCTTCCATGGTCCCATCTCCAGCCCACTCCCCTTGCTGTGCTCCAAGGCCTCTCCTGGCCTGTCCCTGTCTCTCTGGCCCCACTTCTTGTCACGTTTCCCACACACCCCATTCCCCAGCTGTACAAATTATGAGCACTGTTTCCAAAGAGTCAGCAACTTCTTGACTCCCTGCATTTATACCAATCTTTCTGGAATGTTCTTCTTCACTTTAGCACCCTCAGCACAGGTATACACACACACACACACACACATATACATGCACAAACATGCACTACCTTCTGTCTGCTCTTGTCTGAGCAACGATTCCTCCTCACCTTTCAAGACTTCTGCCAGCATTTCCTACCCCAGCACACCTGCCCTGACCACCCTGGCTGTGATGTAACAGGCTTCTTCACAGGATGGTCTAGCTGAATACTCACTGATCTCTCCCCAGCCAGGCTGTGAGTGCCTTGAGATTGGAGCTTTGTTTTTTGCCTCCCTGAGTGTGTAACATGGCATATAATATTTTGAAAGTTCGGATGGATGACAGGAAAGAAGAAAAAAAGGAAGTAAGGGAAGGAAGGAAGGAAGGAAGGAAGGAAGGAAGGAAGGAAGGAGGGAGGGAGGGAGGGAGGCATGGAGGGAGGAAGGGAGGGAGGGTTGGAGGGAAAGAAGGAAGGAAGGAAGGAAAGAAGTAAGGAAGGAAGGAAAGTAGGTAAGCAGGCAGGCATAATTCCTTCAGCAAAAAAAAAATCCATAGGGAACCAGCTCTATTAGAAGAAATTATAGTGAATGAGTGAAAGTTAATATCATCCAGAATGGAATATGAAAAATATAGACAATTTCTCAGTTATTCTCCTTCATAAACTAATCTGCTATGAAGGCTGCCAGCAGGTAATTTCAAGGAGAAGCCATATGGCTGGCCTTGAGGCAAAAGGGGGAACAAAACTGACTCCATCAGGGCTGCAAATAAGGTCTCTGCTCCCTGGCCGTCACCAATTCCCTGGATCAAGGCTGCTGTGCCTACACGAGTCATGAGCAATGGACTTTCCTATTGGACCTCTGAGTCATTGCCCTCCAAGGGGGCCATCCTGATTAGCCCTCCTCCAGGATGACACAGAGAATCCTGCTTTATTGCCACAGGACAGTGCTCTGCCTTGTAACATCAAGGCCATGTCCCAGATATGTTTTCAAGGGAAAAGTGCCAATAAGAATAGATACAAAAATGAGAGGGTGTGATTTCACCAAGAACCTCCTTGTTGAGAAGGGAGACGTGTGATGCAGAGGACAGAACAAAGAACTTGGAGGCAGACAGAGTTGGATTTAGATCTCAGCACTGCCAATTTTCACAACAAACCATTCGCCAAGAGTTTACTAAGTGCTGTGCTCTGCATTATTTCATGCTGTCTAAACAACAATAGGTATTACCCCATGCAATAAGTATTATTATCCCTATTTTTCAGAAGATGTCTAGTGAGAATAATGGACTTTCTCCAGGATCCACAATGAGAAAGTGTTGGAGCTAGGACTCGAACCCGGGTCCACCTGACTTCACAGAGCACTTTCCTGAAGCTGTGTGGCACTATAGGCCCCTCGGTTCCTCATGCATAAGATGGAATTAATAACACCTGAGTCTCTGGACAGTAAAATGTTAGTAAGGCCACACGAATATCAAAAACTCAGTGAGCGACAGGTACTAGAACTGATGCTGAAGAAAATTCAGGGCTTTTGGTACTGCTTTTGAGACTTCCATTCTGGATCTTTCCAACCCTTTGGAGTAAGAGGATGGGGCCATGTGGTGTGATTGACAAGTCTTTGTGAGTCAGTTAAAGGCTACAGCAGCTGGAAGATAGAGTGTAGGTTTATCTAGAGCAAGACTGGCAAACCACAGTCCATGAGCCAAATTCAGCTCACCTTCTGTTGTGGTAAATAAAGTTTTATTAGAACACAGCCATATGTTTCTCCCCACAATGGCTGAGTTGAGTCACTGAGACAGAGACCATATGGCCCCCAATGTCTAAAACATCGCCATCTGGCCCTTTACAGGAAAGGTTTGCTGAGTCCTGTTCCAGCCCAGGTGTGTCCTGGGCAAGGTCTCCCATGCAGTCTCTTCCCTACGCCCCATCCTGTGGCTCCCACAGCCCCTCGGAAGCCCCGTGCCCTGACACCAGCTGCTGATTCCCAGGCCCTACTCTTTCCCCTTCAGGCAAAGTTGAGCTGAGTGGCCCCTCCCATCTTCTTGTTGACAGGAACTAATAATTGAGCTTCCTAGAAGGAATCTTGAAACCAGGTTTCTAGGCCAGCCCCTTTATTTTACCTGTGTGTTGTGGGGGATGGAAAGGAAGACAGTCAGAGGAGATAGAACTTCCTTGAAGGCACAGAGTCAACACAGGTTCTCTGCCTTCCCTTTACCTCCTTCTCTGGCTGCAGAGGGCACCCCTGAGGCCAAGGAGCCTCCTGGGGCTGCTTCCAGACCCATGTGGTACATCACCTGGGGCAGCTATGAAAAGCAGGCTCCTGCAGCCCCTGCTCCCAACATGCACACACACAACATACACATGTGCATACACACATAGACACATCACACACATGCGTACGGACAAAAACACAAACACACTCACACATATGCATATGTACATCAGACACATGTATACACACCACACACATACACTAATACACATACACACACACACTCATACACACACGCCACATACACCAGTACACCCCTGCTAGTTCAGCATCTGGCGTTGAAGCCAAGGGCTCTTCACAGTAAAGTCTGTGAACATGGGGCAGGTGCTCTCTCTGTGACTCTCCCTCTCTGCAACCCTATCTCACCCACCCTGGGGTGGCACCATCCACTCCTGCTTCTGTTTCTTGTCCCCTTGGTTTGGGCAGCTCTGATGGAATAGAAAGAAAGATCACAGGCTCTGGTCCCAGAGGACCTGGGCTTACTCGCCCTCTATTAATCAGTTAGGTGAGCTACAGTCCCTCCTGTGTGTCAGCCCCACCCCAGGCATGACAGATGCCCCATCTCATTTAATCTGAACCCCAGCTTCTTTGTCAAATGAGGAAAGGATCTGCCACCAGGGGCTATTGTGAGAGTTAAATGTTTGTGCAGGTGCACTTGAACTGCAGAATTCTCCATAAATGCTAGTGGGAAGTGGTTGTCTTTCTGTTTTCTGTGTTAGGATTTAGCTGCATCTTAAATCCAACGTGGAGTTTACAATTTGGCATAGATTTCAGAAAAGGAAAGGCCATTTGGCTTTTATGTTGCGACCAACATAAATAATTGAAAAAAATAACTGAGAAACATCTTCTCTTTCTTTAGCGCCATAAAAATGTCTTTCTATCTCACCCCACACAGGAGGAAGGCTTCTCATCAGGAGACCTTTGAATCTTCAGTGGTAGACATGACAAAGGTCCCCCCAAAGATATCCATATCCCAGTCCTCAGAATCTGTGAATATGTTAGGTTACATGGCAAAGGGAAATTACCTGTGTAGATGGAATTAAGGTCGCTAATTGGCTGACCTCAAAATAAAGGAGTATCCTGAATCATGCAGCTGTGTGTAGTTCTAAGGTCCTTGGAGGTAAAAGAGAGTCAGAGGAGATGTGACCAGGGAAGAGGGGTCAGAGAGCTGAAATGTTGCTGGTTTGGTGAGCAAGAAAGGAAGCCACCAGCCAAGAAATATAGACAACCTCAAGAAAGTGGAAAAGGTGAGGAAACAGATTTCCCCAGGGGCCTCCGGGAGGACTGCAGGCCCTGCCAACAGCTCAGTTTTAGCCCAGTGATGCCCGCATTGTAATCCAAACCTATAGAAATGTAAGATAATACATCTGTATTGTTTTCTGCCACAAAATTTTTGGTCATTTACTATGGTAGCAACAGGAAACTAATGCAACTTCCATTAAAGGAATCTGCATCACTTTCCCATTAAAAATGGCCCCCAAACTACTCACAGGCGAGGCAAGAGCAACCCAAGTGAACCTCAATCAGGAACCATTTTCCCTGAGTTTTAAAGCCCTGGGCTGATGAATGACCATTTGGAAATTGTGGTGAGTAACATTGCCACAGCCAGACTGAGAAATGTGCGCCCAGGATACAAATGTATGTTAGCCTTCATCACAATGACAGGGCAGGCCAGGCCCAGGGTCCAAGCTTATCAATAACCAACAGAAAGAATCACTGCAAATATGGGGCTCCTTCTGCCATGCCACCTAGCAGATGGAGACTATACACCCATGCATAGTAGATGATTGAAAACTTTTGCTCGTTAACTAAATGGATGGTTCTCAGCCCTGGATGTCCAGAGTAGCCTCTCTCCAGTGCTGAGGTGGCCTTTCCTAAAGCCTCACATGGCTCCACAGGAGATATCCAGGGAGAGAGTGGACCTACCGCATCCCAGTCCGTCCTGACTGGCCTCACTTGTCAAGACTTGGTAGAATCCTTCCGAGCACCCAAACCATGTCCTGGGAGAGGTGCCAAAGTGGTCCCCTTGGAGGAAGCGGATGGTTTCCGCTGGGAACGTCTTGGAGTCCAGATGAAGCTGGAATGAGCCACTCTGGATCAGATCTGTGAAGCGCCCAAGGAGATCCTTGCCCACCAAGGCTCTCTCTGTAAGACACAGGATAAGGTAGAGGTCACCCCCACTGTACTCTGCTAGGGCCAGGGAGGATTAAGCAGGGCAGAGATGCCTAGAATATCCAGACTGGAATGAGACATAGGCATCATGTGGTGTCTCATTTTACAGAGGGAGGAACTGAGGCCCAGAGAAGGGGATGAACTGGTTCAGGGTCACCCAGGAATCAGAAGCACAAGTAGGGACTCCAACCCAGATTTCCTGGCTCTTGCCATTTCTGTGGCACCAATGCAACCCATGTTAACATAGGATATCGGGTCTTCAGTCACTAGTCTAAGGTTCAAGATTCAGATACTCATCCACCTCAACCTTCATTGAGGCACTGAACACCTCTGAGCCTTAGTTTTCCCACCTGAAAAATGGCTTGGGAATGGCTCTCTTTGCAGTTGGTAAGGGTCCTAGGAGAGAATGTGTGTGAAGTGGCCACTCAAAAAGAAAGCAAAGACTTGAAGAGGCAACAGGGCCTTCTGCCTCAGTGTTTAGCTAAACACCGAGAGGTCTCCAGGTGTCAAATGATAAGTAGTTCCTAGGAAGAAAGCAGGCGAGCACCATGCCAGGAGCTGGGGCAGATCCGTGCACATAGCAAACATTTTGGCTGTAACAGGCTACTGTAGAGCCAGCCCATGGTCTCCAATCACAGTCTCGCTGCCTCACCATTGAAACAAGCAAACATCTCATGTTTTTGCGGCTCCAAACATACCCACATTATCCAGGCTCTCTTTGGAGAAAGATGGAAGGGGACCCCTAATTCACAATGCTGGGGCTCCTGGAGAATTCACAATTCTTCTGAATTATTATTTAGAGGATTACTATCCTGAGAACTAGTGAATGACAGAGATGCAGTCTCCTTCCTGGCAATGTTTTCCAGAAGTTCTTCCTCATAGAACAGAGGGCAAACTCCAGCCAGTCCTGCCCCTGGATGTTTGGCCACTGGATGGTGGAAGAGAAAATGGACTTGCCTCCCATTCTCTGGTCAGAAATGTACGGGCTCTTTCCTATCCTACCAGAAAGCTCAGAGCTGAACATGGCACATGCCCACAGTAGGTATCATAAAATCCATTCTTCTCTCTCTCCTCTGTTGACTCATCCATATCGTGACTGCCCTGTTTTAAATGGTGTAAGTGGTCTGAAATGTTTTACAATTAGAAACAGACGAGACATAAGTTAAAAACCAATAAAGACTTCCCCAGCCCACCCTGCTATCCCCTTCACACATTCTGTTTCACCTCTCTGCACGCAGAAAATCAAGAGAAGTATTAGCAGATGTTCACGACACAGAACCAGGCTCTTTGTTGACATTATTTAACTCTAGTAAACGATTGGCAAGAAGTCTATTGATTATTATATGTTTTTAAATAATTAGCTCTCCCCATAGTCTTCACAAGAAGACATCATGGGCTTCTTCACCAGCTCCATTTGGCAGATGAGAAAACTGAGACTCAGAGAGGCTGCATAGCTTATTCTAGGTACTACCACAGAAAAACATACCAATGTCATGTAAGTCAGGAAGAGAAGCCACTGGGATGTCCTCAAGCCGTGATTTCCATGTAACATTCACTCCTAAACGCTCCCTGGTCAGACAACCCACCTGCACAGAGGAGTTGTTGCAGACAGGAATGGAAACCAGGGTGCCAAAAGTCTTCACCTACAAGAAGACAGACACTTTCAGCTCAAGAACACAGAGTAGAAAGCTAGTTTTGTTGGGTCCACACCAGGAACCAGAACTTGGCTTATGTTACTTCCTTCAATCCTCCACCAACCCTACTTCAGGGGGTCAAGGAATAGTGACCCCCTTTTCCACATCTGAGGAAAACAAGTTTCAGAGAAGTTAAATAACCTGCCCTGGTCACATGGTGTACAGAAGTATAAGTGGAGGAAGAGCTAGGCTCCATGCATCAAAAGCCCAGTCACCATACTTCACTGGTGAAACAACTTTAGCCAACTCTGCAAATGTCTTCACCATACATATATTCAGCAGGACATCTCCGAACCCCTATAGCATCCACCAGCTCCTCAATGTTGGCTATGCAGCCTGGTCTCTCCTCCCAGCCTAAGTGTGGCTGAGTTGTGCCCACTGAATTTCTGTGAGTGATGTACTGCAGGCTCCTCAGGGTTGGGGAGAAAGACAGACGGTTGTGAGGCCTGTTAGCCCAAGGATGGTGCCAGGCTTTGGTCCAGGGTTGAACACAAGCTTCACCTCTCCCTCTTCATATCAGCCCCTTTCAAAGGGTGTCTTAGTGCATTTGGATGAACATTACGAAATACCACAGACTGTGTGTCTTATAAACAACAGAACTTTTTTTCTCATAAGTTCTGGAGGCTGAGAAGTCCAAGATCAAGATGTCAGCCATGTGTGGTGAAGGTTCTCTTCATAAATGTCTGTCTTCTCACTGTGTCCATGGTGGAAGGGGCAAGGATCTCTCTGGGTCTCTTTTATAAGGACACTAACCCCATTCATGAGGGCTGCACCCTCATGACCTAACACAAAGTTCCCTAATACTATCATGTTGGGGATTATGGTTTGGATATGAATTTCGGGGGGACACAAGCATTCAGATGATGGCAAAAGGTAACATTCCAAGAGAGTTTACATAAAGCCCAAGGGGAAGTCAGTTTATCAAAAGCTTGGGTGCCTAGAGAGTGACTGGAGGGTTTTAGAAGGAAAGTGAACTCTGTCACCAATGAGTAATTCAGAGTTGACGTGGCCCTGGCCCTCAGCCTTCACCACAAAAGGCCTCAACTACCTTCTTCAGAATGCAGACAGGGCCCTGAAAGCCAGCCCCAGGGGTCCAATGCATATGAAGCCTGAATGTAGCATGCCATCCATCCCAATGGCCCTGGCACCCAGACCTTACTGTGTGCCATACCCAGTGCCACACCCCTGGTGAAGGTGAGAACGTGGATGTGAGTGTTCATATAGTTGTCATTTAATGAGATCCTACTGTGTGCCAAGGGCTTAGTATTCTCAGAAGGCACTGTGGCACGATTTTTGAACATGTGTTATTCATCAGGCCCTGTGTGAAGTGCTTTAAACATATTAGCTAGTTTAATCTCCAAAACAAGTCTATGGAGTTGGGACTCTCATTACCCCACATTACAAATGGAGAATTTGCCTCTGAGAGACTGAGAAATGGCCTAGGATCCCACAGCCAGTAGGTAGTAGAGCCGGGATTCAAAACTCCACTAACCCCAGAACCTCCTTAGCTCTCAGCAGAGGATAAAGAGAAAAAGCTTTGGATTTGTACGTTATCTCACTTAAACTGACTCTCCAAGGTGGGTTCTCCTAAACCCATTTCACAGATGATTGACTGAGGCTTACCAAGCCTGGGAAAGGCCCAGGTCACACTGGTAGGAGTGCTGGAGCCAAGGTTTGAAGCCAGATCCATCTGACTTGAAAGTCTATGTATCATCTCCTCCTTCTGAAGAATAAGACTCCCTTCTTAGAAGCTCTGACCTTAGAAGCTCTCTGTCTCATGGTCATACCCTGACACCTTGTTTAGGAAGTCATTAGGACTAGGTCCCTGCCCAGCTTCCTCCTGACCCTATCTCTGTCTTCAGCATGGTCCTCAGCTCTCTAGTCCCCTGGATTCCAGAACATTTTACTCCTTTCTGCATGGGATTTAATTTCCCCATGTTTGAAACACATGTCTTCAGCCATTCCCTGCATCCAAAACCTTAGTCATCCTCAACACCTCCATCTTCCCATGACACATCAACTACTACCCAGTCTTGTAGGCTCTTTTGTCCCAATATGTCAAGATTCCTGCTGCTTCTCATGTTCTGCACTGCCACCTGGCCCCAGGCTGCAGTGAGGACCCCTGCTCCTACCTTGAACCCCTCAAAGCCTACCCTCTACACAGCAGCTGGAGAAGACTGTAAAACTCCCATCATCCTGTCACTTTCTCAACTTCAGTGATGTCCCATCACATGCAGAATAAAACTCACCATCCTAGCCACAGCCAACAAGGCCTTGAGCCATTTCCAACATGCACACCCCAATTTGCAGTTCCCTCTTTTGCTCTGCTCACTCATACCGGTTCCCTCAATTTTATGGCTCACACTAAGTATGTGCCCATCACAGAAACTCTGACCTTCTATTTCCTCTGCAGGGGTTCCTCTCCCCCAGAACTCACAGGCCCTCAGCCTTACCTCACTCCCGTCCCTTTCAGTAGCACCTCTTGGAGGCCTCTTCCTGACCTTTCTCTGTAAAAAACCCCTCTCATCTCACCAGCGTCCCTCTCAAGCAAGGCCCGACCTGCTTTATTTCCCCTCTTAGCTCTTACCTTTACCTGACAGGTACTTGTTTAGTGTCATCTCCCCAAAGAGCAAAGAGGTGATCTCGTTAACTGCTGCATCCTGAAGACTCTGTCATGAACCAAACTCTAGCCAGGCTCCTCTGAGCCCTCTACTAGACCTCAGCCTTGACATCAAAAGACTTGAACAAGCACTAACATTGTTTCTAACAGCTTAAGGCCAGACCCCTGGGAAGACCCTAGCCCCTCTTAAAGTGGCTGTCTAGAAAACTCAAGGCTGCCAAGAGAATTCACTATTAGTTCCAGCAAACACTTGAAGATGGGGCCCCTGTCTCCAGCCTCTGTGTTAATGTGAGCCCTCAGGTTTTCTGACACCGTAACCCTGAGTTGAGTCCAAGCCCTCACTGTGGGGAAGGCCAGGCATGTACCTGGATCTGGCAGAAGCCGCGGGCTGTCAGCTCATCCAATATGAAAACCTGGAAAGTCTGCAGCAAATCCGCGTAGTCAGCACTGCACATCTTGCCCGGCGGGAGCTGGAGCTGAAAGTGCCCTTGGGTCTGGATGGTCTGCCACAGCTGGGGCCCTGCAGGCAAGCACCAGAGATCAGCAGAGGCAATGGGCCTGTAGAGTTATTTTCTTTGTTTGGGATTTCCTCTGCAAAAATAACCCTTCCTCATTGAGCTCAAAACACATAAGCACTGCCATTTTGCATTGTCATTCTGAGTCTAAGTACTTTCCAGCATAACAGCTTGTCTCTGAAATTACTGAGCACCCTCACAGAAAGCTCAGTCCTGCCTCATCCTCCAAACCAGGGTGCTTTATATTTTGAGGTCCTGGACATTCTCCTTGGAAAATCTTCCATGCCATCTTGCATACAGACAGGGCCACTCTGTATGGTTTTTCAGGTTAAGAATAGACATCATAGATGATGGGAATGAATGGTATTCTCTAAGGTTGTTCAGTGCACAACCTGAACAATCATGCACAGCAGCCTGTATTCAACTTCAGGAGCTCAAGATTTGTGCCTCTTTTCCCCAAAGTCCTTTGCTCTAGGGTCAGTTGTGACCATCCTGGTCTTGATTTCAACATAGTCAAAGTGACAGGCCATTATTTATTCAAATCACATTTTGAATTTTCTGGATGGGGACCCTCTATAACCCAGAGTGCTTTGCAACAAATGCTCTCCTTGACACTCTGGCATCCACCCAGAGCCTTGTGACAGTCCCAGAATCTTGGTCTCTCTCCCAGATGCCCTTCCCACTGCACCGGGTGGACCAAGTGCCAGGTCCCAGAGTGGGTTCAGTGTGTGACAAGGCAAAAGGAGCTCTGGTCAGAGCACTAGGAAAGGGGGCCGAAACTTACACAAGTTCCAGCAATCAGGACTGATGCCCTACCTGGAGCAGAGTCCAGGGCCTCCTGCTAAGCCAGGCATTAGCCCTGGAAGTCCAGGTGGTCTTGGGGAGAGGCTGATGGGGCAGGGTCACTCAGAGGCTGGGAGAGCAGCTCTGAGCATGTCAGAGCTGCTGAGCATGTGAGCCACCTATCCAGCTGTTGAAGCACTGACCTGCCCAGTATTTTTCCTGAATCCAAGACATCCCAAGAAAGTTGGAAGAATGGCAATTCTCTCAAGGAGCAGATGGTTCCAGAGAAGGGACAAAGAAAGCCTAACTCCAGGAGTCTGTGAAGGACATCTGCTCCTTCTAGAAAATGCTCCATGGGACTCTCTCCCATCTCTTGGTGCCATCTGGCATACCACCAGCGTGCTACATTTGGGTGGGGAAATGGAGCAGCCACGCCTCCATATCTCGGTCCCAGCCCTAGCCCTGAGAGGGAGCGGGGTGCAGGATAGATGCTCTGATGCCACTCACGTTGGCAGGCCCGGGGCTGAGGCAGCTGTGACTCCCAGCGTCCGCTCTCCAGGCTACATATCAATGGCCCTGGTGGAAACACGCTCCAGGAGCCCTGGCGGCACAGCAATTGGCACTGCTGCATGGCAGAGCCTGTGGGGCCCGAGATTGTCTCACACAGGATTGTTCCACCAACCACCTCCGACGCGTTGAATGGCAGCGGACACCGCGGGCCTGGGAGAAGGAAAGTGGAGCCGTGGTGGGCACCTGCCCAGCCTCGGGACGACTGAGCATGCCTGCTTGTGGGTGTCTCCTTCTCACTCACACTGGGCCCTCCTCCTCTCCCCTTCCCTGGACCTGTCAAGCTCTCAGGGCCTGGCCTGGGCCTGCTCCCCTTTCTCTCTGCCCTGCCCTCTACTTGGATGAGCCCATCTGCTCTCAGTTTTAACAGACACCTAAGCATGAATGTCTCGTGTAGCTTGATGTCCAGCTCAGGCACTCGAGCTTCTTCTCATCTCTAAAGCCAATTAGTTACCACCTGGTCTCTTCACCTCAAAGCCCACCATCCAGGCCTGAACTTAGTATCTGCCACCCCTGCCTCAGTCCCCCAGGCACAAGGATCAGTACCACCAGCCACCCAGCCATCCCAAGCCAGCCACCTGGTGGCCTTCCTGCAGGGTTCATCTCCTCTGTCTTGGTCACCATTCACACCTGCTCCATGTCTCTTCGTCCCTACTGCCACCTCCCTCATTTAGACATCCTTCATTTTCTGCCTGAACTGCCAGCAAATGCTCTTTGCCAGGTTTCTGCATTTAGGCCTCACCTCCTCCTGCCTTTCTGCTCCCACATCCCACTCAGTCCCCACTGCTGGCAGAGAAATTATGCCAGAGCCGAATATCAGCTCTCAACTCCCTCCTGTGCAGGCTGAGCCTGCCTTCCTCTTCACTCTCATCTCCTCCAGCTCCCCAATGCCTCCAGGAATATCTGTTACTCCCTGAACACACCTCCAAGCCTTCCTTCTGCCTGCTCCTGTCTGGAAGATTCCTTTTTGACCCTCAAATATCAACTCAACACGTTCTGTTTTCTACCACTGTCATGGTTCTCCCAGGCAGACTTAGGTCTTCTTTTTTTTGAATTCCCAGGCCACCAGGTACAGACCTTCCTTTTGTCAATTGTTAGAACCTCTAATCAGTGGCATGCTGGTCACCCCACTGGGTTGAGTCCACAGGGAAAAAGAGGGCACCTCTCCTCTGTTCACCCAGGCCAAGGCACACAGCTGCCCCAGACACAGCTCAATGAATATGAGTTAAGTAAATGGGAAAATGAGTAAATTAAAGAGCAAACACACTCATCGTGACAATTTCACACCATTAGAGATTTTGTTCATTATCAGACTCAGGCACAGTCTTTTGACCAGTATATGACTTAACATCTGCAATCTGTAAGGAATATGAGGGTATTCAGGGGCTTCAAAGAGGAAGAATGACCTATTTTGATCTCCAGAACCAAACCTGGTCTTTTTTGTGATAAGGGCAATGGTCCCTGGCGAAGATTTTGCACTGCGATTTGCAGTAGGCTCCTTGAGTTGTCTTTCACCAAGTCCCAAGTGTAAGTGGGATGGCAAGAGTTCACCTATGAGCTCTGGACCAGCCTGCAGGCTATGAATCCTGGCCCTAATATTCACTAGTTCAGGGTCCTAGAGCAAATTAATTAGTGTCTCTGTGACAGTTTCCTCACCCATAAAATGGTGAAGATGGCAATAATGCCTACCTCCTAGTAGGAGTATTTATTTAAAAACTACTATGGGATGTGTAGTATGTGCCAGGTACACCATTAAGAGCTTTGCTAATATCAGTTCATATAATGTTCCCCACAACCCTATGGGATAGGTCCCATTATCCCTATACAGACGCCAATACTGAGGCACACAGAGGGTGAATGCCTCTTCTGTGGTCAGATAGCTAGTAAACAGAAAAATCAGGATTTGAACCCCATTATCTTTGCCCCAGAATCCACATCCTCCACCAGTGTGCTAGATGCATGTGTGTACATAGGTAAGAAGTGGGGTGTCAATGAGTGTGTAAGCATCCTTCCCATTTCAGTGAATACAGGTTTCCCCTCTTATCCCACAGGAATGATCTGCACCTGTGGTTTTTCTGTTTTTGTTTTTGTTTTTTTTACCCTCCCTTGCCTTTTGGAAGTGGGCCAGTGAGTGATCTGATTCGGCTAGAAAGGGGTTTTCCTCCTGGGGCCACAAACATCACCTAGGACACTGACGCTTCTCTTGCCAGGGCACCTACCTTCCCTAGCAGACCTGTTTTCCCACAGCCTTATTCCCCATGTCACTGAAATGAAGTTACTCCCTGGCTATGGAACAACCCTGCTGGCCCCCACGGCCAGGGAGGAGTGGCTAAGGAGAGAAGGAAGAAGTGCAGAAACTAAAATTAACTGAATATCCACAGTGGGCCCAGCCCCAGAGAGTACACTTTACATCTTTAATTTCATGAAATCCTTCCAAAATTATACCACGGGGATTCTTACTGCTACTTTAGAGATGAAGAAAACAGAGGCTCAAGGGAGCTAAGTGGCTCGCCTGGGGACATGTGTTGGTGATTGGACTAGAAGCCAGACCTGCTCGCTCACACCTGCCATCTTACAAGAGTTTGTGAGCACTGCCTGTCTTCTGCATGCCAGGACTGCCCAAAGGCCTCCCAGGCGTTGACTCCATCTTCACAACAACTCTGTGGGGCTGGACTGTTATCAGCCACGTCCTGCAGATGAGGCCCCTGAAGCCTAGAGAGCTTAACTTTGCCACCCAAAGCCCAACACCAGGAAGTGTTGTGCTCTGAGCTACCAGGCTAATGCCCACTGGAGGCAGGATTTTGCATGAACATGACATTGGATGCAGAGAGAGGCAACTTGGTATCTGAGCAAGTCCATCCCCTAAGTAATACTGGCAAAAATAGTAATAATATGTATTAAGTGTATTAGTAATTCCAGTGCTCAACAGTTTACAGAGATTGTCTTAATTAGTGCTAATAATGACTCAAATAGCTACTATTCTCCTTTCTCATTTCACAGATTGAGACACTGACATCCAGAGAGGTTAGGGGACCAGCCCAAGGTCACCTGGCAAGTGAGTGGTGGAGCTGCCATTCAAGCCTGTCTGTCTGCCGCCTGCCTCTCCATCACAGTCTGCAGTGAGTCAGCAGAAAGAGGTTTGGGTGTCTCATGTTAACGCCATCCTCCTGGTGCACTGAGCATGGCCAGCCTCTGGCCTCAACTCCAGGACCCCAGGACTATTCCACTCTCCTGTGTTTAAATGAATGGTGTTTCTTGGTTCCTGATCACATGACCAGGAACCTGGTCACTTTAAGACTCTCAGGAAACCTGGGCAATGTTCCAAATTACTGTCTATATTAAATCTCTCAGCTTTTCCCAAACTCCCTTGCCCTGCTGTGGAATCGGAAGAGGCCAATGCTGGCTGTTCCCACCACTGCCCATTCCATCTGCACCTGCATGGGGCAGGAGTGGCCTGCCAGGCCCGGCAAGAATTAGGAATCTTCCTAGACTTCCAGCCCAATCCCAAAGGCCGGTGGCGTCAGAAGAGCAAGTGAGCATCTACCCAACCGTCAAACCCATGATGAAGCCTTTACAAATGTTAGCTCCCCAGTCTTAAAAACAACTCAGCCAATGAACTGCTCCCTTATAAGGAGAGGAGGCCAAAGTTCTTCCTTTGGACATATTTATCTTTTTTCTTTCTTCATTCAATAAGGCCAATAAATGACCTTCTGGAGCCTTCCTCCTGTCTTCTCCTAAAGCCCTCACAGCTGTACAGCAGAGGGTTTCATCAGCAGGACTCCGGGTTAAATCCTGGCTGCTCCACCTGCTAACCGTGTGACTTTGGACATGTTCATGAGCCTCTCTGAGCCTCAGTTTTGTCATCTGAAAAATGGGGAGATAGGAGAGCTCTATCTATTTACCTGCATTGTTGGAAGGCAAAAATGGGATAAGGGATGTGAAAAGCACCTTTGAACAGGTAATCTGTACACGGGAACTGTATCATGGAGTCCTACATGGCCAAGCCACATACAGTCTTCCTAAGCGCTAAAGGAGCTGTGCTCCAGACCTGTTCCTGGAGGAGGCCACACCGGTCTGTGTCCTGGGTCTCAGTGCAGACCACTCCTAGATGACCTGGAAGTTGGATGTTGATTGTATCTGACTTAAGGTGGACCCTTCACTTCTCTCCCTATTTCAGAAGCACAGGGCAGGCAGTTGCATGCATACATATCCACGGAGCACCTACTGTGTATCCTGCATAGTGATAGCAGATGATAGAGAGTCAAGATGCGGATGAAGCAGGGCCCCATGCAGAGGGCAGCAAAACAGGACTTGGGGGAAACGGTGTGTGGTAAAAGCCTTGGACACAGCACAGGTTCAGGGCAGGAGGGAGTACAGACAAAACTGGAAAGCAACCCCCGCAATGAGAGTGGGGGGACTCTTCCCTCCCACCCCTGCTTCTGAGGCTCCTCCCATCTCTTTACAAATATCAACCAGAAGTATCACTAGACCCAATTAAATTTCCCTGCAGTTCCAAAATGTTGCTTAGAGATTAGAAAATAAGAATAAGGAAAGAATAAGAACATCAAAAGAAAGGCAACTGTGGCTAACTCAGAATCATTTAGCACAGTATTTTGCAACTCTGCCAGACCCACCACCCCAATTGGTAATAAGTATTTTGTAATGTCTCCATTTCCTGCCCTGAAAGGAAATTCACAGATAATCTAACCCACCTACTCACATAACTTTTAAAATGACTGTGATGTCCTGTGACTTGAGAGATTGGAGAAATAAAAGGTTAAAAATCAATAATAATATATTTTAATATTTAACAATATAGTTCAATATTCTATATATTGATGTGATGTACATTTCAATATTTGACATTCACTAAATTTTTAAAACTTGAAATAAAAATAAACAAGTCAACACCTCCACAAATTCCTGAAGTGCCTCAGTGAGGATGGAACCATCACACTGAGATCCTGCAACCACGGTCCTTCTCCCCATCTGAAGACACAGAGAATAAGACCCAAAACTCCCGGGCAGGACAGCCCCCAAGCTTCTTAAGGTGTCAGTTCTGGGGGTTCCCTGCCCAGGCTCTTTCTGACTTCAGTTCCCAGCAGGAGCGTCTTCAGGAAGTAGATGTAAGTTTTCACACGAAGGGACTCAACCACAACTACATCCCTCCTGCACTTCCTGCCTCCCCTCCCACCCCTGCCTTCCCAGCTTCTCTAGTACTTCACCCAGTCTGGATCAAAGAACAGATATGCAGGCCTCGTCGTCCCCCCAGGGGGTCATGACTTACTCTCACAGGCGGGCTGGCCCCCGGTCACGCGCGTCCCAGGCACCTCTTCTCCGCTGTCCATGACACACCAGCAGCTGCCCTGGGCCTGGTCACATTGCACTGGGGAAAAGCCCCCATCCTCTGCCCTGCAGGCTGGGACATAGCCTGGGCTGACTCTCCTGGAGAGGACTCCACTCTTGAGCACATTGCAGAGGCTTGGGCCTGACACAGAGACAAGCCAGATGGGCTGGGGAATCAGTGCCCACTCCCTGCTCAGATGCCCAATCACCCTCCTCACCACCCACGGCCACCCTCAGCCCACCTGCCTGCAGGGCCTTCCAGGGGTCTGGGGCTGCCTCCCCACCAGGAGGTTGAATGACAACAAGGCAAACACTGGACCTGGCTCAGCTCTGTACTCTCTCCCCTCCACTGCCTGCCCTCAAGCAGCTTAGAGTCTTAAAGGAGAGTTAACAAGTACGTGAGCAGGTACAGTTCTGTGAAATAAAGGCAACAATAGTGCAGTGTAGGAGCCTACAGAGGAAGAGAGAGGCCAGCAGAGGCTTCCTGGAGGGACAGATGTGTGGTCTGAGCAAGAATTTGTCAGGTGGGGAGGGGATAGACGGACATATTGCAGGTGGCACAGCCAGAACGCGTGAAGGCACAGGTGGAAGAAAGCGTCTTCCTTTTTCCAAAGTCTGACCAGAATTTATCACAACTGCACCCTGAAGCACAACTGATGGAGAAGAAAGAGAAGTCGAAGAAGACACACCAGCACCAGATGCAAAGGGCCCTCGAGCCATTCCAGGGAGCTCAAGCACGGCCCCGAAGATGATGGGAGCATTTATGGTGTTTAGGCAGAAGAGGGACATCTGCACATTGCCCTTTGGGGACATCACCTGGGCTTCACTGCGGAAACCAGACGGCAGGGCCACACATCCGGCCAGCCCTCCAAAGCCCTAGGGCCCCCTTTGATGGGGATCAATGCTGGTTTGCACTTCTCAGACACAAAGCACAGCCTACTCCCTCCCACGTTTGCTTCTCCCAAGAAACTGCAGAGATGGGGGAATATTGCCCCGATTTCATAGATGAGAAAACTGAGGCATAGTGAGGTCAGCAGCTGTGCCCCCACAGCTATGGAAGCAGTAGAGCTGGGACACGAAGCCAGCTCTTTGGACTCCACGCTCAGTGCCCCACAGAAGAGGTGAGAAGCCATGCCAGGAGGGGCTGCTACTCACACTGGGCACTGCTGCTCGAGCCAGGCCGCAACTCTTCTCCTGATGCAGGGTCCACACACCAGGTGCCAGCCCCCGATGCCTGCAGCCTGGCATACTCTCCTGTCTGAGACAAAGCCGGGGTCATGTCAGTCACTGTGGGCAAGATGCTCTAGTGGCCAACCTGCTGCTGGCAGATGTCAAAAGTGTCCCTTCCAAAACAACAGGTGATGGCTTCTCCAGACGGAGAGATGTGGAGGTGGGGAGAGGTGCTCTCCTGTTCCCAGCCCTTTACGTGCATCATTTGATTGACGGCTACAACAGCCTCATGAGGCATGGACCACAGTTCTCCCGCTTTTGGGTGGGTGAAACTGAAGATCTCTCAGAGAGGGAAAGTGGGGCAACAACTCACAGCTGGTGAGTGAGAGGCAGGTCAGGTCCAGGCCCAAACCCATCTAGACCCAAAGCCTAGCCATGCTCCTGGACCAGCCTCACTAATTCCAGAAATGATTTTGACAAGTACTAGAGTCCTCCACAGGAACTGGCCTTGCAAACCACACCTCAGAGCGCCTCTAAGCTCCACTCTGTAATCCCTTCTCCCACCATCGGACATTGTGGCTTCTACCTCTCCTTCTCTCTGTGTAAGCATCAGTGCCCAGGAAGGAGAAGCAGAATTGCATTCCAACAGTAGGTGCTTTCCAGCCAAGATTAAAAAACTAAACAATAGTGACTAATTTCTCTATGAAACTATGCTTAAGTGGGTCCATGTTTACAGTACCAAACAATAATAAGGAAACTTTTGCTTAGTACTGTACAGTTTCATGAGTTTCAACACTGCTGTTTCATCTGCTTCTCATCAAGTCTTTGGAAGCTGAGCAGAGTGGGTGGTGGTGTTCCTACCATCCTATTTTAGAAAAAGGACACTAAGCCCAGAGATTTCCCTCACTTGGCAAGTAAGTGGTTAAGTTCTGGGCATAAATTCGTTCTCTAGGAGCTCTACATCAGTACTTCGCTGAATTATGAATTGTTACAATCACCCCGGGAGCTAGGGAGGGAAAGAAGCTGGTGTCCTCTGTGTGTGTTGAGAACCTGGGACACTGTAAGCATAGGGCCTTGGCCAAGATGCCTTTAGGAAAAACATGATAGCATGTTTTGTTTATTTTTCAAAGAGTTCTTATGAAAGATATTTTCTTGGAGTCTCAAAACAAACCTAGCATTAGCTAGGACAAAATGTGGCCTGATCTTATGATTAAACAAAACAAACTGGGACACAGAAAAGGTAAGTAAATAGCCCAAGGTCACAGAACCAGGTTCTAGCAGGCCCAGACAAACACCCAGGCTGAGAACATCATGTGAGCTTTTAACTAAGCTGAACGTATTGAACAAAAAGAAAAATCATCTCTGACCAGCGGGGACAAGTCCCGGCTCCAATCCTGTGCTTCCAGACCCTTACTTCTAGGCAGGCTGGGACGAACAGGTCTTTTGGAGATGGGTTTTCTTGGGATCTAGCCTGTTTCCAACTGGAAAGCAGCCCACTGGTTCGAGATTTCTCGCAGGTTGTCGGGCCTGTGGGAGAGAGAGGTGCTTGTAAAGGACTGGTCGTGGGAGCCAAGAGAAAGAGGGGATCCCAGGCTGACCCCACCTTTAAGGGTCATGAGCCTGGGTGAATGCAGGTGCTCTTCATAGAGAGGTAGAATCTCTGAGGACAAAGACTCATGTGGGACATGCCAGCTTTGAGATGTCAAGTGGACTGTGGATTACACATGGCTGAGCCTCAGAAGAGGGGTTGGGGCTGCAGGTTCAGAGGCGAGGCGGTTGCTGAAACTACAGGAGTGGCTGAAATTGCCCAGCAGATGTACAGAGGGGGAGAACCAGGGCTCCTTCAACAGTCTCAGCTGTTTCCTTCCACCTGCAAAGCTGGGAGCCTTCCAACTAGGAAGTGCCAAGGTCAGCGCAAGCTTGCAGGCCTGGGGACTTGGGAAATGCGTCTGGCTGCACCCGGGACCTGGCTGAAGGGCTGGGCCATGGAGTCTCCAGCGGTTAGGCAACCACAGCTGACTAGACCAGTGATGCCCACCAAGGGGGGTCAGGAGGAGAACTCTGCAGTCTTCACTTACACTGTGGAATCTGCAGAGAGCGGGCAGTCAGTGAGCCAGGGATGAACCCTCCTTTCTCATCTACACACCAGCAGTGCCCTGGAAAAGAGCCAAGGGGAGAACATTCAGGAATTGCACTAGGGACTTACCCTGGAGTGTCCCATAAACAACTTTCCTTCTTCACTCATAGCAGTGCAAGCCTGGTCGCCTTCTGTCCCCAGTCTAGACCCCCAGCCGGACATTGTCCACAATCACTCTGATGCCCCCAGCAACCACCCACTTGTCTTTCAGGCTGGTAGAAGTTTCCTGCTCCTGTTACACAAGTGAGATAACTGGAGGCCCGAGAAGCTAAGGAATTTTTCACCAGCTGCTAAAGAGGAGCCTAAGAGTCCAGCTCACTTGCCTCCCAGTGTGGGGCTCTGTCCTCTAAAATAAAAAAGGGGTGTCACTTGGCCACCTGAAGGTGCCTATCCCTCCTTACCAGTCCCAGCGTGGCACTGCACAGGCTCCCAACTTCCAAACGCATCACACTGTGGCATGTAGGGGCCCGACCGCAGAAGGGCGGATGCTCCAGCCGAGTCGTCCGGGGAAAAGCGGCGTCTCTGATAGAAGCTTAAGGCTGGAGTCAGGGAAGGAGAAAAGCAGAATATGACCACCTGCTCTGTGTGGGCTCTGTAGCTGAGAACAACCACGTATGTCCTGGTTCCAACATAAGGAGGCCTTCTTATTTATTTATTTGACAAACATTTCAACCCACAGTATTACAAAGGCTCCTTGCACAGTAGGCAGGCACTCAACAGATTGTCCTTTAAGAATAACACTTAGGCTGAAGCTTGAAAGAATATTATAGTAGACCTCTACAATAACTTCCATACAGAAATCAGTAGGTCAGTGAAGTGTCTTCAGGCACATGAGATAATAGTAATAATAGGTAGGCTCTATACTCATATGTTATGTGTGAGGCACTAGCTAAATACATACCTTAATTAATTTAATCCTCACAGCAATCTGAAGAAATGTCATGTTATCCCATTTAATGGATGAGAAAACTGAGACACAGATGGATTAAGCAACTTAACCAAGGGTTCACAGACAGAAAGAAGAGAGGTTGGCCTTGGAACACAGGAGGGCGATTGACATCAGCTGCCCTCGTAGGTTTCCCTACCAAACTCCTACAGTTTAGTTTTTAACCCCTTTGAAACTTGGATATCCACAAAAATCATATCAGATCTTCACAGCAGCTCCATGAAGCCAGAACTTTTACCCCAGGTGAGGACACAGAGGCTCAGCGAGGGAGGTTATATGATGAACCACTGGCCACCCCACTAATGAAACTGCATCTGTCCTCAGCTCTTGCAGTCCCCGACCCACTGGGCTTTGCACATGGCTTTCCCCACCACCAACATAGTACATAGTGTTCCCATTTATTGTGTTAGATTTGTCTCCTCCGCACTAGCATTTAAGCTCTTTGGTGCAGAGATTTGTGTTTATTTTGCATGTAGAGGAGTGTCTGGCTCATAGTAGGCACTCAAGAAATCACCGATTGGGAAAAAAGCGTGAATGAATGCATGAGGGGGAGAGGAAGAAGCAAGGGTGGGCAGCGGGTGGGACACACATCAGTTTGGTGTGGGTCTTACCAGGCCCAGTCTGATTTGCCACAACCACCACCCTCCTCCTAAGTGGCCATGAACTGTCGCCTGAGCTCTTTCTCCACTCCTGCTGGCACTTGGGGCAGGTTGGGGCTCCTCACCAGGATCCTGGAGGGAGAACGGGAATATCTGTGGCAGCACCATTGGCAGTCACCTGCAGTTCATTGGGACAGTTCTCCCCACTCCCCACCTTTCAGAAACAGGCTTCATGGCTCCAGACGAGAGAGCTTGCAGATACAAGGATGCCACCAACTCACAGTCAGAGCCCATCTGGGGACACCAGGACCGACCTCTGAAGCAGCCCCATACAGTGGACAGCGTTCTGGAGTCTGCCAGGCCTCCTTCTGAATCCCGGCACTGCGCCTCCTAACTGTGATCATGAGCAAGTTGCCCAACCTCTCTGAGCTTCAGTTTCCTCATCTATGGAATGGGTCTAACACTCACCTAACAAGACAACTGTGATATTTACATCAAAGGAGCTGATAGGTGTTAAACACCAAGTGCTTGCCAGACACAGCGGTGTGCATTTCCTCCCATGGCCTTCGCCACGCTCATTAGGCCCTCAGACATGGCTACCATGTTCTAGTGGCCAAAGGCACTTCGCTCTGGGCCCTCAATCCCCAGACTCTCAGGGAAAAGACCAGGCCTGGTCCTCTATGGTCCCTTCCTCTTTCCTCTACAAGCTCAGACATGCAAAGCGGAGCATGTGGCTACTTGGAGAGGAACTTCTCAGCTCGACTTCTGAAGAAAATGCCAACATGCCATTCAATGACTAATCTCAACAGCACCAGCAACATTGCCTCCCCTTTCTCGACATTTCCCTCCCTGACCAAAGTGGTCACAACTGAAGGAGCACCAATCCCACTTCTCTCTTTGATTACCTCAAATCCTGTCTTTGTACAAAAATGTAAAACAACATGGTTCTTCCCAAAAGCAGAAGTCTCCCAGTCTCTGAGGAACAGAGAAAAGCAGTGCCTAGGCATAGGGTGAGGGTAGTGGACGGAAGAGAGAGAAAGAAGGGAGGAAGAAAGCAATAAGGATGGTTAACCACCAGCTACTCAGCTCCTTGTAGGTGTCAGGCACTGTGCCACGCACCAGGGATATAGAAAGAATAAGACACAGTGCCTTGTTCTCCAAAAGAGATGTCTGGTGTGAGAGAGAAGCAGGAAACAAAGATGGCACACATGAGATTGTCACGTGGTATTAGGAGAACAAAGATCACTGAGACCCAATCCCACGCTGGCCATAGACACCCTGGAGTGCCTGCTGGCGTGGATGGGAAGGCAGGGAGCTGCCCTCCTGCTGGAGGGATTCTCTTTGACTTGGAGCAGATGTTGTCAGGGGAGGACTGTCTTGCTGTTTGGTGACTCAAGCCTAGAAAGCTAGACAGGGAATCAGCTGAGACCATTTGACAGGGATGGGGATCCTGAGTAAGATTCAAAGACAGATTAATCATTTGTCCTTGTCAAGTTGATGTGGGGTCAGTGAGAAATCTTGGAAGGGACCTGTTCTCCTGCCAGAGCAGCTGTGAGGTTATGGAGGAAGAACAAGGGCTCTAGGATGAGGCAGAGCTAGGCACTGACCTCAGCAATACCTGGAATCTGCCTGGCAGGGAACAGGAGAGATGAACTGGAGGACCAGGTCTCTGGGCTTCCCATCCAGGCCCACTGGTTATCACTTGTGTGAATTCGGGCAAGTGACTTAACCTCAGACTCCATTTCCCCATTTGCAAAGAATTGTGGATGGTGATTATACCATCATTCTCCTGGAGCTGTCAGAGGATTAAATGTGAAGATCTGATAATCTACTTAGCACAGTAAGTGCCTGCTCAAAGGTGAAGTTAGAATATTGTTTAGCTGGTTAAGGGCTGTGACTCATGCCTGTAATCCTGGCACTTTGGGAGGCCGAGGCAGACAGATCACTTGAAGTCACGGGTTCGAGACCAGCCTGGCCAACATGGTGAAATCCTGTTTCTACTAAAAATGTGCAAATATTAGCTGCATGTGGTGGCACACACCTGTAGTCCCAGCTACTCAGGTGGCTGAGGTGGGAGGATTGCTTGAGCCCAGGAGTTCGAGGCTGTGGTGAGCTATGATTGTGCCACTGCACCCCAGCCTGGGTGACAGAGCAAGACTCCGTCTCAAAAAAAAAAAAAAAGCATACTGTTCAGCTGTTATTATAGACCAGAGGACTGCAGGCTCCCTGAGCTTATGCCTCTGTCGCATGCAGGTAGTAATTCCTGCTTTTTGGAGTTACTCTCAGGATCAGATGAGATCAATGTGTCATAGTTACTTAATATCGAGGCTTCCTCTCCCCTCCTGCTGTGTGGTGTTCCTGAATCCCTGGAAATGGAGGGAAGCTTTGGAGCAGGCCGTAAGGGGTGTTTGAGCATTCACGGGCTTGGGTCCCTCGCATTTTAACAAGAATATTGGCTTTGTGGGAGCGGCAGGTGCCATCTGAAACCTGCCCTAGGGTAGATTCGCTGGAGAATTAAGGAGCATTTTAGAGATGCGTGCAGCATTCCAGCTTTGACTGGTGCCCCCAAACCACTTTGCCTTTTCCTTCCCAAGAACCCATCAGTCTGGGGAAGCCAAACCACAAAGTCCTAAGGATGACTGAGGAGAGACGAATTTAAGCTCCTGCTTTTCCAAAGCGATGCAGTAAGAAAGCTGAAGGGCACCACACTCACTAGACTGAGCCGCCAGGCGAATGGCGTAATCACTCCCACGCAGAAACTGCTCCGCGAAAGCCTCCCGGGGCGGGAAGAGCGGAGGAAGGCCGAGGTCCTCATTCCTCAGCCGGATTCCCTTGGCCACCAGGAAACTCTCCCCCAGAGGGAACCGAGAACTGTTGGAAGCTGAAACAATCTCTTCCGTTTCCCTAATGAACTGCAGTACACGGAGCTTTGCTTCCTCACAGGAGCCAGGACCTAGGGGAATAAAAATAACACAGATGGACTCACTCACCACGTGGACTTCCCTCTGACTCCCATGAAGCATGTGTGCCCTCACGCACACACATACACACCACACACACACCACACACACACACCACACACATACACACCACCCCCCTACACCACACACATACACACCACCCCCTCACACACACTGATACACACCACACACACACCACACCACACACATACACACCACCCCCCATACTACACACATACACACCACACACCACACACATACACACACCACACCACACACATACACACCACCCCCCCACACTACACACATATACACCACAGACACACCACACACACCTATACACACCATACACACAGTATGCACATACAGATCACATACACCACACGTACACATACACACACACCACCCCCGCAGACACCACACACATACACACCACACACATACACACACACCACATATACACACCACACACACATACACACCACACACACTCACATACACACCACACACACACCACACTCACCACACATACACACAAATACACACCACACACACACCCTCCACACATATACCACACACATACATGAACACCACACACATACACCACCCACACACATACACACACCACTCAAGACACATCACATACCATACACACATACCACACACACACACACCACCCACATACACACCATACACACAACCACACACATACACACCACACAGTACACACACATGCATACACACATCACACACAGTACACACACACCACACCACACACACATGCACACAGGCATACCACACACACATGCACACACGCATACCACACACACATACACCACACCACACACATACACACACACCACACACATAAACACACACACCACACTCATACACATACACACACACCTATGCACATACCACACACATAAGTGCACACACCATACACCCATATAGAAATACACAAACCCCATAAACACACACCACACACACATACATAAACACCCACCACAGCACACACATACACACACTACACAATACACACCCACACGTGAGCACATTTTTGCCTCAGCTGTTTTCTTCGCAGCAGCTCTTTCCACAACCTGGAATGTTCCTTGTTTTGCCTCCACACTCCCATTCAGTCACCATTTGTGGAGGAACCACTGCATAAGATGAGTAATAGCTCATACTCGCTCCATGCTGGGCATCATCCTGAGCACATCTACGCAGACAATCTAATTGATGCAACAGCCCAATAAAATATTCTTATTCTCATGCTACAGATGAGAAACTGAGGCATGGAGAAGTCATATAATTTAAACGAGTTCCCAGCTAGCAAGCAGCTGATTCAGAATTTCAATCTAGACAGTCTCACTCTGGGAATAGTGATCTTGACTAGCTGTCTCTAATGAAGGATAGGCAGATGATGGATGGATGGATGCATGGATAGATGGTTGGATGGATGGATGGATATCAAAAGTTGAAGGGAGGCACTGTAAGTTAGCAGAGAGTTATTCCTGTGAAGAGGAAAGACTGTGGCACTCAAAGACCTTTGTGTTCAATTTTTGGGTCATTTATTAGTTGTGCGACCAGGGATAATGCACTTAACTTCTCCGAGCTTCAGCCTCCTGATCTGTGCAATGGGAAAAATTGGGGCATCTAGTCCATGGGGTTTTGTAATAAGCCTTTTAAGTGTTGCAGTTGAAGTGCTTGGCACAGCATCTGGCACATGCTGTCCTTGGCAGTGTCACTTAGCAAAATCCACCCTCGCCAAATTTACTTCAAACATCACATTGTGAATTCAACAGTGGGGGTGTCATTGGATTCTTTTGAGAGCATGGGATCAACAGAAAACTTTGACTTCCAGAATTTGAAGTTATTGTTTTTTTGTTCAAAAGGATATTATCAAATAATTTATTCTATTAATCCCAGGGATTTTGAATGTCCGAAGCAAAAACTCACATTTAAAAACCTCAGCTTGCTCTACATTTCTTCCAGGATAAAGTGAAAATCTACAACTGGGCACATAAGATCTTTTCAAATCTGTCCCCAGCTGGATGCAGTGGTTCATGCCTGTAATCCTAGCACTTTGGGAGGCCAAGGCAGACAGATCACTTGAGCCCAGGAGTTCAAGACCAGCCTGGACAATGTGGTAAAACCCCGTCTCTACAAGAAATGCAAAAATTAGCTGGGCGTGATGGTGCATGCTTGTAGTCCCAGCTACTTGAGAAGCTGAGGTGGGAGGATCGCTTGAGCCTGCGAGGTTGAGGCTGCAGTGAACTGAGATCATGCCACTGCACTCCAACATAGGCAACAGAGCAAGACTGTCTCAAAAAAATTATAATCTGTTCCCAATTTACTATCCGCCTCTTCTTCTTTCATTCCCTCCTGCATCCCCTCCCCTCCTACGTCTATAACCTTTCCTCCACCTCACTCACAGCTTCATTGACTCAGTGCATGCTATTTCCTCTGTCCCAAAGGGCCTGCCACATCTGCAACTGGACAAACTCCTCTCAAGAATCATCCCAGTAGTTGGGGTCAAGCTAATCTTTACCCCAATCTTCAATGAGTTAGTAGCCCCTTTCTCTGAGCGCCCTCCACCGCATTTTCCACGTACATACCTCTGTTCCACCATTGCCATTTATTACTTTCCTGATAACATCCTTGGTTTCCCCACTGGTCTCTGAGCTTCTCAGAGCAGACACCATCCTTCACCTGACTGTCTTCCCATCATACAGTACAGTGCACACAGTAGGCAGTTCATAAACACATATTAAATAAAGCAAGCAAAATTTCAAACAGGCCAGAGATAGCAATGCAGACTCAAACTCCTAGAGGCCTGAGCCATCACCCGTGTGGGTGATGCATGTAGGAAGTTATTGGTCCCTTCGTTACTCACTATCAATTGTATTAATCCAGCCATCACTTATTAAGTACTTCCTGTGTGCCAAGTCTAGCACTTTACATCTATTACTTTTAGTAATTCTTCCGACAAGCCTTTGAGGCAGTTATGTATTGTAACTCAGATTTTACAGATGACTCTAAGACTCAAAAGAGCCTCTCTTAGGTCACAGAGCAGTAGATGGTAGAACCATGGTACAAGACAGCTACTGTTCTGTCCTCCAGGCCAGTCCTCCTTAAGCTTTTGGCTGCATTGAATTCCCCTGGGAATATTGTAGAAATGCAGGTTTTGATTCAATAGGTGGGGTCTGAGATACTGAATCTTTAATGAGTTCCCAAGGTGAATGCCAATGCTGCTGGACCACACTTTGAGTATCAAACCCTTTCAATTGCATACCCTTATCAACAAAAGAGTTTGAATATGCACCCCCCCCAAAAATGGGTATTTCTTTATAAGGCATATACACATACTACTAAAATAATACACTACATGAAGATTTTTAGCTGTTTCAGCTGTTAAACATTTAATTGCAAAAATGAAAATATTAATAGAAATGTGAAGGGAAGATAGGAAATACTGAATAGAGATGGAAGTTCTAACATTTTCTCCCTAATGGATGATCTTGTATCCAGTCTCTTGTTACTCAATTAAAAAAAAGCCAATTACTCTAAGTCTAGTTCTAACACTCTATCCAGCATTCAGACTAAGGTAAGACTAGTCACTAAAGTAATCCCAGCACTTTGGGAGGCTGTGGCGGGTGGATCACCTGAGGTCAGGAGTTCAAGACCAGCCTGGCCAACATGGTGAAACCCCGTCTCTACTAAAAGTACAAAAAAAAAATTAGCTGGGTGTGGTGGCAGGCACCTGTAATCCCAGTTACTTAAGAGACTGAGGCAGGAGAATTACTTGAACTTGGGAGGCGGAGGTTACAGTGAGCTGAGATCGCTCCATTGCACTCCAGCCTGGGCAACAAGAGCGAAACTCAGTCTCAAAATAAAATAAAATAAAGTTACTAGGTACTTTTGGTATCAACAACTCATGCTCCTAAAATTGCATACAAATAGGACCAAATTTAGTCTTAGATAATTTAAAATTATAGGAATGTCCCCATGTAAGAGACCTGACCACTGGTATGGAGAATGATTCTACAAATACCACAAAAATAAATAAGACTTCTTATCTAACAGTCAGGCCAAGATCAATGTGTTAACCTTGAGGGTTCTATTGCTGGAACTTGACATTTGATTGGAGAATCCTTGCATTGTCATCTCTGGGCTGTTCAAAATGCCAAGGGTATTACCGTTCTCATCACATGGTACTTTCACCCGACATTTTAAAAACCCAGTTGCTGCTAAAGCCTAAAATTTGGCTAATATCAAAATAGTCTAATGGATTTTAACATTACTCAGGAAGGTCCAGACAATGTTAAACTTGCAAAGAATGAATTGAGAGATTTTACTGAACAGCTGTCATATCACCTATAATATTAGCAATGGCTGGTTAGAGAGATTTGGATTTGGTGATAACAGTGTTGAACATGTCTGGTTGTTCTTTCAAACTGCTGGCACAGCTGAGGGGGATAAGGCATTTTAACTGAAACTCGTGTCAGCTTCATTCTATTTATGGCTTGTATATCATAGCTTTCCCATAAGTCTGCCACAAAGCTGAATGTATAGACCTCAATTACCGGCTCTCCAATCAGTCCCTTAGTTAAATCCTTCCAAATCAATTAAAGCCACTTCAGGTGGCACTCTCCTGAGGCCTGCATATTTAGCAGCATTCTGTGCAAGTAGCAGGTTCACTGTAATATTCATTGGTCAATTAAAAGGTACACCTAACATAGGAGCGATTACTAAACATTAACCATAGGAGGACGAGGGCCAGGTCATCTCCACTTTTATAGCCTTCATCAGCTCTAAGATGAAGATGCTTGCACACAGAAGACATCCAGTAAAAATCTAAGACACTGATTGAAGTAATCAATTATATGAAAGTTTTAAAATATACTCTATCAATCTTGCCAACACCTGACTGTGTTGATACAGGGAAGTCCCTTCCCCTCTGTGAGCCTTCGTTTTCTCAGCCATCTCTAAACTCCATTCCAGCTTTGACACTCAATACCCTCCCACTAGACATCCTTTTTTATATGTTAAACACACATACACACACACACACACACACACACACATTTAACTCTTCATATGCGTTAGCTCACATGTTGGGAGCTTGCTTGGCTCAGACCGCATTCCTTCCAGTTCTTGGCCAGCCTCATCCACACACCAGCAGTTCCGAAGATCAAAATGTGCCAAAGGAGTGCTGAAGTCTGAGTAGGACCCCGGGTATTGGCTGAGTTGGCCATTTAAGATCTGCCAGAAGAGGTAGGGCTCCAGGAGGATATTCTCCCTGGGCTGGGGCCGTTTCCCTTCCAGTGCTGCTAGTGGGACATCTTGCAGAGAAGGGTATTGTGACAGCACCGGGAAGACATCTTGCTGGCCAGCCTCATACAGACTTTGAATAAAGAGACTGAAGTTTCCGGAAGCTGCTTCTCTGTAGCTCATGATCTTCACTAGCAGCTTGGCAGGCGTCAGATCCTGGCCCTTGTTCTGAGCCTCCCATCGTTGGTACAACTCGAAGACCTGCTCAGGAGGCCCATTGCATTGCACTTGTCTCCACTGCCCATCGGTGCTGCACTGTGGGATGTAGGTGTCGGAAAGGGTGGGTAGCATGCTGGAGTTAGAGAGCAGGGCCTGCACCGTCCTGAGGAAAGCTTGCTCAGACTGTAATTGACAGGGCGTGGGGCCTGGGGAGGAACAATGAGCAGGTGTTTCAGTTTAAGAAATTTAACAAACTGGAAAGACCAAGATAAAACCACTTAACTGTCCAAACTCCGTCTAAAACCTTATATAGCCATAGAAATACCATGAAGCTTAAATTTGTAAATAATATCTAGATAGGCATTGCCCCATGACTAAATCAGCACCATTGACATCAGTTGGTGATCAGCACTGCAGAAATGTGGCAGTTCTTTAAGGCCAGACAAATCTCCCCATTTACTCCTAGGTCTGATTAACATTATCTAGGCATTCCTGGATAATTTTTAATATAAGCAGTCAATTTTGTCCTTAACTGAAGTGTAAGCATTGGCCAGGAGTGGATTTCTATTACTGTACTGCATTGGGTCAGGGCCTAAAGAGAGACTCAGGGAACCTACAGATTGAATACCCAACAGACTTACATTTCTTGGGCTTCCCTATTGCACTTCGAGTTCCAGGAATGGCCTGACCCTCAGCATCAACACAGTAGCACTCTGAGTTGAAGCACTGGACAGGCAGGAAATGTCCCTCACTAGTACAAGCAGGGACAAACAAGGTGGAGCCAGCAGGCTGGCTGCCCATGAGGCTTTGCATGCGAGCCCTTTGCTTTTCACAGTCTGTGGGGCACCTTGGCTGTCCACCTCTGACTCTTGAGCCTGGAAGCTCTTTGCCCCAGGAATTCACACACCAGCACTCTCCGGAAAAGCATTGGACATCCTCATAGCTTCCTTCTGTCGTGCATGATGGGACAAATAGCCTTTCAGGTGTCTGCTCACAGGTCTGGGAGCTGAGTACCGTTTCCATCACATCACCTAAATCTCTTGCCACATCTTCTGGCACAGAGATAGCATGTTGCAAGAAGAGAAGGAATTCTGGAAGCTCCAGGAGAGAAGCAAGGAATTTGAGGGCATTTTGGTTCTCTTGTAGGTTAATTTCAAAGCCAAAGCTGCCCACAGTTGGCTTATTCATAGTACCATCCTTCTTAGCAGCTTCAGGGGTTCCTGTGGAAGAATTTGAATCTAATCCCACAGAGAGTGGCTTGGCCAAATCTTCTTGTCTCCCTCCATTCAAGAAGCTTGCAAGACCAAGTTGCTGGAAAAATTGACTGAAGTTAAATGTGCCTCTTGTGCCAAGGGCTCCAGACAAGTTAAACTGGCCAACATTCACCAAAAATTTCCCTCCAAAAAGGTTTTGCTGGAGTCTCTTTGGGTTGGTGGTAAACTGAAGGGCAAGACGAGCCAGCCCTCGGGAGGGAAAAATTGCTCGGATGGCTTCTTTGAGAAGATTTTCTGAGACAGAAAACTGTTGGCTCTGTCCCTCCACCATTGGGCGGAGAAGCCCAGAGTCCACAAAGAGCTCCTTGATCGTGGGTGGGCAGGATGTGGCAAATCTGGCTACTCTTGGAGAGGCCCATCTTTTCTCTGGGGAAGAGAACAGGTCGTGCTGGCTGAAGTAGCCTGAGGTCCCAAAGTAGAGTCTGGACAAGGCCTGCTGCCTTTCGGAGGCACAAGATTGGCCTTCAGCTGCATGAGACAAAGTGAAATGGGAGAAAAGGTTTTAATGTCACAAGCAATCCTGAGACAGCTCCTCAGATCCTTTAGGTAGTAAGAAGCCAGAACATTCAATCAAGGACACCTACGTTTGAAACCACTTTCTTCTCTGTGTCATTTTATTTTTTCCTTTCCCCTGAGCTGCCTTTGTGGGGCCATTTTGGAAGTGTGACTTTTCCAGTTGGCATGACCACTCCACCAGCTCTCACTAGAGGTTCATCCCTTCTAAGGCAAGTCTTGAAAATACTGGCTCACTTTCTGAAAACCTGACCTCACTTGCCAATGGTACTCAGGTGAATAGTGTCCCCCACCACACACAGACATGATGTTCATGTCTACAGGGAACCTCAGAATGTGGTCTAGAAATAGGGTCTTTGCAGATGTCACCAAGTTAAGATGATGTCATACTGGATTAGGGTGGGCTCTAAATCCAATGACTGATGTCCTTATAAGAAGGTCATGTAAATAAACAAAGATGCACACAGGGAAGAAGGCTGTGTGAAGACACAGGCACAGATTGGAGGGAGGCAGCCACAAGCCAAAGACACCAGGGATTGCCAGCAACCACCAGAAACCAGGAAGGGGCAAGGAAGAATTCTGCCATAGAACCTTCAGGGAGAGCATGGCCCTGCCCACACCTTGATTTCAGACTTCTGGCCTCCAGAACTAGGAGGGAATAAATTTCTGTTGTTTTAAACCACCTGGTTTGTGGTGACTTGTTGTGGCAGCTCTAGGAGACTAGTAGACCAACACATTCCTATGCGTATTTAATGAAATGTTGTCTTCCAGCATTCTCTCGTTGGAATTCTCAATAGACTTCAATGCTTCACTATGTGATTTTAGTGTGGCTAATTCCTCCTTGGGAGTAGTCTTTTCTAGGCTAGCTATGGTCTCCTTGAGGGCAAGAACCATATCTGAAATGCTGTTAGTGGTTCCTATTATAAGAAATATTTTCCTATATTGTAATATATATTATAATATAGGAAATATAATACTTCCTATAATATAAAACAATAATGCCTACCCAGTGTACACACTTAGAACATTCTTCTGAGCTTCTTGACCTTTCCTAGAAATTACTAATTTAACAGTGATCAGCTCAGCCAACTCTTTGCATGGTCAAGTCATTCTATCTGAACATCCTAGGCTGACTGTAGCCACATTAAGAGAGAAAAAATGTAAAATTCAAACACCAAGGGGCTGTCTCAGTTACATAGGTGGATGTAAAGTAAGCTCCATTTTTCTCCATAAAATCATAACTCTTACCTTTTAACCACCACGCCCCCCCCCCAACTTTTAAAATATTTTTTTCCTCTTGATTCACATAAATGCCAAAAAGAAAGTCAGCCAATTTCCTTCTGTAACCAGGCAACAGAGAAAGAACTGGAAAATGTGGTGGGAGGGGAAAGATTGGCAGCATCAGAGCACGTAACATCCCTCAACGAGGCCATGGCCTCTTTTAATGGATATTACAGGAAGGTATGGCAGAAATAAAGTTTACTGCTTTGCTTAGTCTTCTTCCAAATTAAGAGCTTACCCTTTCTCTTTCCATCCATTTGTTATGTAGTGTTACCAAAGCAAGGAAATTCAATTACTGTTTCCATGTGGCATTTGTTTCCACAGAAATAGGACCTGATATACCAGACAGAAAAATTGAAAATATATGATCTATCTATGCACTTGATAGAGCCATTTATGGCCTTTAATTTGGAAAGCCATAGTTCTTCATTTCCACCTGGAAGTTGGATGGCATAACATTCTCTAGGTTTTAGTAGAAATGAAATGTGATTGTAAATACCTTCAAGAAAGTGTCTCCAAATTTTCTTTTTCGACATTCTCACACTTAGCAGATAGAATATAACCACATACCATGAAGAATATTCAAAAGGTTAAGTGGGACAAATGGAATGATTTAGCAGGAATTATTGAATGAATGTTAATATATATATTGAAGCTATAAAAAACCCTGCATTGGTGTATCACTATTCCAAATCTTTTAAAATCTACCCAGCTTCCCCAAGTTGGAAGCCTAGGAATGCTCCTGGTTCTTCCCTTCCTCATCATAACATCCTTCAAAATTTCACCAGGAGGAGAAAATGGGGTCTGGCTCGAATGCCTAATAAGAGTTCTCACTGTCTCCCACTGTTTCTGCTTTAATGTTGGCCCCATACTGGGTTGAATAGTGTCCCTCAAAATTCATGCTCTTCCCAGAACCACAGAATGTGACCTTATTTGGCAGGAAGGTCATTGTAGATGGGATTAGTTAAGATGATGTCTGACTGGATCAAGTGGAGCCTTAACCCAACATGACTGGTCTCCTTGTAAGAAGAGGAGAAGACTCATAGACAGACACAGAGGGAAGATGGCCACGTGGCAATGGAGGCAAAGACTACAGTAATGCTGCCCTAAACCAAAGAATGCACAGATTGCTGGCAGCCACTACAAGCTAGGAAGAGGAAAGAAAGGATCCTCCCCTAGAGCTTTCAGAGGGAGCACGGCCCCGCTGACACCCTGATTTTGGACTTCCAACCTCCAGAACAGAGACAATACATTTCAGTTGCTCTCAGATGCCCACTTTGTGGTGATTTATTACCATAGCCCTAGAAAATTAATACAGACTCCATCAGCTCTGGAACATGGCAATGACCTTCTAATTAGCCCCGTTGCCTCCGGACTACTGCTTCTTTGAGTCTCTCCTCCAGAATTTCTTTGCCTTACGTGCAAAACCCACGATGATACTGTCCAACTTAAAACCTTTCACTGTCTTCACCTGACCTCCAGGATGAAGCCCCCAAGCCTTTGTTAGGATAACAAAGACCTCATTGTCTTACCCCTGCCTTTCTTCAGAGTCCGGAGCACCACCCTATTCATACTCCAGCAATTTTTTCTCTATCCTTCTTGCAGATTAGATGATCATTAGCATATCAATGCCTATTATTCTGTCCTTCTAATTTTGCTTCTCCTGCTCTCTATATAGAGAACACCTTTCCTTACTCCTCTCCTTCAGGAAACATCTTCTTAGAAGATTCTGATCAAGTATGGCCTCTTCCATGCATTCTTCCTAAATGCCTCCTTCCCATACCTGCTGCAAGATCGAATGCCCACCTCACCATGCTCCTTTAGTTATGTGCATGCTCCTGTCTCACCGCACATGGGAACTCAATTCTCTTTTATTTTTCTTCATCTATGAGCCTCCTAATATTCCCTGAGCTCCCTGAAAATGCAACGAGGTCTGACACAAGATGAGAAACATGTTGGAAGTTAATGATGATAAACTGGTTCTCAGACAGGTTGAGCTTGAAGGGCCAGAGGGGCACACTAGAAGGCAGTTGAATTAATGGGGTCCAGAGAGGTTGGTCTGGAGGACCGCCAAAGTAATATGATCCGAGGCCGAAAGAGGAAGCCCCCAGAGGAAACCCACCACAAGATGGCGGCTCCCCTTGCTGCCGGGTTCCATGCATTTCCTTCCCCTGGGCGTCCACACACCAGCAGGGCCCTTCCGTCTGGCACTGCACCGCCTGATAGTCGCCATTTCGGCGGCAGCTTGGAACATAGGGGTGACCAAAGCTGGTTGCTGTAAACCGCTCCACTTCACATTTTGTGGGGCCTAGAGGAAATCCACACAGTAAAGAAGACAGTGTCAACAATGCTTGGTGTCTTCACAGCATGCACTGCTGTTTGCTCTTAACGATTCTTTTCATCTCTGCCCTCACTTTGGTGGAGCAGCCACACACACCATAGCAACTTTGAAACCCAAGAGGCGTCCCCCTAATGGAAACACGCACATTGTTGGCAGTTTATTACTTACATCGGAATCTGCCAGAGATGACTGATTGAACTGCGAGGAACCGTCTCTGCAGTATCCGGTACAGGGTGGTTTCAGTGAAGGTGGAAGGAAGGTCCAGGCCAGCAAAAATGGTGTCATAAATTTCATCCAGTAACAACTCCAAACCTGAGCAAAGACAGCAAGACTTTCAGAGATGGTCTCATTCAGAAAGGAAGCCCTGACCTTGTTGTGCAAACAGATACTGAGAGAGACAGCCTTCACCAGCATCATTAGGCAATAAGTCTGAACAACACTTTAACAGTTTCCAAAGTCAGAGCTGCTGTGGATGGTTGTGCAGGCTGTTCATAGAAACAAAGGAGCAGTGCTTATAGAATAAGAGATTAAATCCATCCTGTGCTCCACTCGCCAATTTCGGGGCTGCATCTGCCCAGAGCGGGGCACTTCTTTCCAATGTGCACAAAGGCACTATGTGGGCCAGCAGCAGCTGCATTCACCATACTGCAAGATGACAGTTTGCTAAGGTTGTGTCCTCCTCAATGCCCACAGCAGCCTGGCAGGGGGCAGGCAGTCACTCTAGCTGTGCTTTACAAGCAATGTTATCCAGGTTTTCAGACCTGAGGAATCACACTCCCTCCCTTCAGATCACCTGAGGGGTATCACTCACCTGTCTCAGCCAGTTCCCGCCCTTGGCTGTCAGCACAGTGGCAATACCCAGATACCTCAGGGAACCTCCTCTGGAAGGAACTGAAGGTCACAAATGCATCTGGAAACCTTGGAGAGAATGAGATTTACGGTCACCATTCATAAAGGCAAGTCATCACAAGCTTTTCCTGTAGAAATAAATGTGGCCAAGTCCACGCCTAGTGAAAAGGAATGTCTACTTTCTTATCACATGACAGTTGCTTCATGCTTCCTGCAGTAAATGCATTTCCTTTACAAATTAGTTTAACCTGGCTGGAACCAGGCTGGACCTTGTAAAATAAAGCTGTGCATAGCTGTCGTCTAACAATTAGCCGTTTTCCTCACTTATGGCATTTGACCAATTTATGCCCATGCGTTTGTCTCATAGGGCAAGGCAGAAAGCAGTCAAGGAAAATCGCATTAACTGGTTCCTTTCCTGGAATACAGCTCTCGAGACTAAAGGCCAAGTCTGCTTTACAAACATATGGTACATTGGAGATTATCTCATTTTGGGAGATCAAATGACTTCAGGCCCCTTTACGACTTTTCAAAAGCTTGAAAAGAAGCCAGCTGCCACCACAGGAAATCCTTAAGAAGGAAATGTATCCAGTCCCATAGTTGAAAAAAAACACAAATCAATACAGCATCACTAACAAGGGCTATCCATCTCTTTCCGTAAACTGAAGAAAGAGATTCTCTAATCACATCTGGCCTGGCAATTGTTATAACGAGCTCATCAACTGGGTTCCCTTTCTTAGAAGTAATAGAAAGGTAAGGTATAAAAAGCCATATTGAGGAGTTCTACCCCTGTGCAATGATTTAGCAACCAGAGAGGAACTGTTCATCTTTTATAACATTTAGAGATTTGTTTTCATGCCCTATATAACTATATAACTAATATATGAGGTCCAAGCATAATGTGTTTCTACCTATGTCTGAAATATATCTCCCAGCAATAAGTTAACGGAAGCAGCAGCTGTGTACAATGATAGGCCAATTGCTGTGCAATCTATTCTAGCAAAATATTGAAAAGAACCTTAATGTCCAATAGTAGAAAATTAAGAAGTAAATTATAGTAAATGCCCTAAATATAATAAAATGCTATGATTGAGGACAATGCTTAAAAATTCTAGCCAAAAGGGAGTGTGTATAACATTATGTAAAAAGGTTAGATTATAAAATGCCATATACATGTATTGCAATTACAACTGTACAACTGAATCAGTATTGGAAGTCAATGTGTGGTGTAGTAATTGCTGAGAGCCTGGCTTTGAATTTCCATTCAAGTTAATAACTATTATTTAATTTGAATGGAAATGGATATGCAAAACAAAAGCTAGAAATGCACTATAGGATTATGGATGAGGTTTTTTTCCATGCTATTAATCTATTGTTCTGTGTATGTGTGTTAAACAGAATGTTACAGTAAGCGTGTTGCATAACAAATATTAAAAACTCACTTTGCTTAGTTGCCACTAATAGGGAGGTAGGGGGTATATAATAAAAGTTCATTCATCAGAGCCTAGGATAATTCAATTTTAAAAATACTCATAATAGTATAATAATAACTTTTATTTACTGAGCACTACTTTGTAAAAGACTATCTGCAAAATGTTTTAATACACATTGATTCATTTAATCCACCTAACACTCCTAAAAGGAAGGTGGTACATTTTAATCCCCCTTTTAGAGATTAAGAAGGTGAGGTATATGGGCCACTGTCTTGAACTAGTGGTGAGAACTAGGGTTCAAACCCTGGTCTCATCCACTACATGCTGCCTATCTCTGCCAGTGGTGTTATTCAGTGTGTTTTTGGCTGCACCTGGCTTCTGTCCTACATCCTGCCCTGCAAGGCATGTGACTCTGTCTGACACTGCTCCATATGCCCAGCACCTCGCTCTTCCTGGCATCTCATAGATGTTGATGACACAAGTGCTGGCCCGAGGTGGGTTCTGAAACACATTCCAGCGTGAGGCACAAGTTTAAATCGTTTAAATCACTCTAGTTCCATGCTTCGCTAATTCAACCCAGAGACCCACCTCAACATCCTGGCTCATGGCAGACATGACCTCCACAGTCTTTGAGCCATCTTCATCCTACCACTTTATGGTCAGAGCCCCTCTCTGGGGGTTTCTGGTCTTATAAACTGCCCAGTACCTGGACCTACCAGTGTTTTTTGCATGGACCTCACTCTTGATATTCCTGCTTCCCGCACATTGGAGATCACCCTGTCTTCAGCTCTGGAGAGGGTCCTCCCACCCTCCCAGTAAGATCACCCTAAGGCCAGTTACTGCCTTCTGGGCTCTCTAGGGCTGTTCTTTGCTGACCTCTAGGACAGACACCCTGTGCTGCCATCTTTAATCCCTTCTTGCTAATTCTGTATATAGTGAGAAGAGCTAATATGATTGTTGCTATTAATTACTATTCATAAAATAATCACAAGTGATATGTATGAACAATCAGACCAAACACTCTCCATATTTGTCTCATTTAATTCTCACAACTCTTTAAAAATCTCCACTTCCCAAATGAGAAAACTGGGATTCTGCATGGTGATGTGACTGGGTCAAGATCATCCAGCCAAGACCAGGGGCCAAGAATCCCAAGTCCATTTCCAGTGCTCGTTCAACAACAGCAGGTGGCCAAAGGGTGAGACTACCACTCCAATAGAGCACAGTCCTTTGGGGGCCCTGCCCTGCAATCACCAGTGATTTCAAGCTCTGAATCTTCCCAATTTCCTGTGTGCCCACAATTCCATTTGATACAATTTGATTTCTGTGGCTAATTTCTGAAATGATATCACCATCTATGCATTTTGGACTCCTTCTCCAAAATAATAATTAGCACCATGAAGATTGTTTAGCTGTTATTCTGCTACTGTCAGTAGTGATTCACTGTCATCAGGGAACAGGGGTTCTGTCATGCTTTCAGCCTCCTCCTTATTAGATCTCCTGCCCCACATCAACCAAAAGAAGTCAAACTACTGAGACCGAACCCAAAGCCCTGATGAAAGCTGGAGAGTCAGGCTCCATCCCTAGCCTTGGGCCAGCTGGACCAAAGAATGTCCCCAAAGGAGGTGAGTTTGAGTGGGATTCTAAAGCCACGAATGGTGATTTGACCAGGAGATAACAGAGGAGTGAAGAACATATCTAGAAGGGTCGTTTGCATGCCTCCAACTTCAAGGTGGGAGACAGAACCAAGGTGTGGGCAGCAAGGAAAACTGAGATATTGGTAGTCACCGAGGGAGGTACAAGTCTGGTAGAGAATGCCAGGACCCAACATTCGCAGCCTCTGAAATACAGCACCTGGAGACACTTTTTGTTTTTTTTTTGTTTTTTTTTTTTGAGACAGAGTCTCGCTCTGTCACCAGGCTGGAGTGCAGTGGTGCGATCTTGGCTCAAGTGATTCTCCCAGGTTCAAGTGATTCTCCTGCCTCAGCCTCCTAAGTAGATGGGACCACAGGCACCCACCACCACACCCAGCTAATTTTTTGTATTTTTAGTAGAGACGAGGTTTCACCATCTTAGCCAGGATAGCGTCAATCTCCTGACCTCGTGATCTGCCCGCCTTGGCCTCCCAAAGTGCTGGGATTACAGGTGTGAGCCAGCGCGCTGGACCTGAAGATGCTTTTTATAGGCATTGGCCTTTGGAAACCACTGGTCCTTCAGCAGCAGGACATTGTCAAGTCAGATGGTCCCCTGTGGCATACAGTGTTCCCCCCTTCATGAGGACCCGAGGAACCAAGTTCCCTCCATCATCAATAGAAGAAAACATTGTGACCCCTGAGAAACTCTTATTTTTATCTTGTAGAAACCAAGTAACTTAGACTATTTTTTTCTTTTCTTTGGTTACAGGGATCCCAGAGCCAAATATGCAGCCCCTCACATTTGTTAGGACTGTGTAGAATGAGTGATGTGGGCCAATCTTTGCCTTGCCTTATTCTGATTTTCTACTTTTATTTTGCCTTCCTCATGATTCCCTCTAATTTCCATTTTTATCCTGTTTTGGGCATATCAGAAGAAAGGAGGAAGACAAAATCTACACAATATTTAAAAATTGAAAAATACCATATTTTGGACTACCACTCCAACAGAGCAATCACCAGTGAGTTCAAGCTCAGAATCTTCCTAATTTTCTGTATGCCCACAATCTAGTGGAAAAGGATGTTTGCCTTTTGTTGAATAAAAAGCAAAATCTCAGGGTGGCCATAGAAGAATCCTCAAGAAAGCAAATGCTAGCAGAGGGGCAAGGGGTGGCATTTCTGAGTTTATGCTCAGATTACAGCCAACCTAGACAGAGAAATTACAACCAAGGCTCAGAGGAATGCGAAATTCTGGTCTCCACTGGGCATCTGGTCTTGTTCATTCGCAGAGTACGATTCCTGCCTCCGGGCTCAGTCAGATTCTCTAACATCTCCCACAGGCAGTTCTTTGGAAATCTAAACACTGACTCACAAATGAGCCATGTATTTCATTCTGTCCTGCACTAGGGAGGGTGCTCCTTAAAAGAGCGGGCCGTACCGGGCATGGCTCACACCTGTAATCCCAGCACTTTGGGAGGCTGAGGTGGGTGGATCACTTGAGGTCAGGAGTTTCAGACCAGCCTGACCAACATAGTGAACCCCGTCTCCAGTAAAAACACAAAAATTAGCCATGTGGGGTGGCGCATGCCTGTAATCCCAGCTACTTGGGAGGCTGAGGCAGGAGAATTGTTTCAGCTTGGGAGGCAGAGGTTGCAGTGAGCTGAGATCCCATCACTACAATCCAGCCTGGGTGACAAAGTAAGACTCTGTCTCAAAAATAAAATAAAATAAAATAAAATAAGAGGGGGCCGTAGCCTAGCAGAGCGCCTGATGCATAGCCAACCACCACAGGTGTCTGTAATGAGGGTGATCTGGTGCTTCCCCAGTGAGGATTTCTCCATACAGTACCTTCCACATTCTGGTTACAATGCCCCTTTACCATATATTAAGACACATCTGATCCTTCTTCCCACTGGGCAATCTGGGTAGCATGGGTGGCTAAGGCATTTGAAGTTAGACTGGTTGCTAAGAAGTTTGAGTGTGTTTAGTCATTAAGGACAAGGGTTAATAAAGAAGCCAATTAACTCAGATCATTAAGGCTTTGACAATGGCATTAGCCCTGCTTGAAGGCTCTTAAGACCTTTACTTATGATCTGCTTGGTCAGAATGTGTGTCCACAGTTACTGGTTGGGCTAGGGCAATATAAAAGATGGGGCATGAGTCAGAAGGACCAGTGAAGCTTGCTCCCCATTACAACATGGTTCTTTAAAATTTTCCAGCCAAACAGATATTGTAAGCAGTAGCCTTCTTGAAGGGCAAAAGGACCTACTTCAGATGGGCAAACATCATTGCCAAATTCAAGTGCAAACCATCACCCAGCACATAAATAACTCACAGCAGCAGGTCAGCGAATGAGCTGCCCACAGGATTCCAGCCTTCTGGTGGCCCCAGGGAAGTAACTGCCTTCTGCCACTTCTCCATTTTAATTTTCAAAAAAAATCCCCTTAGATTCAACATCCCAAAACAAAGCTTGTGGCTTTTCCTTTTCAAATTTATCCTCAAGAATCCATCCAGAAACCAGACCTAGGAGTCATTCTTGACTCCCCCCGACCCTCACCTCCATATCAATTCCTTCACCAAGTTCTGTGGATTCCACCTGGTAAATATTCCTCCAGTCTCACCCCATCTCTTGGCTGTCCTCTCCGACACTTGCTCCATGTCAACGTCGTCTCTTGCCTGGACTAGTGCAGTAGCCTCCAAACTCGGAGGGCTGCCTCCTTGCACTCACTCTGCTCTCCCCTCACCCATTCCATTTTTTCAGAAATCCAAGTCCAGTGGTGATTATGATATACCCTTCCCCAACCCCAAGCTTCACATGCTTGCTGCAATATTGAAACATACTTACACTGAAAAAAAAAATTACTCTTTGCTATCTGAAATTCAAACGTAACTTGCTGTCTCGTATTTTACCTAGAAACCTGAGTCGCTAAGCTTAGGCCCTCTATATGGCCTCCAAGGCTCCTTCCACTGTGCCCAGAGAAGTCACTGGGCCTGCGACTACCCAGGTCTACTTAAGTATCGGAAAATCCCTGATTACAGCTGGGCTTCCAGTAACCAACCACCCAACCCTTCCCATGACCTTTCAATACCATAATTTACTCAGAGACATGCTTTCTTACAAAATGAAAAGGCTCCCATTTCAGGAGTAAATTTTTGTGTTTCTTTTAAACAAAGAATGCTTATTCTGAACTTTTGCATTTAACTCGACTGCCCTCTTGTGGAAATAGCTGTGAATTGTGCCTCAACCTCAGTGTGGCACACACCAGGGTCTTGGATGCATTCACCAATTCCTTAAGCACTGATTCCAGACCTGCTGTGTGCAAGGCTCTGTGCCATGCACTGTAGGGGAACAGAGATGAGTTACATTTATGTGGGATACTAAAAGGAGCCAGACAGTTCTAGCACCTAAGCTTACTAGGGTGAGTTCCTTAACCTCTGTGTTTCAGTAATCATTTGTATAGTAATGACTATAATTATCTAATTATAAGTATTAAGGTAAGTTAAAGGATATAAAATTCCCATTATATAGTAAGCACTCAGGTGATCTTGAACTGAGAACACATTGGTTTGCAGCAATAAGTACTCAATAAAACTGGCTGTTTGAGATTTATACTTGCTCTCAGGCAGGCCAGGCCTGGAGGGGGAAATTCTAACCTACATTTGCTGAAGCTGGCTGATGCATGAGAATTACCTACAGAAGTATAGTAATTTACAACTTTGTAAATTTGCACCCATGGTTTCATAGATGAGGCCTCATCAAATCTTCACTATGGTGTAATGAGCAGGGGCTTGTCTTCCATTTGACGGATGGGAACACTGAGGCTCTGAGAGAGTAAGTGGCCAGGTCGCTGTGCTAAGCAGGGGCAAAGGCAGAAGGCAGGTCCCAAAGGCAAATGCTACAGGACCAGGCAGGTCATATAAATGGATGAGGTAGGCAGTGGTGTGGCAACAGAGCACAGAGGGACCCGGAGCACAGAAGGGCGTGTCCTTGGTCTAAAAAGAGCAGTAAAGCCAGTGTCTTGATGCCACCAGTGAGTGCGTGCGTGCAGCCTCTCACCCTTGTTCTTTAAAATCAGAAATTCAGAATTGTGTGTTTTAGGTTGAACATGTGAAACTTCTCATGTTCAACTATTTTTTAACCTACAAAAATAGAAATTTCATGGGGTTCAACCTAATAAAAGTTTCCAGTTTTTAAAATATGATGCAGTTCAAATAAAGTCTGCCTGTGGGACAGTTCTGCACACAGGCTGCTAGTCTGAGATTCCTCCTGGCACAGCCCATGAGAATTTCCTCCCTCACACATGGAAAGAAACTGGTTGTTTTGGAAACCAGCCAAAGAGAGGCTCAAGTTCTCCAAGAGAATTCATATCAGTCTTTGCAGACTAGTATTCATATTTCTTTCTACTCCAAATGGTTCAATTACATCTAAAGTCTGCGTGAACCCTTTACAAGAAACCAGTGGCCAGTGTGGATGACCAGAAGCTACTCTGGCTATTTGGGTCAAGATCTATAATGCCTCTCTCTGTTTATATTCATTATTTACATTTTTAAAGTTATTTGTAAGTGCACGTATACACACAGTTTACAAAAATTCACAAATATAATGATATCCATGCTTTTGGGAGTGCTGCCTTTTTTCCTCTCCTGCAGATCCCCTTTCTGCCTCCTCTTGATTTATTTTTTATTTTATTTTTCTTTTGAGATGGAGTCTCACTCTGTCACCTAGGCTAGAGTGCAGTGGCACAATCTCGGCTCACTGCAATCTCTGCCTCCTGGGTTCAAGTGATTCTCCTGCCTCAGCCTCCCAAGTAGCTGGGACTACAGGTGTGCACCACCACGCCCGGCTAATTTTTGTATTTTTTTTAGTAGAGATGGGGTTTCGCCATATTGGCCAGGCTGGTCTCCAACCCCTGACCTCATGATCTGCCCACCTCAGCCTCCCAAATTTCTGGGATTGCAGACATGAGCCACTGCGCCCGGCCTTCTGCCTACTCTTTCTTCTGCAGAGCAGCCCTGGCCCTAAAGCAGCCCAGGATAACCATGCACTTTATGCTCCTTCCTCTTACCCTCTGTGCTCACATAGTCTTATATAGAGACCTGCATAATAATATAGTCACATAAGCACAAATAAAGAATCTTTTTGCTCATTTGTTCTTTAAAAATTTAAGCATATTATATTATATTATCTGTGCTTTGTATCTTGTATTGTATTATCATAATATACTGTGGCCTCCTCTCCAGATCAAATGTTCTAGCAGCTCTAACGCAGTCTTTTTAATGGCTACATAAATATTTATGGCAGATTCACATTTATTCAGCAAGCCACGTTTTGATGATCACTTTGCTCCCGGTTTCCTGCTACAATGAAAAATGATGTAGTAGGCACCCTAGCCGATATGTCTTCACATTCTGATGTTTTACATTTCATTGGCCAGAGGGCACATCTATTTTTCATTAAATATCAATTGCCAGTTTGCCTTGTTAAAAAACGCCGTGGCACTTTAGATGCCCAGGACAGCTCATGAGAATGAGGCAGCTCTTAATTCCTTATCATGCTGCACATATGACACATGGAGGCCCCCAGCTCAAGGTGAGTGTGGGCTGCGTCAGGTGATGGCCCAGTGACTGGCACACCCCTGCTCCCCTTACCTGTTGTAGCTGTGGACCAGATCAAAAATCATCATGTCTGTGGTGTTGACAAATTTGCACTGGACAGGCATAAACTCTCCCTCCGCAGAACACTGGGGTGGTGACTTATCTCCCACCCCGTGGAGAAGACGACGATTTCTTATTTCACAGCTCCTTGGACCTAAACATTTTCACGAAAAAAAAATCCTTATATATGAGTAGACACATATTTCTGCAGTCGAGCAGCATATGCACTCGTGTCCCTTAGCAATGGGGATGAGCTCTGAGAAATGCATCGTTCGGCGGTTTCATTGTCGTGTGAACATCATAGAGTGTACTTATGCAGACCTAGATGGTTTGCCTACAGCACACCTGGGCTATATGGTCTAGCCTAGTGCTCCCAGGCTACAAACCTATACAGCATGTTATTGTAATGAGTACTGTAGGCAATTGTAAGACAATGGTGAGTATTTGTGTATCTAGACATACCTAAGCATAGAAACGGTACAGTAAAAATACAGTATAAAAGATAAAGAATAGTACACCTGTATGGGGTACTTACCATGAACGGAGCTTGCAGGACTGGCAGTTGCTCCGGGTGAGTCAGTGAGTGAGTGTGAAAGCCAAGGACATTCATGTGCACTGTTGTAGACTTTATCAACACTATGCACTGAGGCTACACTAAGTTTATAATTTTTTTCTCTCTCTTCAGTAATAAGTTAACCTTAGCTTACTGCAACATTTTTTTTTTTTTTTTTTTTTTTTGAGACGGAGTCTTGCTCTGCCGCCCAGGCTGGAGTGCAGTGGCGCGATCTTGGCTCACTGCAAGCTCCACCTCCCGGGTTCACGCCATTCTCCTGCCTCAGCCTCCCGAGTAGCTGGGACTACAGGTGCCCGCCACCACGCCCGGCTAATTTTTTGTATTTTTAGTAGAGACGGGGTTTCACCGTGTTAGCCGGGATGGTCTCGATCTCCTGACCTCGTGATCCGCCCGCCTCGGCCTCCCAAAGTGCTGGGATTACAGGCGTGAGCCACCGCGCCCGGCCAATATTTTTACTTTATACATTTTTTAATTTTTTAAAACTTTTGACTCTTTTATGATAACACTTAGCTTAAAACAGGAACACATGGTACAGCTGTACAAAAATATTTTATTTCTTTATATCCTTCTTCTATAAACTTTTCCTTATTTTTAATTTTTGTTTTACTTTTAAACTTTTTTGTTAAAAACTAAGAGATACACACACACATTAGCCTAGGCCTGCTCGGGGTCAAGATCATCATTACATCACTAGGAAATAGGAATTTTTCAGCTTTATTATAATCTTATGGGACCATCATCATGTATGTGGTCCACTGGTGACCAAAACATCCGTATGCAGCACATGGCTGTGCTTATACTATACACGTGACAGTTAGAGACCCATGCAGTGACTCAGGTCTGCAACAGGAGACTCACAACGTTCAATGAAATCCTGTTTATGTTTCTAATGATCAGCCAGTGAATATGGCTTGTCTACCATATGGAAATATGAGAATAATAAAACCTTCCCTTTGAAGCTTTCATTTTCCCTAATGAGGGCCTGGTTCTCTGCCCACTTCGGCAGGAAACCCTAAATGTGTTGGATCGCAGTGAGGAAAGCTTCAGCCCCTCCCCAGCTCTAGGGGTGCAGGCGCTCAGTGAAACTCACATCGCTTTGGCCTCCCCAGCTGGCGGGTCCCATACACCTCCATCCCCTCTGCGTCCACACACCAGCACTGGACCTGCTGCACATCACACTGAACAGGCGCGTAGTCCCCTGAATCCTGACACTGAGGGAGGTAGGAGGTGTCTGTGCTGTTAATGTAGCCACTCAGTAAGATCTGCTGTTTCTGTAGCTGACAAAATGACAGACCTGTGGGTACAAGGAGCAATGTTAGATAGAACTGCAGGGAAATTTCCAGGGGGCAGAGCCCAGGAAAACTCATGCTCCCTTCCCAAGGGGACACAGCTGAGAGGGGAATGACCCGCCCAAGGACACGCAGTGATGGGGTGGCAGCCACAGAACAGGCCTAGCTAGTATCCTGTGGACTGAGTCAGAGAAGGGCTGATCTCGCTGGTGCCACATCAGTCAGGTACCCCAGAGCACGGTCCTGTGGAGGGGAGATGGGATCAGAGTGCAGGCCTGGCATTAACAGAGCTTTTCTGAGTCCAGTTTTCTCCACGGGCTCTCTGTGTGATCCTGGGGAAGCTGCTTCACCACTCTGCTTGTAGGCTAGTGACATTAACTGCTACAGTTTCAGCATTTGTCCCCTCCAAATCTCATGTTGAAATCTGATCCCCAATGTGGGAGGTGTTTGAGTCCTGGAAGTGGATCCCTTATGAAGAGATGAATGCCTTCCCTCGGAGTGAGTGAGTTCCAGCTCTATTAGTGTCCATAAGAGCTGAATGTTAAAAAGAGCCTGGCACCTCCACCTTCTATCTCTCTAGCTTTCTCTCTCACATGATCTCTGCACAGATGGTTCCTCTTCCCCTTGTACCATGAGTGGAAGCAGCCTGAGGTCCTCAGCAGCAGCAGAAGCTAGTGGCATGCTTCGGCACAGCCTGCAGAGCTGTGAGCCAAACACATCTCTTTTCTTTATAAATTATCTAGCCGCAGGCATTTCTTTATAACAACACAAATGGACTGAGACATTAGCAATGATCACCCCTATTGAATACCTACTATGTGCCTAGTGTTTACACGTGTTCTAAATCCTCACATCATACAAGGCAGATGCTATATTCATGTTACAGATGAGGACCCATAGCTCAGTGAGGATGCCTGACTCAGCCAAGCTCACACAGCAGGAGAGTATGGGGCCAGCGTGCCCCCATGACAACCATACTAGATGCATAAAACCAGTACCCCAAACAGAGCTTTTAATCCGTCAAAGGATAGTTTTGGTTTTAGGCTCAATTTCCTCATTTTGAGGTGGTTGGCTTAAGTTAACCATTGTTTTAGAGTTATGACATGCTTTAAATAGGGACTGTGTTTCTTTGATTACTCACTATAATAATTATCTTAACTGGATAGCTTTGACCCAAGTCTTAAATTTTAGAAACTCCTCACACCACGGGTGAGAAGGCACTCATATTTTTCTGGTCACTTTCTGATTTCAGGAGATGTTGATGTCTGTTCACCATTGTCTTCTCAGCATGTGGCTCATGGGAGGAACTGGGTAGATATTTATTGAACAAATGACTGGACTTTCACAGTGGCCCTGCAGGAAATAGGGCCTTCCATGGCTTGCAGGGATGATTCTTATTCACAGAGGAGAAGCCAGCAGCCCAGAGGGAGGACCTGCTCAGTCACCCACCCAAACCCAGTGCTCATTCCTGGAAGTGAGTTGTCCTAGCAGGGTCCCTCCAAGGGACGTCCCCCACTCCCACTTACAAGCCACAGGCCGTCCTGGCTGCCTGCTGCCCAGCACTTCACTGCCGTTGGCACCCACACACCAGCAGGAGCGGCCGTCGTTCTGGCACTGGACAGTCCTGAGGAGGAGACACAGACCAGGTGACCCTGGGATGGGCCCCCAAAGCCACATGCCGGCTCCCACTCAGGCTACTTTTCTTCTTCATTTCCATTCTTGCAAGTTTTGGTTCGTTTAAATTAGGGAGAGAGTGGAGTGGAGAAGGGTGGCTGACCTGGGAAAGGAAAGGCCCCACTTTTCCTGCCTGGCTAGCACCTGCTCTGCCTCCTGCCCCAGCCATTCATTCACCACCTGTCCAGCCTGCCAGCCCCAAAACAAGTGACCCACCCTGGAGTGCAGGGCTTCAGCCACATCCACCAAGTGTCCTCAGGCATTATGAGGCTGCAGAGGGTAAAGGCAGTGCCCACATTGTATGGATAGGGAGTGGGGGCTTGGGGGTGGGATGTTAGTGGGATCAGGGGCCAGCAGGGTATATTGGGAAGCACATGGGTGGGGTCAGGCCAGGCCATAGAGTTGACTCCCCAGAAATGATGACTGAACTGAGACCTGCAGGATGGTCAGAGGTATAAGAAGGTAAAAGATATTCCAGGTAAAGGGAACAGCATATGCAAAGCCTCCTGAAGAGAGGCCAGGTTTGAAACTGCAAGAGGCCAGAACAAGAGAGTTGGGAATGGGAATATAAATAAGGCTGGTGAAAGTGAGACTTCCTCCTTAACTCCTTCCTTGCTGTTCCAGAATTCCCAGTGATCTAAGCAGGGACTGCTCTAGCAGCATCTCTGCACACTCGTGGGAGGTTAGGCACATTAAGAGTGTACATAAGATAGCAGCAGGGAGGGAGGTTTCACAGACATTTCCCAGAACGCAGTTATATAAATGGAGTTCCCCTGATTCAACATGACTGGAATAGCACAAGGAAATTTCAATGCATGCACATTGCAAAGGATTCCTGTCTATTCTGCAGGGAAGAATTGTCTAGATTATTACCACACTCTCCACAGAGAGGGTCTCAGGCCCCAAGTCTGCATTAGGGCAGCTGGAGAAACCCCTTTCAGAGAGCAGCTCAATGTGGAGACAGCGACCCAGAAGCCCAGAGGCAGCCTAGAGAGCTAGTCCGGGCAGGGTCGGTGGCAGCTAAGGACTAGGAAGTCAAGGCAGCCTCTGCTTCCACCACCCCAGCTTCTCAAGAGGATACTTGGAGGAGGGAGAGGTCCCAAAGCACAGATCATTTGACACTCTCCTCAACCTGCCCCACTCCCCACACGTGCCGTTTATTCAAGCCATCACAGAAAAAGTGATGGCAAGAAGAGAAGGGAGGGCAGTGGGAGGATGAAGCATGGATTGGGGTTCACTTGGTCAGATTGTCCAGTGTTGAACAGCTTGGGGAACTGAAAGGCAGGCACCTCCAAATGACAGTGGAACTGAAAGGCAGGCACCTCCAAATGACAGTGGCCAAGCCTCACATGCACAAAGGAGTTGCAGGGCAGAGCTCAGGAAGAGGGGGGAAGGCACAAGATGCTTTTTATGGCATCTTGGACCTTGAGAGTTCGCTGCTGACATAAGCCTTACTGGAAGCTGCCATCCTCTGCACACTGGGGCACGTAGTCTGCTTGCTTCAGAAAGGCCGTTTCCCTCTGCAGCTCACAGGGACGAAGGGGCTGGGCATCCACCTGGTACTCTAGGAAAAGAAAAGTGGTTCATCAAAGAAGAGTGTGGACTGGGCTGCCAGGACAGAGACGGGCTCTCATAAGCACAGATGCTTTTCCAGGGTCATCATCATTACCTATGACAGCCTATTTTAAAATTTGGCAGCTAAGCACACTTTCTTACAAGTATGACATTAGCTCATTTAATGTGCAACATTCTCCTAAGAGGTGACAGGCAATATATCCTTGTCACTCATGAGGCACCAAGTCTCAGGCAGCGAAAGTCGTCTGCCCAAAGTCACGTAACTGGCAAGTGAAGGATCCCAAAATCAACGCTGGGACTACACGTTCCCCGCCCGCCCCCACCCTGCCGCAATTCCCATGAGGCTATTTGGAGTAAGTTAGAGAACCGTAAGGAAGTTCTTCTTGAATCTATCAAGCCATGCCCTGCAGATGTAACATGTTCCAGATAAACATTGAAATACCAATTAATTAATAATGTACATGACTTATTTTTCCATTGAGAACTCTTGTAACACATAGGGTCCTACCCAGAAATCACAACCGCATCATGAGGTGTGTGTTATTTGTTTACTTTTTAAATGAAAAAAAAAAAAAAAAAACAGAAGCTTGGCACTTTGCCCGAAGTCATATGGGTAAGTGGCTGAGCCAAAGACAGAACTTAGGGCTATTTCACTTCATAGGTAGATTTCTTTTTCTACTGCTTCTAAAATACCTGTTATGGATGACACAGACTTTGGAATAGCTAAGGGGATAAAAACCCAAGGTCAATGCCAAAAGTTTGCCAAAATGGTGGGGTGAGGAGGACCTAGAATTGAATTAGGAAGATCAACCACATTTCCCATTTCTGCTCCATCAATCACTAGCTCTGTGACCTCAAGTAATTCAGTTCGGCTCTCTAAATCTGCCTCTTCATCTGAAAAAAAAAAAGCAAATCACTGACATGTGGGAATTTGTGAAGATTAAATTAGATCGCACCTGTTCGAAGGCCCAGGGCAGAGCCTGGCTGACACTGGAGCTCCCTCCCCACCGCCTGGCTCCATGGCCTCAGAACTTACCGAAGATATTGGCCGACACCCAGCAGATGGAGGCCAGCAGGGTGAAGATCTCCAGGACCAGGGCCATTTTCCTGGCCCTTCCTGGGAGGAAGGAGGAGAAACCACTGCTTGCCCTAGGTCCCCTGGCCAGGGAGCTTTTATAGAGCTGCCGTTGGCACTTTCCTTCCCACCCCCAGGTCCTCAGTGAGGCAGTGCCCCATCCTGTTTTCTCTGCTGGTCAAAAGGAGCTCCCTCCACCTGTGTCTACTCCTCCTGAGGGCACTCGTGTGGCCAGTGGAGCATGAGGATCTTGTCTAAACTGTGGGGGAACAGAACGGGGTGGGGTGACTTCAAAATCCTTTTTTATGGGTAAAGACCAAAGCTCTGTATCTTTGGAGGGAACAGGCTCAAGCCCACAGTGAGGGAAAAGCAATCCTTTGTTCTTTCCTTCCCCACCCTACCCTTTCTCCTTCTCCTTCCTCCTTCCTTCTTTCCTTTCTTCCTTTCTTTCTTCTTTCCTTCCTTTCTCCCTTCTATCCTTCTTTCCTTTCATTCTTCCTTCTTTCTTTCCTTCCTTCCCTCTTTCTTTTCTTTCTTCCTTCTTTCCTTCCTTCCTTCTTTTCTTTCTTCTATTCTTTCTCTAACAACCTCTTAGAGCTCCACAGTAGCAGGCACCTAATCTAGACAATGAGGATATGGCAGAGAACAAAACAGGCAAAATCGTGCCCTCATTAATATAGACTGTGAAAACTTTGGTGAGGGAAGCAAAATACACACACACTCATATTCATATTTCTATTACTTTCCTCTCTTTCCTAGGACCTCAGACTTTGTCAACCAAAAGATAGCAGGAACTGTGTATTCCACAGAAAGCCTGTATGTCCATTTGGTTTCTCCTGGCAAACATGGCTTCCTTCCTTCAGTCCTGTTCCTGTGAGACCTGGAAAAACTCACCTCATCTCCCTGAGCCCCAGCCTCCTTCTCTGGAAAGCAAAGTTAAAAGGAGAATAATAATATGTCCCTATTTGTTAAGGTAGTTGTAAGAGAATAGACATTGAAGAGCACATGCTTATTAGACACTAGCAGTTATTATTATTATTATTGATTTTCTTATTTTGCAAAAGCATCATGCCAGGGAATGGCAAGTATTCAGAAGACCAATCCAGCCAGGTAAGGAGCTAGTGACAGATAGGGTCAGGAACTGGCAGGTAATGAGGGCAGGTTGCTGAGCCTGGCACCTGAGGAGAGATGGAGGGACCTGTGAGAATCTGGAGGATATGGTCCCGGGTAGAGTGAAGGGCAGGAGGACAAGCTGGAAAGTGGAAGAGACTCCAAACCCTGGGGAAAATAAAGGGGCCGATATAGCTGCCGTGCCGTAGACTGTACTACCTTCCACAAATAGGGTTGCTATGAATATTAAATGTGTTAAAATATGCAAAGTGCTTAAAACAGTATTTGACACATAATAAGTATCCAGTGTTAGCTACTGTACTAGTCTGCTATGGGTGTCATCACAAACTATCACAGACTGGGTGGCTTAAGTAACAGAAATTTATTTTCTCATAGTTCTGAAGGCTGGAAATCCAAGATCAAAGTGTCAGCACTGTTGGTTTCTTTGGAGACTCCTCTCCTGGGCTTGCAGATGGCCATCTCCTCCCTGTATCCTCACTTGGTCTTCCCTGTGTGTGTTTGTGTCTTAATATTTATTTCTTTTAAGTACACCAGTCATATTGGATTAGAGCCCATCCTTGTGACCTCATTGTGCACTTAATTACCTCTTTAAAGACCCTACCTTCAAATGCGGTCACATTCTGAGGTCCTGGTTTTAGGACTTCAGCATATGGATTTGGGGGGAGAACACAATTCAGTCCATAACAGCTACTGTCATCATTGTTGGGTTCCTGATATAAACTAGAGAAAGTAAAACACAACAGTCATTTGAAGTGTCAGGGTATGGGATTAAAAACAGGGGAGAACCCGTGCTCTGCCCGTCCTTCTTGGGGACCACACATGCCTGGAACTCCCACATCTCTCTCTAGCTCAGTCTCCAGCCAGACTTTTTTGAGCTCAGATCCACTCTGCCTGGACACCCTACAGGTATTTCAAATTCAACATATCCCAACCTGAACTCCTCAACCTTTCTCCTGACATCACCCCATTGGCTGTCTCTGTGATAGTAAATCCGAGCCCCATCCTAGGCTTCTCCCCTCAAGTCTTACCAGCCTCCAGGTCCTACCAGGCTGCTGCTCATTTCTACTTCCTTGGTCCTCCCCTCCTCTGCATCCTCACTCTTCCTGCCTCCGTCACATCCCTACAGCTCAGAACGAGCCAGCCAGAACAGCCTGCTGTACTGCTCCTCACCAGGGCTTCCCCACCAGCTGCAGGAACAGTCCTCTAAAATATGGCCATCCATGTCACTTTGTAGATTCTACAAAAAGAGTGTTTGGATCCTGGTGAATCAAAACACTGTTTCCATTCTGTGATATTAAACAGCACATCACAAGGCTGTTTTCACGGGTGGGGATGGAGACTCAGCCAACAGATGCTCAGGAGGTGCCGTGGCAGGAAGATCAATTCACCCTGGGGAGTGGGAGGACAACTTGGATTAAGACCTAGATGTTAGGTAAAGGTGAGCTGGGGAGTGTATTGGCATTTACTGGAAAAGGCAATACAAGAGGAAGAACTCACCTGCCTGACTCCCTGCTACCTCATTACATAGGCCAAGTTCACCCCAGGCTATGGAGAGCTGGCAGCATCCTTCTCTCTACAGCAATATAATAAGCACAGCATTGTGCAGCCCCTGGTCATTTCTCCATTTCTACATGTTCTAAAGCAGAAAAGTCTTAGAAAAAATTGAATGTGGTTAAAGATTTACCATAAACCTCACTCACCACTCTTCCCATTGCCCTAAAATGCATGCATAAAGCTTGCACAGGTTGGCCTGTGTGCTGAATCATTCTTGCTGGCCTGGCCCCTGAGAAGCAACCCACAGACCCATGCCAGAAGTGTCTCTGCTTCACTGGGTTTGGTGCTTTAGGAACTCTGGGCTCAGGGTTCATGAAGCAGGCCAAGATATCACTGGAATGAGGAGTACTATGAGAGAGGAATGGCAGGTCTGTGAGCTGACTCCACGTCAGACCCCACCTGGAGAAGCAGCAAGGTGTTAGGAGCCTGTGGGGGAGCACCCAGTAGTCCGAAATGCAGAGGCCGCCTTCAAAATCCATGCAAAGAGCTTCCCTCCATACGCAATAGCAGAGGTGCTTCTCTCCACTCAAGCAACAAAGCAGAAAGCTTCAAGAGAATCGAGGCAATGTGTCACTTCCACCACCATGAAACCCTCTTTCTCATAATGACTCAGCTACTGGTCCCTACTTTTACCTCTTCTCCACTGAGCTCTGAGAACAAACAGGCTTCCACAGCGACTCCACATGGCAATGTCCTAATCTTTCTTCACCAACTTGCTCCTTGCTCAGGCCTCCATCACTCTGGCAGGCTCTTCATCGCTGGCCCTGCCACCTCTCCCACTCTTCTTGGCCCAAAATACAACTGCACAACCTTCTCTTTCATCTCCTTCATTTTTTAATACTAAGGTGCTTTATATAATAGGTGCTTACTGAAAATTTAGGGGGAGATGGACAGTAATAGCAATATAGAGGAGGAAATGGCTTCAAATGGATCATCAGACACCACTGTTTCTGACATCCATCCATCAGCTGTCATGCACCACAGGAAATTGCTTCCCAGTCATCTCTCCTTTAGTCCAGCCTGCCACCATATTGCTGGATCCCTGCTACCACTTATGGACAGCTTCTCCCCATCCTCCAAATACCTAGGGACACAAAGCCACAACCCGTCTTCTCCTAGGTTCCTAGGGCAATAATAAACATTTCTGGTTCTTGATTTCTCATCCCAGAAAGACAGAGTGAAAAATACACTTTTCCCTGTACCTCTTACTAAGTATAGCTAAAACCATGAATATTATACATAAAACAAACATAAGAAGGCACTGAAAGTTAGAGAGAAAAAGACTGGCTATCAACCTCAGGATCAGAGGGACAAGATATATGGTAGGAGTTTCCTGGATTTTATTCGGCCTCCTATGTCTCAGATGAGATGTTGGAGGAGCTGGATACTCAGAAATGCCAGGGAGCACAGACAAAACAAGCCCCCAGAAAAGCCTCTTGAGCCAAAGTTCCAGGAAAGGGCGGCAGACTGGTAAGACAGAAAACTTTTAGATAACAACCTCTTTACTATATCAAACATCACAGAAAATCTGTCTCTAACCCCACCAGGCCAGCAAAGGTCAAGTGAGGAGCCCAGATTTCCACACTTGTCAATCTGTAAGGAGGTTCCCCAATCCCCCTGACCTTGTTTGTCAGAGGAGACAGAATGTGGAGCTGTGACTTTTACCCTGCTGGGCGGTAATGAGCCTCCTCTTTCTGCCATGTCAATGGAGTGTAGGGAGCCTGGACTTCTGCTCCCATCCAGTGGTAATAAGGTGGCACTCTCCCCCTTGACACTTAGGTGGTGTCAGAAGAGACCTAGTGAAGAATCAGGACCTTCATAATTGCCCAGCAGTAACAAGGCCACATGATGAGCAGTAAGGAGGCAACCCTGACCCTCCCAGGCAGGGTGGCATCAGCCGAGAGAAGAGACTGAATTGCCATCCCTGCCCAGCAGTACAGAAAAGCACAACAGCTTCCAAGTGTCAATGGAGTAAGAACTTGAACTTCCAGCCCCACCTGGCAGTAATGAAGTGGCATCTCCTGTTTCCCAATGCAGTGATGTCATAAGAGTTCTTCTACAATGAGATCCAGAGTTTCTTAACACCCAAATTGTCCAAATTTTGTTCAAAAATCATTAATTGTACCAAGAACTAGGAAAATCTCAACTTCAGTGAGAAAAGACTATCAATATATGCCAGCATCTGGTGACACAGATGTCAGAATTATTTGATATGGATTTTAAAACAGTCATCATAAAAATGCTTTAGCAAACAATTATAAATGTATTCGAAGCAAGTGAAAAAAATAGAAATTCTCAGTAAAGAAATAGAAGACATAAAGAATAGCTATATGGAAATTTTAGAACTGAAAAAGAAAATAACCAAAATAAAACATTCAATATATGTGGCCAAACAACAAAATGGAACAGAGAAAATAACCCAGGAACTTGACAGAACAATAAAAATAACCCAATTTGAAAAACAGAGAGAAGAGAATACAAACAGAACCTGAATGACCTACAGAACTATAACAAAAGATCTAACATTCATGTTATTAGAATGCAAGAAAGAGAGAAAAAAAGGTGGAACTGAAAATTTGAAAAAAAATAATGGCTGAAAATTTTCCAAATTTGGCAAAAGCCATAAAACTACAGATTTAGGAAACTGAGTAAACACCAGAGTATGAACTCAAAGAAACCGAAGTACCAAGACACATCAAAGTCAAACATCTGAAAATTAAAGACAAAAATAAATTGTGAGAGTGGCAAGAGAGAAACAACATCTTTCCTACAGAGGAAAAACAATTTGAATAATAGCAGATTTCCCATGAAAAATAATGGAGGGCAGAAGGTTGTGGTACAACACTTTTCAAGTGCTGAAAGAAAGGAATTGTCAGTCCAGAATTCCATATCCAGCGAAACTATATTTTTTAAAAATGAGGACATGAATCAAGAGATTCTCAGGTGAAGGAAAACTATTTGTCACCAAAAGAACTTCCCTAAAAGAATGGCTAAAGAAAGTTTCAAAACAGGATGAAAATGACAAAAAAAGAAATCTTGAAACATTAGTAAAGAAAAAGGAACAATAAAATGAAAAAGAAATGGGTAGATGCGATAGATCTTTCTTCTCTTCCTGAGTTTTCTAACTTATCTTTGATGATTGAAACAAAAATAACAACACTGTCTGACGTGGTTCTAACTATATATAGAGGAAATATTTAAGACAATTATGTTATAAATGATGGAGGGTAAAAATATGAAAAAGGGATAAGCTTTCTATACTTCACTCAAACTGGGAAAGATGCCAATACCAGTACATTATACGTTATGTATGTATAATGTAATACTTAGAGCAGTCACTGAAAAAGCTATACAAAGAGATACACTCAAAAAATGTCATAGATAAATCAAAATAGAATTCTAAAAAAAAAAAAAATGTTCAAATAACTCACGGAAAGGGAGAAAAAAGAAAATAGAGAAATGGAAAACAGAGAGAACCAGCATGGCTCATGCCTGTAATCCCGGCACTTTGGGAGGCCGAGGCAGGAAGATCGCCTGAGATCAGGAGTTCAAGACCAGCCTGGCTAACATGGTGAAAACCTATCTGTACTAAAAATACAAAAATGGGCATGGTGGTGCACGCCTGAAGTCCCAGCTACTCGGGAGACTGAACCAGAAGAATCGCTTGAACCTGGGAGGTGGAGGTTGCAGTGAGCCAAGATCATGCCACTGCACTCCAGCCTGGGTGACAGAGCGAGACTCTGTCTCAAAAATAAAATTAAATTTAAATTAAAATAGCAGATTTAAGCCCCAAAATATCAGTTATTACAATATAGTTAAAATTAGTAAATATTAAAAGGCAGAGGTTTGCAGAGTGTATAATGAAATATGACTCACCAATATACTGTCTACAAAAGGCAACTATAATAACATAGGTGATTGAAAGTAAGGAATGAAAAATGATGTACCATGCAAATATTAATCAAAAGAAAGGAGTGGCTTTACTAATATCAGATAAAACAGATTTGATAGCAAATAAAATTCTGAGGGACAGAAAGGAATAGTACACATTGACCTAAGGATTAATCCTCCAAGAAAACATAGCAGTCCTAATGTGCATGCATTAAACAACAGAGCTGCAAAATAGGTGAGGCAAAAACTGATAGAACTGAAAGGAGAAATAGACAAATCAATTGTAGTTGGAGACTTGAACACCTCTCCCTCAACAAATGATAGAACAACTAGATTGAAAATCAGCAAGGATACAAAAGAACTCAACACCAGTAGCATCTAATCAACATTCATAGAATATACCATCCAACAGAGCAGAATACATGTTCTTTTCAAGCATCCATGGAATATATACCAAGATAGACCATATCCTGAGCCAGAAAACAAATGCTGACAAATTTAAAAGAATTGAAATCATACAGAATGTGTTTTGTTAACAAATGGAATCAAAGTAGAAATAAATAAGGGAAAGACAACTGGAAAATTTCCGATCTCTTGGAAACTAAACATACTTTAAGTGTCCCCTGGGTGCTTAAATGGAAAACAGAGAGAGCCAGCATGGCTCATGCCTGTAATCCCAGCACTTTAGGATGCCATGGATCAAAGAGGAAGACTCAAAGAATATTTTAAAATACATTGAACTGCATTAAAATGTAAATACAATATAACAAAATTTGTTGAACACAGCTAAAGCAGTACTGAAAGAGAAATTCATAGCAAAAATTTATGGTAAAAACATTTACATTAGAAAAAGAGGAAAAGTTACTCATCAACCAGGTAACTATCAACATCTATGGAAAAGGGATGAAACAAGAAGCCAAGAGCATTTAGGGAAGGAGTCTTCTCATAGATTGAAAATCAGGAATGAGGCAGAAGCACTCCCAAGTTTCCCAAAATGCCTCCCTCCATACCCTGCCTAAGTCCAGTGGTCTTCACCATTTAAAAAAGAATGGCTAACTCTTGGAGAGGAAAAGACCATCCATCAGAGTCACCCTGCATTCATAAGAGTGGTGCCGGTCTCCATGACACTCTACCAAGAGCACTAACTATATGATCTTGGACAAGCTATTTAATCTCTCTGTGTCCCAATTTCCTCATCTATAAAGTTGTAATGCTATTAGTGCCCAACTTCATAGGATAATGTAATTATAAATGAAGTAATACATATAAAATGCTGTTAGTGCCCAACTTCATAGGATGATGTAATTATAAATGAAGTAATAAATATAAGATGCATAGTAGTGCCTGACTATCATTTTTCTTGAAAAAATGAGAATGTTTCAATGGTGGCAGCCCCAGATGCTAGTCTTATTTAAGATGCATCTCCTTGTGTTGAACATCCTTGAAACCTCTCAATTTCTATTTCTCCTTTGATCCCAATATGCAACACTGAAGGTGGACGTATCTGGCCATACTTCTTCTGCTGGCTCTTGTGAACAGCCATGTACAGCCCTGTCTCACACTGGCTGCTGCCCTGGAATTTTGCAACCCTCTGAAATCTTACCCTTGGGGATGTTTCCTCCTTGTCCCCCAATTTTTTTAGTGGAAGTACCATTTTTAGCTTATGGAGGTTTTTGAAGGCTGTCACTCTATGGGACTGGTAATGATTAGAAGCCCATTGCTCCCGAAAACACTGCTTTTCTTTATTTTCAACTGTTCTGTGTCTTGAGTAGTAGTTGTTTTACTACACTGTTTTCTGCTCTAGAGAAATACAGCATTGGCATTTTGTTTTCCACTGTGGTTCTCCCTTTCGCTTTCTGAAAGGCCCAGCCTATTTTCCAATAGGTTAACTAGCTTAAGTCACTCTCCTTTCTTCTCTGATTCATTTTGGGCTGGGATGGTTTGCTGGATTTGAGCCCTTCTTTTTGTTCTGTTCTTTCTAGAAATAGTTTTAAACATATGCCACTAGATTTTGTCCACTTGTTTCTCTCAGATCTGAGGAGATAAAATCAATATACTCTGGGACTGCCCAAAGCATCAGTTATTCAGACCTATCTTGTCCGCTGCCACTTCCTCAAGTGTCTCCGTCAAGTCATTCTGCCATGTGACCAACAGTTCAGACATGTACACTATCCTGTTTTGCCTGGCCCCTTCAATGGCTCTCATATTAGTGTGCCTCACTTTAGAGCCATCATTCTGTAAATTTTTCGGGCATGTTTCCTTGGGTCATAAATAGCATCTGTATCTCCACCTCTGCATGAAGATGGCTGCCTCACCTTGAAACTCACTAAAACTACTTTGAGTACTCTGTATATTTGGTCCAATCTTATTACATATGTCTAGGTTTTCTGTAAGCATCCCATATAGTAGCCCATTCTTCATGGGATGGTTCCCACTTACTGAGCTATTTGTTGTTTTAAGATGGAACTTCTCAACTGTTGGTTGATCCTAGTTCTCTCCTTGAAGAAATCCAACAAAAGAGCCAAGATCTTCCAAGATCTGAGTGCAGTGTGGTCCAAAATTTCCAAGTTTGTTTTGATTTGCGAAAATTAAGATGTTTCTGCTTTCTCTAGTGTCTACTTTCAGAGCAATTGAATTCCCTGTGCATCTCCACTTCCCACTTGTATCAGCCTACCCAGGCCTTCAAAGCCCTATTTTATATTTAAATCTGACCAGTCTGCCTTCACAGATTGCACAGTTTCTCCAAAGCAACACTCTCTTCTATCTTCCTTCATTTCATTTTCATTCTTTCACGGCTTCTTTTTCTCATGACTGCATTTCCTCCTTGATTCACTGAGCCAGCCTGATTCCTAGAGACAGTGTATTGCAAGGATTAACTTTAAATTGCCTGTGGGTTTGTAATAATTTCACTGAATTTTTTTCTTTCTCAAACTAAAAAGATAGCATATTAAAATTATCCTTTCATATTCCTTTTTCAGAAATAGAAAGAAATTTGAAGTTTTTAATTTTTTTAAATTAATAGACTTTACAGTTTTAGATTTACAGAAAATTGAGCAGATAGTACAGAGTTCCCATATACCCTCCTTCCCCATGCAGTTCTCCCTACTGTTCACATTTTATATCAGTGTGGTGTATTTGTTACAATTAACCACTATTGGTGCATTCTGAACTACAATCCATAGGTTGCATTTTCACTCTTGTCTCATATAGTTTTTCTTTAACTTTTCATTTTGAAATAATTACAGACTTACCCAAAGTCGCAGTAGTAGTACAAAGTTTCTATATACCCCTTAATCAATTTCACTTAATGTTAACATCACATCAGAATAATACTATTAACTAAACTGAATACTGTAATAGAATTTCACCAATTATTGCACTAATGTTCCTCTTTCTGTTCCAGGGTCCAGTCCAGGATTTAACATTTTATTTGGCTGTAACATCTCCTTGGTTTCATCATAATCAACAATTTGATGTATATGTGTTCTTTAAAAAAAATTTTTAAAAGACTTTGGTGAGATAACTCACATACCATACAATTTGCCTATTTAAAGTGTATTCAACAATTTAATAGCTGTTGGTACAGCTATTAAACAGCTTTTGGTACCTTTACATAACTTTGCATCCATCACTATAAATTTTAGAATGTTATTCTCAAAAGAATCCCCCACCCTTTAGCCATCATCCTCCAATTTCCCCATTCCCCACCCCGCCACAGCCCTAGGTAACCACCAATCAATCCAGTTTCTGTCTCTATAGATTTTTCTGTTCTGGAAAATTCATATAAATTGAATCATACAATATGTGGTCTTTTGTGATTGGCTTCATTCACTTAGTATGAGGGTTTCAATGTTCATCTATGTTATAGATGTGTTGTAGCATGTATCAGTAATTCATTTGTTTTTATTGCTGAATAATATTCCATTATGTAGATACACTAGATTTTATTGATCCATTTATCAATTGGTGCACATTTATGTTGTTTCTGCTTTTTGGCCATTATGAATAATATTGCTATGAACATTTGTAAATAAGTTTTTATGTAGACATGTTTTCATTGCTCTTGGGTACATCAATATCAGACAGAACAGATTTTAAGACAAGGAGTACTACTAGACACAAAAAGTCATATTTAATAACAATGAAAAGGTTAATATGCCAGGATATAAAAAATTGTAAATACACACACACACACACACACACACACAAACTACAACAAGAAAGACCCAAAAAGCACAATATAAAAATTGATTTAATTGAAAAGACAAATAGACAACTCAATCATTTTAGCTGATAATTTCAATATCTCTTTCTTAATAGTTGATATACCAACTAGAGAGAAATCAGTGAAGATATAGCAGACCTGAGCTAAACTCTTAACCAAGTTGACCTGATACGTATAGAACACTTCACATAACAATAGCATAATACACATTCTTTTCAAGTGCACATTTAATATGCTAGGCATTAAACAAGACTTAATAAATTGAAAAGGACTAAAATTATATAAGAATATTCTCCAACAATATTGGAATAAAATTAGAAACAATCAACAGAAGAAATATGAGAAATACCCATGTGCTAGGAAATTAAACATTTCTAAATAATCCATGGTCAATAAGAAATCACAAGATAAATTTAGAAAATACTTAGAAAAACTTAGAAAATAGATATATTTTCACTTAGAAAATATCTCTAACTGAATGAAAATAGAAAGTACAACATGTCAAAAAGTATGATATGCAATTAAGTCAGTGCCTAGAGGGAAATTTACAGCTTTAAATGCCTAGATTCAAAAGAAGAAAGATCTAAAATCAATAATCATAGTTTTTACCTCAAGAAGCTAAAGGAGGGAAAAAAATAAAGGGAAGAAAGAAAGGAAATTCAAGAGCAGAAATTAATAAAACATAATATAAAACGCAACAGAAAAACTAAAATAAAGCAACAACTTCTTGAAAGGGTAACAAAATTGACAAACTTCTAAGTAGACTGAGGATTTGGGGTGAGGGGAAGAAGAGAAAGGAAGGAAGGAAGGTGGGAGAGAGGGAGGGAGAGACAAGCAGCCAATCATAAAATCAAGAATAAGAGACATGACTACAGACTAACCATAAATTAAAAGAATTTTAAGGGACAATTACAAAAACTCACATTAGATAATTGGATGAAATGTACACGTTCCCAGAAAGATGCAAACTTCTAAAATGAGTTCAAAGAAGAAGTGAAAAATCCGAATATCTATACTGATAAAATATTTTTATTTTATCAGTAATCAGTAATTTAAAATCTTCTCCAAATGTGAAGGCCAATCCCAGTGGTTACACTGGTGAATTCTACTACACATTTAAGAAAAAAAAATACTAACTTCACTTAAGTCTTCAGAAATTACAGAAAAAAAAGAACCCTTTCCAGTTAATTTAATAGAGCCAGTATTACCCTGATATCAAAGCCACACAAAAATCTTACAAGAAAATAAAACTACAGAACAATATTCCCTTATGAATACGAATACAAAAATCCTTAGCAACATAATAGCAAATCAAATCCAGCAATATATAAAATGCATTTTATATCATGACAAAGCAGGGTCTATTCTGGGAATTCAAAGTTGGTTTAACCTCTGAAAGAATTCATGTACTACACTATATTAAAAAATACAAAAGTTATACAACCATGTCAACAGAAACAGAAAAACACATTGCCAAAATCCAACACCCATTAATAATAACCATAAAAAAACTCTTAACAAACCAGAAAAAAAGGTAACTTCAATCTGATAAAAGGCATGTACCAAAAATTTAAAGATAACATCATCTTTAATAGTGAAAGACTGAATGTTTTCTCCCAAGGGAATGAGGCAAGAATGTCCACTCTCACCTCTTTTATTCATATTGGACTGAATGTTCTTGCCTGTGCAATAATGCAATGAGAAATAAAGATATACACATTAATAAAGAATAAATAAATGTGTCTCTATTCATAGAAAACATAATTTATATAGAAAATCTTAGGGAATGTACAAGAATTCTAGGACCAATGAGTGATTTTAGCAGATATAAGATTTTAAAAACTCAATTATATTTATCTGTTCTAGTAGTAAAACATGTAAAAATGAAATTAAGAAAACAGTTCCATTTAAAATATAATCAAGAAAAAATACTTAGAAATAAATTAACAAAATAAGTGCAAAATCTGAACACTCAAAATTACAAGAAAACTGCTGAGAAAAAAATACATAGATTCTACACAAATGTAGAAACATACCATGCTCCTGGATCAGAAGATTCAATATTGTTGAGACAGCAATTGATCTATAGATTCAGTGCAATTCCTGTCAAAATTCCAGCAGGTTTTAAAAGAAGCTGACAAGCTGATCCTAAAATGTTTGTGGAAGTGCAAAAATAAAATCTAGAATTAGCAAAAACATTTTATGGAACAACATAGTTAGAATTATTCTACCTGATTCCAAACCTCACTAGAAAGCTATAGTAATTAAGAGAGTCTCATGTTGGCATAAGGATAGACATATTTATTAGTGGAAAAAGAATATAGGATGCAGAAATAAACTAACATAACTATGGTTACTTTTCTCTCAAGAAAGGCACCGAGGTAATTCAAAGGGAAAAAAGATAATCTTTTCAACAAATGGTACTGGAGCAATTGGATATCAACATGGAAATTAAAACAATAAGATAGGCCATGTGCCGTGGCTCACACCTGTAATCCCAGCGCTTTGGGAGGCTTAGGCAGGCGGATCACCTGCGGTCCGTAGTTCAAGACCAGCCTGGCCAATATGGTGAAACCCCGTCTCTACTAAAAATACAAAAATTAGCTAGTGTGGTGGCTCGTGCCTGTAATCCCAGCTACTCAAGAGGCTGAGGCATGAGAATCACTTGAACTGGGGAGGTGGAGGTTGCAGTGAGCCGAGATCACACCACTGCACTCCAGCCTGGGGGATAGAGTGAGACTCTGTCTCAAAAAAAACAACAACAACAACAAAAAAAAAAACAGTAAGGTAGCACTGCACACTTAAACAGCTAAAACCTTAAACACTAACACTACCAAATGCTGGCAAGGATATGGAGCAAGTGAAACTCTCATTCAGTTGACCATGTTTTTTAGGTCTATATCTGGATTCTCTATTTTTGTACCATGGATCTACATCTCTATCTTTATGCCATGTCTACGCTGTCTTGATGATTGCAGCTTTATAATAAGCCTCAAAATTAGAAATTGGATTACCTCCAACTTTGTTCTTCTTGAAATTTCTTTGGCTATTCTAGGTCCTTTGCATTTTCATATAAATTGTAGAATAAGCTTGATAATCTATTTCAAAAAGTCTTCTGGGATTTTAAGTAGGATTGCATCACATTTACAGGTCAATTTTGGGAGAACTGACATTTCAGCAACACTGAGTCTTCCAATCCATTATCCTGGTATATCTTCCTATTTATTTATGTCATCTTTAATTATCCTCAGCATTGTTTTTGTAGTTTTCTGCATATATCTTAAACGTTTTTAAAAATTTATCCCCTATTTACATTTTGATACTGCTGAAAATAGCATTTATTTTTACATTCTAATTTCCAATTGCTCACTGCTAATGCACAGAAATATTAGATCTGGTAGCATTTTGGTAGATTCCTTAGACTTTTCCAGGTACAAAACACGTCAGCTAAAAATGTTTCTTCTTCCTTTCCAATTGGTTTACTTTTATTTTCTTTTCTTTATTGCCCAGTTCCATCTTACACTGGCAGGTCCTCCAATACAATGCTGGATAGAAGTGGTGATAGTGGACGTTCTTGCTTTGCCCCTCATCTTAGGGAGGGACATATTCTTTTGCCACTATGATGTTAGATTAAGTTTCTTGGTATATGCCCTTTGTATAGTTATAAATTATAAATTTCTTTCTAATCTTTGTTTTCTGATCATTTTAAATCATGAATGGATGTTGAAATTTGTGATATACTTTTCATTTATTGAGATTAACATATAGGTCGTATTTTTTTTTTTTTTTTTTTTTTTGAGGCGGAGTCACGCTCTGTCGCCCAGGCTAGAGTGCAGTGGCGCGATCTCGGCTCACTGCAAGCTCTGCCTCCCGGGTTCACGCCATTCTCCTGCCTCAGCCTCCCGAGTAGCTGGGACTACAGGCACCCGCCACCACGCCAGCTAATGTTTTTGTATTTTTTAGTAGAGACGGGGCTTCACCGTGTTAACCAGGATGGTCTCGATCTCCTGACCTTGTGATCTGCCCACCTCGGCCTCCCAAAGTGCTGGGATTACAGGCGTGAGCCACCGCGCCTGGCCATAGTTTGTATTCTTTTATTGACCTATTTTATTACATTGATTTTTTATTATTAAGCCAACTTCATATTCCTAGGAAAATACTCAACCTGATCTTGATGTATTATCCTTTATATTGCTGGGTTTGGTTTGCTAATATTTTGCTGAGGATTTTTTATCTACATTCAGGAGGAATATGCATTGATCTTCCAATATCTTTTTTTTTTCTGGTTTTGGCACGAGGTCAAAGTTCATCTCAGGACATAAGATACTAAATGCTTTTTTGTACTTTCTGCCAGTGTTGACATAAAACCGAGAATACATTTTCCTTAAATGTTATAATAGAATTCATATTTAGACCTGAAGGTTTTTTCTATTGTTTTGAGAGAGGGCCTTGACCTGTCACCCAGGCTGGAGTGCAGTGGCACAATCACCACTCACTGCAGCCTCAACCACCTGGGCTCAAAGCAATCCTCCCACCTCAGCCTCTTGAGTAGCTAGGACTACAGGCAGGTGCCGCTACACCTAGCAATTGTTTATTATTATTATTTTACTTTTTGTAGAGACAGGGTGTTGTTATGTTGCCCAGGCTGGTCTGGAATCCCTGGGCTCAAGTGATCCTTTTGTTTTGGCCTCCCAAATTGCTGAGATTACAGGCATGAGTCACTGTGCTCAGCCTAGATTTTTAATTATAAATTCTACTTCTTCATTTGTTTTTTGGTAATTTGTGTCCTTTGAGGGATTTTCCCATTTCAGCTAAGCCTCAAATTTATGGAAATGTATTCACTGTGTTTTAAAAAACTGTTGGATCCACAATAATGTCCCCCTCCTCCATTCTAATTATTTATCAATCTCCAAGAGTGTCAATTTTTGTTCTGTTCCAAGAACCAGCTTTCTATCTATATCTGTATTTTGTTCATTTAGTATTTCATTGGTTCCAGCACTATTATTATTGCCTTGCTATTATGCTTATTTGGCTTTAATTTGCTCTTTATCTTCTGGTTTCCTAAGGTGAAATCTTTTATCAGTGATTTTGTACTTTTATAAATATAAGCAAAGCTATAATTTCTAACATCGATTGAGGTGTATCCCACAAATTTTAGCATGTTGTTTTCATTTTCATTCTATTTAAAATATTTTCTAATCTTACCTGTAACATTTTTTTTCTTGGGCTCATGGGTTATTTAAAAGTACACTGTTTAATTCTCTAACATTTGGGAACTTTTCCAGATTATCTTCCTGGTATTGATTTCCAATTTAATTCAGTTGTGGTCAGAGAGCATATTGTGCATGATTTCAGTTATTTTACATTTATTGAGACTGTTTTATATCTACCTTTATTGAGACATATTGCTCTATGGCGTAGTATATAGTCTATCATCTTTAGTGTTCCATGTACACTTAAAAATAAAATGTATGTTCTTGTGTTATTGGACAGAATGTTCCATAAATGTCCATTTTAAGTCATTTTGGGTGATCACTTTTGCTTAAGTCTTCTATTAATATATCTTGACTTTGTCTACTTGTTCTGTCAATTAGTGCTAAATTAGGAGGGGTGCAATGTTCAACTACAATTGTAAATTTTTCTATTTATTCAGTGATATTAGTGTTTGCAGTGTGTATTTTGATGCTTTTTAAAATTGCAATGCACCATTTTTTGTGGACAAAAGTATGAGAGGGTGATAAAGACCTATAATTACAGAAAAGAATATTCTGTTAGTAAGTAATGTGGAAAGGCAGAAGGGAGAATATAAACATATGTAAAATTTCTAAATGTTAAAGATTGCTCATGTATTTTAAAAACATGTTGGTAAGGAACAAAACTGTACTCTGATTCTATTGTATACATTTAAAAATAATGTAACTGGTTTATTTGAATATGTCAATATTTGCAAATTGGAAATCATCCTTTGCAATAAATTTATGAACAACTTCAAATGGAAGAATCGAAACCCCATTGCTCATGGCAGTGTCTTCAATTATGCATATTCATATTAGCTTTTTCCCTCCCCTCCCACACCTTTGTTTCTCCCTCATTTCAATTCCTTGGAACATTTCCTGAATAAACTAAATACAGTCAAGTCTTATCTCTTGCGCTACTTTCAGGAGTACCCAAAGACAGGTGTACCAGGAGTGAAATGCTTTAGAGAGGCCACTCACAGTCAAAAGACATGAGAAGACCACTGTTTTAATTAACATTCATCATCTATTTCCCAAAAACCCCTCCACCTACAAGTCTAATTATCTTTCATCTCCTTGTACTCTCTGATAGCACCTATCTTGTTGAAAAATATTTTTATGTTTCCATTAGTCTATAGGCTGTGATCTTATTAATTCCATATCCATCCCCAGCCTCTAAGCTTAATAGCTGGCACATGGACAACCCTAATGTCTAATGAAATTTCTATTTATTTAGTAACAGTTTCTAGGTACTTTATTTGCTTTACTTAATTCTCAAAACAAGGCTCTAAGCTGGGCATTATTCCCATTTTACAGACAAGGATAGTGAAGTTCCAAAAGATCACACTGCTAGTAAATTGCCAGAGTGAAAATTTGAGTCCAAGACTGCAGAGTTCATGCCTGTTCCACTATATTATTAATCACTGATGTAGTTCCTCCATATGTTGGTACAATGCAGGATACCATGAAAGGCTTTCAGTAATGGATTACTTCTCATAGGAAGAGAAATGAAGTTTGAAGGATTGTCTGGGTTTACAGAGGGACAATAAACAGTGGAGAATTTTCCAGAAGAGGAAAACAATACAAAGGTAATAGAGGAAAACAAGTGTAGTCCATTTAACAGTAAGGCTACATTTAAATAACTGAGGATTATGTAAATTGCAAAAGATCCAGATTACAAAGACCTGACATGGTTTGAAACAGGGAGTCACTAGACATTCCAGAGCAGAAAACTGAAATGACAAGAATAGTTGAAGCACATATGCTGGAAAGACTATGAACTTGAATAGCACAGGATTTGAATCCTGAACCTGCCCCCTTATGTCTTATCCAGGATAAGTTTCTAAATGTCTCTATCCCTCAGCCTCATCTAGAAAATGATCATTTTACCTTATTTTATGAACAAATTAGATACTGCAGGTAACATGTACAATGCATGGAACATGTGCAATGGATGGAACAGTGTGGCAGTGACAATTGTGATGAATTAGAATAAAGGCAAAGTTACAGTTTCAGAGGCCAGTGGTAGTATCTTCATGACATTATTTTATAAAAAATGTTGGACCTTCAGTAGGATTCAGAAGTAAGAAGACAATATTATCTGTTTTAATGATATGGATATGAGGGAGGACTCGGTGTTTGAAGCCTGAACTCTTAGGGTAACGTTATTAACAGAGACAGTGAAGTTGGCAGGAGACTTCGTTTATTGGAGGGGAAATAGTACGCTTCATTTTGAACATGTGAAATATGAACATCTGAGAGGAAATAAGACAGTGGAAATAAGATGAGTGTTAGGAAAAGGGGTTTTACCTGAAATTTAAAGAATAACCAAGTTGTTTTCGAAGTACATTACTCTTAAGTTTGGAAATAAGTCAGTAGAACCACAAACAAGTATGAGGAAGTACAAGTTTATCAGTAACATACCAAGAGGGAGCCTTCTCTACCAATGCTCATTCTGTTCTGCCTGGTGGCAAATAAAACATTGTCTTTTCAAGAAACACTCTCTCTAGTTTATTGCTTCTATTTAAATACATATAGTGATATTTAAAAAGACTAAAAGAAAATAATCTCATCTGAAACTTTTCACAATAGACTGACTTCTCAGAAACTAATTCACTCTCTTCAATAAGAAAAGCTCAGCGCACTACTTGTGAAAGGCTTCAATCGATTGGTATACTCTATATTAAATGAAAATATGCATAAAAATAATTTGATTTAAAGATCTAAATTTAAAAATTCAGATTTCCAGTTCGTATACATATAAGCAGAGCAAAAATTTCATTAATCTAATAATGGAATTTTCAATTTGCTGGCTAACAAATAAATTGATCTAATTTTTAGAAACTACAAGAACAAATGTGCATGAATTTAACCGTGTTCACCAGGAATCAAGAGGATGAATGTTACTAGGTACAAAGGGTCTTCTGTGTGTGTGACAAGAATCTAGGCAACACCATTATTCATAGGTTAAGGATGCTATTTGCTCCGTATCTGAAAAAAAGAAGATATAAATTCAATGTCTAGAATGTAGCCATGACAGGGAAAATATTAGAGCCACTATTTTAAAATGCAAAGGAAAAATAATAGTATCAATCATAAAATATAGACATTAGCAAATTTACTCCACACATGGAATACAGGCACTACTTTTTTACTTTGATATGTAAATTTAAGCAATTACCCCACAATACCACCTCTGCTAAAGCTTTTCATTTATCAGTAAGATCTTTCACAAAGTTAAAGTATGACAAGTAAATACACAGGATGATATTTTCTGTCTGTTGATCTTTGGCACATTTGTCAAGTTGGAGAATCTCAAAAGGCAATAAAAATTTCTGACTGTTTTGCACATTCTTTTAATCTTTACATCAAAATATAAGGCCGCAAAAAGGCAAGCTGAAATTTTAGGATATGTGGAATAGTTTTAATACAGAGTTTTACATACAGTACCCTTACATATAGAACAATGTGTTTGCAAATTTAAATAATATCTGAATGTACAGTGGCATGTATTCTTATCAAAGATAAATTCAAGTTTACTGTCTATCAGTTCTAAAATGCATTTATACAGATTGCGAGAACTGATAAACAGAATGAGGCATAAAATATTCAAGTGTTATGTCATCAAATAGCCTCCTCTTAACAGTCTTTCTCCCCTTTTAAAAAAATTTCAAAACCTATACATACATTTTTAATTTTTAAAAACAGTCTGTTAAAAGGTAACATTTCATGTTAACCACCAATTCGTATAGTCTATAGTAATAAAACTAGATATGTGATATAAATATGTGTAGATTATGTACATATGTACGTTGAGTGTTTGTTTAAAACAAGCATACACACTTACGCATACCTGCGTATGTAGCACTGGGGGCACATACAACTCACATGAGTACTGGCAGACAGTAGGACCTAGGCTCAAAATCCAGCAAGAGCTAACACAGCAACTTAGTTGCCTTTGGTTTCAGAAATTTGTCCACTTGTGATCAAAGCTAAAAGTTTTGAGTGTGCATGTATTTTTTAAAAATAAAATTCATCTTCAGAAATGAAGCTTTTCCAGTATTCCACTACTAGCAGTTAAAAAAATCCACAGCCACAAATTATTTTGATATTCTGTCACTCCTCATCCCAGCTGAGGTTATTTACAATGTATTTTTTTTTTTCTGAAGGCAAACACCAAGCATACTCAGGATCAAACTGTACGTTGAGCCTGAATACTGCCATTCAACTATATATATGATATATATAGTATAGGTGATATATAGGTTTTGGATGGACTGGTGGCATTATGTAAGACTTAGGGTGGGAGAACTCCCACAATATTTAAAATCCTCTTTCCAGCAGAATCATGATCACTTGGCACATCGGACCCTTCTGCAAGCCAGTTTGTTTTTAATGAGCTTAATGCCTGCAATATATTCCAATTATTTGGTGTTTGTTTTTTAAATACATTCATAATGAAGTAAGAATTCCACAACTGTTTTCCCCAGAAGTGAGATTTCTACTGTCAGTTTTCTGATTGAGAACATTCATCGCCCAAGAAACAGCTCATGATCCTTTAAAAGTTTAAATACCCTAAATTTCCGTACAGCTGGATCAACTGCTGAGAAGACAGTTCTTAGAGCAACCCTGTAGAATTCTCCAGAATTTAAATTTCCTTTACAATTTTGTTTTTGGCCAAGTGCTGGTTTATAAACATAGATCTTTCTATTAAAAACTATACAAATATACCATATTTCTTTCTACAGGTATCTTGAGCTTCACGTAAGCAACTACTCAAAAATTCTGAGAACTTGAAATCCCTTAGTATACATTATATTCTACTTCATTGTTCCTTGGCATATAACACATTCTCATTTGCAGCTTGCTCATGAATTTGTTTTTAAATACTAGCTTCCTTGATAAAGTTGTTCTTCATTTTTCTTTCCAAGGTGCCATCCTATTGACATCACAAATCAGTGAATGACCAGACATTACTAAGCTTTTAAATTATCCACTTAGCCATCACGTGGATAATAAAAATGCTTTGACTGAAGAAAGCCACATTCTTTCATTAAGTGTTCACTGTTGTCATACAGAGCAAAGAGTTGCTATCTGCTGTACTTTGCCCATGTCAATTAGGAGCTGTTTTATGTGGCGTTTAAGTTGGGGCAATCTTGCAAGAGGATCTGGTGGCTCCAACTCCCCTGTGAAATCAAGCCAGCTTTCCAGAACTAAAAGAGAGAAGAAGATAAACAAATTTAAACTGCAACTGGAAGAACAGTCAGAAAATGAAACAATCAGAAAGTTGGAGCTGTGATGGAGTTAAGGGTTCACTTCCCCATCTTTAGAAGGCCAACATACTCAAGACATTTCCGAGAGGTTAGCGTCCTGTCATCCCACCCCACAGAGTTCTAGTCCCTCTTGGCAATTTTTATCTGTCATTTAAGATAATTTTCCCCTTTATATATATAGGAATTATGTATTTTTATATATAAGGGGGAAAATACATATACACACACACATAAACATATACACACACTAACTTCATTTTGAAGGTCTCCTTTTACTCACTTCTGGAATAAGATAACAACAGTTCCCTATGTTTGCTCAAGCTTTCTATTAATTTAGACTCGTCATCTCTACATAAAACATACCTAATCATATTTTTTAATCCAGAAGCTCTTCTTAACAAAGAAAAGGAAGTAGCAATTTCTCAGTGTTCTTTTCAGTTCCACTATTTTAACACTACTTTTTAAAAGACATGCAAGCGTATTAAAATTGTAGGCAGAATGCAATTGATTATATTCTATAGTTTTTATTAATGTTTCCTTTGGAAATCTACCCTAATAATATGAAATAGTATCAAGATGCATTTTCTTTTCTTCAAACATGGACTCAAAACATCACATTAACTCTACAGTTAGCTTATACCCAGATGGAAGAGGCTTCTAAAATGGGTTTCCATTTTCTCTCTTCTTCTCTCAAGGGGGAAAAAAAGGAGTAGGAGCTCTAACTTAGTGTAGAGGAGAGGTATCACGTGCTTATGCCAAATTAAAAAAAGTAAAGTTGGGGTGCAGAATATCGTCTATGATGTTAGGAAGAAACAGGAGTCAGAAAGCATTAAGAACAACATGGACTGAGAATCAGGTAGTCTAAGTTACTCTAGTTTCTCAACTATAAAGTAGTGATAGTATCTTTCTTGCCCACTTTTCAGGCCTCCTGTGTGATGACACAATTTTAAAATATAAAAGAAAACCACTTAAGGTTTACCTACTTAACTTTGTAGAAGTTTTTGTTAATTTAACAAGTGCTAACCAAAGTAAAAAATATTCAAAATGTTTTCACATTTCAAACATGCTTAAATTCCTTATGTTGACTTCCAAAGAAAGCTTAGTTCAATGAAACTAATCAATTTATTCCATAAGTGATCTATCTGGAGCCTGGCAAATAGACAGTATTTAATAAATATCCACCTTAAAAAAGTAAAAACAACCTAAGGTCATACCCGGTCACATTGTTTTAAGCGTAAAAGATCCCAAATGTGTTAAATACAATACAAAGGGAGTAATAAAGCCCCATCGGTATGGAGAGTATCTGCAGTTTTCATCCCATAATTTAAGAATTTTAAGTAACTTCTTCATAGTAACAATAAATTCACTATAGTAACTGTATTTTAGTTCTTTCTTAAATTACCATCGACTTCTTTTTCTATTAGGTCCATCCTGCTGGTAACTTCGTTCTGCACATTTTCTATGTGTGTAAGGAGATTGAGCTGCCACTGAAGATGTGAGTCTCCTGGGTCTTCGGTGCCCTTTTTATCATTATAAACAAATACTGTATTCCCTTCAGCTGGATTCTTCTCCAAAGGACCATTGGAAAATAAACACAAAGAACGGGATGAAATGCAGTCATTGAGTTAAGGATACAGGAAACACCTCATCACTGGTAACAGTTAGTGAGATCCAATCTGACTCCAGGGGTATCTTTAAAGAAGTACTGCTACATAACCAAATTCCAGCTGGTGGTTCTTAAGAGCTGATGCACCCACCACCTCCCTCCACTATGCCTCGCATGGTGCTACACAGGCAAGAAGGCTTCAATAAAATGCGCTAAATAAATGAAGTCACTAATTCTATTGTGTAATTAGAATTCCTGATTAATTTAGACTGGCCTCTTCCTCAATTAATCTCAGCTGGTGATATAAGTGGACATAAGAGTGGAAAGCAATGATGAAAAGAAATCAAGAGCGTTTCCAAAGACCAGTATAAAATCTAATTAACTACAGACTGGACTTTACTGTTATAGTACAGTAAATCAATGAAGGGAGGGAAAGGCAAAAACCTTTTACAAGTTTCAAAAGTACAAACTGCTTCACACACACACACACACACACACACACACACACAATGTGCGTTTGGATTTGCCAGAGATAACTCATTTTGCACATGGGATATTAATTAAACAAAATAACTTACCACAAACTTTATGATACGAAATACAAACGTTCCAATTCACTTAAGTACTTATTTATGGTAATTACTTGTTAAGGAATGCAGAAAAAAAACATCTAATTTTAAAGTGGCCTCATTAATTGAAAATCAGTAAAAAATAAAGGTACATTTCTAAGATAATCCCAGTGAACAGGAAATAAGTTTATAGATGTCCAATGCACATAGATCTGTCAGAATTCACCTTACTGAATAGTGGGATGCATTGACAAACATGCTAAAATTTTTTAAACAGACAATTAGAGTGCCACCTTTTATCTAACTCACATAAAGAGGAAGACAAATCATTACACCCATATGTACTTTCACATTCTTACACACTGACATTTTCGTTTTGAATACAATGTGGTTCATTTTTTAGAAGCATCGAAATGTACTTATACAATTGAAACTTTTGTTAGAGTAACAGTTTATTGAATTACTACAATTCTGAATTAGGAGATAATCAAATGTTCAAATGGCCAGTGTTTTCCTGTAGAGAAAACAAAAAAATCTCCTTACTTTAACAAGGTACTGGGGAACTTGGAAATACAACTAAAATCTGGGAATTCAGTATGCCTTATTTTATAAAATTTTCCTTTGTTCTTCTCTCATAGTTTCCAAGCAAAGAAAAATGAACTAGTTTTACCTTTTCAGGCATTCCATGTTCTTTTGCTGAGTACTGTAAACTGTTTTTACTTCTCATGTGGAATTCTTGTTCTTCTTCCAAACTACTAACATCATCATCATCTGAGCTCCCAGGGTCTGCGAGAGATTTACAGTCCTGACCAAAACTTTGTGGCTTTTGATAGCTATGCTCACTTGTTATATAAGTTCCTTCCATTTTTAGGGGCAAACGAGGTGGTTCTTTATGGTTCTGTACATATTTCTTTTCTTCTCGATTAACTGTGTCTTGAGCTATTTTTTTCTCCACCCCAGCTATTATTTGATCTTGGTCTTTTCGCTTCCCGGAACAAGCCCAGAGATGAAGGTCAGGATGATGTTTATTCCTTAAAACAAAGTTGGAAAAACAGCAGTTCAGAAAAAAAAAAAAATCTATTAACAAGCTGAATACAATGATCTATTTCAGAATTAGGTTAGGAGGACATCTAGGACTCAAGACAAAAGCAAAGGTAATCTTTAAATTAACTCCCTCCATGATTTCATCCAAAATTTGAATCTTCTCAATTAAAGAAATAATACTCAGAAAAGCAATAACAAATTTAATTGTGTTGATAGTTCACATCATCATTTGATACATGCATTTCTTTTTCTACTGATTTGTCATTGTCATTTTCATTGTAAAATTTGAAAAACTTTAATGTGAGCATATTTTAAAAACTTTTATTCAGTCAAAAAGTGATAACTCCTGATGACAAAAATCCTAAATATAAATGCACAGAAAGTAAAAATTTCCTCTCCCATGGCAAACATAAATAACTGAGGTATAATCTTCCAGACTTTTTCTGTATACCTAAAATTAGTTCTTAAATGGATAAGTATACACATCTTCTTGTGACACATCCAGGACACATACAATCTGCCTTTTTGTACGTAACATGCTAGGGGCATCTTGCCATATCATGTCATACAGATAGATTTCCCTTACTTTTACTCTAGGGCTGAAGAGTTACAAATGTACCAGTCGAGCCAACCAATTCCCTACCATTATATGTTTGTGTACCTGTGTGTGTCTTTGCACACAAGTCAGAATATTTCAGTCAGATAAATTTCTAGATATGGGATTGCTGGATAACATGCACATTTATTTTGATAGGTACTACCCAAGTGACCTCAAAAGGGATTATACTAATTACAACCCCATCAACAATCTTTGATAATGCCCATTTACTTCATCCTCACTGAACATGTAAGCATGATATTGTACAGTTAATTCTGCAGTAAGTAAAACAGGAATCCAATCATCAGAGCTGAAGTGAAAGGGCATTCGGGAGATATAAACCTTTCAAAAGGCTCAATAATGTTTGCATATTAATAATTTCCAAATTAGATACATACTGAGTCAAATTAGTTCTCTTCCAATAATACTCAAGTATTGTTTCTGAAATTATAAATTTTATCATTTGAATCCCTAGTAGTTTAATATTCAGAAAATACTAAAACACTCAATCAGTAAAAGGCATAGTAGAAGAAAAGCTGGCACTGCAGTCCAATAGTCCAAGGGGTTGAATTCTGCTGTGCCATAGAGAAGCCTGAACAAGTTACAAAATCTCTTTCACTACCCAACAATGAAATGAGGTAGCTTATGATAAGGATTAAATGAAATATCACATGAAAGCACATGACGTGTAGGACTTTCAATAAATCGTACATACTAACAGATATTATGATTTAAAATATTAACATAAAGAGGGCCTATAAGTATATGAAACAGAAAGGGCCAATTAAAATCCTTGGCAAAATTATGAATGCAGAGAAACTCATACTGATACCAAGAAGGAAATAAGGTTTTAAAAAAAGACCTAATAAATTATTCCCTCCCTTAAGTCTTAGCACTTACATGGCCTTTTAAAAAACAAATTCATATTCAGGCTTATGATAAAAAACTGAAGCAAATTTTATTCAACAAATAGTTACTGAGTACTTACCCTACACTATCAATTAGAGACAAAATGATGAATAGGACACAAGCCCTATTTTAAAGGATCCCATGACTTAGTAAGGGGAGACAAGCATAAAAAAATTAAGCATACCAAAGTGGCTGACACAAGTATGCGTGGAGTTTGCCAAGAAGAACATGGTCAACTCTAGTTGGGCAGGTAATTATGAAAGGCATCTGCTAGGGGCACTAGTGGTAGAAGCTTATCCTGGGTGTGAGTAAAGGCCTAGAGCGATGGAAAAGCTTGCTTCATTTAGGGATTATGGTTTGGGATAGCTGGGATGTTTGGGGGAAAAAGCACAGGGATTATGTGGCAACAAAAAATGGTAGACAGAGTATGTGTCATGGAAGGACTCAGTCCATTGGGCAACAGGAAGATGCTCTAGTACATTAAGTTGGAGAAAGACAAGCTGATATTTATCTTTTACTAAGCTTACACTGGCAGCAGTACAAAGAATGAACTGATAGAGTACAAGGCTGGACCCACAGAGAATGGACAAGCATGGCAATCGTTCATGTGAAATGTAACAACCTGGCTGAGACAGTACCAGTGAGAAGTGAGAGAGGAACAGACTGAACAATGTCCACAAATTGCAATGGATAGGATGTGAAAGACACAAGGATGGGAAGGGAAGGAGAGGATGGGACAAGTGTCTGGCCGAGGCAAGTGCATCCAAATGAAGAAAATCTTGTGAAGAACCAGTGAATCATCCTGTTTTTACCTAAAATGTGGGTTTTTGTTTGTTTGTTCTTTTAAAGAAGAATTCCAGTCAGGCATTAGGAAGGACTGGAAATAAGGACTTCAAGAATATTCTGATACGTTCTTTAAAGACTTGTTTAAGAGAAAATTGTATGGGATGACTAACATATTTGGTGCACAGCAGAGAAGTGAATTCGGTTTGTAGGCTCCCTTCATCACCTTTAAATCAATCTTTATAAAAAAAAATACTCACCCTGCTTAGAATCTATTTCATTTGATAGCATTCCTGAAGGAGGACACAACGTATAGGGTTCACCACAGCAACTGCACTTAATTTTGCACATACGGTAAGCATACAAAACAGTGGGACAGGAGCTAAAATGTGTTGAAATACTAGATGCCGTATCTACCTTTAACCACACTTACACATTCTAGAATAGACAGGAAGCACCAACGCATCCAAAAGGTTGTTAATCTTTCCTTATTTTTAAAAATGAAACTTTATTCAAATACCTGTTCTCTCCTCCAAACTGTTACTCTGGACCATCAAAAGGCCAACAGTGTTGGTTTGAATTAAAACGTCCACTGAAGTGTGACCCTCCCTTTGCTGCCCTTCACTTACTTTAGTATTCCAATCTTCAGCTGTAGCCCGTGTAGCACTTCTGTAACACCATAGACATCAGCAAGCAGGTGATGTGTAGAAACTATCTTTTTGGCATTGAGATGAGAATAATTTTCTTTGAAAAATGATAACCCGCACATTCTCCCATTATTCAACCACTCCTTATCATAACGATATTTTGCACTCCACCTCTGACCTGCAGATGAAGTTGATATTAAATCACAGAGGACTGCACTTACTCGGATTTTTCATCAACTGCTAACCTACTAACGTTGCTCATTAAGCAAGGCAAGCTCTAGCACTAGGAGCAGATTCAAAAAGAGTAAGACAGCGTTCTGAGGAACTGGTGCAGGAAGAGCTCCTCCACACCTTCAGCGTTCCTGCCCACCCAGGAGAAGAAACACCATTAAGGACATGGTCAGTGGCAGATGACACTTGCAAAGGGAACCTTGAGTGTACTGCTTTCAATGTTTTGTAGTCATCATCTGTCCTCTAAAAAGGCTCAAAGGGCTGGATAAAAACTAGACAGGGGTTATTTCTCTCACTAACCTTTGTTTTGAACTGGATGAACCATAGAGTTCTAGCTGAGTGAATAGGAACCCTTCCCCCATGTCTGTGATTTCACAGAATCCTATGAAATTCCATATCCTTCATGTTAATATAAATTAGATCCTATTACAACCAGGTGTTTATTGCCTGTGTCCCATACTATACTACTAGCCAGTTGAAGGCATGGTTTAAATCAATCATCTCACCACAGTGGCAAATAGAAGCCATCCAGTAAATGCTTCTGAATAAATAACAAATGTCTACATTTGTTATTGAATAAATACAATGAATAATGAACACTATAAATGTTGGTGAATGAACAAATGTCTACATTCATATGGCTGTGAATAATTAATTCTCTTGCTTCTTACTGTGACTTTTTTGTGACTTATTGTGACTTTTTTCTTTTTTTCCAATAGTCATGGGACCAATTCACCACATGCCTATTATTTGAGAAAACCTAGTTATTTCCTGCCTGGAGGCTGAAGTTAAATTCAATATGCAGAATATGCTATCTGAAGATCCTCTAGCATAGAAGAAGGCACCAAGTAGACAGCATGGTGGATTGAGAGTCAAAAGGCATAGATTTCATCTCAGTCTGCCTCATCAGTAAAATAAAGGCATCACAGGTAGTGTTCTAAGACCCCACCTGCTCTACAATGAGTCGAATATGCAGAACTGCCAGGTCAGTAGCATGCAAGTTCATAATGCAGATCTACTCCGATTGCCACAAATAAGCCTAGCTAGAAATGGATACAGAGGAACAGAGGCTAATTAATTCTTCTCCAGGAAAAAGTCACACCTCTTCCCTTCCAGTAGGATAGTAATTTTGTTGATAAATATATGCTAATGTATTTGTCTAAGTAATCAATGTGGAAAATAAAAATGTAACAGTGAAAAAATATTTTAAAATTTTAATACGGAAGTTGAGTCTAATTGACCAAGAAGTACAGTGAGTCCTCACTAAGGGTAATCAATAGGTTCTTGGAAACTGGCACACTGAATAATGAAATGAATTGTACTATAAGCTAATTGATACATACAAGTTAAGTTCCTATGGCATATAGCATGCTGTTTCATTTGGAGTCACAGTTTCCAAGAACCTATCAATGACATCATGTGAGAACTTGCTGTAGTGGTGGTGAACACAGCTGATACACTCTGGAATCCTGGAGGAGACATAGAGGCATCCTGGCAATCAGCACGGCACAGAAAGCCTTACCTGGTGGGTCCCGGCAGATATAGCAGATGTACTGCTCTGGAATGCTCTCCTCCAGCAGCCCCATGCACACGCTGTGTTGCCAACACAAGCACTCTTCACACTGCAGAAAACAGAGGAGTATTACAGTCACCCGATCCTCACTAGGAATAAGCTAGGAATAAGGATACATGCCCTTTCTTTGAATTGGCTGGCTTGGCTTCTTACTGCCACTATCAGTTTCATACTTATTTGACACAACAAAATCAAGCCATGACTTAAGATGAATTTTATCTTTGAAATGGTCAACTACTTCACGAACTTTCTTTTGTTGCACCTATTAGAATATGCTTTGATCAAGTACTTAAGTCATAATTTCTCTAATTTAATTCTCACTGATATTTAGGCAATCATATCATAAAACTCTTAAAATAGTTTATTAAAATGCGGAAATTAGGGGAAAAAAAAGTTGGTAGCAGTGTCTATACCAATGATCTCTTAAAGTACTACTTCTGTGGTGAAGTTATAAATTCATAGTTCCCTCCATAAAACCACAGAAAAATGGGAGGAAAAAAGATTACTCTTTCTTCATGCTCTCAACTAACATCTCCAAATCTTCTGGCATCACAAAATTTGGGTTATGCTTTCCTTTTATCTTAAAGATATCTTTCCTACAAGAAGAAGTTGTTAACTCCTGCAACAAAATTTTTCCTTTAAGAATACTGGACATTTTTATGTTTTAATCACTGACAAGTGAAGGGTGACTATAAATTATTATTATAATAATTCACATGAATGCAGATGAGGAAGAGAAAGGTTGCTGTAGCCTGCCCTTTCGTGTGAGGGTTTACCACCCTAATCACTCTAAAGAGTTTCAGTTTGAAGGCACTGAACTACATACCCTAGAAAAGGAAGAGAGATGCTAAAATAAGAACATTGTCTACTTTACTTAATGAGGAAATCTCCTAATCATTACTATGGGTATTTTCCACACAGTAAGTTAGAAACCACTATCTTCAGTAGTACAGTCAGTAAAGAAATAAAACACCGTGATGCATTTGCTGAGCACCTGAAACAACTAACTCATTATAGGGAAGAGAGGTTAACCAATTACCTGGATCATGAAGCCATTCTCCTCATCCATCTCACAAATACATCGCACAATTTCATTAAGAGCATCATCCTCATCCTGAGATTCCTCAAAATTGGTTGAATCAAAGTCCTGATTGTATTCATCCCCACTCAGAAGCAAACTCTCCGTTGAAGAATCATCTAGGAAGTCTACATCTGATAAGTCTAGAATATATACAAAAAGTATACTTAGAACAACTTTTCTATTTTCATGTTATTTTTCATAAAGAAAGGAGCTATGAGAAGTGAACATAAGCTATTAAACATTTTAAAAAGGGGGAGCAAACAAATAAGAATACTGTACTGTACTTGTCTCTGGACATGGAAACAAAAGATTTTTGAAGCTTAGGTAATTATGACTGCTTTATATCTTATAGTATACACTATTATAAGTAACTCAAAGTGTCTTTTAGACTTCATGCTTACAGAATTTATGGCTAAGGCTGATGTCAATAAATTTGCACAGTTTCCATACACTTTCACAAACATTATCCCTTCTGACCCTCATAAAAACCCTGTGTTGTCCCCTTGTGATTTCATAGTATCAGTGTGACACCACTGTCCGTGGACCTGGGGACAGGTGTGTGTAGTAAGCCCCCATTAGCCAGCACAAGCTGGCTCTAGCACACCACTGATTCTTCATTCTTTTTCTTCTTTCTTTTTTGGATTAATAAAGTGCTTTTTGAAAAATCACTTAAAAAAAAAAACTCTGAATTGTAAAGAGGACGGGTTTTATTATTCATACTATAAACAACTTCAGAGAGGTAAAGGAGCTTGCCTAGGGTCTAAAATCAACAATAGCATTATTGACAGTATCAGCAGCATCAACTACTATAGCACTTAGTAAGCACACAGTGCTATATTAAGCACTTTAAACACAGGATATATAACTTGCTTGAGAAACGCAGCCATGGAGTGGGAAAACCAACTGAATACCAGGAATGCCTGATTCTCAAGCCTGTGTTCTTAATGACTTTACCAGTATTTCTTAAAACCGGAACCGTGAGTTCCCCAAGGGATTTTTAAAATGTATTAATTTCGTCTTGGTAAAAATATATTTTTAGATTAAGCATATCCTAGAAACAAGACTATATGGATGACTACTACATACAACTCAATTTACATGTCAGGTTTTAGGCGTGTGTGTATAATAGTGACAATGCCAAAGCCTACCATTTTGCTCAGGTTACTGAGGAAAAGAAAATTGAGACAGACACGGGGGAATCTTTATTTATAACAATGGAAAGTAAATGATGATGGAACACTAAAATTTTTGCAGTAGTTTGGATGGAGAAATGTTAGGAAAACTGAGTCATCATGAGAAACAGAACATCGTATAATGCTGTGTGAGCTCCTGACAGAGGCTAATCAGCAGAGCACCTTCCTACCTCACATCCTATCCCCTAGCCACATTCTGAGTTATCTCTTCACTTGCTTATCATCTGTCTTCTCTTACTAGAATATCAGAATCCATGACAGCAAGAACTTTGCATTGTTGAATGCTACATCCCCAGTTATTAGAATGAGGCCTGATATATAATATAGCCACTCCAGAATGTTTGTAGAAGAACTAAGGAGAGAGTCAGAGAGAGAATATTTTCTTTTCAGACTTAATCAGATGGGACCGAAGTTGAACAGATTTGAACTTTAAAAATTCACGCTATTTATACTCTACATTTTTCACATGATTTAGTGTTTCCTCTATCAGCTTCTAATCTTGCTTACTTTTTTCTTCATTCAATGTTTTTGAATGTTTTGTTGTTGATTAATGTTTTATAGAAAAATAAAGTTTTCTTCTCTTTGAAGTCACAGGGACATACGGAAGGAAGGTCAGCAGAAATAGATAATAAAGAAATATCTGAAAATATTCATGGAGCTAGTAAATCAACTAGATATGGAAAATCTAGTATGAACAGTATAACTTGTTTTAAAAGAACCTAAAGAGGAAAATTTCACCCATCCATAATCTTGCTGGCTTAAATCCAAATTTTCTTTTGGGCTTTCTCAAGTTCATTGGAATGTGGGTAAAACAGTTTCAAACACTGTTGCAGCATATAAACAGTATTAAATGGGCCGGGCACAGCGGCTCACACCTCTAGTCCCAGCACTTTGGGAGGCCGTGGTGAGAGGATCACTTTAAGTTAGGAGTTTGAAACCAGCCTGTACAACAAAGCAAGCCCTCATCTCTACAAAAGCAAAAATAATTTGCTAGGCATGATGACCTGTGCTGGTAGTCTTAGCTACTCAGGAGGCTGAGGCAAGAGGATTGCTTGAGCCAAGGAGTTTGAGGCTGCAATGAACTACGATCACACCAGTATTTCAGCCTAGGCAACAGAGCAAGATCTTGCCTCAATAAATAAATAAATAAAAATTAATTTGAAATTATATCATTGAAAGGAATTAGTGTATCTCACATATACTTGCATGGCAAAGATTACCAGTTTTATGGTGTTAGCAAGCAAATTTATCATATTCTCCACAAATCTAGTTTGAATAACTCCCAAGCATTAAACTTATGCTTAGCTGAGTTTTGGAAGTTGAGTAAAATGGATGACAGAGCTGAAAGTTATGTAAGAAGCAAATAAAAGTTCCCCCTTACGCTTGAATAGCCACCTAGACAATGGCTCCAACTGAGTGGCCACAAGAACAGCTGTTGCCTTCCAGCAACTACCCCTTAAATTGTCATTGCTATTTCCTGAGACAGCATTTTGCAAGTGTGGTTTCCTGATCAGCAACATTTATCATCACCGGGGAACTTGCTGGAACTCAGAAATTCTGAGGGTGAGGCCCAGAAATGTGTTTTAACACACTCTCTGGGCAGTTCTGACACATGCTAACATTGAGAATTTCTGGCCTAAGGCCTTATTAATTTTCCTTTTCTTTCTCCTGACTTAGTACTTGATCATAAGGGCAGGGCAGAGACTAAGAACAGAGAGTACACATCTATGGCTCTTTTCATGCTCTTTCAAGGGTTCTTGTTTCAGCACCACAACTAGCCTAGATATAACCCCTATTCTCCATCTTTCTATAGCAAGAGATAATCTTCAGATCTTGATGATTCACAGTAAGGATGTTCTTAATGTGATTATCAACCTCTGCTTCTCCATAGCATCACCTAGAAGTTGTATCTTGCCAGGATCCTTCCAGAAATCTCATTCAATTGTGCCTCATGGTAGGATCCATGATCAGTATAGTTTAGAAGAACCGCAGCAATGATTGTAAGGTTCACCGGGGGTGAAGAACCACTGAACCATGGGAAAAAGTAGACTTGTATTTGCTGGAAAAGGGTGGTGGTAACTTCTTTTTTAATCCCCTCCCATACCTCAAGGTTCTAAAAATAAAATCTCACAAGTGTCATGAGCTATAAAGGAAAGAAAATGCTTTCTCCATAACGAGCCAGGGAGGACTTAGACCTGGAAGCAAACGGTGCAAAAGCAAACATTTAACCTAGTATCCACCATCGAGGTCAGTCAGAAGAAAGAAAAAGGGAGGAAGTGAGCTCACTCACAAGGATCCTAGGTTGTACTTATGCTGAAGGCCCCGTCCCTTATTCCTCACTCTCTGACTCTGGTTGCTATTGCATTAGAGCTCTACTCTTATGCCACAGCCCTCAATGTCTACAGCTGGGATCTCTGTGCCTATTGCTTACAATATTGGAAGCAAGGTAAGAGTCTTCAACACTTTCCACTGTCAGGACTGGACCTGCAGGAAAGTCTAACAGATTTGAACTCCAGTGCTCCCTTCACTGCTGACGTGGCCTTCTGACTACCTAAGGGCGCTTAGTTCCTGCCTGTGTTTAAATCAGTTGTCTGACTACATCTCAGGACTTTGGTTACAGATGTATCTGACCAGGAATTCAAAGTATACTTTTAAGATTACCATAAATGTTTATTTAAGAAAGCATTATCTACGGAGTTAAGACAGACCTTGGTTAGAGTTTTAATTCTAACACTAGCTAAGCCGAAAAGCTACTTACCCTGTAAGTTTCGGCTTGTTTATATATCAAATGTGAATAATACCTACTCTGTCAGTTGATAGTGAAGAATATAAAAATATATGTGCAAAAACCTACAGAAGTATATACACTAGTAATATTTTCCTTATGACTCTCTTCCACCAATAAGTATAAAGCCAATTTAACTTTATATAAATTAAAAAGTAGCTCAAATTTCTCACATCAAGACTTTCATATTAGTTTAGCTAACAAGTTTTTAAATCGCATGCTCTTAACAGAGTACGTTTTATTCTCAGTTACACATTTAGGAATTGTAAGTCTTGTTTTAACCATCACATGGTTACACATACTTTCACCACTAAGATCAACGGATAGAATTGCCCTTGGGTACTGATAGGTTGTAGTTTTCTCCGTAAACATGCTTCGTGAAGCCAGAGAACTCCCAGAAGATCGAGTTAGTGGAGAAGAGCACCTTTCCAAAAATTCGAGGGAACTGTCTTCATAGTCTGAATAGTCTGCAACATAAGATACAGAAAGAAATATTAATAAAGTGTCAGATAATTAAGGTCACTATAAAAATAACGAAAGTCATGTTTCAGGATACACCAAATAATCATGCTACCACTTTCGCTTCTCATCCATGAAAAGCTACATATGGATCTGATGAACTGGGTTTAGCAAGAACACTTGGGAAACAAATATACCCCAGACAATATATACATAGTAGGGGGCACCAGGTTCTAACTGGTACCTGTAAACTTTTGTGAAGTACTATAGAGGTGAAAAAGGATTATTTCACATTTTCTCTCCATTATAATCACAACTATGTCTGCAGTAAAATATGCAAGATGACAACACATGGACACATGGGGAAGAACAACACACACTGGGGCCTGTGGGAAGTGGGGGAGAGCATCAGCAAGAACAGCTAATGCGTGCTGGGCTTAACACCTAGGTGATGGGTTGATCTGTGCAGCAAACCACCATGGCACACATTTACCTGTGTAACAAACCTGCACATCCTGTACATGTACCCCAGAACTTATTCGGTTGGTGCAAAAGTAATTGAGGTACTTTTGTACCAACCTAATAAAAGTTGAAGAGGAAAAAAAAAAGATATGCAAGATGGAAATTCACCTTTTTTCTTCCCCACAATTCGTAAAGAGGTTCTCCTGATGTCTGGCACACCAATTATACAGTGATAATCTGATCAATAAATTTTTCAAGTAATAAATCTCTGAAGGTAATTAACTAGTCCTGGAAGAACTCTGTAAAAATTCTGTTTTTCTCAGTTTTGTAATGAGTCCCACAGATGTGTGCAAGGGGAGAGGCCATATGCAGCTTACTGGAGAGTTGAGGGTATAGTAAGGGAAGGAAAAAAGGAGGTGGGGGTGTGATTCCAGGCATGTGGGAAGGCTCTGAAGCTGAAGAGTGCATGCCACATTTGGCAAGCTGTAAGACTGGCTGGAACACAGTGAATAAGGGAGAAACAAAGCTAGAGTGACAGGAGCCAGATTAGCTTTTTTTAAAAAGTTTTACCCTAATGCAATAAAAAGTCATTCAATGCTTATGTGGAGGAGGAGCAAGATGTGACAGTTTCATTTCCAGAGGATCACTCTAGCTGTGGAATGGAGGATGGAATGCAGGAAGGCACACATAGAAGTGGGGGGACAGTTCAGAGGCTACAGCAGTAGTCCAGGAAAGAAATGTTGGTGGCTCAGAACTTGGGTGATGGCAAATAAGGGGAAGATTTTAAGGAAGATGGAGTGCTGTTATAGACTGGAGGCCGAGAGCTAAGACGGCATTATCAAGATTGATTTCCAGGTTTATGCGTGAGCAACAAGGCAACAAAAGTGGGTATGAGATGGGGCTGAAGAGTAAATGCAAGGTGGAGAAACCAGAGAAGAAACAGAAGTTTAGAAGAGGGCTCTGTAAGATGGGAAATCTTACACATTACCTACATGAACCTTAAGATGTGGGAAAGGGGGATGGCAGTGGTGAGAAATGCTAGATTAAGAAAAGCAGACATTCCCTCCATTTTAATAGAGGCTAAGATGATGAATATTTTCATGTAAGCATGCAGATGTGGTAGATAGAGTATGAGCAAGTTCCCACCTGATGATGTCTGTCTTCTCAACTCTGTGAGGAAAAGGATGTCAAGTGACGCAGGTTAGGGAATACATGAGAGGTGGAAATGAGAGATGGAAACGAGTGGGAAAAAGGAAAGACAGAGAGTGGAAAAGTGAGCTTATAAGAGACGCATTGGTCTGTGCTAAGTATCCATTTGAAGGTGGCAGCTGTGGGAGACAGAATAGTCTGCCAAAAATGTCTATGTCCTAAACCCTAGAACTTTTAAATAAGCTAAGCTATGTGGAAAAGTGGAATTAAGGTTGCTAATCGGCTGACCTCACAACAGGGAGAGTATCCTGGATCATATGGGTGGGCCCAATGTAATGGCAAGGGTCCTTAAAAGTGAAAGGATGGAGGCAGAAGAGATGACGTGAGAGTGAAACAAGATGAGAAAGACTGGACCACTGCTGACTTTGAAGATGGGAGCAGGACAAGAGCCAAGCAATGCAGAAGCCTCTGGAAACTAGAAGAGGCAAGAAAACAGACTGTCCCTAAGAGCCTCCAGAGAAAAATGGAGCCCTGTTGATACCTTGGTTTTAACCTAGAGAGACCCATTTTGGACTCCTGACCTCCAGAACTTTAAGATAATAAATACATATTTTTTTAAACCACTGATGTGCAGTAATTTGCAACAGCAGCAATGGGAAACTTACACTCATCATCATAAATACCACGGCACAACCAACACTGATTGAGGGCTCTCTATGTGCCAAATGCAATTTTCAGTTCTTTATGTGTATTAACTCTTTTAATCCTCACAAGCATCTAATGAGGGAAGTAGGACTGCTAGTAAAGAATTGAGGCAAGACAGATGAAGCAAATTGCCCAAGAATATACAACTATCAATAGCAAAGCCAACATTCAAACCCAGGCAGCCTGACTATGGAAGCTACACTCTTAACAAATAAGTGATATCGGTGTATTTCAACATTTAAAGGGTGCACAAGCTGGCAAGCTTGTTAAACCCCAGATTCCTGGGCCTCATCTCCAGTGCACTGGGAATGAAACACTCCCAGATGATGCTGATGCTGTCAGATTACAGCAGTCTTTGGGCAGCACTACGCTATTCTGACTCCAGTGGCCTCACCATAACCACAGTTTGCCCAACACCATATTACTTAGGCCCAGACATGGAAAGGACATTTATTAAATGCCAGGTACTGTATCAAGTACTTTACAATGATTACTTTATTTAATTCGAATAATAAATCTATGCAATAAAACTATCAATTACCATTTATTTTAGAAGAAAGGAAACTGGGATGTAGAGAATTTAAATAACCTGTCAAAGGTCGCTTAGCTGTAAGTGTTACGGGCAGGATTTGAATACCTATACTAAACCTTCAAGGCTGCCTTCTTATCAACTCCATTATATATTGTCCTTTCAGCAAAAGTAAAAGTAGAAGCAGAATCTGATTGTAAAAACAATGAAAGAAATCTCAATTTTGTACTAAAATAAAACATGGCTGATATTTAATAGGTAAAACTTGGCATTCCGCACCCTGTCTGTATTCCCCACTTCAATTCCCTCTGGCTATTATGAATAAAAGTCTGTTATGTTTCAAGGCTTAGATCAGAAGTAGTCTCCTACATAAAGTCCCTTCCTTGATCATACCAACTTTTCTAGCTTAAATATTTATTTTGTACCACTCTTACCACAAATATCAGACCTTCCTGGTAGAGATTTATGTATGCTTATCTCTCTTACCATATACTTCAATGACTTACAAGCTCCTCGAAGGAATCTTTTTTACTATGCAATGCTTTCAATTCTCTTTTCACTTCTAACTCTATTTCTTTTTAATCTCTGTATGCCTGCAGTATCCTTATATTTACAGACACATGAAAGACAGATGAAGTGATTTGCTCAAAGTAACAAAGCTAAAAACTGGCAAAGATGACACTCTTAAATCCCAACATGGTGACTTCTCATACACACAAATTAAACACAATGTTAGTATTATGTCTTGTAAACCAATTATGTTAATCAAAACATATCTTAACCTACTACCTCATAAAATAATAAAAAACAACTAATCTAAATTACTTTGCATAACTGCATTAAAATAACAGGGACAAGAACTTAGTATGCCAATAAAAACAAGTAAAAACTTGTTGAAGAGAAGAATACACAGTTTGATAAACAGTATTTCAGGTATTAATAACATAGCATGGTGATTAGAGTTAAAAATTCAGACTTGTAAGTCAGACTGCTTGGATTTGAAATGAATCTGCTTTTCACCACTAGCTAGCTATGAGAGCTGGAGAGCTCTCTTTCTCACTCTCTCTCAGTTAACTGTTGGTAAAATGTAGATAACAGATCCTATTGTAAAGGGTTAATATGAGGATTAAATGAAGTAATAATATTTATAAAATGCTTAGTTTTGGGTACATAAGTACCAGCAGGATATATAAAATAATGTTGAGTGGTAAATAAAAGAAAGAATTTTGAAACTCCCTCATGGTGCTAACTGTAGACTAAAAAACATACTAGAAGCCTCATACAGTAATAATGTCAATTCTTTAACATTAAGATGTCTTTAAAATTTCAAAGTTACTTCAAATCCTGTATTTCCCACTTAAAGACCACTCTTCTAATTTAACCATCTGGGGAAAAGTGCCATTTCTAAGATAAAGTAAATAGCTCAGAATAAATTCTCCTCAAATGCAACAATTAATTACAAAGATGACAGTGATTATCAAACTCAACACCTGCTGTTTATAAACAGCAATGTTTCTGTGCATCTTACTAGGACTCTATTTACAAAGTTAAGATTTTCATTTGTAAGCCTGATTTCAAAATGTAAACAAATATATAAGGTTTTCTTTTTCATTAAAAAATAAAAATATATACCATTTAAAGTACGTTTTAATGGCTCTTTGTAAAGGGTTCCATAGTTAATGGCTGGTCACAATTCTAAGGTGAGGTTTTTTTGGCCATTTTTCCTCTATTAATCCTAATTGCTCCTCCTTCTCTCAAGTTACAATTTCCTGCCTTCTCTTAAGCTCTAGCCCTCATATTTTGCTACCAAGTGTGGGCCCCTTCTTATTTTGTTTTGTATCAGCTGCTGTTATCTTTTTCCCCACTTTCACAGGTATTTTGTATGTAAGATTCTGTGTCTGCTACTAAATATCAGAACAGAACACAGTTTGTTGCTGTGCCGTAAGATAACCCTGAAATAGCTGGCCATTCCTGCACTGACAATGCAGGTCTCCATTGGAACACCTAAGCTAGGCAAATCCCCTCAGAGCCTTTGGTCAGGTGGGAGTTCATCTGGAAGTTTTATTTGCAGCCTGAGCTTCTCATTTCTGTATTGTGACATACCACTCACAGAAGGGTATTCGGTAATCAAATGAGTTCACAGTGAATAGTTTTTGTTTACCAAACTCCGGAGTTTCCTACCTCTACATCATTTCTAGCTTGAATTCCACAGTTACATATGAAGAGGTGATGGGGGGGTGGGCAGGAGGGAAAGGAGTGAGGCGCAAGGCACACACAGAAGTGCCCGGAAATGTTCAAGACTCTCTGGAAAGCCGTTTCAAGCTTTGAACCCCATTTTGATCCTGTATCTTCAAATTTACTCTGGCAGCTTTAGAATTCGAGAATGTGAAAATTTCACATTCTGTGGGAAAATTAAATGTTATTTTTGGACTATGGAGAGAGCTAAAATCTGAAGAATTTACCAACAATGATTACCAACCACAAAACTGCCCGGTTGGATTTGTATTTTTTAAAACTGGTTTTATTAAATATCTAATAAATATGAAAAAAATGGGTATGACACAAAGAATATCAATAGCACAAAACACTTAGGTACTGATCATACAGTTTAAGAGAGTATCATCATTTTTGAAGGTCCCTTTGCACCATTTTCCAGTTTGAACTGATAATGGCCCTTCCCCACCTTAGAGGCAACCACTGTCTTGAATTTTTGTTCATCATTCTCTAGTTTTTCTTTATGCTTTTCCCACACACAGTTGAATCTCTTAAAAATACACTGTTTAGTTTTAAAACTTTTTTATCTTTATATAAGTGAAATATTATGTTTTCTTCAGTTACTTGGTTTTTAGCTTACCATTTTGTTCCTGAGATTCTGTAGCTGTAATTCATTTATTTATTCCACTGAAGGAATGCATGACTTTTGATGGAGAGCTGGGCTGCTCCCAGTGCTGCTGTGAACACTCTCATATTTGATGCACCGTGTGAGTTTCCTCACGGGTTTTTAGGCCACTTGGCGCACACATCGTCACCTTACTCCCTGGTCCCCATCTGTTTCCCACAGTAGTTGTGTAGTTGCCTTCATTTCCTCAGCAGCATCTGCTATTACCTATCTGGTTAGTTGTGCCAATACAGCACGTCTGAAACAGACTTCACTATGTTTTAACAATTGCGTTTCATCTAATTTTCTGATACAATTTTGCATACCAATCCTATGTGGTCATATCCTTTTAACACATTGTTAGATTTAATTTTATAACATTTATTTATGGATTTTGGAACTATGTCCATAAGTAAGAAGAGTTTGTGGCTGTGCTTTCCCACATTATTCTCTCCTGATTTTGATAGCAAAGTTACTTAAATCATTTAAAATAAATTTGGAGTTGTGTTCATTCTTAGGGGTGCCATAAGAAATTACCATAAATTTAGTGGCTTAAAACAACAGAAATTTATTCTCTCAAAGTTCTGAAGGCTGGAAGTCCAAAATCAGGGCTTGACAAGGAAGTGCTCCCTCTGGAAGCCCCCAGGGCCAAATCCTTCCTTGCCTCTTGCAGCTTCTTGTTCCTCTGGCTTCTTGGCTTGGGGCTGCATCCCTCTGATTTCTGCTCCATCTTCACATGGCCTTTGCTGATACCAAATTCTGTTGGTTTCTCAAATTCTTCTAAAAATATCTATTTCACTCTCATTCTTGAAAGCTAACTTAAGGAACTCTACAATTCTAGACTGAGAATAATTACTTGAGCATGCTAAAGGGTGCTTGGTCAGGGCATCGAGTCTACCATAATGCTGGAAGGAAAAATGTCTAATCAGTTGCAACAATTAAAGGCCAGAGTGCAACAATTATAGGCCAGAGTGAAACAGAGTAGTATATTTTTGAAATTTCATGTCAAAGGAAAGCTACAGAAACCTTTCAGTTCTCAACACGGGACACGGGGATCGTGTCATGACTCCATTTTGTAAAAGAAAAGGGGAATCAAAGGAAACTTCAAATTTTAAAAAAAGAGGGAATAATCATCTCAGTGTACTTACCATGTTGCTTAGATTTCTTTTTCTTTTTTTTCTTCTTCTTCTGTTTTGGTCTGTAGTGATCTTTGTCTCTCTTCTCTCTTCTTTCCTTATCTTTTTCTTTTCTCTTACCTAAAAGATAAAAGTGAATACTTTAGCAATCACGACTGATCCTGAGTTGTTCCTTTGTGGTTAACCTAAAAGCAGCATTTATGTTTTAATCAGCTATTCCAGTCACCTGCCCAGAGTGGATGGGTTCAATTAAACTGTTCATGTCATGACTCTGGAAGTCCTGATAAGCTTATTGGACTATAAGAGGGGATCTTCATTAGCAGTGCTGAGAAATCCCAACTCCTGATACCTTAAAGTTAACACAGACAGTAGTTAAAACCTTCAATGAGTAATATTCTCAATTTCCTGATGTGGTAAGAAGTTAAACTCCATAATTTACAAAGGACCTGAATGAAGAGACTCAGCATTTCCATATGTAATTTAATGAGAGAATAAATTAGGAGATTTAAAAAAAAAAAACCTGATGGACTTTTTGCTTTGGATAAGCTTTAAAAATAATTAAATCAATTCATAAACAACTCCTCCAGTCTTTATTTACATTCTTTGTGTGTTTAACAATGAAGGCTAAGAACACGAGGAAAAAAAAATATATTTCATTAAACTAATTTTTCCAAAATTGTAAAGCATTCTTTTCCCCAATCATATGTACTTAAAAAAATAAATATTAGAGCAGTATCCTACATTTCAAATTAAATCATCACACATATCCTACTAGCTATTGCTCCAACTCACAATGGTTTAGCCTATAATTTATCCAACATATTTGACCAACTTTCAGTGATTCAAGCTCCAGTTAACTAATCTACAGTATATTTAAGACTATCATCCATTATTTTGTGACTTTTAGTCATTACAGCACAGAAAATAGTATAGCAGAAAACTCAATAACATTTTTATAAACTATAATGAAGAAGAAAGTGTGAAAAAATTACTATTTTAATCTAGCATCCATTCTCTAAAGTCTCAACAATATTAAATCGAGGTCTATTTTTGAATAGCCATAATTTTGACTAGGGATGATCATAAACACAAAAGTTCCTTTGGAGAAAGCAAGAGACTCTCTTGACAAAAAAGTTACATATAAAACAAGATATGTGTTTAATAAATCATGTATCTGGAGCTGACTAACACTAGTAGGAACTAAAACAGATGATCACTTACACCTAAGGTAGCATTAACTGGTAAAGAGTAAGGGGCAGACTATGTCCTCCCTCTCTGTCAAGCTTTATAGTCTTTTGCTTAAAGATTACTTTCTGTTCATACCAAATGCTGTTGAGCTTTTGTCTTCCAATTTCACTTTTTTTTCTGTTTTCGATATTCCTGTGGGTTAGGGGAAAAATATGTAAGTTTAATCAGAAAAACTTAAAAGTATGGGACAATATTTTACATTACAATTGCTCATAAAACTCTATGTAAGACTCTTTTTCTCCTAACGGTCTACATGTTTTACTGCCTGAACTGGTAACAAAGCGGTGAGATTTCTTACCTTAAAAAACAACCAAAACAATAAATTAAATGTGATTTTTGTTATTCAAACTACTCAGGTTCAACATCTGGTTCCACCACTTACTAGCTCTGTGGCCTTGAGGACATCATTTAATGCCTCTGTGCTTCTGTTTCCTTATCTGTCAAACAGGAATAAGTCTGTATACCTCATGCAGTTATAAGGATTATGTGAGTCAAAATGTGGAAGATGTCTAGTCCAAAGACTGGTAAATACGTAATTTTTTTCATTTTCTCCTTTGTGGTAGGGTAATAATTTGACACTACACTATTTCCAGAAATAGCATAAATATGGGTCTAACCATAAAGAAAAAGTTAACTGTACTAGGCCATCAGTAAAGGTCTACTCTAGCACCACAGCCTTCGGCAATCCAAAAGATACTGAAATTCATCTGAGTAGTAGTTCCAGGTACCATTTCTACTTCTGTGACAGTTATGACATGAATGCTATCTGGATTATCCAAATGAAATATTAAACTCCATATTAAAGCATACTGGTTTTCAACAATCTGTACACATTTTTAAAACTAACATTTAAGCTCTTGTGCCTAAAACAAACTTGTACCTTTGAACTCCATCATGAATGCACTGTTAGGTAATGATAATAGCCAAAATAAAACTGTTCTGCAAACCACTTTTGTTCTATATATAAATGTAAAATACAAAGACATACTTATACATTAAAATATTCAATCTCAATAAATATTCCAATAAAACATAGGTATTATTAATAGTCCAAAATTCATTTTTAAACCAATATTGCACCTTTAATTACTGTGCAGCTGACACAGGTACATTTAATCAATTCATATTCAACCATTCCCAATGCTAATATCTATTTGTGGCTAGTGTTCATCTAAGAAAAATACTACAGTACATTTAAAATACAATTTTAGTCTATTAAATTATGCTTTAATGTCACCATTTACCAGTTTAATTTTTTAAGATCATTCTACAACAGTATCAAAAAATCTGAAATTTCATTCATCTTACTTCAAATATTTTCTATCATTTAAATATAATAAAAATATAAAAATACCACTCAAATCAAGTGCCAATAAGGCTCTAGCAAGTAAGTTTAAACCTAAATAAGAATACCAATAATCTCCATTTGTTATGACAGAAAAAATGAAAGGGATATCACAGCAAAGAGAAATACAATTAAATTTTCTTATTAGCAAGACTGTTGAAGAAATGCATCCCTTCTGTTTACTACTTGCTGCACTATTAGAACTTTATAAATTTGATGCAATTTCCTTGAAAACAATAAAGCATTTACAATGCAAACCATGAGGCATGTGCTTTCCAAATCCTCAGTGGTAGTACAGATACATTCAGATATATTGCTAACAGTGATCATTGCCTCTTAGGTTCTTACATCTCTGGAGCACTGGATCTCTAGGGAAAAGGTGGAACAATGATGTTTAGAATCTCCTGGAGTGGGGACAGGGAGTCAGATTAAAGGAACTGCCTTACTAGGCTACTTTTACTGAATGGAATGTGTGCACCCCTTAGGTACTTGGAAGACAAATAAAACAGTTATGAACGACTGCACCAGAAACACGGAAGTTAACACAGCAGAAGAGATGCAGTCATTCCCAGAGTGGGGTCCAGAGAGTCAGTTCGAGATACTGTTTTTACTTGTTCTAGTGGTTCCCAAACCTTTCGATTTCATAAATGATAAAATTTCAAGAGTAAAACTGGGAGACTCATAAAGGGTTGTCAATGTTTTACTCAAGTAAGGATATTAAAATAAATATTCATATATGCAACGGCAGGACTTTAAAAAATACACACAAATAGGAAAACAAAAGAGACCATTCCAGAAGTCAACAAGAAAAATAAGTTTAGTTTTACAAGAAGTTCACGATCTCGTCCTTATTTTACCACGTGCTAGAATTTGGTGACCAAAGTACCAGAACATTAGTTTGTAGAATAGTAATTTTTAAACTAAATTTTAGCAACAGAACATTAAAAAAAAATTATCTGGCAGCTGAATACAAAACGCAACAACAAAAACCAAAACACAAATGGAGCTACTCTAGTTAGAGTCAGAGAGGCAGATCTCTGAACCATGCCTGCCTGCACACAACTCAAAAAACTAGTAATGTAGAGTGATTTCTCAAGCCTCTTCTGGTATGCTAAACATTACAGATTCTTCTGACTAAAAAGAGAGGCAATCCCTGAGACTCTCCATAGAAACCCCAGGCTCTGTAGAAGCCATGAACATTTGGTATGAGGGTGGAGGCAACAGAGTCTCCAGCTGTAGTTTTGTTTTGAACGAATCTGGAAAATAAACTGAAAAACAATTTAAAACAAAAAGACTTTTAAATAGTAAATGTAAAGTTGATGTGAGATGTTGGAATAAAAATGAAGGCCATTTCAAAACCCACCACAGGCAGATGAGGTAGAACTGACAAGATGCTTTTTTGCCATACTTAGACCAACCCCATGACCTACTTCTGTTTTTCACTGGTGATAAAATGGATTATATTAACCAATCGATAATATAATTCATGAACACTCTACAGAATATTCACTAAGAAGAGTCCAACTATCTCATCTATGATAGTATCATAGTATCTATGTAAGTATCTATGTAATAAGTAAATACATTTACTTGCATCTACATTTCATTCAAAAACTAAGATGACTTTGAATGACACTGAAGCAAAGCCTGATGCATTTCATCGAATGCTACCCGAAAACTCAGGGGACCTGCTCATGGACATCCTGACGTTACATAAAGGTACACTCTGCATGGCCACGTCAAGCCAACATTCCTATCCATGCTAACTAAGACATGCTGCAATAAAACAGGAAAATGCTCCTTGAAACTTATTTACTAATTTGCTAAAAAATAAAAAAAAAATGAAGATGGGTTACTAAAGGTATTTCTTTTAATACAAGAATAACTTTTTAAAATGGCTCAAAATTATATGCATACAACCTACTAATGCCAATTTTGTCTTCACAGTGGTTACAAACAATAAGTTATCATCTCTAAGGCTATCTTAATTGACGTTTTTAAGCAAAAATAATCCTACATCATAATCTTTTTTTGGAATAAACATAGACTCTATCAAATGCCTGATTAATGATAAGTAAAACATCAACATTGTAGAGCCAAAAGTGACCACAGACATCATCTACTATAATCTCATCATATAGATGAAAAACTGAGTTTCAAGGAAGCAGGAAGAGAAGGCAGATGGTTTGTCTCTCCAGAGTTTTTAAGAGGCTCTACCAGAGGCCTCTTGGGGCAATCTTTTGTTCCTTTACACCCAAGAGTACTTTACACCTATTCAGGCACTTAATCTTGCTTTAAATATTTGTATTTCAGTTATTAGCTTTGTGTCCCTTCTAGACTCTAAGTTTCCAGAAGGCAGATTCCACATCTGTTCACACTGTGCTTCCCACCTAAAGAGAATTGTGTTGACAAGGGGCAATAGATAACTGTTGGCCCAAGGTGCCTGTGAGAACCTGAACCAAGAGTATTTTTCAAAAGACCCCTTTTCAAAAAACTTGATTTACTCTATCCTCCCAGATACTAACAGAATTAAGATTTTCTGAGGCTGTATCCTTATCTAAAATTGGCTGGCTCTGTGACAAAGCATCCTGATAGTAAAATAAAAACAAAGGCATCAATTTTTACAAAGATACCAATTACTTGTTTGGTAATGTAGGCAGCAATAGCATTCTTAACAGTGGCTAGACATGTGGGCATCCACCCCAGCAGAAGAACATACGAGAGATTATTGCAAGTTCATTATCTCTATTGGAAAACAATTAAGAAAAGTTGTATATAATAATTGGACTATCTGCAAATCTCATCAATCCTTCAGCATCAAATGCTAAACTCAACAGTGTGAATTTATCTTGCTCCCCCAAAAGTAAAAACCTAACCATGTTGAACAATTTCACAGTTAGCAACTAACACCCTCATCATTCTAAACTCCCCAAGAGTTTCAATTTGACAAAAATAACTCAGAAAATGTCTCTGACGAACTGTAAAGAATGTTTTCAATTATCAGTTTTAAAATTCAACAGTAAGAAAATTTACTTTTATAATATGGACACCAACAAAACATACATGTGTGTATGAGTATGTGCATATATGTACATATGTATCAGAGAAATAAAAACATAAAAACCTGGCACTTTGGCTCTAGATGTAAAAGGACTTGGGGAACAGACAGAAGCATAACAAATACTGCAAAATAGTCAAGAGAGGGTGAATAACAAAAAGGTTAAGGAGAAAAGCATAGAGACCACCGAGAATTTCAATGCACGTGGGACAGGCACACAAGGTTGTAATCAAAAGGTGTTCAGTCAGAACATGACCTAAATTGCACTACTTTCCTCAAAAACTAAAAATTAAGAGGTCACAGAAACAAATGAGAATTTCACCTCCCTCTATTCAAATACTGTGTTCAACCCTCTAATAAATCTTCAGTAATTAACAATTAAAACTATGCATTTCCTTGCTATAATCAATTAAAGTTGACAGCTACTGTACTATTAAGCTCATCATATCCAGATAATCCTTACTCTTCCACAAATTCAAATTATAGCTAAACTCCTCTCTACCTTTTACTTTCCCAGAAAACGATCTTACTTATTTTACTTTTCCAATAGTTACTGCTAATATTTAAAAAGGGAAAGAATATTCGTGTGCCTTCCTCTAAGGTAGTCAGCCACATTGCCACAAATATGCTAGAAATTCTGAAAAGAGGAAGTTAATAATCTGGTTAGAAGCAAAATCATCGAAGTCAAGGACTTCCATGCACAATCACTACATTGATATTTTATGATATATAATCTGTTAATGTAAGACTCTTAGTTATTACACAGTTACTTATATTGGCCTATATTTCAATATTGTTACAAATATTAGAATACTTTTAAAGAAAAATGTAAATATTTTCACATGTACATTTGAAAATAATTTTCCCAATGTATATACAACCTTATAACTTTAACATATTTTTCATATATTCAGTACGGTAACAAATTCCAGATCGTTAAAGAACCGAATAAGACCTTTATCAAAAAAGTATCTCAATGGGTCAATGACAATTTGGAAATCTTGTGGAAAAGTGGAAAAGAAAAATTAATTATCTTAAGGAAAGACCAAGAGTCAAAAGACAATAGATCTGATTTGAGAAACTACAGGAAATGTTTCAAAATCTACAAATATTCACATTTGGGTATTGTTTTATTTTTTTAAACATGATAAAGAATTATCATGTACAAAGTAACTTCAACCTTTATATAAAGATAAAAATTAATAAAAATAAGTATATGTCTCTTATGTTACTTCAATCATTTTATTTCAATACATGCCATCACCAGAAAAGAATAAGTTTCATTTTATGCTTCATCCAAAAAATGGATAAAATGGTTTCAGGGAAGACGCCTGTAAACACAATGATCACCAACACCCTTGGTAACGAATCAACAAACTGCCTTATGTTTTTCTCCAACTCACAACAAACTAAATTCAGACTTCCTTCAAACATCTAGTTCCAACAGTAATTTACCAGAAGTGCATTTGTAACTAGTATTGGCCTTTTTATTTTATGTGTATTCTAGATCAGGTTATAATTCTTAAAAACTTCTAAATAAAACAATGCACCCACATAAGGGAAACATGAATAGATATTATTAGATTTAAAATATCAGCTTGGTAAAATACACATCCAAATGCTTTCGAACTACAATAAATATCACAAAATCATGCAAAAAATGTGTTATTAAGGATGGCTGATTTTACATATTGCACTCCTCAAATAACTTTACAGCAAATTTAATTCAATTTGGAGGATTCTGCCCCAAAATATGGAATTATATTTAAGATACAGGCATATAGCTCAGTGTTTCTTAAATATTAAATTCTATCAAAATCCTTAAACCAAAGTACTGATCCCATTAAGTATTTCCCAGCTTCAAAAGTAAGAATTCCTGTAACTATACTTGGCTCTAATAATTTATATTTAGTAGAAATAAGGATATATAAAAAAGAAGCAGGGAGAAGGAAATAGATCAAGTGACAAGGTTAAGCAGCATGTATGTCCAGGGAATATGATTGTAAAATGATCACACAAAAGACCTTTAAAACGGAGATGAAACTCTCCTATAAATGTTAAAGTATTTATGAAAAGGAATTATATAGGAATCAAAATAATGTAGTTAAACCTCAAAATGTTTATACCTAATAACTGCAAGCCTAGCTACTTATCTACTTATAGGAGCCTTTATTTTTTTTCTTTTACCTGCTGCTGCTGGAGCTCCTCTTCCATCAGCTATTGCTTTGGAAGAAGGATTTGGAAGCATCTGTGTATCCTCTTTTTCTGCCCTGGGACATTCATTACGGTAAGAGGAATCTGAGGCTACCGGTGCTGTAACTTCTGAACCACGACTTAAGTCAAGAGGGAGACAGGGTCCCAGCTTCTCAAGTGGCAAATGTGCAACATCAGGCACTACACAAAATAAAGAGTGTAATGTAATATTAACACAGATAAAATGGCTCAGTTACTATCACTGTGAATTAAAGTGTTACATAATTTAAACAGTGCCTGGCACAAAGAAGGCACTCAATAAATATTTGTAGAATAAGTGAAGTGCTTATAACTCCAGAAGATATAAGAGCAGAAATATCTTAATATTTTAATAATCTTTATCTCTTAGTTTTTTCTTTATCTTCTTTTATGTTTGGTTCTATAGGAAATCAATATACATTACCCTCTGGTACTGAAGATTCTTGCTGATTTTGAGAACTGATGGAGAATACTTTCCCATCAGTGGCTGGAGAGGGAGAAGAAACCTTTTCTACAGAATCATCAGGCATGGGTAAGGTGGCTAAACGCTGAGATCTTCTTCTCCGCTCACTATGCTTGAAAGGTCTAGGGGGATTCACAGGCTGTGGAGGACCTAGAAAAAGATCTTCAATGTTCACGAAGCAGATACATACCAGGAGCATCTTACAATATTTAAGGAGATAAATGGGAAAAAATGATTTATATTCTTCCCTCTGATGTTGTTATAAGATATCCACAAGGAATGGCATGTTCCAAAGGTAATCAAAGGCAAAAATTGTGCCCTCATTCAAAATGAGTCAATCAAAAATTGTAAAATCTACACTCTACTAGAACTAAAAGAAAATAAAATGGAACATTAATTTCAAGTAGCTCCCCCAAGTGACAGACTACAGTTAATTTCTCTAATTGCAGATCGTTGTGTAAATTGCCATTTTTCCTTCGGGAAAATAGTCTCTTTACAGCAAAAGATAAGGAAAAATATATATATATGTATTCCTTTTGCTACATTGCAAATCTAGAAACTCTAAGGGAAAAAAAGGCAGGGACAAAGATGATACAACATTATAGAGTTAGTGATTTACTTTACACTAATGTAAATAATTTTATCCCATCATCATCCCCCCCAAATGGAGTTTTATAAACATGTCTGGGCCTGATTCATTAAAAAAAAAAAATGAACAAAAACAACTTTGTATACTTATTGTGAGCAAATAATGAGGATATTTAAGATTATGACATTGTGTACTTGTGTTTTTTAACAACTTGGTAAGTAATTTAGGCATCTTCTAGCAATATAATATAAATATTTGGAAATGTCTCTCACACTTTTAGATATCTTCTTTCTACATGGCATACAAACACATTTGACTAGAATAGGCAAGATTATATATGCCAATATATTCATGTTAATTTAGAAAGAGGAAATAAGAACAGTCTAAAGACATTGATGTTTGGGTATTTAAGAGTAATTTTACAATCAAAACGAAAAAGACATGCTGATAACTTAAAAATATGAAAGAATAAAATTTAATTGCTATAATATTGTGGTTATAATACCAAGATATAATTTCCAAAATAAAATGTTTATTAATGTCATATGACATTCCAGTGACTACTACTGACACTATTTCATGATAAATGCCATAATGAAATGAAGCTTATTAGGAAAACAATTGAATTATGTTCCCATTCTTTCCACCTATTAAAAAGAAAAAGCAAAACCTGATCAAAATGAAAAAATGATTCAGTAGAAAATATGGCAACTGAAGGAAAATAGGTTAATAAGTTTGATAAAAGTCTTCTGAATGCCAACATCTTTGATTATTCTGGAAGACACAATATGGAATAAGGAAACATGTCATATTCACTCAACTGATCATGTATTTCATTTTTTGCATAAAGAGCAAAAAAAACCATCATTTACCAACTGACTTTTCAAATAACTGTTATTCATGTCTCCAACTTAGGATACTAAACTAATATGAGAAACTCAGGGTCAACACAAATCTTGTATTATTTATATATACAGATATATAGGGAGATAGATAGATATACCCATGTGAAAGGTGTTTTCGAAAAAGACTGCGTTAACTCTTGAAAAATTAGAAGTACTGAAACAGTAAAATCTTTAAAAATACAATCATGGGGGCATTTTTTTTTCATTAAAAAGATTAAACTGAAGTCTAGACTATAAATATTATAATAAGAATGAATAAAATGTATTGCAGAGGAAAGTTATAGACAAGTGGGGACAAAAAATCTACAGGAATAGTCTTAAGTAAAAATAGCTATCCTGGGTCTTTTTATAACTTTTTTTTTTTGTAATGAATCAGGCCTCTCAGTATGCTTGGATTATGAGTTGAGGAGAGTCAAACTACAGTGGAATCTGTGTTATTAAATGGAAAGGATTCTCAACCAGCAGTAGTCTCTAAGCAATAAATCAGTAAGAAATGTCTATGGTTTTTGCCCCTGAAATAGTTTCAAGCCTTCCCTATCATATCCACTTGAGTTTTTAAAAAGCAACTTCATAAAAATACAATATAACTACAATCAAACTGTTTTTAATGTATCTTATAGGATAAATAACTATTTTTTAAAAATCTGTGCTCACTAGTTTTATTTATCACTGAAGAAGAAAGCTGAGATACAAGCGTCAAATCCTCGACTTGTATTAATTCTGGGGAAAGTGGTGATTTAGGGGGTTTTATACACCCAGAAGAATCTCCAGATTCATGTTTGCATTTCTTGCTGCGAGCCTTCCCTGAAGACAAAGTTGAGGATAACAGTGCAGGTTTCTGAGTGTTGGCAGAACTGCTAATGTCAGCTTCATTTTTTTTCTGACTTTGAGGTTTAGGTGAAATCGCCTGAATAAATAATAAAAAATTGATATTTTTATTTTGGCTTCTTCATTTTTGTTCTTGTATTCTATTTTGACTGTTAAGCAACTTTAGTATCCAGAAACATTGTTAAGCAACATATAACATTTCTATTACAAATGAAAAACCAAAAAGAACCCCACAAATTATTAACTAAAAGTTGAATAGGCTGTCTTTAAAGGGATGCTGTCAACTTTCAGTCTAAATTCATTTTTTAAAATATATTATTCATAATATTTTCGGAACATAAAATGTTATCTTACTGGACAAATATTTTCAGTATTAAATAGAAATATACCCCTTTAGGAACCATAATTGCCAATGACAATAATTCGAAAAATAAACAGCATTTTCATGTTTTAAAGGATTAGAGGAATACATTTAAGCTTTTGATTTTAGATGTTTTCTTATAAAATCTTTTCTTTTAAGTTGAATGTAAAGGTCTAAGTAGACAGATTCCCTTTAAAGAAAGATCTGAACAGGAAAAACAATGACCAAATTAACAAAACATTATCTTTAACTCATTTTAGTGCTGAAAGCTAGAGTTTCATAAGCACAATGCATCATGAAATCAGAGCCACCAGCAATATAGAGTTAAAAGACTAAAAAACAATACAAAACAAGCAACAACAACAAAAAAAAAACCAAAGAGATAAAGTGTAAGTTAAAAACATTGGATTTAAAAACAAAATACGTCGCATTCTTAGATGAGAGTTTTTACCTTCTTCCTGCCAACTGATACTTTTAAAAAAAAATTAGAACTTTGTCAGTTCTTTCATAAAAGATCATTTTTATTCATTTGGCTGTAAAATTTCCTACATATGTTAAAATATGTGTGAATGTGTCCATTTTTCAAAACAAGAGAAAATAACTACATTGGATGAATTTGCAATCTATGGTTCTGCAATACTTCTATCTCTTTCTGATATACTTATCTGAGAGCAAAATATATAATATGCATTTTTTGAAAATCTATTCTACCATAGGCCTTTATAAAGAATCAGACTGCTAGCACTATAAACAACATGCTTGTCCCCAAGAAATCTTTTTACTTCCATATCTTGTGGAGAATAACTATCAGGTCTGCTGTCTGCAGTTCTCTGGAATATGAACGATCATTTTCTGGGGACTAAATAAATAAATAATTCTGTTCCCACTGAGATACAAGTCAAATTTTGCTGGGGAAGAAAAGTGCATATTTGGTATTAAGTAGGGCACCTTCAATGCTCTATAGACAGCATGTTGGACATACCACATAAAAGGCCTGGTGTCAAGTGTCCCATTCATTCAGTTGTCATCATTTCTATTATTGAATTTACTCATTATAAATGTGTATAAGTGCAGATTAATTATTTGAAAAGGTACTTCATAAATGGATAGTATTCCTAACCTTATTATAAAAGGTGTTGCCAGAAAAGTAATTAGAGCCATTACTTGTAAATAAACAATTTTATTGTTCATCTTCACATATGTGAAAGACATCACTACAGCATCCATTACTCTCAAGTTACAAAGTTATAAAACAAGATTTTAAAACTTAATATCTTGATAAGGTGCTTAACTTCTAAACAAGGAAAAATTAACATTGTTTTTAAAACTTACTGAGTTATTATGCATCTAATGCAAGTTTTATCCAAAAGTAAATATAACATGACATATCCCTAATACAATTAAATAATCTATAATTAATAAGCTGAGAATTGGGGTTCAAGACCACAGTTTGAATTTTTAAAAAATATAAATAAGTCCATTAGCACAGTAAGTTTTGACTACAGGCCTGTTATCAATCTATGTCATGAGTGACATTACTTTAACTCATTAGGAAACAGAGGTTAGTAACAATCAATACCTCTCCTTTAGGTCTATTGCTGATACCAATTGAGATGTAATTAAGAGCTTTATAACTCGGCTTTTTAACTATGAAGCGAGGCTAACACATAGGATAAAAATAAGTGTTTGTTCACAAAACATTTTCACATTGAAATCAACCTGAATGACAAGTAGAAAATGAGGGAATGGCATGGTGTTCCTGAAAATCTAAAATAATTTACAAGGTTTTCATTAATGATTGTTGGTCTCTTTGTTACAAAACTGGCAAGGACTCTCAAAAGTTTTTAATTATGAAAATAGAAACAGCCGAGTTACACAATTTTCCTTTCTTTTTTAAATTCAATTTCAAAACGTGGTTTTCTGTACTTCTCTCTAAGACGGGTACTGCCCTCTACACTAACTTCCACATTTAATAAGTACTTTTCACAATCACATTCACCTCAGCAGGATTGTGCATAATCAAAGATTGACATTGTAATGAATTTTCCAGAAACATTTTATTACCCAAGTCCCTGATTTATCGCATTCTGAGAATACCATAAACAGTGGTGAAAATACAAAATATTGTTATATCTGGGACGTTGAATATAGTAATACACAGTAAAAAAAGTTATTTAAAATTTGGTTGATATATTGACAATAACGGCAAAGACTTAACCGTTGGATGATCACAGAAAATCAGAAGGTATGATTCAATGACATATTAATCAATTTAAAAGACCCATTGATTTAATACAACATTAATGGAGGCACCAAAACAACGCATTGTTATCAAATCAGGCCTAAAATAACCCTGAAAAACTCAATACAATATCAATTAAATTTGGAATAGTTTTTAAAACGCATCTAGAGGAGAGCAAAAGATACTCAAAGTCTTCTTTATTAGGCTACTAATAAAGAAAAGTAATACAAAAAGGATATATTAAAACTACATTAAGGCTCAGATTTTAAAACAGGAGAACCAAGGAAATCCAGTTATGGCTATTACTGCGTTCTTATAGTCTTACAGTGCCTAAGAAGTTAAGCCCTTAGAGAATGTAAAAGCATGCACAGTTCATTATGTACAAGTATTGTGGGAATCTGAAGGTAGCCAAGGCAAAATCTAGCAACTGCAACCTTCACTTTTAAATTCCTCTATTAGGTGGTTTAAAGACAGACCCTTAATAGTTTTTTAAACTCTCTTTTTTTGTAGTTATTAAAATATACATCCTAGCAAAAATGTATGGCTCATTGATCAATTCATAAAACACATAGTCAGTCTAACAACACCAATTGTTACAATATAAAAGAAACTTCTTACAAAAGAAGCTTTATTCGATGTCAAAAAACCCTGTTTTAACTCACAAATGGAAAGTATTTGTGTAAGGGTCTTTTTGTAAGCTAGTTAAAGGTGATCCAGCTGGAAGCTTATACCCTGGGATGCCTGTCTCCAGGCCTTCAAATTTTGGAGACAAAGGCTTTAATGCCAGTCTATGAAATCAAACACTAATGAAGTCTGTAGTTATCTGTATACCTTGGAGAAGGCAGAGTTAAAAATATATCATCAATTAATTAGCTTCCTATTCCCATATCTGATCAAAAGGGGAATTTCAATTACGTAGATACTAGAGCTCCGTGATCATTCCAGTGGGAACCTTGAAAAAAATCAAATGCTACCATTTCATACCTGCTCCAGCATTGGAGCTGTTTCATTGTAGTCTTCCTTTTTTTCAGCACCATCAACCCCAACAGCTTTGGATGCCAACAAACCTTGAGAAAAATTGTACAGAAATTGCTTATTAGAAAAAATACTGATTTACACCCTAATTAACTTTGCAAAAATCTTAGCAGTTGAAATTTCCTATACTTTTTAATACGTAGGAAGTAATCTCAAATGTTTTCTTTTCAAAAATACAAATATGCTTAATAATAAGCCAAGGGACTGAATCAGAACTTGAGAGTTGCTTATACAGTTGTGTGTCTGTTGTTTAATATTACTCAATTAAATCACTGAAAACACACACTTGCACACACACATTTATTCTGTAAAAAGTTAAAATTCTGTCTTAATGTCTACATTAAGGTTGCTCAGGTTGCTAATACTTATAATACAGGTTTTGTCTATACAGCTATAAAAACAGAATAAGACAGAAGAAATCCTTCCAAACATCCAGAACATAAAAAAAGATTTTCTGTTGTTTTAGTAACTAAAAAAGCTACCAATTCTTAAGTTCATTTAGATCCTTTTAATCTAAGCTTTATGTGTGTCCAGTTGTACCTTACCTTCTTATAAGAGTTTAAACACAGATGGATCCATTTTATGTTAAGAGAAAAAGTGTGGGTCTTTCCTAGAACATCTGAACTTAATATTATAGTTCATTTTGTCATTTTGTCTATAAATGACAAAAATTTTTAGAAGTTCCAGTTTTCTTCTATGTATGTCACTAATTCTCAAATTTAAAAGACAGAATAGGCCAGGCGCAGTGGCTCACCCCTGTAATCCCAGCACTTTGGGAGGCCGAGGCGGGCAGATCACTTGAGGTCAGGAGTTCAAGACCAGTCTGGCCAACATGGTGAAACCCCATCTCTACTAAAAATACAAAAATTAGCTGGCGTGGTGGCAGGCACCTATAATCCAAGCTACTCGGGAGGCTGAGGCAGGAGAATCACTTAGACCCAGGAGGCAGAAGTTGCAATGAGCCGAGATCCTGCCACTGCACTCCACCCTAGGTGGCAGAGCAAGACTCCGCCACAAAAAAAAAAAAAGACAGTATTTTATTGTAATATATAACTGTATTATTAATTTGAATCCCAAGACATTAAAACTCTGCTTTAATAAAATATAGGCATTTACTTGGTTAAAATTCTTTGCTAAGCCTGTCAGGTAACCTTCGATGAAGTCTAGTTTATAAGCCTTGTTTAAGGCCACCCTGCTCATAAAAGGCCACCAAAATTCATTTCTGTGTCATTTCAAGGTTGTCAGGTACCTTCAGTGAACCCCAGTTTATAAGCCTAGAACAAGTATTTGTTTTTGTTTATGGCCACCCTGCTCATAAAAGGTCACCAAAAATCATTTTTGTGTTATTTCAAAGTTGGCCACACAAAAACTTTGCTCCAAAGGAAGCATGTTTAACAACTGACAACTTAATAGTAAACTGACTACAGCAATTATACTACATACATTACAGAAGCTGTCCACAACATATTTAACAGGAGAAAAATGGTGCCCCCTCAAAGGCAGTATGATGTAAAGGTATCCATGGGCAACATGTCTTGACTTTATCAGACAGCTACCCTAAAGAAGTTAAGTGATCTAGGTAGGAATTCACATATTAAAATTATATTCTTGGGCCCAGCACAGTGGCTCATGCCTGTAATCCCAGCACTTTGGGAGGCTGAGATGGGAGAATCACCTGAGGTCAGGAGTTCGAGACCAGCCTGGCCAACACGGTGAAACACCATCTCTACTAAAAATACAAAAATTAGCTGGGTGTGGACGTACACACCTGTAATCCCAGTTACTTGGGAGGCTGAGGCACGAGAATCGCTTGAACCTGGGAGGCAAAGGTTGCAGTGAGCCGAGATGGCACCGCTGCACTCCATCCTGGGGAACAGAGTGAGATTCCATCTCTAAATAAATAACTAAATAGATAAATAAATTAAAAAAATTATCTTCTTAAAGTAGTACTCAAACAAATTCTAAATTAAGCAAAAGGTACCTAGTACTCAGAATGTACTTTAAAATAAAAAAGGCCGAGTGTAAGACAATGATTTTGATACATTTATGATTAGTATTAAAACTGGTATTTAAGGTTAGGCACGGTGGCTCATGCTTGTAACACTTTGGGAGGCCGAGCTGGGTGAGTTGCTTGAGCCCAGGAGTTTGAGACCAGCTTGGGCAATATAGCAAGACCCCATCTCTATATTAAAAAATAAGTAAAAAACAACAACAAAACCCTGGTGTTTGTCCCAGTTTGAGATTTAAAAAAAAAAAAAAAAGCAAAAACCAAAAAACTAAATAGTTTGTTACAGTCTCATACCACATCAACTGTATATAAACAATTTTACAAAAACAGCTTCAATCCTAATTATATTCTGAACATATTTTTACATTACTGAAAAAGATACAGTACTGAATATTTAACATTTAAAGCTACATTCATTAGGTTTTTATTCTCCAGCTAACATTCTTAAGGCCCAATGAACTATTGAAATAAAAATAATTAGAAAATCAAGTTCTTCTTTTGCAGGAAACTGAGTAGAGTTATATTTCTAAGGACTATTCAAACAGGACAAATCTTGCTATTCAATATATTATATAATTATATCTTTTACTTTGTTTCCTTTCACACAGGTGGTAGAAATACTTTTTAATACTCAATAGATGAAATAGATCACAAACTAAAAAGCTGAAAATAAGGTACCACAAGTAGTAAAAGAAACAAAATAATTCACCCATAACATATGGATTTACATTAGGATATTACAGACCCAGTTTATTAAAATCCCTTTCCATTAATGGTTTGAGAAGGAAAAATAAAGCATTGCAATGTGTTCATAAAAAGTAATGAGACTTAAGAAAAACTACTTAAAATTAGATTTTAAAATGCATACTTGGTTATCTAGAGAATTTAAAAGCCCAAATATGATTAATAAAGTTTTTTCATGCTTTACATTCACATCAACTTACAAAAGTTATTAAATATAAACAATAAAATGGAACAAATAACAAAATAGGTACTTGAAGAAATAACTCTGACTACTTCTGCCTTAAGAGGCAGTCCAAAATCTGTTATCTTGACCTGCTAATATTCCAGGAAAAAATGCACTATCCATAGAAAATGAGAAGAATTAACTGAAAGGAAATTATAAGCAAGTACCTATTAATTACCTATGTATTACTAACAGGCCCTCTTCTAGAAGAATACCCCTATGGGATAAAATTGCCCAATAAGAATGCATTACACTGCTTCAAGAAATTATTTAAACTTAGGTAAAAGAAGAATATCAAATAGTCATCAGTTCCACCCACCAATAAAGTTACAACCTTCCAGTATTCTATATTAGCTATAAAATACACAGCTGGTCTCTTCCTGCCAATACGAATAAGTAGAACAGAGCCCAGAGCTCCCTGGAATGGGAAAGGGGAACAAAGAAAGAGCAAAGTGGTTACATTCTTGGTCTACTTTTCATCCAGGTATTCCAAAACACAATCTTCTTGCTGGGACTAAGAATCAAATATTCTTGATATTATTATCAATAACATACTACTGGTCAATTCAAATTTCAGGATTTTTTAAACTTTTTAAATTCCTTAAGTTACAGAAACACACCTAAGCTAACTGAAATTCCAGGAACTCTTAGAGCCTATTAGAAACAGATCATGCACCAACTGCTGATGTTTTTTTCCTTTATTCCCTTGACATTCTGTAGTTTAAAGTCTAATCAAATTCAATTTGTTTGTGACTTTGTTCCAAAAGTATGGACTACTAGTTTTCTAAGTAAAATTGTTTATTTCAAATCAGTATGCATAAGCCATATAATAATAGCTATCAATAAGGTACATGACATAATGAAAAATACGAACTGGGAAATTGTGTGTGTATATATATATTGCACAGTATATGCAATATGCATATGTGTACATATATGATATATGTATATGTGTATACATAGAAATATATATGTATATCTGTATGTATATGTGTGTATATATGTCTATACATATACGTATTCCATATACTGTGCAACTATATTGTCAATGTCTACCTATTTGGAACCTCTGAAAAACGCCATCCTTTTAACATTCTCTATACAGAAATCGGGTTTAAAATCATCACATGGTGTGTATGTGGCAAAGTGAATAGAAAGAATGATAAATATATGAATTAAAGTTATCCAATAGCTGGTCCACGTATTTAAGTTAGAACTCTTTAAAAAAATAATAAAATAGAGTGGAGAGAAATACATCAGAGCAGGCTGCCATGATCCCAGCCCCAATCCTCTCAGTAGTAAAAGGACAAAAAGACACATACAGATGAGCTTGATGAATTTAAAATATACCATAATGCCATAACAAAATTACTATTTTATATTAGTTCTCATTTATCTGTATAAACTATAAATGAAATCTACTGTAAAAAGGCAAGCCTGAATTTCAACTGTTGAAGACAATCTTACAATATCTACTGTCTTTTTGCATGACATAGTTGCAACATGAAATCAGAAATAGATGTAGAAAAATGAACTATTAAAAAGATTATCACACACTTAAATTTTCTAAGTAAATAAAAAGATCATAATGGTTTCACATTCATAAAATCTTATGCTCTGCTGCTGCTGTCAAACTGTAACTTATTCATTTGAGACTCCCAAGGGAAAGTGAAGAGAAAATCCCACCGTGGAAGGGAAGGGTGTTTAAGCAACCAGTATTACAAACTTGAGGCACATGGTAAAATGGTACTTTTTTTCCCCACTACTGTCTTTTCAAGGCCATAGAGAAATAATGCATCATTGTGGGCTCAGCAGAGTTTTTGTGTTGTAGTTTTTTGTTTTTTTTACTTCTTTAAACGTTGAGCTTGAATATCCCAGTAAGGCATATGTAAGAGTATATTGATTGAAACTATTAAAGCAGGTTATCCAAATTGAAGGAAAAAAAGCATGATGCTGGAAAGCTGGCAGTTGTATCATGTCAGTGTCATCTCCGTCTTCTTTGATCTCGACTCCTCCAATAGTGTTGTTTCAATCTTTGTATCACAGGAGTTAGAAATACTATTCCACTTCTGCCCAGCACATAGCACTGGGTTCCATATTTTAAGGCAAAACTGAAGTCTCATGCCATAAGAACAAACACTTAGAGAACATTTGGCTTTCTCCAAGGTTAATAGTTTACAAGGAAAAGGTGTAACAGGTTAATTGATTTAAAATATTTCCTCTCCTGGGGCCAAGTATATCCTTTATCAGAGACAGGCATGAAAATAATATATACAAATGGAAAGAGACTGAATATTCTCACCTGCTAAAACCAATTATAATCACTTAGATGAACAATATAAATGAAATGGTGGTTCTAAACAATCCTCAGCTCCAGAGTCACCTTTCAGTTAGCTTCCTCTCTTCAGAAAATGGTCAAAATGTTTAGTTTACATGTATTCCTAAATCTGACCATGAAATCAAGCTTCTTCAAGTTGAAGCCAACAAACAAAGGTTTTTACAGCTTTATTAGGCCAAAGGCACTAAAAAAAGATTCTGTCCTTTTAATAAGAACATATGACTAAATCATGAAAGTATTTAAACTCCCCTTTCAACATATACTCAGAAAAGGTAAATATGTTCACAATTTCTTTTGAAGACTAGAATCACTAGGCTGAATAGACTGTGGAAATGGCAGGATGTAGTATGACTGGCCCCAATTCTAATCCTTCAATCCCCTCTTCCATGAACACGAACCAGGCTAGAATTTTCAGTGTTTTCTAACAGCCTAACACTGCTATTTCCTAAACTAAACTATAAGAAATCATATGGAAATAAATAAGCCCAGATTCTTGTGACCAACCTGAAGAGTAAAAATTAAAAAACAAAAAAAACTTATAGAAATACTTTCACATCAGAAATTCAGAAATTAACAGATTCAGGAAGTAAATGTAAGTCAGACAGTCATCTTTCCAATATATATGGCACCATCCTTAAGTAAGACTGGTCAAGTAGAAGAATGTATAAAAAAATTTAAAATCTGAGAAACTGTGTCACCGTAAGTTGACAAAATAATTCTTCTAGAAACTACTACTACCACAAATGTAATTTAAAAATCACTGAGCTTTGTAGCATTTGTCCTTATCAACCCTCACAACATCCCTGTGAGGTAGGTAGAAGATATGTGGTATTTTTCACATTTTACAACAGAAAAAGCTGACGGTGTTGAAAGACATTGACCTTGAAGAACCACAAAGTAATTGTCTTTGTTATTAACAGGTCCATGACACTAAATCAAAACCATTTTACTTCATTAAAAATAAATTACTCTAAAATTAAACCTTCCATTTCCCCCCCTCAAAAAAAAAATCATTGTAGTTTACCAGTAATCTTGTTAAGTCGAGCTCTCTTTGCCTGAAACGAGTTGCCTTGATTATTTTTCCTCTTGTTTGATAATGTGCTCTCTGGCTGTGGAAAGACCATCTTTGGAACGTTCTCTACATGAAGTCCTACTTTCAACAGAACACATATATGAGAGTTTATCTAGAATCCAAATTAAAACACATGATTTTTTAACAGCAAAATAGTAAAAATGCTTTGCACATTAGTTTTTTTAATCTACTACTTGATACAGACCTTTGAAAAACACAAATCCCTCCAGACTAATATATTAGAAATAAAAGACTACTAAAGCAGTTATTCTTAAAGAAAAGCAGGAAGAAAATAACTTACTGCTTTTTCCATATTATATATTGAAGCATACACAGAAGCATTTAAAAGGTTGAAGAAAAAACACAAAACAAAAGAAAAAATCTCAAACAAAAACCTGCTATCAAGAAGTTATAAATCAAAATCTCAACCTATTTCTATTCAAGAATACTGAGGGCATCCAATATCAAGTAACCCACACTAGACTATTAAGTTTCAGGTCTAACTGTAAGATGCTAAAAAAGTTAGCCATCATATTATGCTAGGGTCAAAAGCCTACAAATTTAATTATACATTCAAAATCAAAGGAAGCCAAGGGATTTGACTTTACTACATGAGTTTACCAGTGTCATAAGGAATTAACGTAAGAATGTATTTTGTACCAAATGTTTCACTAGATGTAGGCAGATCTTCCTTCTTCTCTACGTCTGGTGTGGCTATACAAGTTGAAGTTTCCTCCTTCTTTGAAGGTACTTTAAACCACTTTCTCTCATCTTTATCCTTATCTTTATTGCTGTTAGCGCTGGTTCGAGGTTTACTCCCTGTTTTGTTCTTGGCTGCAGCTGCAGCAGCTGCTTTGACTAAAGCTATCCAATCCTCCAAAGGAAAAACACAAAACATGTGAAGTATTAAAAATTAATTAAAATGTAATTACACTAATAAAAATATGTGTCACATTTTCAAAGCTACTTTCACAGGTAACTACATAAACATAAATATAGAGATAACAATATTTACATGATAGCTGAACATGGTAGGTTATCAAATTTAATAATCAAATGAGTTAGATTGCATAACCTCTCATAAAATAGGAAGCATATTCAATAACAGGTATTCCATGGATATATTTTCACAGGAATAAAATCTAAAATAGCAGAGGAAACCTATGGCAGATATGGAATACTACATGACATTCTACCTTAGTATTTTAGGGCTCAAATGTTGCATTCCATCTCTTTCTCATAATACAAAGGACTATAAAAGAAGGGAAAAATGCTATCTTGCAATTCTACAAAGATTAAAAATAGTGTATTCCCACCTACCAAATTGCTATTCCTTATTAGGACAAATGTACCATTCAAATTATAGTCAATCTCATAGAAATCAAGAAAGGTATGATTTTTATTATTTTCTAAAGCTACTGAAGTTCAGATAGCAATTTATCACAACAGCTTAATAATACTGATGAAGAAGAAAAGAGCTCCATTGACCAAGGTAAAGCATTAACTGTCAAAACTCCACATTAACTCCCTATACAACATCCTAGGTCTCTGTTTGGTACCATTCTTCTGAGGTACAAATATTTATTTTTCCTGTGTTAATTTAGTTTGTTGCTAAATACATTTTACTATTGTATTTTTAACTAAAAATGCTTATTATAAAAAAAGGTGTAAGGAAGTATAAAGTGTTCCTAACATTTTAATTTTCACAATAAAAATGTTTTTAAAACAAATATAAATATCTCTACAAAGTGAATCTGCTGAGACCACTAAGCTCTGTCAAATAGACTACCAGTTCAGATTTACTCAAAATACTTTAAATCCCTAGTCCAAGCAACTAAAAATTTCACAACATCAAATGAATTTAATTCACGGTTTACATTAACAAATATAAGCAAAATACGTTAATAAAATTAAGCAATGAACAATGTAGATTAACACTGCCTTAAAAATATATGGTGAAAACAATAAGCCATTAAAAAGAAAAATCTGTATTTCTAACTCTTTCTCTCATAATTGCAACTAACTGAAAACATCATGTGATTGCACTTAACACATTCAATCAACAATTTTCTATTGAATACCCTGTCCTATATGCCAGGTACTAGGCTAAGCATTCAAGCGACCGCAACTGATAAAAGACTGGTCCCGTCCATAAGGAATTCACAGGTAAATACAATTAGCTATAAGCTGCGACAGGAGATGTACTGGAGAAATAAACAAAATACTATAGAACAGAAAAGAAAAGATTGATTTTGACTGAAGAGAAAGACTAATGCAAAGCTTCAGGGAAAATGATAGATGAGCTGAACCCTAAACATAAGCAGGAATTTGCTAGGGAAAGGGGTAGTGGAAAAAGAGAAAAGGCTACTCCAAGCAAAAGGAAAAACATTAAACAAAGGCCAGGAGTAAAAGTGTACAGAAAAGTGAAAGAGCGATGAAAGGTTCAAGGAGCAGTATGGGCAGCTAAAAGCAGTATGGCTAAGTTGAGCTTTCAGACTAACATTTAAGCAGTAAGAAAAGAAAGCACCATCAATGAAAAAAAAAAAAAGGATTGAGAGAGAACAATCAACAAAGTGGGAAGAGAAACAAGAGTAAGTACAATCAGACAACCAAAAGGAAAGTGTTATATGCCACAGAGATCATACATTTGCAGACCTATTAAGAGTAGAGCATTTAATCCTGGGTTCCACATTGCGGGGAAAATTTTAAGTTGTCAGAGTTGCTAGAAAATGTCAGAAGTAATTTCCATCCCAAGTTGTTTTCTACCTCCAATAAAGAAAAAAACTAAAAAGAGAATCATACTGCACCTTTTAAATTTAAATATGTTTTTAAAATGCTTTTCAATCATATGACTTGCATGGGAATCACTGTAGCTCTGTGATTAAAGAATTCTCCCACTGTTTTGCTCTTTTATTTTTATGTTGAGTTCTATTTTGTGTTTGCTTTTACGTTTATTTATACAAATTTATGGGATACATGTGAAATTTTGTTACATGTATATAATTAGTAGTGATCAATTCAGTGTATTTAGGGTGTCCATCACTCAAATATAACACATTTTTAATAACTATAGTCACTCTACTCTGCTATCAAACACTGAATTTATTCCTTCTATAGAAAAGCTTCATTGTTAAAAATAACTGAAGTGTGATCTTTCCATGAACTATAACTAATAATGATGTTTTCGAGCTCTTTGTAGATAACATAATAGAATATTGCATTAAAAAGGGCACTGTGTTTGAAATCAGAAACTTTGGGTTAAAGGAATCACTTCGCACAGAATGAGTAAAATTTTAAGTCACTGGATTCTCTAAGTTCTGAATTCTTCAAATGTGAAACAGAAATATTAGCCATACCTATGTCAAAGGATCTACTATGAGAATCCAACGAAACAAGGCACACAAAAAATGTTTTGTAAATATTAATAGCAAAGGACCTATAAGCCAACCATTAACACTAGTGAGTCACAACGTATATTTTGTATCAGCACGCCCTCAGGAAGAAGAAATGAGAGAAAAGGCAAGTACTTCTGTTACAAGCTTCCAAATTAAAAATATAATGGCTCAATCTCTCACCCTGTAATTACTACTGCTCTTATTAGGGTAGAAAACCAGAAGGAACAAGGAGGTATCTCATAAAATGAAGGAATCAATCCCCCTCCTATAATATATGTCAGTTTCATAGCTATTTATGTATCAACACTACCATTCCACACAAAATTATGTGGAAGAAGAAAAAACTGTAGGTAGGGAGAAAAAGAGGGGATCTTATTTTGGGCTGATAACATGTCTACCATTACCTTCTTTCCCAGTGAGAAAAATGTCTACAAATACAGTGTTAGAAGGACTACAGCTCACATTGCACCCACTGTAATATTAAAAGCTCTTTAAGGTGCTCAAGCTAAACTCTTAATGCAAGCAGAAGTTTATCCAGTATTAACCAACGGGTTCAAAGTCAAAAACAACAGAATTAAGACTTATTTAGGCTTAAGAATATTAATTACTTCGGAGGTTTGCATATACAAAAGTGTTACTAATGTCACATTTTAGACAGGTTCAGGAAGAGCATTTCCACAGTGCATTAATTTGTTGCACTACTCTTTGCTAGCTTAATTTAAAAATTATCTTTCTAAACAAATTCTCAAAGTACTCAAAATTTAGAAGATATTATACAAGATAGGCCCCCCTTAGCTTTGCCCAAATAACAACTGATTTGGCATATTTCTTTGATGAAGGCAAGTCAAAAGCTTGTTGGGAAAAAGCAACTCATAAAATGAGAGTCATTTATAAAACACAATTCTACAAATATTGTTAACGTTGCTGTGATTAAGAATTATAAAGAAAAAAATGAAAAATTAAAAGAAATATACTACTACCCAAATATTATTTCAGTTGTTTTATATCTTGGCACTGATCTTAATGTTATAATGCATCATAGTGTGACTAAAGAATCACTACTTATTAAAAACAAACATCCATAACATCCAATAAATTTAATTTTTACAAGCTGTAATTTTACCACAAACCAAATTGGCTCAGTGTCCCACTTTGAAAAAACAAAGTTTTAAGGCAATAATATAATGTCAATTCATGAACATCTGATCAACCAGAATAACAAAATAATTGTTTTAAAGCAAAAAAAAAAAAAAAAATTGAGACTTTTGCTTAAGCAGGTATATACAATGTTCCCAACCTTTTAATCAATCTATGTAGTAACCAAGAAATCACACCACTGAATGCTTAAAAGAACACTTTATTTATACATACATGTGGGAAGACACAAAGCCACTTCCTGATCAAAAGCATTTTCATTTTAAATTGCATTTACATATTAATTAGAAGAAATCTGCTTGCTAATCATTTCATAACTAAATTTTTGAAAACCAGGCAATTTAAAACAATCACACTTATTTCTTCATGAATAATTTTTTTAATGTGGTAGATATACATTTCTAGAGCACTAAATGTTTACACTTGACTGAAGCTGACCAGGTAATTTCAATACATTTCAGAATGACAGTTTTCACCGCATGGTATGGAACAAATACGTAGCATATTTCCATATTAGACATTTTTACACACTACTTTCAATTTCTTAAAATTAATTGTAGGTCCAGGTGCTGAAAATCCCAAATAACAGCAGAATAGAAAAGAAAATATTTTAAATTTCTAATGGCACCTTTCTTTCCAGTATTTCAGAAAACATAGCCAACAAATGGAATTGTGGTTTTTACCTCCACCCAAGATTCTCCTTCCAATGCTTACCATCCATTCTTGCTTTGAGCAGTGACAAAGCATACAATACACTGCTTCCATCACATGACTCAGAGAGCCCTATCTGAAACAGCCTACAGAGTGTCAGGTAAGCGCCTTTTAAAGGAAGATGAATGACTATGATTTGTAGAAGGAAAGAAGAAGATAAGAACTCAATGTAAATTTTTATATTAAAAATTTTTAACTTTCTAAATGACATTATATACCAGGAAAAACAAAACAAAATTTTTAAAAAAAAGGCTCTTACCTCACTTCCCATAGACTGGTTACACGATCCAGCTGGGTCGATAGGACAACACCAGCTTAGTGGATGCTGGGATTTCACCTGGAACAGAAACTAGTGACCTATAACTTTAGCAGGTCTAAACCAAAGAAGCAAAAATCAAATGTATAATTTATTTTACAGTCTAAGCTTCCTTTTCTTGCTGCTATTTGGGGCTATCAGCACATAACCCTACAATTAGTTCATTTTTAAAAAATATACATATAAATATATTTTGATCAGTCACCGTTCAAGAAGATAACCCTTTGGGTAGCTAGGAATACTGAACACTCTTACCTGCCCCTTAGCATCCTCGGGCATGGCTTTAATGTGCATTCTTTTTAAACAACGAATTACTCCATCATAAAACTGAACTGTAAATGTTCCTGAAACAGGAGCAAGTCAGAATCATTAGAAAATATAATTCAAGTTTACAGCAACACTTGAAATCTAACAAGTAGTGACTTGTATAGATAAATGCTTTAGGAATGCAAAAACTACAAATGCTCCTGTTAAGGACTCCATCAAGTTTACTTTCTCCCTCCCTCTAAAAACAACTCTGAACTCCTGTTTCCCCTAACAAGTACACAAATTAAGTCTTGATAAGTTAGTTCCATGTAATTCTGATTTTTACTAAGAAATTTTATAATTTATTTTGCAGTAATTTAAATGTTTAGACTCAACATAGCTGACAAAAGTAAAATCATTACTTACAAAAATATATAATATTTCCATAGGCATTACCATTTGCTTTTGAATGTTTCTTTCAAAAGAAGTAATACAGAGAAGGAGCTGATATGCAAAAAAGATCATTTGCCCTGGAAAGGATTATTCCTTGGGCAATAACAACAAACTGGAAAATAAGAATTGTAGTTCCAGACTTTAAAGGTAGAAAATATTTTACAAATCATCTAGATAAAAGTCTTCATAAGTAGCTCAGAACACTGAATTCTAGAGGAAGGCTAAATGCTACACCCAATGGCATTCACCTAAGTGGCAGGCAACACAGCCGTAATTAATACTTCCAATCTCATCTGGTCATCCATGTCTTTCCCACAAACTCATCCTACTTGAAGGACTCAAGATTTTGTTTGTCTATTATGAAGCATATTCACTTTTTGTTACAGACCCCATGCTTTCAAGTCAATATAAGCCAGTACTATTAGAAGATATATAAATTATGTATAATGCCTACTTAAGGAAATTCAAATGTTTTCCTGTCATTTCCTAGAAAAATGTTCTTCCACCATTTCCCCAATGAAGGCAGAGTCCCACTCTAAGTAAACAGATACTTGGTCTTTATAAAAGAATTATAAACAAGAAATGTGACAATCATTACTAATGTCCTTGGGGTTGGCACCAAAGCCGATAATATATATGTGCAAAGATTTTTTTTTTTGGGTACTCTGAATAACACCATTTGATTTTATTTCTTTCTATAATTAGCCTAACGTTGAATTTCACAGATATAAAGATCTAAATTCAAGTTATGCAAACAACTGATCAGGCGAATAGCAAGGATGTAAAGACAATGGAAAAATTTTGAGAATGCCAAACTCTGTGTACACCTGGCACTTCCATCTTTCCTGCAACTTTCTGTCTTCCTTCTTCAATACAGCATTCCAGAAAAACTCAGCTTGCACACCAGGCCGTCTGGGCATTAATACCTCTCTGCCTTTGCTCATGCTATTTCCTCTGTTGTGATGCCTTTCTCCTTTCCCTGTGTCTATCTAAACCCCAGTCCACTCTTCAAGGACCATTCCCAAGATGAAAACTTCCCCAATGACTCCAGTACACACTGACTGGCCCCTTTTCTTTGCTTCTATATGCTGTATTACAAATGCCTAAATGTTCACAATTGTTCATTTTGTTTTGCTCTTACACTGAACGGATGGCTTCTTTTGCCCTTCTGATTTTTGTCAAGGTGGGGAGCGGGCAGGCCTATCCACCACTTGGGGCATACAGAAATCACAAAATTAATACCTTTCAGAAAACAAATAGTATCTGCCAATATTTCACTATGTGTTCACTGAAACTACTCTGGAAATGCCAGGGATCACAATCAGTATCAACACTCTTCCACTAAGGTAAGCTGAATTTTCTGTATTAAATGCCTGTAGATGAAAGGGATAGAATAAAGAATGAGGGTGGTTTTGTTCTGAGTGTGTGCGCTATGTGTGTACCTGCATCTGCACACACACAGGGAACTTTAAGCATGTAACGAAGGCCCCAAAGCTCTTAAAAGAAACTGTTATGAATTAATGTAGAGGGCAATGACTGTTTAATTTCACTTTGTTTTGGGTACATCTTATTACCCAACAGAAGAGATTTTACTTCTTCCTTTACTTCCACAAATTGTTACTGACTGTCTACTATGTGCTAGGCTCTGGACTAGACACTCGGAAGCCAATGTGAATAAGACTTGGGAATGTAAGCTCCATAACACAGCTCCACAGAAGTGTAAGTGTACAGGGAAATACAGGGCCCACTAGAAAAGAAGAAACAGCCTGCACACCTAACAACTGAGATGTCTCTCAACTCTTTCTGTAGGGGTAACCAGTGGTAAGAAAACCATAGCCATATTCATGATTTCAATTCATTAAGACAATACATTGGATTAAGGTCTTTATAAAGTTATATCATGATTTCTAGCTAGACTACTATGATTTATTTTTTCACACCTAAAATTCCTTAATATATCTCTGTTTTCCTCTTCTATCTTCTCTTACCTCCTATTTTCTCTCAAGTTTGTTGTTAGATTAAATCCTCAGCCTAAAAACTCTTCCATGGCTCCCATCACCTCCATATAAAATTCTAATTCTTTAGCAAGATTACATGACACTTCATATACCAATCTTTGCCTTTCTCTCCAACCTGTACTCTAGCTATTCTATCACCTATAAACGAATCTTTCATTCTAAGCAACCTGCAGTTCCTTAAAATGACATGGCATGCCTCTCCCACTTGTTATTTTCCACATATTTCTTCTACCAGAAAAGCACTTTGATCACTACTTTAGCTAACTTAGTTGTCTTTCAAGACTCAGTTTAAAGGAAATGTCCCCTTACTTAGATTAAATGCCCTTCTTGCCAAGAAGCTGTCACTCAATGTTTGTTTCTTTAGTAATAACAATGAATACAGAAATCCCCCTTATCCGCGATTTCGCTTTCCACAGTTGCAGTCAACCGCGGTCTGAAAAGGAGTGAGTACAGCACAATAAGATATTTTGCAAGAGAGAGACAAGAGAGATTGAGAGAGAGAGGAAGGAAGAGAGAGACCACATTCATATAACTTTTATTACAATATACTGTTTGATTATTCTATTTTATTATTGTTAACTTCTTACTGTGCCTAATTTATAAATTAAACTTTATCATTCATATACATGTACAGTATAGGAAAAAACATAGTATATATAGGGTTCAGTAGTTTCCAAAGTTTCAAATACCCACTGGGGGTCTTGGAATGTATCCCCCGTGGATAAGGAAGGACTACCGTAAGTGGTCAAGTTTAAGAAATAACTTTAGTAGAAAATTAATGTATTACTCAATTTAAAAAACACGTGCAAGTATTCCAAAACTTTTTTAAATGAGAAATTTGAATAAAATATTCAGGTATGTTTTCAACAATAATTTAATTATTAATTCTCACAACTTTCCAAATTAATGAGCATATGAATTCTGTTTTAAATTAATGATCTGTCCAATAGATTTCCCAGTCTTATGCAACACTAACATGCCTAATTTCTGTGTTACTTTCAACATTTTTGATTACTTAAGCAACTTTGGCTCAGTATCTAATATTCTAACACATGTCCACAAAAAGATACTAGAAAATTAACTCAATTATCTGTAGAAATTAATGACAGGACAGCAGGGAGAGACACAATAAGGGAAATCCTCGAACTGGTAAAAATTCCATACTCTTTCCTCAGAAAATATCCTATGTATTTCACTTGTGAATTGAACTGATTTGAATTCCCCTAAATCTTTAACCTTTCCTCACACTCTTGGGTAGATGTTCATAAATATAAGTTAGCCACAAACTAGAAACAGAGAAGTAGAAATAAAATGTATATGATATAAGCCTGTGAATTGAAAGTTGAAAAATTTTAACCAACTATTTTTGTCTACTAATTTAAACACTACTTAGGTAGCAAACCATATAGCATTTTATTCTCGATAACACATAACAAATCAAATGCTCCCGAAAAAGAATACTTACAGAAAATATAAAAGTTATACGTAATGATTACATAACACACACTAATTAAAATTTAAAATACAGTGAAATTTTACTATTAATCTAATTTTAAGTCTCAGATCATTTCAAACACATACCTTCTTTGTTAATTGCTTCAATCTTGGCAGGGTAATAGCGACAGTCTGTCCAACGAGCCAGAACTTCTTCTCCAGCTTTAAAATCCTATTTTAAACAACTTTTAAGATCAATTCCATGTATATTAAATAAGCATTTCTTAACAAAAACAGGCTTTTGTATAATTTAACAGAATCCTTTTAAAATATGTCATTACATAGCTGGCAAAACTAGCAAACAGAAAAAACTTGCTACTTACAAAGAAATCTTCCTCATCTTTTAGCCCTTCTTTTCTTAGTGCTGGTCTCTCAAGGGGTCGCAATCTATTGCTATCCCAGTAAATCCACTCATCATAACGATGACTCCAGCGCTCAAAATGGACCAACATCTTGCCCTCCTCATAGTCAATTTTTTCAATTCGTGATGGATACCTCAAAAATCAAAATGCTTCATATAAAGAGAAAATCCTTATATTTGTTTATACAAAGCATTATACATAGATTTAGCTGAATGTTGCTTACCATTAAAACCATGAAGAAAACAATAAATACGTCCATATTTTAAAACTAACCAAAAAACTCTGCTTTATTGTCTTTATAAATGATCGTCCTCAAGATCTGAATAAACTCCTTGATACACTCCCAGTAGAAATATAAATGACTGCACTGTTTTGTGAAGTAATGTGGTAACATACATCAAGAACCTTAAACATATTCCTACTTTCTGACCCAACAATTCCAATTCTGGAATTATATACAGAAAACATTATTTATAATAACAAATAAAGTGGAAACCATCTAAATATATGGTTGGAAAAACTGAAGACTGTCTACAGCTACACAAACAATGATATATCCACTGAATGAAATATTATGTAGTCACTGAATGTGGTGTTTACAAAGAATTTACAATGTGGGGAAAATGTAAAAAACAAGAACTCTATTTAGCATAAATATAAATATGTAAATTTTGTCTAGCAAAAAATACATCAGCATGTACACTGTCTTTATATGGCATAAGCTCACTTTAATTCTTATTTTTCTGTATTTATCAATATTTTATAAAGAGCAACAATGATGGTAAGGCTCAGTAAAACCTTAAATTTAAAAATACAAAATATTTCATTGTTCTGTCTTCACATGTGGTAATTCTGTAATTCCAAAATAGGAATTAGTTAACTTAAAATCTTTTACAAGGAAAGTTGCTTCGTCATTCTTAATGTACTGTATTAAAATGTTAACAGATGACTCAATTTTTTTTAAAGTATGATTAAATAACATTCAGAACTCAATAGCAGCACACAGTGGATGATTCAGCCATATAGTTTATCCCATATTCTTCCTAGCTTTTGCTAAATTCAGAATCTTTGTTTTCCCCGTGAAAAACTAGCTTTAAATATAAAGTACAATGGACTTTATATAACTTTGAAATGTAGGAACTGATTACTACCTACTTTATAGCTCAATCTTGCTATTCAGAGTTTTTCAGATATTTCAAGGATCATTCTCCGGTAGAGCTTCTTCGATCTTTTGACATTCAACCCCACTTTGATCTAATGATATTGAGCTCTTGGATTTTCCTCAAATATATGTTGCTCTGTGTCAAGCATTCATGCTATTCTCCATTCTATTCTTTCCGTCCGAGCCCTAAACCACCCTTCCCTTCCTTTGTATACAAATCACTGCAGACTTGGTTAAACACAGAACTGCTTGTGTGAAGACTTCCCTAACTCCCCGGCTCCTGCTGCTCTGACAGCACTCATCTCATTAAAGCTGTACATCATCTCTGCACAGGTTCTCACTCAAACTGGGTGCTGAAGAACATTTATATCTCTTGGAACACTGATATGTGTGGCACTAAAAAAAAAAAAAAAAAAGAAAAAAGGGGTCTTCTCAAATAAGCTAGGGAATTATTGGATTAAAAAAAGTTAGGCTGCATTCTTTATTGAAAGACTTCTTGGTGCAGTCAACGAGACGGAGATAAAGCATTCAGTGTTACTAGAGTCAAGAAAACATGTAACCCCTTTTATCACGAAAATGTATTAACATTTCTTGAGATAGCAAATAGCTAAGGAAGATGAGGTTAGAAATGCTACTCTGGCCTGTGAACTTCTGGAGATAAATGAGTCATGTTTACTTTTGTAGTCCCCAGGACCTAGCACCATGACAGGACACAAAACTGCTACTCAGGGAATGTTTGCAGGCGTAAGCAGCAGCTTTAAAGAAAGGCGGGAATGTCTGCAGGCGTAAGAAGCCGCTTTAAAGAAAGGCAATTTGCTCATTTCTTCAGAACTAAGAAGGCAGTTGACCCAATTATAGCCTTGTTAGATCTTAGTCTTTTGGGGGGAGTAAGTATAGGTGAGGGAAGACCTGTGTTAAAGGCATAAAAACAAGAAAACTTAGGAGATTAACATACTTCCTGAGGTGGACATGCCTGCCCTACCCACTTAGAATCAATCCTGTAATACTTGTCTTTTGCAGTGTTGCTCTGGTTTTGTTTTTGTTGCCCTGGTTTTTAAAACATAAAAATTGTCAATAGTATTAAGAAAAACCTAGAACAAGGTTGTTCCTTATTTTTCAACATTCGCTAGCCACTGAAGTACTATAAAAAGATATTCTATCAATTGTAAAAATTGGTAAGTTTCCCTCAAAACATAAAGCCTCTAATTTCATGTGCTTAATTTGTCCTATCATTTACATTTTGAATAAAAAAATAAGGAGTTTATTCTTTAGGTTCCCTCATATTCTAAATCTATACAACTCTATATATTTGAAACATTTCTCAAAGTGAGAATAGTCCACAGTAACAGAGTTAAACACATCTTTATTTTCACAACATGACTTAATTCAGTAAAGAATCAGTATCTAAGTGAGTTCAAATAATTTAAATCTGGATTGCATTTTAAAGCGACTTACGGTTTTTCTAAAATATTTTAAATTATTCTGGCTGAGATGCCTGACGCATCAACCAAAATGAAAATTATGTTTTGGGGATCCTCTTTAGGGTAAGTCATAGCATGCTGTACTCTCTACATAAATATCTAGAAATTGGTATGTACAGTTGGGATGAAGGCCAAGAATTAAGTAACACAGATACCCAAGATTCTTCTCTATTTTAATTTTTATCATGTTCACTAATCAAATTTTGAATCTTAAAGGTGTTAAAAATATTACCATTATCAAAAATGTCCAAATTTCTGTTCATTCATTAAACATTTATTTGAACATCCAAGAAGACTAAGGCACTTGCTAGGCACTATTGGTACATAAAAAGGAAACGAAACAACTCGGCCAGCCACGGTGGCTCATGCCTGTAATCCCAGCACTTTGGGAGGCCGAGGTGGGTGGATCACCTGAGGTCGGGAGTTTGAGACCAGCATGACCAACATGGAGAAACCCGGTCTCTAGTAAAATAACAAAATTTGCCGGCCATGGTGGCACATGCCTGTAATCCCGGCTACTCGGGAGGCTGAGGCAGGAGAATCGCTTGAACCCGGGAGGCAGAGGTTGCAGTGAGCCGAGATCGCACCATTGCACTGGGCAACAATAGTGAAACTCCGTATTAAAAAAAAAAAAAAAAAAAAAAAGGAAATAACTCCTATCACTGATGGGCTTAGCTTAGGGTCAGATTAGGAGAAAGAGAGAAGAATCAGAATATTTACTATTGCAGGTACGTCAGGCTCTGTGTTTTTTACTTATTGAGTGCCAACTGTTCTTTCTATACGTTTTCTCATTTGATCTTGGTAATCATAAAAGGTATTGAAAACATAGTGTACATTTAACAGATGAAGACCTGTCTAAGAATACACATGGTGCAGCCAGTATTAAAAACCAAGACTAAGTGGCACAAAAGTCTGTAATCTATGCCAAAAGGAGAAATGGGATAAGGCCCATCTAAGTGATTATTTCATACATAGTAAAACTGGTAAGTGTATACAAAAACTGTATATAAGATGCTTTAATAGTCCATAGAAAATCTGGGAATTTACTGAAGGTTCTCGGGAGATGTTACTTAAGTTAGACTTGCTAGGGGACATATAGAATATAGACCTAATCAGCACAAAGTGTATACACAGAGCATAACTCATTTACTCAATGTTCACTTACTTAAAACCATCACATGACTCTGAGTTAGGCAAGCAGCCATGGAGGATTTCAAGATAAGTAGGATATGGTTATTTGTCCTCAAAGACCTCATGTTCAGAGATTGGAGGAGCACTTAAAGGAAAGAGTAACAGTCCTTTTGGCTAGACTACATGGTAAGTAGTAAAGCAGGTAAAGGAGACTAGTAAGACATCAGATGGGACTTGTTAGCCTGGTTGAAACTTGAAGGGCTTTGAAATAGCAAACTAATGAAACAATCCTTTATTCTACAGAAAACAGGGAGTGACTTAAAGTTGGTACTTAATTTGGTTACCAGTTACACTGCGAGAGGAAAAAAATCGTAATATCGAGATCTTTGCAATACCCGTGAAATGCATTAAATGGTAATTTAACATATAGCTTTGCACAGTGAAGTTATTTCTAGCAGATGGCTCATAGTAATGTTTTGATACATACAGTGAAGAAAAAACGCTGCTGAACACAAATGTATTCACAAATGCCTCTGTATACTGAACTACAACAATATGATTTTGATGCACTATTTATGTTTTATTCTAATTGACTGTGAATTAAACATAAGATTTTTCTGATTGAATTTGGAAGCTGTAGTGTTAATGTTGTTGTTTTGTCATTTTTTAAAGGTTGAATCATAGGAAGCTGTTAAATTAAAGAATAGTGATTAGGCACAATCCCAGACATTTATGAGTAATTTGGAAAAATATTCAAGAAGTGGAAGACTGAAGTTTCAGATTTTGAAGAGTCAGAGATAAGATGCCGATAACAATGATTAGAGATAAAGAGAAAAGAAAATAACCATAGCTGACATCTCTCAAGGGTTCAACAGAAAGAGATGGAGAGAAGGCAACTTCACTAAAAGTAGGATTTCTCAGTGCCAAAATTCTACATAGAGCTCTCTTACCCTTTAAATATTACTGCAATATACCATAAAATTTCTGCTATATCCCTTCCCTAATTCCACTTAAAACTTCATGCATTGTTTAAATGTTATCTACTTGTGTAGAAAATAATCACCTCCACCGCTGAGCCTATCTTGCTCTCTCGTATGTCTTGTATACTTGAATCCCAGGAAAGAGTTTACCCTCAGAAAACTAAACAAGAAAAATAATTCACTCTAAAATGGATTCTTCATTGTTTATTTGGCTTAATGGAAATGAAGAGCATTCCAAAATAGAGAAGACTTTAAAATGATTCTTGCTGAATTTAACAGAATTTTCACATACTCAATTCTACTAATCTCAACTGATTTCTTGAGGCACTTTCTGAATTCGTGTGGGACCCTTTTGAATTAAAGTCCTCTAATGGCCAAGTCAAACTATAGCCATAACTAGAGTAGAGCAAAGCCATCACCAAGAATAAAATTTTTTTCACCTTCTCTAAACTCCTATAGCATATTATTGCATTATCTGATATGTTGTCATTTTAACACTATGACTCCCACTTGTACAAGACTCTTCAGAGAGTGGCAGTATCTACAGATTCTGGACTAACACCATAATCTCATAAGAACAGAAACTGACCAAAGAGGTTAGCTATACAGTAAACATACATTATCAGTTCCCTGTTGTATCAACTCTTAAGTGTTATCAAAACATAAATATGTTTTGCTTAAAATTTATTTTTACATATTTTACAGAAATCTAAAATGGGAATTATTACCAGTGAATTCTTATTCTGGCTCACATTATTAACTGCTTTACATGGGCAGGTCTGGACTCACCCACTAGATCAGGAGACTGAATTCCCTGAGGCTGCATGCAAAATGCTATGTGCTTGGTGTAGATGTATATGGGTATTCTTTTGAGGTGAGAATTCCCAAGTTTAATCAGATTTTCAAAGTGGTCCACATTCACAAAACCAAAAACTTTTGAAAGACAAGATGATTTATTAACTCAAACTGTCAGCGCTTCATTATCCTAGGATAAAAGAGGGAAGCAATGGTGGGCATGCAGCTATGCCAGAAATATAATCTGATGGATTAATTTTAAAAATTTCTTTGCATTCAACATAGGAACATTAATACAATTAAACATCATTTGCATTTAAGGAATTCATTCTGATTTATCTTCTAATTTAAAATATATACCCAGATTTCTATCTGTATTGATAAAAAAAAAAAGTCAACCATGAGAAAATGACAAGGGAAATTAACTGATATAACCTAGAATCTCCTGCACTTAAGATAGAGTTGATAACTACCTCAATGACAGGTTGCAATCCACCAAGCAGGGCCAGAATATGCTGCCAAATGCCCTAAAGACCATGAGAATTCACGAAAAGATTTAGGATTTAACTAATTATTTGAATAAGCACCATATCAATCAAAATGGCAACATAATTTTATAAACTGCCTCAATAAGTTATTCAAATTATGTATTTTAAATAATCACTTTCTTGTTTATATGGATAAGCCAATAGGATGTCTAATTCATGTAAATTTAGAAATTGACAGTCCTCATTCATTTCATTTATTCAACAAAGAAAAAGAATCAAGTAAGTTAACACAATTCAACATAATGATAGCTAGTATAATAAAGACATTATGCTAGCACACAGAAAGAGTATCTGAACAAGGATGTTCTCTTGGACAAGGCAGTTCTTTATGTTTTAAAGGATAGTATGTATGAAATACACCTAAAATATGACTTAAACATAACTAAAATATTAGCAGAATCCTAGGGATCTAGGACTAACAATTCAAAATAGTTTTGTGGATAAGAACTTCATCTATAACTATGGTAGTCATAAAAATGACTAAAAGATTAGAAGAACTAGAAATAGAAGGGTAAGAGCTGTCTTACATCCAATTATTAGTGAGAGGATTATTTGCCAAATAACAAAAATTAACACAGAATGTAACCCAAAGCAAACAAAATATTCTTGTATCCTAGTTACCCTTTAAAAGTTTTAGTTTCCTGGTAGCACTTTAAATTTACATTAAGCTTTATAGTTTTCAAAAATGTTTTCCCATTCACCCATTGATTATAACTGCAATAACGGTATCACATACTACAATTACAGTATTTTAAATTCAGCACTTTTGGATACTGCATGTTCATTTGCTTCATACTTTAAAAACAACAAACCGAAAGCAAAACTCTTGATTAATTCAAACTCAATATTCCACAATGCAATGTTAATACAAAATAGTCTAAAAATTTCAAACCATTCAGATGATAGCTCATAGGTCAAAATTATATCTTCTCCAACACTGAAGTTTAAGAACCTCATCACATTATTTCTCAGGCCTTTTCAGACCTATTGATCCCCATAATACACATCTGGCATGAGCTGACAGTTCACCCTGCTTCCTACTTGTCCACAACTTTTACAACAAAGAGAAGAACAGAATTAGCTATGTCTTCTCTTTTAGAACCTTGTGGCAGGTACTTTGCAAATTAATGTATCACTTCAGATCACTGTATTTAAGTTCCTGTTCCTCTCTCCTCCCACCCCCCCAGCACCTGAATCCTGCCATGCCTATGTTCACTCTCACTGTCAGTTCTAACCAAATCAAAATACCTGTACCATATCCTTTGTACTCACTACCTTCTCCCACCACAAGCATCCATTAGACCACAGAGAATTTCTTTCCTACGCCACTAAAACATGATCTTCCTGTCATCAGTATTTGACTCAAAGTTTACGAACTTCATACAGTTTTTTCAAGCTACAACTACTTAATGGTGCTAGCAAAACTCAAAATCTAGCAGGTTGCAATCACCCAGTTCTATTTCTTAACATTTAGCACTTTACAAAAAACTTTACTACAGATAGTTAATTTGTTTATATGCCTACTGATTAAAGTCTGATGAATTTACATCAATTCCTCCTGCATTTGGCTCTACCTTCTTAAAATAACGAATGTTCATGTTATTGTTATGATTAAAACTAATGTTTATGTGCCTACCATGTGGCATATAACATGCATTATTTTGCTAAAATCCTCAAAGAACCCTTTAAATGAAGTACTAATATTGTTACCAGTTTTTAAAGGGAGGTCATGGAGGCTCTGAAAGATTCAGTAACTTGCTCATGTTAAAAGAGGTAATGAATGGTGGATCTTTGAACTGAGGTATTCCTGTCCATAAAGACCATGCATTCAATCATTACAGATTCTGCATCTTGCAACTGATGAGTTTCAGTTCCTATTACATTTATGGCAGTGTTTCAATATAGGGGGCTCTTACCAAAGATGTATTAAAAACAGATAAAACAATACAAAAATCAAGTTATCTATTTTTTTCTTAAAATTTTACTTTTAATCTCTCATATACAAGAAGCATGCCTAAAGTTGGTTTGTGTTAGACCAAAGAGTATGGAAAATAATTGTACAAAATAAATATCCTCCACGCATAAAATTACTAAGCAAAGATAAGAGGCTGTTTTATTATTAAAATGTCTCAAAACAAAAGGGCACTACATCTCAACTATGACTAAGTATGATACATCACATTATTAAAATTAAATAATTGGAGTAAAGAAAGTAGCTTAACTTTCATCACGTTTGAAACTCATAAATTTTTAAATTAAGAGGAAATCTTGGATATGATATGTTACAGAACTAAGGAAAACAAAAAGTGATTTTAAAAATAAATTACATTTGCTAATCTAGGTTAACAAATATCATCTTATGTTTAGTTTTCAATCCAAAAGTCACAATGTATTTGCCATAATTTTCTGAAATGGTAACTAGGTTATTTCAAGATATCCCAAAACTTTTGTCTTCATTCATCCTTTTTAAACCCAACAAAATTCAGTAAACTTTGCTGGGCACCTTTTATGAGTAAGTTACTATGTTAAGGCCTTGTAGATACACCATTTCATATAAGTAGCTTATACTTCAGTACCCTAGCTAATCATGATGTACCAGAAATAAATTTATTTCTAATTCATGGTAACTTTTTTGGCAATAAGAAAACAGACTTTCAAGACACTCTGAATATTAAGTAAATATCTATACTCTTCCTTCAACTTTACTGCAACAATCCTCTCAAAGTTGAGGTAATTATAATTACTGAAATAACATAATACTTGCATACCAATTTCTAATTTAATAAGAAGTATATTCTTATGTGCTAACCATCTGTAGCAAGAAATGATAGGGAGTGGTCAACACTTCTTCAAAATATACAGTTACAGTAAAAATACTAAAAAACTGGGACCTTAATGAAGAACAGCAGAACTAAGCTGTCTTTTCAATATTCCGTTAATTTCTTTTAAAAATTGTACTACTGATATTCAAAACTTAAAATTAAAACTAGTATTTTCTCCCTCAGCTTAAAAGAAATCACTTAAAACCAAAATTAAAAACAGAAGCATCTGCAGATGCCATTTCTGTCTACTCAGCAAAACTAGAATTGCAAAACATTCTTTTTAGTAGAGTTAACTACCACAACAGATAAACTGTTTCCCAGCTAGTGGCTTTCATCAACCCCCAACTAAAAAATAAACCATTATCTAATGTGATGTGACAGTGTGAAATCTCATAATACATAATAACATTCGGCAGGAATGATGTAACAAATAGGGAGCTGGATGTGTGTGATACGTGATGGCTGGACTTCAACCAAATGTCAGATAAGCAAATAAAACGGTCTTTTCTCTTGTTCCAACCCTTGCCACTATACGATCACACACACATAAAGCACAGCACAGTAAGCCTGAGATTCCTGGACTTTACCCTCATTATAAATTGATGAAGGAGGCTAAGAAATCATCAGCTTGGAGGTTTGATTATGAAGTAAATTTAGGAGGAAAGCTCTCTAGGATGGATAAACTTGAAATTTACCTACCTTGCTCAAGCTCTCTAATTCCAATGAAAAAGAGTGGCATAGGCTTGCCAGACTTTCAGGGCCCTTCTAGATGCCAGACATATACTCACAACTACAATTGGTCAGAAACTACGGTGGCCCGTGAACACTGAGCCCATTTAGTTAACTGAGGCGCAAAGCTTTAGGAAATCTATGCAAGACAATGGGTTATAGTGGAGAGATCACTATATTGGGAGCCAAAAGGTTTCATGCCCAATATAGTTATATTCCAAATAGCTCAAACCTCTATATTTTTTCCAAATTATATTCAGTTTTCTACATTTTTCTCATTTTCTCCTCTAGTAGCCAGCAGTTTTGAACTACCTATGACTTTTTGTCTATCTTACCTCTGCCTCAAGTTTGTGTTATTTACCCATCTAAAAGTATGATTTAAAAAAAAAAATCTGTCATCCCTGAATAGGTGAAAATTGATAAAATGAAATTGAGTTTGGAATTCAACTGCACCTGAAAGATCATCTAAACTGTAAGACTTTCATTTCAAGGTCATTAAAGCAGAGAAATACCTCTCCAAAATCACATAGTTCATGGCAAAATAGCACTTAAAATCCATATTTTATGACTTCCAGTTTAATTTATTTTTTCCAATACTTTTGTTTTTCAAAAAAACTAGGATAAGCAGAAAAAGCTTATAAACCAGAAAGAGTTCTATAAAAAACGAATTAACATAAAAAAAGGAAGAACACTAGAGCAAGAACAACCCGAAACCAGGTGTGTTTTCAAATAAATAAGTCTTCTCTGTCCCTAAATCATGCTTTTCACATTTTTGGAGGGGTAGAGGGAAGCTTTCTTATATTTAGCATTGTTCAAAGGAATTTACGGGGCTTTCTTTTGTGGAAATTTTAAAAGTTAAAGAAGTAAAATGTTTGTGCACTGGTACAAATCTGCTTGATAATTAAACTGGATGATTCACTTTGACCTTAAGATTCAAAATTTGTGACTATCTAAATGTAAATTATCTCAGAATTTTTAAACAAAACTTACAGATTTCAAATGAATTGTCTGCAAGAAGGGTCCTTAACCTAGAGGTCATGTATACGTTTTCTATGAACTTATGACCATAGTATGTAATTCATTTATTTTGATGTATACATACAACTGTATATTTTTTCTAAGTCTACAGCTGGCATTGGTTTTCAAAGGTAATGACTCAAAATAATAATCATTACTTTCTATGTATAGACAAACTGAAAGAATCCCAAATTATGAAAAGACAAAAACTGCATGCATATTAATATTAGCAAAAGAACCTCTATTTTTGAAGTATTCACCTGGTGTTCCTACAATGCTATATTTGATCTACATGTTACACTTTAGGACCATTCTCCTACTCTAAATATAGATGACACAACTTATCTCTAGTAGCATTTTCCTTTGAATAGTTAAATCTAATTAGAAAAAAAGTAACTTTTTATTCAGAAAATGTATAATTTTATTTAAATTAACAAGTATTTGTACTTGCTACAATGTAAATTTCCTTAATTCTCCTATACTATTAAAATTCTGCACGAACATCTTAAAAACTCACATTTGCAAATGTTCCATACAGTTCAAAAAACTTCAAATGTGTGAAAACAGCATTTGCCAATTCAAATTTATACTGTTCTATTAAACTCTGATACTTGGAGATATCTCCACATTTTTTAATCTTTCATTTTCCTTTTCTTTAGATTTAGAAGAGAATTAAATAGAAATATTCCAAAAGAGTCAGAGGAGCATATCTCATCTGAATGTTTTAAATTGACTCTATATTTCAAATTTATTTTAAGATTAACACCACAGCATGTTATTTAATCTCTTGTGTTTTTGTAACAATCGCTTACTGTAGAATAACTATTTTAATTTCAATCAAAAAACAGGAGTTAAATCAGTAGTCAACGCCAGTGTGATTTTATCAGTTTTCTTACTAAACTATATTCAGAATGATTAGATACTTTAATATTTGCAAGCAAACTCTATAAAACTCTGTGGAAACATGAGGATTTTATTATCACTTCAAAAAGACTGTCTACAACTTTGGAAGAACAAGACAGATGGAAAAACTGCTTGAGCCCATGAGTTCAAGACCAGCCTGGGCAACACAGAGAGATCGCTTTCTCTACCAAAAAAAAAAAAAGAAAAAGAAAAAGAAAATCAGCAGGTTACTATGGCATACGCCTGTAGTCCCAGCTACTTGGGAGGTTGAAGCAGGAGGATGGCTTGAGCCCCGGGAGGTAAAGGCTGCAGGCTGCTTCAAGTCATGATCTCGTGACTGCACTGCAGCCTGGGTGACAGTAAAACTTTGTCTCAAAAAAAAAAGGAAAAAGAAAAAAGTGTCATCAGCTTGTTGCAATGAGATGTTTTGCCTTCTATGATTCCAAGCCACTCTCCTGTCAACTAAAGCTACCTTTAAAAACTCAATCACTTAACTCTTCAGATCCCCAAAGATTTACTTTTCTATTCTCCCTCTCCCCTTGCATTTACCTCAATGCTTTATGATTATGTACCCATCTGTAGAACTTAAAGCAATACATAATTTTATTTGAACCTTAAAAACCAACCTCTAAATAAAAGCCAGTAATACTGCTTCCATTTTACTGCTAAGAAAACCAAGTTAAAGGACTTACCCATATTTACAGGATTAATAAGTAACAGTCTGAATTTAAACCCACCCGCTTACAGTGTCTCCAATATAACTTCAACTCTCAACTTTCTCCTTCCCCAAATATACTTCTGTATCAACACACCTATACTCATTTTTATTCTTATGATGTTACTACCTTCCAGAGATTATAAAACTGAATATCAAGGTTTGGATGCACAGAGTTTGTGGTGAAAAACATGAAAATAAGATAAAAAATAGTTGACTGTGCTAGCTGTAAACATTAGCACGTCAAAGTCTTTATGCAGATGATTGAAAAAGTTAAAAGAAAATGTTTTTAAAATATTGTAAAGCTATAATATTTTTAAAAATTAAAACAGCCCACACTACTCAGGAGTTATGTTTGGTCAGTGTAGGAGAGATCCAATTATCAAAAAGCAAATACTGGGACTAAGATGACTGACCTCTTGATGGCTTCTCAGGGCCTGTGTCCATTAGTACTGATAAATAAACCACCAATGAGTGTTCTTATGTAGCTATAAAGTTACTTTGAAAATAAAAATAAATCACTACTTTAGGCCTGGCGCAGTGGCTCACGCCTGTAATCCCAGCACTGTGGGGGACTGAGGCAGGCACATCACAAGGTCAAGAGATGGAGACTATCCCAGACAACATGGCGAAACCCCATCTCTACTAAAAATACAAAAAAAAATTAGCTGGGCATGGTGGCGTGCGCCTGTAGTCCCAGCTACTCGGGAGGCTGAGGCAGGGGAATCACTTGAACCTGAGAGGCGGAGGTTGCAGCGAGCGGAGGTTGCAGTGAGCCAAGATTGCGCCACTGAATTCCAGACTGGCGAAAGAGCAAGACTCTGTCTCAAAAAAATAAATAAAATAAGATAAAATAAAAATAAATAAATCACTACTTAAAAAGGTACAATGCATTTTCAAAGATAAGGTATCTTTCTGATCTGTAAGAATTATACGATATGGTTTATTCAAGCAATAATAACATACTTTTCCTGAGAAACACAGATTGAGTCTTCCTGTTAAATCAAATCTACCCCAAAGCTAAAAGTGAGAGCTTAACTTCAGATTATTTCCACCTACTAAATTTAGAGTTTATCCTTTTATGTCTAGACACATACCAGAAACTATTTTCCTTTTTTATATATGAGAAACCAGCCAGGAGTACACTTTGGGAGGCTGAGGTGGGAGGATCATTTGAGGCCAGGAATTCCAGACCAGCCTGGGCAATACAGTGACACTTCATCTCTACAAAAAAAATTTTTTTTTAAATTAGCCCAGACTTGTGGTGCACACCTGTAGTTCCAGCTATTCAAGAGGCTGAGGTGGCAGGATAGCTTGAGCCCAGGAGGTAGAGGTTTTAGTGAGCCAAGATCACGCCACTGCACTCCCAGCCTGAGAAACAGAAAAGACTCTGTCTCAAAAAAAAAAAAAAAAAAGCAAGAAAAACCTTTAATAGGCATTTTGGGTTCTTCACTAGCACCACTTTCCTTTTGCACTTCTCTTCAAAAGGTGATTTATCAACATGTGATAAGTTAGTTTCTCAGTAATATACTGCTTATTGTAAATGTTTTGAGTATAGAGACAGTAAGCAAGATTTGCATTCCTGCTCCTCCCTATCCAATGCCCATAATAGTTCAAACTACATTTATCTCAAAGATGACTCAATACTTTTCAAAGAGAATTGAATAAATTTGGAAGACTAAGCATTCAATATGGATGCAAAAAATAGAATATGAAAGAAGGGAAAGAGAAGAGTGGGAGAAGAGGGAGAAAAGAAATTTCTGTATATTTTCAATGATTAACTATAATATTTTGCTTCTCACAAGAATGTCAGTTTCTTGTCAAATAATTCTATAATTTTACTTAATATTAATGCAAAAATTTACAGAATTTCCATGAAATGTAAAATGGTCATTTACAAATGGAATAATATGAAGAATTAAGTTTATTATCCTATTTATAAATAAAATGTTAAGAGCACTAATCTCAGAACTTTTGTGTCCCATATAAAATTCAATACATCTTAGTAATTAAATAGTTGGTCCAAGAGCACACCACCTAATACTAAATTTAAGGGGCACCTAAGCCTAACTAGTTCTTGAAACTACTGACATTAATAAGCAAAATTACCATAAGAAAATTATTTTTGTAAATTACCTAGAATACATATATACAATATTCTTAATCCTTTTTTAAATAAGGAGCCACCTGAAACAGAGTGCCAAAATCTTTATATAAATCAGCTTATAAAAATAAAACTGATAACAAGTTTCAGTGATAATATGTGATTATCCTGGCTAATGCTTATTTCCATTAAAGAGAACTATTATTACCAGGGTCATTAAAATTAAATCTAAACTTCATCAGTGAGTACATTTGCATGACACCGCTCAAATAAGCACATATGAATTTTGTGGCAAGAAGATACAACTTTCATTTGTTCTCTGAAATTCCAAGTATTCTAAAAACACAGAATACTCTAAAAGTACATTCAAGCATGGTTTTAAAAGTTCTTTTTTGTAGTCTTTTGAACTACTGGATCATAAATTTAACAGCTCCTAAGTTAGAAAACATTTTACTACTGAAAGAAAATTTCTCACTAATATCAAAGTTATATTAATATCCCTGAAAATTACTGACAGAACTAATCAACTATGTGTTTCTCCAAAACTGGAAGCTAGCTCAACTGCAACACCGTCAGTTGGGAAGCCTAATATATTAATATGAATTAAATAAGTCACAAAGTCAGTAACTTAAAAAATAAATAAATCACTTAAGAGTAATATCAAAGAAGTAACAAGTATTATTTCTTATACCCTTGTATCACACAGACATTCAGTAGTATGCCTTTGGAGTAAAAAGCTTCTCTTGGTCAAATGAGAACCAAGATAGACAAGTGCTGCCTCAACTGGCATTTTCTGTTGCATGGTCTAATGCTGAGTTTCTCAATCATTTTTACCGCCACCCACCCTCATTCCAGTTGTCATTTGGCAATGTCTGGAGACATTTTGATCGTCACTAGGAGAGATGCTACTGCCTAGTTCCCAGGTACTTCCCAAACCCCTCCTAAGAATTACCATGTACATTCTTCACCTAGTGACAGTATCGATTAACCTCCCCATCTCAAATTGTAGCTTCAAACTGTCCTAAAGTGGAGCTCAAAACAAGAGGTCATTAAGCTGGGGTCAGAGATATGTGCCAAGCTCTAACGCCAGATGTTAAAAGAGAGAAACCCCAGCCTGGTCTATACAGTCAAATATTATGACTAAACAAGATTTCTCTGCCTGCCATTGCCAACTCGGGAAGTTGACTTAATACAAATCAATCAAAAGTAAATCTACAAAATGCCCAGTATGGTTTTAAATCAGAGAAAATGTCAAAAAGTCTGGGAAAGTCCAAGAGCTGCTAAACAAGAACTCGCATCAAAATAAACGGGCTTCAGGAGGAGCAAAGGCAGCATCCCTCCCAGAAGCGGAACCCCTCTAATGCCCCTCTCAGGTTAGGAGCCTGCAAATGGCAACAAAAGACATCTGCCAAGACAGCAGAATGAGGGGCCAGTTAACCCAAATGAGGAATACGCTCCTTAGGAGAAAGGAGAATCCTCCTCATTCCTACTCTGGCCCAGGGACCCCTGCATGTAGCTTCCCCTTCTCTCCTTTCCAGATAGTAGTTTTATACCAATTCATCAACTTTTCCTAACCACTGTATAAAGGCTATGTTGGGAGGTGTTTAAATTTACCACTTACCACAATGGCCAGAATAGGGGGAGACACACAAGTTCTGAAAGGACAGCCTATTTTGCACTGGAGACAGTAACAACCTGCCTTTAGGTTAAGGCCCACCAGGGAAAATAGGAGGTTAAGTGTGATTTTGGTTTTAGGTGAGATAATGAATAGTGGAGATGTTTTTGAAAGTGTTCACTATGAAAAAATGCTATGCTAACCATTAATATACTCTGTAGTTTGAAAGACTACCACTGACAGACCAAAAATACCAATTTAAATCAAAATTTATCCAAAACATGAGAAGTTGGTTCTCTGGATTACTCCTCTCTCTACTTCCACCAATACAGCTCATGTGAGGTATACATGAGGTATACATAAACCGCATACTCTAGACAATTATTTTCATTTCTCAAACACCAAAAATGATTGTTCTAAATAATTTAGTCAGTTGACTAAAAATAGTTTTTAAATGCTAAACCTAAAAAGCCTAAAGAGTAGGAAAACTAAAAAACAACATATATGTGTAATCGAAATGTGAATACACTGATGTTTCTGCTACCATCAGTGGAATTTACTGTTTTAATTAACATATGTAAGGCTACAGATATTGTGATATTTAGGTGAAAGTTCTATATTTTCCATACCATTTTTGTAAGTAGTCCAGTGCCTCCAAACGAGCACCAATCTCAAAAGTGATTCCAGGGCGATTTGGGGGCTTTTTACTCATCTTGAGATCCTATTCTTCAGTATTCTCTTTTCACTACCTCAAGAGAAAGAAAAAAGTTAGATTCCAATGCAGAAAATGCATAGGAAGTAGAGTATAAGGGAACAGGTCAAATTAAAATTAAACAGAATTTCTAAAACAATACATGAGAATATGAAATACTTGCCAAATTGTTAAGAAATTTGAAGGAGTATTACCAACATCTCTATATAAAGTTCTGTGCAATCTGCAGGCAATCTTGATAATGATTTAAGAAAAAGAACAAAGAAAACTATCTAAAAAGAATGAGTAAATGGACTGTTAAAAATTGTTAATAGCTAAAAATGCTTTACATTTGAGCTTCCAGATACCCAAGAAAATTCTCCACGGGGAGAGCTGAAAATGCTTTCCTGCCTTTGAAAAATTAAGACAGCTGAGTGTTCTGGAATAGGACTACTGAAATTCTTGAGAACAAAATCAATTTTTAATTTCAACAAATATTTGTTGAGTGCCTCATAATACAAAACACTAGATAAGGCCCTACAGCACACAAAGATGGAGGAAACAGTAGGCACACTCCTCTGCCAGTGAAGATACCACTAATTCCTCTTGGGATTAGGATTTTTCATTACCCATGATCTCCCACCTTGGTAGCACATAATTCAATAATTTTAATTTAACATACAGTATTACAAAAGAGACTGCTTTCTTATACTTTACATTCAACAAGCAATAATAACATGCTTTTGTTAACTGAGTATTTCTACTATATTTCAATTTAGACAGTGTCCACATTGATAATAAAAGTGGTTGTAATGCTAGAACAAAAACTGCAAAGGAGTACCTATGTATCCCTAGGTCATTCACATGCAAAGTACTATATTTTGGGCCACAGTGGCCACCGAGCACACTTGAGGTGGCCTCTTTTTCACTAATGGGTATGTGAGGAATATGAATACATTTTGAGATAACCTAATCAAAACATAACTCATAATTAAGAATGTAAATTGATTGTTATCAGGGGCGAGGAGAGATCCGTAAAATGTCTTTCGGTATTTGAGATCACTAATGACTATGTTCCCTACAGTTTAAAAAGAAAAAAAGAAACACACACACTTGTCATCTTTTATAATGGTTTTGTCACAATTCATAATAGACAAAATAGAACAACAAACATAAAATTCCAACTGCTCCCTCTTTTCTCTTTGAAAGAGTCTGATAGGTAAGGGAAAAAATAGCATCAATACTGGCCATGAAAATATGCGAACTCAAATACCCATGGTTGGAGGGGGAGAGTGGGTATCCTCCTGCTATGGTATAAGCAAATATTAGAGCATTAAAAAGTTAACAGGGAGCTTGCCCAGGGTGTAGCTGGTGCAAAAGAACAAATGTATGAATATTTTTAATAGAGGTCTTGTCAGTGCGCAACACGTAAGGCAGTTACTTAAATGTTTGTGTAGAAATCGAATCAACCTTTTCTGCTGTCTGTCACAGGAAGAATTCAGTAAGGGATAGTTCACAAGGTACACTAACATCTAGAATCAAACTTAGAGCCCATAATTAAGTGATGGATTGAATGAGTATAATCCCCCAGTGACACTTAGGGATGAAGTACCAGAAAAAAAACAAGATTTTCCTTTGTCTTAGGTTCGAAGAGGGAAGGATGAAGAGGGATTTGAATTAAGGAACTTTCATAAAGTAAGACAGTCTACTGGGAGTAAAACTTGAAGCAAAAACAAGGCAGAAAGCACGGAGAGGAGTAAAAACAGTAAGGAAAGGAGCAAAGAATGGCAAGAAATAGGACAGTGGAAGTTTTCGGAGATGACAAGTTAGAGGGAAGAAGAAATGAGCAAGAAGACATAGAGACCGACAATGTAAAGCAATGGTCAGAGAATGACCGCCAGGCCAAAAAAGGTGAGGAGGTGAGGCCAGACAGAGAGGGGGTGGCACGAGACAGGCAGGAAAGGCTGACAGGGCTGGCAGGGAGCTGGAGAAGCCTCCAGGTTTGACAGCCATCCGGCCCTCCGCAGGGGGGTAAGGAAGGGAGGGGAAGAGGGAGCTGCGGCGCCCAGACAATAGGGCCGGCGAGTTACGGGGAGGGAGGCGGGAGGGGAGCGGGCCGGAAAGAGAGACACCAGAATGGGGGCGTCCCGGGCGGCCCGGCGGGGGCCAGGCGGCCTGCCGGCTCAGCCGCCGCCGCCTCTTACCGACTCGGCCTCCTCTCTGCACAGCAGCCGGGCCGTCCGGGGCCGAGCTGGGGCACGAGCAGGGCGGCCAGCCCGGGCCTCTGCCTCTGCCTCCGCCCAGGCAGCGGCCGGGGAGGGAGCAGGAGCGGAGCGAGCTGGGGCCGCAGCGCCGGATCCGCCCAAGGTTTCGCGGGAGGGAGCTGGGTCCGAGCCCTCAAGCTCGCTCAGGGTCCGCTGCCATCGCCGCCGCCGCCGCCGCCTCCGCCGCCGGCCAGCCCTGACGCGACGCCGGGCCCCGGCGACGTCAGCCGCCCGCGACGTGCCGGAAGCGGGCCTGGCCTTGTCACGTGACTCACGAGGGTTGGGCCCGGGCCGCGCAGCCGATTGGCGGGCCGCCGTAGGAGGCGGGGCTTTGCGGTCGTTGACGGACCGCTAGCGGGCGGGGCTCTGGTTACTGGAGGAAAGAACGCGAGCTCTTGGTGCCTATTGGTAGTTGTGAAGTATTTGACCTTTGAGATTTGAGGACGAAGGGCATTGTTTATTATTCTTGATTCGTTGGGAACCACGTCACCAAAACCCCTTTACCCAGGACCCTTGGCAAACTTTTTCAAATGCATTACATGCTTTCTTAGATATCCATCCCACTCCACATCAAGAATAGAGCATGGTTACTACTACAAAATCAATAAACCTCCCTTGAATGGATGCTTTGTGATAGACACTAGGCTGTAAATATGTCACATGACAATCACAACTGTACAACTGTATTACAATTGTATTGCTTTCCAGTCTTGGAGATCTTTACAATACAAAGACGAATATTACTAAGATGTGTGTACGCGCGTGCTCAGGCACAGCTGAATAACCTTAACCTATGGCTACATTGATATCACTTCCCCAAGACTACACAGCTAATGATAGCAGAACTGCTTTTATCGAATACCTACCCTCCCAAACTTTACTAAGCACAGGAGACAGTATCCTTGCTGTGGGGAGAAACCAATAAGTGAACACATTGAAAATAATATTGAAATGAAACATCTTTTTTCTCTTGGTTTCCACTGTACCACTCTGGTTTTCAAGTGCAACGTTGCATACAAATGTCACTTATATTTATCTTGCTTCATAGTGTGGAGTTAAAATAGCAAAGTAACTCTCTTTAAGCTTCAGTTATAGTAAGATTTGGTAAATTAAACAATCATTCTTTTTTTATTCAACAAACATTCATTCAGCATCTACTAAGTCACTAATAGCTACTGAGCTAGACTGAGCATGGTGATACATAGAAAAGATATAAATAAGACAGTCTCTAGTGGATATTTGTTATAGAAAAGATATAAATAAGACAGTCTCTAGTGGATATTTGTTATCTTGTTTTTTGGTTGCCCAGCATCTCAACTCTCTTTCCATGTTTGAGAAATTTCTCATCATGGTTGCATTAGTTCAGAACACCAAATACTTGTAGCATCTTCCTTAGGACATGACAGGATTATACTTTCCACCCTCCTTAGAATTATGTATGGCTATTTGATTTGCTTTGGCTGATAAAATGTAATTAGAAGTGAGATTTGTCATGGCCAGTTGGTAATTTTTAATGCCAGCTCACCAAAGTTTCTGTCTCTGGCACAGTGTAAAGCACTGCTTGAGATGATAGCTGCTCTACCATCCAGGTTCTAGACAGATTATGATGAACCAAGGCCTCACTGATAATCTACAACTACTGTGTTGTATAAGGAAAAAAATAAATATTTATTATTTTAACTATGGAGATTTGGGTGCTGGATTGTTTGTTACATGGCATAATCCTACCCAAACTAAATGATACATCCACCTTATGAATCTTGGATGCAGAATCAACCTCCCACTAAATAAGATGAAAATATCAGAAACTCATGTTTCCAGTCTCCCTTGCAGCTAAAGTTCTAGCCTCAAGTAAAACTCTTTTACCAAGGACTTTGTATCAGAAGTTGCTAATGATGTTCAAAATAAGGAAACTTTTCTCCCACATCTGTGGCAGTACCAGTATTCAAGTTTCTGATGGTCAGCCTGGAGTTAAATCTTTCTGAACTCTGGCAGAACCCCTGCTGAATCACAAGCTAGTGACTGAGAAAAAATAAATATCTATTATTATACACCACTAAAAACTTGAGGTTATTTGCAATTTAAATAAAATACATACATAAAGAACAACAGATTCTGTCCATTCTCCCAACTATTTGTTGAGAATCCACCCTGGAAAGATGATTGTTCCATTTTAATTGGAACTTGACAATGGGTCTTCCAATAATGACACTTGAAAGAAAAAAATAAAATAAGGTCTTATGTAAATGATCCCTAGCTTCAGTGAATTGTATAGGCTTAGTAATCCTCTGTGGAGTTAATACCGTCCCCTAGAGGGCACTTTGGAAATGGAGGATGGTATTTTATTGTCTCAGGATTGGGGTAGGGCACTGCTACTATTTAGTGGGAAGGGACCAGGGCTGCTAGATATCCTGAAATGCACAGTGCAGTTCCATACCTTGAAGAATTGCCCCAGGTCATGCATGACTTCTAGATGTCCTTCCAGACATTCATGTAGGTGAAAAACCTGTTTATAATTGTCCCTGCCTAGAACTGCATTTCACATATAAGTATTTTTGGAAGGTTTTAATATACATTAAATTTTACAGGAATGAAGCAACTGTGTAATGTAAGGAAACACTGACCTTTTTTCTGAACATTATCAAGAGTCTATCTCATTTTAAAATATCATGCCACCAACGGCTAATTACTCATAGTATTTGAGGCACTGATAGAATGCACCTGTGTCAGTCTAGTTGCGTAGCTGTTACATTTAGGGAAATCTAAATTTAGATACAAGCACCTCACTACTTCATTATATATTTCTGTGATACATGGATGAATGTTAAGTATTGAAATATATATGATTTTTATGAATTATTTTCATAAATTTTTTATATTATCATAGTCATATTGATTTTTAAGTATATATGTATAGCTTGGTTATGTTATTTATGAAGTTAATTTTGGGAAGTGGAGAGGGTGTGAATATAATATTGACTCTAAAAGGAAGGCACTAAGCCTGATAAAACTGACAAAAAATTCAGGTAGGATGTCATTTCCTCTTTTAACCACATAGAGTCAAAGGTCAGGATCAGAGTAGGGATACAGGATATACAAAATTCTAGTACTGACTCCCTGGCCATGTAGTGAAGCCGTGCATTGATCTGTCCCTTCTCCTCTCTTCCACCCAGCACACCCTGTTCCAGATGGTTGATGCCCAGCCATCAGTCACTCCATCTCCAAATATAGAAAGAAAGAACTTACAGCTGTGTTTGAGCAGAACCAAACAAGCAGTGAGCAAATTATCTTGAAACAACAGTTGTTAGGCAGAAATCACTGAACTAAATTCCTCCAACATTAAAAATATGAATATGGAACCATAATGTCTCCTGGAATATTTAACAAATGTATACCTATTTTAAGGTAGGAAAAAAAGTTACTACTAAATACCAGATACTCCTTGATTACAAATAAAACACAAGATAGCTATTTTTTGTGTGTTTACTTAATATTTACAATTAGCATTAGTAAAGAAAATCAAAGCAGTTCAAGTTTTTTTTAAGGTTAGTTTAGCAGAAACGTAAACTACTGTGATAGCCTCTGTCAAATCTCTTCATTCCATGTGCATAAAAATCTTTGAAAATAGCACTGACATCATTTTCCTCACCTGCCAAAGAGCTCACTTATCTTTCCTCTGTCACCATATCCCTTTATCAACTGAACAGAAATTATAGTTATTCCAGAATTAATCCCTGGCAATAGGAGCTCTAGGCCATGTATGAATTGGCAGAGATGTCATCTCTCCCAGTGTTCCCGCAGCATTTTTTTCACCTCTCTAATGTATTCCTCACTGTGATTCGTAGGTTTATATTCCACTTTCTTAGAATGAGCCAACTCTAAGGATGATAGGGTGTTCCAGATTACTTTAAACATACTTATATATACAAATAAAATAAAGAAATATGATGTTATTAAAGTAAATAATAATACATATATATTATAAATACAAAGTACATAATATTGAAGTAATATATATTACTTTGATATATATGTATATATGTAAGTTTATGTGTTACTCAGTTTACATGTTACTCAGAGCCACATGGATCTCTGAGATTTTTAAAACTTTTAGGCTTGGCAATAATGATTCTAAGATATCAAAGTCTCTGCTACTAAGGGTCATAAAATAGAAAAAATATGTATGTCTATTTCAGCAAATGCAGCAAGAGAGACAAAGAACTCTTTTGTGTGTGTGCAGATTACCATGAAGCAAGAGAGTGAACAGAAAATTTATCATCCAACCCTGAACACTTTTGAGAATGGAAGGAAGGGCTATTAATAATTATACCAGAATGACAGGTGGATCCTGGACAGTTCCAGACAAACGGAGATATCTGGTCATGACACATAAAGCAGGAAGAAATAATCATGAGAAATTAGTAAAGATTTTATAAATAGAAGTACATTGAATATGGAATCCACTCGTGATACTGCAAAGGATTTTCACATTTCTGATTTAGGACAAAGGATGGTCTCTGCTTCCTGCTGCTATGTGATACTTTGCACCTCTCCTGATTTTTATCATTGTTAACTAGTGTCTCTTGCATTAACTATATCAGTATTTCTCAAGCTTTGGTCTGCCAATTATCTGCATTATGGAGATGTGCATATGGCTCAGGGGCACTGTTTTAACAAGATGGTCTGTTAAAATGCAACACTGTTTGATAAAATTCAAGTTCCTGGGCCCTGATTTATATCTTAGGTTTGGGGACTGGAAATCTGCATTTTAGCAAGCTACCCTAAACAATTCATACGTACATGAAATATTCAGACCCGCAGTGTGTGAGGATTCTTTTTGTCGCATGTAACAGAAAATTTTATGAAAACAGGCTTAAGCAAAAAGGGAATTTTTCAGTTTGGGGAGTTAATAGAAGATAAGGAATAAGTCTGCCTTCTGTGTGAGTTTGATTCAGTGAAAAATTATAACATCTTTCACTCTACTTCTTAAGGTTTAGCTTGATTCTGGGGATCCCCAACAGCTTAAGACATTACAGCATCCTGGCGACCGTAAAAACAAATACTAGGAGTCTTTCTCTCACTGGCTGAGATAAAGTTAGGTGCCTAAATCTGAACCAAGTATGGTGGCCATGGGGATGACTTGTACTGATTCGGCTTAAACTGGGTTCCTATTCCTATCAGGCAGGTAAGCGTGAAGACTGGTCCAAACCTCGTGGACTGAGCGATGGGAATGAGTGGGTTCTTTAATGCAAAATTCGAGTGCTGTTACTTAAAAGAAAGAGACTGGAATTTGGACAACAAAATAACTAATATTCAACACAACTGTAACTCCAAATTACAATTTACAGCCATTCAACAAAGCTGAGAATTCTCTTCCTAGCTTGCAAAGTTAGAAAACCAAGCCAAATGAGAGACAAATCTAGTGAGAGATTGACCTAACATTCACATTCCTAATCTGTAGGTGTTTGATTTTAGAGATAGTCTCTACAACGTACAATCCCCATTTCCGTGGATTGTTAAAACTGCAGCAGGAGAGGGTGAGCAACAGAACACAGCAGCTATACAAATTGACAGTCACCAAATGGTGAATACTTTTACTCTCTTAGTGATCATTCTTTTCGTTGAGAACAGAGCTAGCAGCAATTTAGTGGCATCCTGAAATATGGCAGACAACATACATGCATGCATGCAATATTCATTTATTTGCATGCATTCATTCATCATTAATTTATTTGTTTAATCACTTAATGTCTTAGTTTGTGCTGCTATTTAAAAAATACCAGAGACTGGGTAGCTTAAACAAAAGAAATTTATTCCTAACAGTTCTAGAGGCTGGGAAGTCCAAGATCAAGGTGCCAATTGATTTGGTGCCTGGGATTCTTCCTGGTTTGCAGTTGGCTGCCTTCTCACTGTGTCCTCACATGACAGACAGAGATCATCTCTCTCATGTTTCTTCTAAGGGACTAATCTCATTCATGAAGGCTCAACCTTCATTACATAGTTACTTACGAAAGGCCCCACTTCCAAGTACCATTGCATTGGGGATTAGGGCTTCAGTATATTAATTTAGGGGACAGGGAGACACACACAGTCAGTTCACAGCACTCAACAAACTCTTTTTGAATTCTTACCTAATGCTAGAGACTGGGTGATGTAGAGTAAGGGAACAGGAAGAAAAATAAAATTAGATACCCATTCAAAGTTGACTTGTCATGATGCAGATATGGATACAGAAACAACTAAACACAATATGAAGCTAAATATAAATCATTTTGAAATAAAGATACTATTGGAATATGGTCATTCTGACTCGACAAATCAAGAAAGACAGCATAGAAGAAGAAACATTCAAAATATGCTTTGAAGGATGAGTAAGCTTCAAATAAGAGTTCTATGCAGACTTTATAATTATTAATGCCTTACACTTCTTTATAGTTTCAATTCAAGAACTGACAAATGAAAATATTCTACTTCCATTTCTTTTCCACATGCGTTTATTGAACATCTGTGGTGTGCCAAGCACACAGCACTAGTTTCAGGGAGCATAAGGGATAAGCTTAATTCCTGATCATTGTTAAGACATTTAACAATGTAGACATGTAGACAAACATGCAAACAGATAACTTCAATACATTGTAAGTGTTAGTGTGGAAGAATGTGCAGGGTCAGCATTTGGGCTCTAACTGGTCACTCACAATTTGTCTAAATGTCTGGCCTCTTGGCCAGGACCAGAAAGCAATAACACTATCTCCAAGGTAATTGTGGACATTCAAATGAAATAATTCCCCTTCTGCAGGAGGGAGAGGGAGCAGGGAAGGGGCAGATAATTTGTCAGCACAAGCATTGCACAGCTCGTGGTTTGCCTTAGTCAAAGTATTGAGGCAACACACCCTTGTGGTCAAGTATCGGATTACTTCCTCTTTTGGATTTTGCAAAACATTCAACAGAGCCAGTTTCACCAGAATGAGGAGAAACACCCTTTGGTTTTCCTTCTTTTCTCTCCTATTTTTTTTTTATAACTATGTTGTCTTCAAAAAATGCTACAATTGAAAATGAACCCTGAGCAAACAGTAGGGATATACATATAGCATTTTTGAGGGACAGAATTCTAGTTGCGGGAAATATCCTATAAATCCTAAAAAGACACATTAGCAGCAAATGATCTGCCTGCCTCAGCCTCCCAAAGTGCTGGGATTACAGACGTAAGCCACCGTGCCCTGCTGAACACAACATTTTTTAAAGTAAAAGAGAGGAATGTAAATATTTGTGACCAAAGGAAATTTGAGAACACCAAGTATAAGAAAATCAAATCTAAAGGCAAATAATGAAAGTACTACAATGAATTTAACGATGTGGAAATTGTAGATTCTAAAAAGCAGGACAAAGCATCCAAAATCTCATTCTCTATCACTACCTGGACATGAACTATTCCAGTGTTATTACAAGGAAATTGAGGTGAGTCAGTTTAAATAAATCAAATCTAGCCTGTTTGGCCACTTTTCTGATTTCTGTGTCCTTTCTTAGTACATCACTTATAATTTAATTATTGTCATATTCTCTAAATACTAGTATATGTAATCCCCATCCCTACCCCCATATTACGTATAAGTAACATAATTGCTTAATGGCATTGTGATCTCGCAATGTCATCACAACTCATACCGCCAACATAATCTTTTTCTCATAAAGCTAAAGAGTTTGAAAGTTCTTCAGAGACATGCCCATGAATTATTCACCCGACACAGGACAGATGCCTAAGCAACAGGTTGTCCAATAAGCTCAAGCTGCTAGCAGTCAAAAACGAAGAGCTAGGCCGGGCGCGGTGGCTCACACCTGTAATCCCAGCACTTTGGGAGGCCAAGGCGGGCAGATCATGAGGTCAGGAGATCGAGACCATCCTGGCCAACATGGTGTGAAACCCCGTCTCTACTAAAATACAAAAAATTAGCTGGGCATGGTGGTGCGCACCTGTAGTCCCAGCTACTCAGGAGGCTGAGGCAGGGGAATTGCTTGAGCCCGGGAAGCAGAGGTTGCAGTGAGCTGAGATCGTGCCACTGCACTCCAGCCTGGCAACAGAGCAAGACTCTATCTAAAAAAAAAAAAAAAACCAAAGAGGTAGGTATGTCTCAAAACAATTATAAGCATGAATATTGACACAGGAAGCTGACTGGAATCAAATGCATGAAAAGTTGTTGATATGTTCTTAGAATAGAATGTACAGTCAAAGAGGTACCAGCTTGGTATCAAAGAGATTATGACAACTAAAAATTTCAAAGTTATCTTCCCATTTGCTAACTTCTACAAGCAGAAAGTAAGTTGAGAAGGTTGCTCTGCCCCCAAGAAACGCATATTCTCTAATCTTCAGAGGAGGCCGAGGAGAGTAATGGAAAAGGAATACTTTTACTTTCCAGAGGGCAGAAACAAGAGCCACAGTTGCCTGAGTTAATACCCCTGAGGAGCAGAATTAGAGCTCTATCAAGGAACATTCCCTATTCACAGGGTACAAGGCTTTTGTAACAACTGATCAAACTGATCATTCCGTTTCAGAATAGCCCCATTACTCTTTTGCTAAATAGGAGAAGTTTTGATGGAAGTTACTCCATCTCTGTTCTGGTATTGAATGTTGAACATACAGGCTAAGATGTTTTAGAAGTCTTTGTATCAAGAGAAACCACATTGATGTAGAGATTATTATGGGATTCTGGACTGGAAGTCTGTTGCCATGATTAAATAAGATTTTGGCGTGTTCTCTGGAAAGATGAAGTGAAAACAGCATCTTTTTTATTTTTATTTTTTTTTTTTAGACAGAGTCTTGCTCTGTTGCCCGGGTTAGGGTACGCAATGTTGGCTCACTGCCACCTCCGCCTCTCTTGCTCAAATGATCCTACTGCCTCAGCCTCCTGAGTAGTTGGGACCACAGGCTTAAGCCACTACACCTGGCTATTTTTTGTAGAGACAAGGTTTCCTCATGTTGCCCAAGCTGGTCTTGAACTCCTGAGCTTAAGTGATCCGCCTACCTCGGCCTCCCAAGATGCTGGGATTGTAGGCATAAGCCACCGTGCCTAGCTGAATACAGCATTTTTTTTTAAAGTAAAAAGGAGGAATCTAAATATTTGTGACCAATGTGGAGGGCTGTAGTAAATTATACAACAATTCCCAGTTCTTCCTTTCCCCCCCGCCCCCCATGTACTTCTGATATACATCTACCCATCACCCTATGACTTACAGTGCTTCCCCCTGGAGGTGTGTACTTCCCTATCCTGATGGCATTGAACTTGACCATGCAATATGCTTTGACCAAGGAAATATGGGTAGAAATTTCAGATGTCAGCTCTGAAAAGCTTTAAAAGCCATTATGTATTTCTGACAGCCCTCCTGTTCTCTTCCCTCTGCCGCAAGAAAGGGAAGTCCCTCACAAGGGGTACTGCCTCCAGGAATGATGGCACAAGGAGCAAAGCTACAGCCAACTTGCAGTTAACACAGGTCAAGATATGTTAGATTCGGCAGGGTGCGGTGGCTCATATCTGTAATCCCAGCATTTTGGGAGGCTGAGGCAGGTGGATCACCTGAGGTCAGGAGATGAAGACAAGCCTGGCCAACATGGTGAAACCCCATCTGTACTAAAAGATACAAAAATTAGCTGGTGGCGGGTGCCTGTAATCCCAGCTACTCAGGAGGCTGAGGCAGGAGAATCTCTTGAATCTGGGAGGCAAAGGCTGTAGTGAGCCGAGATCGTGCCACTGCACTCTAGCCTGGGCGACAGAGTGAGACTCTGTCTCAAAAGACAATAATAATAATAATAATAATAGTAATAATAATAATAAAAAGATGTGTTAGATTCAAGTAGAGAAGCAGAACCACTAGGAATGATCCAGAATTGCAATTGTGTAAAATAGAGATTGAACCTTGTATAATTATGGACACTGGTAAGCGAGCTCAGTTTGGCTGTTTCTTAGGAGGGGTGCTGAGCCTGAAATCACTAGACAGTTGGTCAGTATCAAAAGATGGACAAGAAGCAGAGGAGAGCAGGGAAAACTGGAATCCACAAAGAACCATCTGGAACACGCATCTGTCTATCACCAAAAGCCATATAGGCCTTTTCCTATCTCTGAGACTCTACCCTCATTGCCGGGTATACTCTAAACAGAAGCTGGCATTCTTTCTGCAGAGCCACACCCTCTCCTCTACTAGGACTTGTAAAATGGAAGGAAGTGATCTGCAGGGACTGGAGCTTTGGGCCGAGTCCTTACATCAAGCCAGCAGGTCTGTGGAAACGTGCATGAGCTTGCCGCAAAGTCTAACTTTCGGGGACCTTCCAAAAATACACACAGCTTCAGCTCCACTTTCATCTTCCAAATCTCGCACAAGTTGCTTTTAGGGCCTATCTTAACCAGGAGCATGCAAAAAAGGAATTCTGAGAAATGTAGGTTCACTTGGCCAAGTTAACATATTACAAAGCCATCAAGTGGGAAAATAAAAGCTTACTGCTGTATGCCACTAAGGCTTGAAGGTTGATTTTTACTGTGGCATAACTGTTATGATAAAATTGCTAGCTTCCAACTCCTTCTAGATTAGTAGCCTGTCCAGGCTTTGGCCCATATATCTCCTTCTGGCCCTTGTGTGCTATGTGTGGCAGAGAACCTAGCCAGACTTGGATGATAAAAAATCTTATTCACATATTATTAAGTGCCTACTATGATAATGATAGAAACCGTAATAGCAAACTAGAAAAGCATTCTCCTTATTCTCTGAGATCTCACAGTGTAGCAGGAGGAACCAACATGGACAGAAACTTGGCTCATTAGTTCCAATTGTGATGCATCCTCTGAAAGGAAAGCGCAGACAGCTATGGGATCCATAACCTGGTCTGGGAGGGTCAGAGAGGCTGCTCAGAGAAAAAGCTCTTTCAGAAAGAGATGGGAGATGAAGAAAATAGCACATTCCAAGGGCCTGAGGTGGAGCAAAGCTAGAGAAGCTGAAAGGAAGCCAGCATGGTTGAATTCTAAAAAGACAGATGGGGCCTGTTGAGGGAACAATGAGGCTGAAAAATAGTCAAGTCCAGACCCTACCAGGCCTGGCAGGCCATGAAGAGGATTTTGAACTTCACAGGAGAGAGGAGCAAGGGCAAGCACTGATGAATTTAATCAGGGGAGTGACATAATCAGATATTCTATTGGAGAGGTCATTCTGACCATGGCTTGGGGAGTGTATTGGAGAGAGGCCAAGTGACTTTGGCATGTTGGCATGGAAGTCCAGGCAACAAGTGCAATACACACACACACACACACACACACACAACCTCCCAGTTCATATTTTTCATTATGTAATGTACCTTATTGATAGCTATTATTATATGGCTTATGCATACTGATTTGATGTAGCTGGAGCCCTAGAGCAGATAGTGGAGATGGAGACTTAGATGATAAGCCTAAGAGCTACATGAAGAGGAATCAAGATTTCAAGTCCGTGTTCAAAAGCTACATGGAGAGGAGTCGCAATTTCTCCCAGTTTTCTGGCATGAGTGATTGGGTGGAAGATATTGCCATCTAATGGGACACAGTGTTCCAGAGCAGGATGAGGCTTGGGTAGGAAGAGAGATCATGAGTACATGAGGGATTTAAGGAAGCATGCAGACATGTTTGTTCGTTGTTTGTAGTGTGTTAAAATTAAATTTGTCAAGTCCATCAATTTATGTCAGCATTTCCTAACATGAGTTCTTTAGCATTCCGCCTGTCAAAGAGTATCTTAGGGACTAACAGTTTTGGCTTTACGTGGGAGCTGATATGAAACACTGTCTCCAATTCCCTCACTTCTGTAAGATCCTCTGTGATTCATTTGCAACACATGAACGTTTGCAACACATAGCTCTGGAACTGGGGTCTTGGGAGATATTATGTGACCAAAAGATTCTCAAGGCAAATAATTTTGACAGATGGTGAGACCATGTTTCCTGTGTATAGTAGCAAGTCCGAGTATCATTTAAAAGATTCTATAGTGACCTCTATTAGAGACCTATGCTTTCTAGAACTTTTTGTACTGAAATTTGCCACTCGTCTTTTCCCCATCCACACGCATCACCTCCATTAACAGTGGAGGACTGAATATTCTGTGGAACATGCTTTTAGAAACATTGATTTATAACATGCAGAATAAAGGTTCTGAAGGCAAGTCTACCTGGATGTAATTAATTTATTTGTTAATTCCACAAACATTAATTGATAACCTACTATATGGGAAGCACTACTCTTGATACTTGGGCTATTAAAATGAAGCAAAATGACAATATTCTCTGCTCTTTTAATGCTCATGTTCTGGCTGAGGAGTACGTTTCTTATTACAAGGAATGAATTGTGTGACATATTCCTTGGTAAAAAGTGCTAAGGAGAAGAATAAAGCAGGAAGAGACTAGGGAGTGGTGTGGAGGGCAATTAATTAGTAGCAAGGCAGTGGAGAAAAGAGCTGAGGGAGGGGAGGAAGAAAGCCCTGTGACCCTTAGGGTGAGGGAACACTAACCTCAAAGATCTTGAAGTAGACCCGTGTCTAGTGTATGAGAAACAAGAAGAAGATGAGTGGGTCTCAAGAGAGAAGATTGAGAGGGGAACCATAGGTTTGGAATTTAGTTCTGGCCATTGGCAATTTTGAAAGATTTATGCAAACTCTATAAACCTCTGTCCTGCATGTGGATAACAATTGCACTTATTTTCTAGGGCTACGTGAGGTTGAAACAAGATTACATATGTACAGTGTTTAGTGCAGTGCCTGGTTTGTAGAAAATGCTGACACACGTTGGATATGATCATTACACTTATAGGTTAAGAAAGCAAACTCGAGAGCCATCTCATCAGGGTTTGAATCCTAGCTCTACTTACTCATCACGTACTGGCTATGTGAATTTGGGCAACTCTCTAAACTCAGTTTGCTCTTCTGTAAAATGAGAATAATAATACAGCATCTCCCATGGAATTGATGTAACAATTAATGTGTTGATATGTGGAAAGACCTTAGAACAGTGCCTGGTACATAGTAAGCACTCCTTAAAGTTAGCAATTATTATGATCATTAATAATAAGGTTCTAATATGTGCCAGATCTTTAAAAAAAAAAAAAGTAGACCAAAGTCTTTCTGATGTGAGCTCTTCGGAAAAGTGGATTTGTGGGCACAGGAAGAGCAGAGGGTCTCGAATAAGTCAGAAAGATTTTCCTCCCTCATCTAGAAGAGATAAGCCAAGGCTGGAAGAGGGAGGATGAGGGATAAGAAAAACAGGAAAAGGAGAAGAAGAGAACTGTGAATTCCAGTAAAGAGAATACCAGACAGCTGTGAAGCAGAATAGCTGTCTGTTAAATTTAGGCAGATGTGACCAGGAGTAGCCTTGAGTAAATGTGACTATATTCTACAGGAGTCACTAAAGCAGCAGAGAGTCAGCAATGACAGATGGCTCAGGAAGTGACCTGTGTTAGGACTATGCATCTGCTATGTGTTGCTGTGTAACAAATTACCTCAAAACGTGGTGGCTTGAAATACCATTTGTCACTTCCCAGTTTGCGTGGGCCAGGGAGCTGGGCAGGGCTAGCCTGGGTTGTCTGCTTCTGGGTCTTTCCCAGTTCCAATCGAGCATTAGATGGGGCTGCAGTCAGCTCAAGGCTCAACTGGAGAAGGATCCACTTCCAAGCTCACACACTTGGTTTTTGGCTGGATTCCTGGCTGTTGGATGGAGCATCAGACCCTTACTGGCTTTTGAGACCACTCTTGATTCCTTGACACATGGGCTTCTCCACCATGGCAGCTTGCTTCATCAAAGCAGGCAAGCAAGAAAGTAATAGAGTCCAACAAGATGGAAGCCTCATCATGGTAGTGGAAACTCAGCACCTTTGCCTTACTTTATTTACAAGGAGCATGTCAGCAGCCTCAGTCTACACTCAAGGGATGGAGAATAGACATGAAGTTCCAGAGACAGAGAACTTTGAAATTAGATGGGCCCTCCTCCTGACAGTTCCTGCTGCCTAGAACATGTTCTACAGAAGATCCTGCCATGTGGCAGAACCTCAGGGGGAAAGGGAACCCCAGGAAAGGATGAGATTAACTTTTCCGCCAGCCGGACCAACTGGTGCCTCAGAAGAGAACTTGATTTAAGAAAACAAATAAAGAATACACCTTGCACATCTGTGCTGAGGACTCGATTATTTCTCATTTCTTTTATTTCATTTAATTCTTCAAGCCATCATATGACATATATATTTTTATGTTTATAATTGAGAAAACTGCAACTCAGAGGGGTAAGTCACAAATCTGAGGTCACACAGCTAGGATGGTAGACAGGTTGAATTTCTGTCTTGTGACCCCAGAATCCGCACTCTTTCCACTATGCAGTGGTACCTCAATGTTGCTGGAATATATATTTGAATGTACATTTCTTTTATCACTTACAGTAGTACAGATGTGTATGAACCCATAAACACCATCAAGTCTTTGAGCTCTACTATAATGTAAATGTAAAATGCCATCTATAGAGTTTTTTGTGAAGTCCAACCTTCATTAGATAAACCTATTGCCTCTATAGAAATTTTCATAAGATCAAGCTCTTGCTATTTAATAGTATTCTGAATTTAATAGCATCAGTGCATTATCCTCAATAAATTTAAGTGATTTGGACAAAGATCACTACTCTGCACTACTTATAACTGAATGTGGCCATATGATGAGCAAGAAATGTCAGTTCGCTGAGTCTTTCTCACGTTCTCGCAGCCAAAGGTGACAAGTTAGCTCAGAAAACCACCCCTCCAGTGACCAGGGTGTAACCAGCTGGCCTGACACATGGGCTGCACATTCCCTGCTGCTGGCCCAGGAAACTCTCTGAAATCTTCAGCACACTCCTCAGTGTGAATGCCACTGATGTGAGCCCAACAGGAAGTGTGACCTCATTCTGCTTCTTTGCCTCTGGTTACGCAGGCTGTTTTCAAAAGAAAACAAGAGAAGTTGTAAGACTGACTTTCCCAAGAACTATACACTCATTTATACCAGGAAACAGACAAGAGAACAAGAGGCTGCCGAAGACAAAACTTCTCTGCAAGCACCTGTGCACAGCAATGTGCGTGGGCATCTGTGAGAAGAAGGTAGGGTGGGATTCCCTTTATTAAGAGACTTCTGCACCTGTTGACATTCAGACATTTTTCAGCCGAGGAACTGCTCAGTCCTCAATTTTTCCACTGTCAACCACAGGAAGCTTCGTATTTCAGTAATAATTTTGTCCTTTGTCAATTGGAAGAAGAGGCTGGGAACTCCCTTTGGAAGGAACACGTATGCACACATTATTTTTCAGAATAGATGTGTCGCTTTGATGGAACTGGCAGATTCTGTTTCTTGAAAAGTTTTAGATCTGTAACTGAAGGGCTTTTTTTTTTCCTACTGTTACTAATTTTCTATTGAATGTCAGTGTACTGCCTGTAGATTCTTCTAAGCACTTGTGAGATAGAGCAATAAGACCTTCTTTTGCTGCAGGATTTATAGGCTTAAAATTAAGCTTAATACTTGGGGAACACTAAAATAAGGTAATTTGGGCTGGGCATACCCGTACAATATTGATCAAAAATGAAAAGAACAAGTAACATACTAATATATTACATTACACTGGGATTATTTTATATCCCAAACAAATGAAATTTGTAAATGTGTGCTTTGATTTAGAAATCTTCCAAGGAAGGCCAGAAAGTTCTCCTGACATCTTTACAGGTCTCTATAAACCAGGTTTATATTTTCCTAATAGGGTTTATATATAATTTATTGAAATATTCAACTTGAAGCTGTAGAATTAGCCTGGTTTGATTGATTGAATTACAGCTACAAAAACAATCCATTACTAGTTCTCATGTTACAAAATGTGGCCATAAGTGGTGAATCAGAAAATAATTTACTCCTACCTTATAAAGCGATTAGGATAGTGATACTATATACAAAGTTTCATAGTCAACAGAAGTTGGTTCTATTTGATGAACAGTAAATGATCAAAGTTTGCATAATTTACATACTTTGATATGTTTTTAATTAGTAATTGAGAAATTAAATCATGTCTTCATGGGAACTAAGTTCTAAAATCTTCCCAATGGTATGCTATCTTTAGTGCAACATTACTTATGCTGTTTAGGAATGTCCAGGCTGATAAAAACTATTAAAATCACTCTCTGTGACTACCTGTCAATGGTTCAAGTTGTTGGGAAAAAGACAGACACCAATCTCCAAGCACTGTTTGAAACTTGATAATGAAGTTGACTTGTGTCAGATGATTAAAATACACGTAAGTTTGTTTTGGGGCTAAATGACTGTTAGAACCAGTCATTTTATTAAGATTTCTTAATCAAATACCTCACTTTCATTATTTTCTTTGGATTACAAATCAACCTTTTTAAGTCTAGATTTTCCAAATAAAGTGTGGTTCTTATTTACAGAAAAATGTTATTGAGATGCACTGAGTGAGGCAATGGAAAATGTTCAGTCATAGAGGCAGACACAACTTTAGAGGGGTTGTGTCTTCAGTCTGGTCTCCTACCTTCAATTCTGTATCTCTGTATTATTTCAGTAAACAAATCTGACTAGTGCAATTAGTAGATGCCATCTGTTTTGGCATAATTTTTCTATTTTTAATATATAGTCCACCTTTTTTTTAACATCTTTTGCAGAGAATCTGTGAAGTTTGAGCAAGCGGCCTTCCCAAGATGTACCGAATATCTCAACTGATGTCAACACCAGTAGCAAGTAAATGTAGAAGAACTGTGATACGCAATTATCTTTTGAACGATTAGACTCCTTTTAGCAATTTCCTTGCTTTGATTTTGCTGATACTCAGACCATTAACCATCTGTCAGTAGCTTGTGCTTCTTAAATGCCAGTGTTCACTTTGGCAATGATTTTAACTTCATTTTTTTCCTTGAAAGAAATGTGGTATTTTTCCTTCTAGTAGAAAAAAAAAAATCACCGTTTTTTTTTAGATGCCTGTGCATAAATGTGAAAGGAGATTGTTTATCAGCTACTATTAAGATGCAAAACTGTTTGTATATAAAAAATGCTGAATGATTTTGATAGCTACTTGCAGAAAATAAGAGCGCTGTTAAAACGGTAGTGGTTTCAAGTTTCTTCCTTCCTCTTGTTATTTTCTCCCAAAACCCCACTTCTAACTCTCCCTCACACACCCACAGTTTTCTCCCTACAAATCAACCAGCCCAATCTGAAAGTCTAAATTCCTTTCTTTGTCCTAGATACTAATTGTCCATAATGGAATCAAATTTCACTAGCTTGTCTGTTAGGACTATTGACACCATCTCTGCACACGATAAAATTCTGCTTTAGAGTTTAGAATATTAATCAACTCCAACTTTCTCCAAGTAAAGTCTGTTGCCACGCCTTTGGTTAAAATGGAACGAATGAATGGATGATGTTTCTATAATTAAGAATACTCACAGTCTTTATACTTTGGAAAAATGTTATATAAAACAAAACAAAACTTTATTTCTTCCCCACTAATGTCTTTTGCTCATTATTTTACAGTAGAAGTGTCTTAATATGCACTAATGAGGGAGAGTCTAGAACAATGATTGAATTCCTCAGATTACTGAGTAAGCTGCAATAACCAACACATTGGGTAATTGATTTGGGTTTTCTCCTGCTTCACACAAGACGTTTTTTCCCATCCTTACATGAGCTCAGTTTGATGCTAATGATTTATTATTGCCTCATTCTGCACTAAGAAATTTTTTTTTTTTTTTTTTTTTTGAGACAGAATCTTGCTCTGTCGCCCAGGCTGGAGTGCAGTGGAGCGATCTCAGCTCACTGCAAGCTCTGCCTCCCAGGTTCACGCCATTCTCCTGCCTCAGCCTCCCCAGTAGCTGGGACTGCAGGCGCCCACCACCACGCCCTGCTAATTTTTTGTATATTTTAGTAAAGACGGGGTGTCACCGTGTTAGCCAGGATGGTTTAGATCTCCTGACCTTGTGATCCGCCCGCCTCGGTCTCCCAAATTCTGAGATTACAGGAGTGAGACACTGCGCCCGGAACTTCTAGAGTGTTATGTGGATGAAGGAACAGAAGATAGAAGCCTCTAGTTTATGTCTTGCTTCCGGTAGATCCCTGGTGATAAGGGTACCTGCACTACTGGAGTCTTCCTGCTGAAGCTGGAACATCAGCTATTCCCATCTTCTTACATGCCTCCACTGTTTGCAATTATACATATTGATACATGTATCAACATATGTAACTGTTGATCAGGTATGATACATTCTACTTCTCTCTCATTTGTTTATGCAGGTTCTTCCAGGTTGGAAAGAGAATATGCTGGAGAGCTGTCTCCCACGTGCATTTTCCCAAGGTATACTATGGGGCTTCTTTTAAAAAAATAATCATTCTGGCCGGGCGTGGTGGCTCATGCCTGTAATCCCAGCACTTTGGGAGGCCGAGGCAGGCGGATCACGAGGTCAGGAGATGGAGACCATCCTGGCTAACACGGTGAAACCCCGTCTCCACTAAAAATACAAAAAAAAAAAAAAAATCAGCGCTGCGTGGTGGCGGGCCCCTGCAGTCCCAGCTACTTGAGAGCCTGAGGCGGGAGAATGACGTGAATCCAGGAGGCGGAGCTTGCGGTGAGCCGAGATCCCACCACTGCCCTCCAACCTGGGCGACAGAGAGAGACTTGTCTAAAAAAAAAATCATTCTTCGCTGGGCATGGTGGCTCACCCCTGTAACCCCAGTACTTTCGGAGGCCGAAGTGGGTGGATCACCTGAGGTCAGGAGTTTGAGTCCAGCCTGGGTAAAACATGGTGAAACCTTGTCTCTACTAAAAATACAAAAATTAGCCGGGCATGATGGTATGTGCCTGTAATCTCAGCTACTCGGGAGGCTGAGGTGGGAGAATCACTTGAACCTGGGAGGCAGAGGTTGCAGTGAGCCAAGACTACACCACTGCACTCCAGCTTGGGCAACAGAGCGAGTCTCAAAATAATAATAATTATTATTATATTATTATTATTATTTTCCTGTATGTCTTGCTTTGTTGTATTATTGGTTTGAAATTATTATTTTAGCTATCATCTAGTTTTGAAAGGTTATTTCTTTTTGGTGCCATGTACATACTAAATAAAAACTTGCCTAATAGAATAATGAATATATATATATATATATATATATATATATAATATATATGTTAGTGTCAATATATGGGCAGTTGTGAATTGTTTCTCTGGTGAGTGGTGAAACTATTGAATACTGATGAATTGTTACTTTGTCTCAATCTGATGTCTTTTTAAATATGCTTTCCTATCTTGTTTTACAAGAGCAACAGAATTCTATACCAATGGCCGAATTTTATGCTCTACCAAAACATGTGCAGTCTACCATTTTCTTGAAGTACTACAAGGAAGTCTTTTTTCTTTCTTTTTTTAATGACTCTCTGACTGTCTCTTATTCCTTATACAGACATCAGTTGATGTTTCCCCTAGCATTGTGAAATGTGCCTATAGCATAAACAGATCATATATTCATTTTAGGACCTGCTCCTTCTTGTAAATTGTAGGCCTCCTGATACTAGCAAACGAATCAATATGAACAGAGGCACATGTGGAAAGAATCCATGTTTTAGAGTCAGATAGACTAGGCTTCATATCATAGCTCTGCCACTTACTAGCTATGTAAAATATCCAAGTAATTTGCTGTTTTTGTAAATCATTTTTTCCTGCTATATGATGAGGATAATGATACTTAGCTTGTAGAGATTTGTGAAGAGTAGATAAAGGGCAAAATAGGGGGCCAGGCTCATGCTAAGTGTTCAATAACTCTCATTAATTTGAAACAGTATTTTATTACAGGGCTGAGTGCATATATTCATTGTATATAAGCTTTTAGATGTAAAAATATCAGAAATTCAGTAGAGCATTTGGCAGATGTGTAGAAGGATGAGAGACCTTCTGTAATCTATCAGTGTGTAATCATCTAACATTTTTTAATGGTCCTAATGATATTTGTCCTTTCACCAACCAGTCTTTGTCCTATCCTAGGAGGCATGATTTAGGCTCTTCTAAGGCCTAGTCAGTAACCTCACAAGAAAAGAAAGGGCTTTGTCTTTGGGCAGTTGGGCTTGTTGCTGGACTTTGCTGTGGGATTGGACTTTAGAAACCAATTGGAAAGGACCTGCTAAAAACGAATCCACTACTAAATTTATTAGAGCAGAATGAAGCAAGAGTCAAGATCTAGAGAAAATTTTGTTATCTGCTCTAAAGGTTTGATATTGTTCAGAGGGGTCCTTTTTTTAAACTATGATCCAGGTGTTGGAAGAGTGTCTTCATTTCGTTTACAATCAAGAGAGGATAGATAAAGGTAGGGGCATTATAAAGGAAAGATGCCAGGGGATTAGGGAGGCTACAGTTGATAACTGTTGAATGTTGAAGACTTGGAAATTGGAGTGCAGATAGAAATACAGGTCCAGAACTCTGAAACCTCGTAAGCGTCCAGCACCATATAGTTGCCCCATTAATTCTCACAGAGGCAAAAGGATGTAGAAGAAAGAGCACTAGAGTAGGAGAAAAAAAGATCTAGATTTTTACCTTGCCTCTCCCACTTGTAAGCCGTCAGTTATTGAACAATGAATTTAACCTACTGGAGCCTCCATTTTCATATTTATTAATAGGGGTAAGAAGAACCAAAATGTGCTGTTAAAGTGGGTCAGTGCATGTCTGGAAATAGTCCCTTTTGATGTTTCCAAAGTCTCAAATTTCTACCTGTACTATTCAATATTTTTATCAATGATTTGGATTGAGGACATAGAGATTCCAGGGATAACATATTTGTATGACATCATGTAAATGTATTAAAAGTTTTGTGTAACATAATCAGAATCCCTCAAAATTCTAACAGCACAAAATGAATAGCCATTCAAATAGTAGCCAACATATTTAGCTTACCACCCTTAGGCAATGGAAAGCATAGGCATTAACAACCTCCATTAAATTATGACATTAAATATTTATAGAAATCTATGAGGTTTATTTTGGTTGATCTTTACTGCACAGATTCACATTTGTTAAAAACAACAACAACAATAACAACAACAACTAAACCTTGGAGAGAATAATTAGCAAGAGGTAGAGCCAGGATTGAAACCAAGGGTATAAACCTAGCTCTATCTGCAAAGTCTTAATTACATATTGACCTTGTAATATAAAATTGGTCCAAAAGTCTAAGAGAGGAAAGGTACATCTAAATATACAGGAAAAAGACTAGAAATCGATAGTTTATTTAGATGAGATCAGGCACGTTCAGGGTGGTATGGCCATAGACTTGATAGTCTATTTAATAGTGTGATAATATGTTGGTAACTGGAGGGAAAAAAAAGAATCAAGCTAATGTGACTTAAGCTTCATTGCTAAAGACATGGATTCTATAATGAGGGAGGTGATAGTCCCTATATCCCTTGGGCAGACACACCTAAAGGGCTGGGTTCTATGGTTGGCATGATATTTAAGAGGAACTCTAAAAAGTGGAGAATACTCAGAGAAAAGCCATCAAACTATGATAGCTAAGGGATCAAAACTACATCATGTCATGTAAAGATGAATTAAATGAACTGGAGGGCTTTTAGTATGGAGAAGTGAGGACCCAGGGAGGACATGGAAACTCTCTTTAAATAGCTGAATAGATCTCAAATGGAAGATAGAAGGAACAGAAAAGGAAGGGAAAGAAAAGAAGGGAGGAAGTGAACATTTATTAAGCCCATACTAGGTGCTAAGCACAGACCATTTATTTCATTATTTAATTATTAAGATAACCCGATAATGGAGATTTTTTTCTCGTTTTACAGATAAGGAAACAGTCTGAGAGGCTAAGTGACTGGATTAATGTTACTCACCTAAGCAATGACAGAGTTGGAATTATGGGCTTAGAGGGGGATTGACTTCAGATTCCCTGTCTTGTCCACTATGCTGCAGTCCATATTTGTTCAGTGAAGGGTTGTGGGGGTGCTTAGTAAGTGTGGGGTCCTTCTTACTGAAGGTGTGCATGCAGAGACGGGACAATGTTTGTCGGAAATACAGCAGATGGAACAAGCAGAATTTGGTGGGGCTGCAGACATGACCGCCAAAACTCCTGATTCTTAGAATCTGTGATTTTCTGGAAGCATATGGTCCCAATTTATGCAATTAAGTGGAATACATAATATGTAGAAATTACTGAAAACATCAAGGTAAAGAGCACATGAGAGCTATTATACTATCAGTGCTGTTAATTGATTCACAAAAAACCACCCCAAGAATTCAAATATATTCAGACAATATATATTTTCATAGGTTTTACCAGATTTCCATAGCCTGTCAGGTGATTTCGTTCAGTAACTGGCATTGAGTTTATTTACATACTGAACATTTTTTAGGCTTACAGTATCTGCCCTCCAGTAATGTATAAAATAATTACTGAGGCAGACATACATACACAAAAATCACAGTGAGATTAGCTGGGGTTTAGGACAAAGAGAAATAATTTTTAAGGGAGAAAAGAGGGAAAAAAACCAAGCAGTTTTGAAGAAAGAACACATAACATATTCTTTTCTCCAACATGGCTCTGTTACTATTGTCACCAGGCTTCCACCAAAGCTCACCTCAAGAAACTTTGCATTTATGAAACATTTTCACAATAATTTGGTTGCCTTTCAATTATAGGGCCATGTGATTCCTTCCTTCCTTCCTTCCTTCCTTCCTTCCTTCCTTCCTTCCTTCCTTCCTTCCTTCCTTTCTTCCTTCCCTTCTTCCTTTCTTCCTTTCTTTCCTTCTCTCTCTCCCTTTTTTTTTTCTCTCTCTCTCTTCTTCCTTCCTTTAGATACAGGGTCTTTGCTATGGTGCCCAGGCTGGAGTGCAGTGGCTATTCACAGGCATGAATAGCACACTGCAGCTTCGAACTTCCTGGGCTAAAGGGATCCTCCTGCCTTAGCCTTCTGAGTAGCTGGGACTATAGGCACATGCCACCACGCCTAACTCAATGTGATTGCTTTTTAAAACTAAGACACATATAGATTTACTCAAGGAATTATGGGCCTTCCCTGGATACCAAATCAGGGAAGGTAACTGTGTGCCCATTTGTACAGCCAGCCTGGAGGGAAATTTGCAAAGGCCAAAAATGATCATTTTGACTGCATGTTCACCGTGTTTCTGGTGGCTACATAGTTATAATGTGTCACTACAGTGACAAGATTAAAGATCTGGCAACTGGAGGGCTATTCAAAGTAAGAGAGTAGAGGGGATTTTGAGCTTCCACCATCCCATCCAAAAAAATACAATAGACTAACATCAAACGTAGGTTAACCATATGGTGAGGAAAGTGATTAGCCATCGTGTTTTCACTGAAGTTTAAAATAGAAAGAAACGCTAAAGTTTCTGTAGTTCAACGCTGTCATAGGTGAGGAGATGAAGCCCAGAACATTAAGAGTGACATTCCTAATGGTTGCAGAAGTAATTGACAGTCATGGATGCAAAGATGTTATTTTCCTTCACAGTGATGAGACATGGTTTATTTGGGACTGGATGTACTGAATAGAGATTTAAAGTGCGTTATCTTTTCCTTCTTAGTTTCACCTGTGATTCCCTGGATGGTTACCATTCTTTTGAATGCGGCTCCATAGATCCCCTGACAGGCTCCCACTATACCTGTCGCCGAAGTCCCAGACTCCTCACCAATGGCTACTATATTTGGACTGAAGACAGCTTCCTGTGCGACAAAGATGGCAACATAACTCTGAACCCATCCCAGACCAGCGTTATGTATAAGGAGAACTTAGTTAGGTAAGCAGAGCATATTACAGAAAGAAATCTGAAGTCCAATCCATCCATTAATTGTTTATTCATTCATTTATTCACTCAACTATCTTTTATAAGGAGCCCATTATTGCTCCAGACTGTGGAAATACAAAGGGTAAGAGGGGACCTGTCAACAGGTCAATCCATCCATTAATTTTGTTCACTCATTCATTTATTCACCCACTGTCTTTTATAAGGAGCCCATTATTGCTCCAGACTGTGGAAATACAAAGGGTAAGAGGGAATGGGCATAGCCAGCATGAAAACAAATGAAAGCAATGAAATAATACGGGTGCCAGGATAGAAACCCGTCAGGGTGCAGTGAAGGGATAAAAGAAAGGAGATCCATTTTACTTGGGGAATAGGTAAAAATAAACTCACTAGTGGTGGTGATGGCTGATTTAAGTCTTGAAAAATGTAGGATGTTAGTTAAAATAAAAGTAGGAAAGAGAACTTCTGGAAAGATGGCACAGGTCTGGGGTTCTGAGAGACCCTGGTAAAACTTAGGGAATAGCAAATAGTTTGGTAGGAATAAACTTAGGGTGGGAAGGGGTGTTTTGTAAGAAAGAAGACTGAGCATGGGAGCAGGGGCTGGATGAAAGGGGTTAAATTTAAGGCTAAGAAGTTTGAGCAGTACTCTATAGATAAAGAGGGAGCAGGCATTGATAAATTATCAGATTTATTCTTAGAAAGATAATAGTGACTGCTATGGAAAGGATGGGTAGTTGGATGTGTGTGAATATGTGAGTAGAGAGTGAGTACAATGGGAAAAATGAAGGCAAGGTATCCACAGATTAAAAGCAAGTTGTGATAGCAATGATGAAACAGTAAAGGTGGGGAAATAGATAAAAAGAATGGTAAAGGGGTGGAATCTTCATCATCCAAAGATGTGGGAGGTCAAGCAAAGGAAGAACACTTGCATGAATCTTAGGACTCGGGTTCTGTCAACTGGATGTATGGTAGGACAATTTACCAAGATCAGAAAGAAAGGACGGGCATGTCTGAGGAAAGAAGATGGATGAGTTCACTTTGCATTGGTAAATTGGGATAATCACATTCATTTACTTTTGCTTCAAAACCACCCATATGCTGACTGTATCAGTCAGCTATTGACACAATAAAGCTGTGTAACAAATAACTATCAAATCTTAATGATATAAAATAATGAGTCCACACATGTTTGGAAGTCAGTGGAGTAGGTTGGTTTAGTCTGAACTAGGTTGAGGTTGGCTTCAGTTGGAATCAAGTATGCATTATATAGGTCATTCCCTTGAGACCATTGGACTACAGAAAAATGTTCTTTCCATTGTAATTACATAAATGCAAGAGAACATACCCCAACAGCAGATACATTTCAAGCCTCTGTGTGCATCAGTCTTCTACCATCTCATTGGTCAATTCAACTTACATGGGCAAGTTGTAATAAGGGTCAGGGAAATGCACTCTACCCTTGTTGATGAGGGAGGGAGGGATTTCCTACAGGCATCTCAAACCCAGTATGTCCAAAATAGAAAAGGTCACCTTTCTTTCAAAATGTTTCTCACATGATTTCTATTTCAATGAAAAGAAGCACCACTTATCCTCCGTTGTGAGTCTCTCTAGACTTGACCTTTTTATTCCTACATCCATTTTAGTCAGTCAGTCAGGATAAGATGGTATAGGTAGTAACCTATAGATCTAAATATGTAATGACTCAAACAAACCAGATTTTATTTCTTTTTCTTTTCTTTTCTTTCTTTCTTTCTTTTTTTTTTTTTGAGATGGAGTCTCGCTCTTTCGCCAGGCTGGAGTACAGTGGCGCTATCTCTGCTCACTGCAACCTCCGACTCCCTGGTTCAAGCGATTCTTCTGCCTCCGCCTCCCAAGTAGCTGGGATTACAGGCATGCACCACCATGTCCAGCTAATTTTTGTATTTTTAGTGGAGATGGGGTTTCGCCATGTTGGCCAGGATGGTCTCGATCCCCTGACCTTGTGATCCGCCCGCCTCAAACTCCCAAAGTGCTGGGATTACAGGTGTGAGCCACTGTGCCGGGCCCAGATTTTATTTCTTGCTCATGTAATTGTCCAGCATGAGTGTTCTAGCTTAACTGGTGACCCACCTTGAAGCAGAGACTCAGAGACCCAGCCTCTTTCTTTCATCATATGCCTCTGCTAAACATGCGAGCCTTGTAGAGGCTGTGCCATGGTGGAATTGCCTGGAGCCAACTGGTAAAAGTAGAAAGAATGTGAGCTGAAGGAACATCTTCTTTCCCCAGCCCGTAAATGGTACAGATCACTTCTGCTCACATTGCACTGGGGAGACCTTAGACTCATGACCACACCTAATGGCAAGGGAGCAGAAAGATCTAGTTCAGTTGTGTGTCCAGGTACAGTGTATTTGGTGAGAAGTTTATTGTTTCCACCACAAATGTGAAGACCAAATGAATCTACTTCCTAAAATTATTTTGAATTGTTCCTCTTGTCTTTCTTCCCATAGCTATTTTCTTCATTCAGGCCACCATCACCTCCTGTTTAGATTTCAGCCATGGTTGATTCTGATGCCTCCTGGATTACCTACCTTCCAGTACATTCCCCAGGCCAGGCTATTGCAAGGTGGTTTTCTTACATTGGTTAGGCACCCTCCTTCAGGAAAGTCTTACTCCATTTTCTTTCTTCTCATTTCACCTTACATAACTGCCAATATTTGCTATAAAAAAATAAAATAAATTTATTGATTGCTTTCTGTGTGCTAGGGACTATCTCAACTGTTTTGGATATATACTACCATTTGATTCCAAACTCCTGCTCTGGAATCTTATGACGTAGATTTTATTACTGCCATTCCCATTTCACAAAGGTGAAACATGAGTTCAGAGAGGTTGAGTAATTTTCCCAAGCTCACAGGGCTATTAGGTGGAAATAGGATTCCAGCTCAGATGGTCTGACTTTAGCGAATCAGTTTTGAAACACCACTTTTAACTCTAGCCCTTGTTATATAGATATTCTTGATGTTAAAGATGTCTCATCCATACTTTTTGTTCTCAAATTTGATGAGTGCCCATCCCATAATACATACTTAATAAGGAGTTGTTTAGTGAATTAATGAATATGATAATAAATGAATAAAAATTACTAATTCCTTTTTATTCAATTTTAATTGATCTCATCTTAGAGCCTACAAGAATCTTTAAAATTTGGTTCATTTTCACAAGAATGTGTTCCATTGTCATGAACTCTACCATTTTTCTCAACTTGTTGTTCCTGAAACCTATGACAGAGAGAGTTCAAATAAAGCAGATTTTCTCAACAGTAGCACTATTCACATTTTGTACCAGATAATTATTTGTTGTGGGCAACTGCCCTGTGCATTGTAGGATGTTTAATGGCATCTCTAGCCTCTTCTCACCATCTGCCAGGAGCACTCCTTCCCTGGTGTAACATTAACAAAATGTCTCCAAAACCTGCCAGATGTTCCCTGCAGCCAAAATCAACCTGGTTGAGAACCATCAGGATAAAGAACACACAAGGCTTGTTGTAATTCATCTTAACCACCAAGGGAAAGCACAATTCAAAATGCATCTTCTGATAGCAGCTATAGCTAAAGAGCAGAATTTTGTGATGGGAAAACTGTTCCATGCCCACCTTGCCTGTGATGGGAAAGCTGTCCCACTCAACCTTGCATTACCTTTGGTTCAGGCCCTCAGTATTTTTTGCCAGTACAGTGTGCTCAGCACAGGGCTTGACACATCACAGGCAGATACGCAACAGTGAATCCCCTGTGCACTTCGATTAACCCCTCTGACCTCAATCTTGTACCTCTGAGCCACCCTCTGCTACCAACAATTTTGGAAATGCAAACCGAATTATGTCATCACTAATCTGTTCCCTGTAGCCATGCTTTAGAGGTCTCCCATTGTTCCAACACTAAATTCCAACTCCCTTGTAGCATATAAGAAGTTCATCATTACTTACCTTCCTTTTACCTGTCCAGCTTCATTTCTTGGCATGACCTAATCAGACTTACTGGTTCCTCAATAAACAGGTCAGATCATCTGATGCAGCTTAGAACTCACTTCTCCCAGAAAAACTCCCTTGATTATCAATTAGCACTGCCACTCCTGGTGCCCTCACAGCAGCCTCTAGGTAATCCTTTCAGAGCACTTATCCCCTATATAGCATAGCGATCAAAAGCAAAGACCGTGGAGGCAGACTCTCTGGGATTGCATCCCAACTATGTTACTTACTAGCTGCATGACCTCAGCCAAGTGACTTAACCTATCTGTGCCTAAGTTTCCTGATCAGAAAAATGGGATAATAATAGTATCTATTTCATACAGTTGTTCTGAAGATAATGTGAGTTAATCTATGTAAAGCACTAAGAAAGATGCAAGGCATAGAATAAACTCTAGGAAAGCATTACCTATATGTGCATTATTATTTCTTTCTTTCTCCTATAATACATTGTGAACTTTTCACACACAAAGTTTTGTCTTTTACCTCAGTACTCTTGACATTGAGCCAAGGACCTGGCACACAGTAGAATTTTGAGAAACTTTTGTAGAATTAATGCAGTGAGCAGACTTGGGTTGTAGAAATGTACTCTGCGCTTCAAATCACAGTTTTGAACTAAAGGTAACTATTATTCGTTGTTCACCATGCTTTCATTTCTCTCTAGGATATTTAGAAAGAAAAAGAGAATCTGCCATTCCTTTTCTTCTCTCTTCAACCTCAGTACCTCCAAATCTTGGCTGCATGGAAGTATCTTTGGTGACATCAACTCTTCTCCAAGTGAAGACAACTGGTTGAAGGGGACCAGGAGGTTGGACACAGACCATTGCAATGGAAATGGTGAGTTTGAGTCCTCCTTTCCATAGTAAAATTTTATCTCCAAGTGGGCAGTGGTAACCCTGTGGTCCTCAACCAATGTCAGTTCCAGGGATGACAGTCATTTTGATGGAGAGATGGGCCACATTTTTAAAATTCACTTAAAGTTCTCTCTATATTACATGTGTGATCAAAACACATATGTGTCTATGTCATGCAAAATAGCCTAATGTAAATGTGTAAATTATTAAGTTGATAATGCTGGGAAAATATTTGCACATCTCCACTGTATTTTTTCTGTAAGGGATATTGGTGGAGAAAGGATACTAGAGTCAGATTTAGAAGACCTGCATTGGAAAAAATGTACTGGAGTCAGGGTTCAAGTCCCAGTATGAGTACACTTGGATAGTACTTAACTTTGCTGAGTTTCAATTTCTTCATAAAACCATATATATATACATATATATGTATATATATGTATATATATATGTATATATATATGTATATATATATGTATATGTATATGTATATATATATGTATATATATGTGTGTGTATATATATATGTATATATATATGTATATATATATGTATATATATGTGTGTGTATATTTGTGTGTATGTATATAAACACATAACTGTTGAAATATAATATATATTCAATACATATAATATATACATATTGTGTAATAACATTAATATTAATACAGGTAAATATGTGTATATACATGTATATAAACACAGTGATGGGAACTCAAAGCATATATTTTAAAATTTATTTTTCTTTTTCAACTTTTATTTTAGAATCAGGAGGTACATGTGCAGGTTTGTTACTTGGGTATATTATGTGATGTTGAGGTTTGGGTTATGAATGATCCCATCACCCAGGTACTAAGCATAGTACCCAACAGTTAGTTGTTCAACCCTTGCCCCCTTCTCTCTCTCCCCCATCTAGTAGCCCCAGTATCTATTGTTGCCATCTTTATATTCATGAATATCCACTGTTTAACTCCCACTTATAGGTAAGAACATAGGGTATTTGGTTTTCTCTTCCTGTGTTAATTTGCTTAGGATAATGGCTTCTAGCTGCAGCCATGTTGCTGCAAAGGGCATGATTTCATTATTTTTAATGGCTGTGTAGTATTCCATGGTGTATATGTACCATTTTCTTCATTCAATTCAATGTTGATGGAAACCTAGGTTGATTCTTTGTCTTTGTTATTGTGAATAGTGCTCCTGAAAATGTGAGTGTATGAGTTGTTTTGGTATAATGATTTGTTTCCTCTTGGATATATACATAGTAATGGGATTGCTGGATGAAATCGTGGTTCTAAGGTCTTTGAGAAATTTCCAAACTGCTTTCCACAGTGGTTGAAATAATTTACATTCCCACCAACAATGTATAAGCATTCCCTTTTCTCTGCAGCCTCATCAACATCTGTTGTTTTTTGACTTTTTAATAGTCGCCATTCTGACTGATGTGTGATATAGTGTCTCATTGTGCTTTTGATTTGCATTTCTATGATTAGTGATGATGAACATTTTTTCATACATTTGTTGCTGCATGTATGTCTTCTTTTGTGAAGTGTCTGTTCAAATCTTTTGCCCATTTTTATATGGGATTATTTGGTTTTTGCTTATTCAATTGTTTAAACTCCTTATAGGTTCTACATATTAGACCTCTGTTAGATTCATAGTTTGTGCATATTTCTACCATTCTGTAGGTTGTATATTTACTCTTGTTGATAGTTTCTTTTGTTGTGCAGAAGTTCTTTAGTTTAATTAGGTTCTATTTGTCAATTTTTGTTTTTGTTGCAATTGCTTTTGAGGACTTATTCATAAATTATTTTCCAAGGCTGATGTCCAGAATGGTGTTGCCTAGGTTTCCTTCTAGGATTCTTATAGGTTAAGGGAGGTCTTACATTGAAATCTTTAATCCATCTTGAGTTAATTTTTGTATATGGTGAAAGGTAGAGGTCCAGTTTTATTCTTCTGCATATAGCTATCCCAGCTCCATTTATTGGATAGAGAGTCCTTTCCCTATTGCTATTTTTTGTCAACTTTGTCAAAGATTAGATGGCTGTATGTGTGAAGCTTTACTTCTGGGTTCTCTATTCCATTTCGTGGGTCTATGAATTTGTTTTTGTACCAGTACCATGCTGTTTTGGTTACTATTGCCTTATGGTATATTTTGAAGTTGGGTAGTATGATGCCTCTGGCTTTGTTCTTTTTGCTTAGAATTGCTTTGGCTATTCAAATTCTTTTTTGGTACCACATGAAATTTAAATAGTTTTTCCAACCCTGTGAAAAATAATATTGATAGTTTGATAGGAATAGTTTGAATTTGTAGATTGCTTTAGGCAATATGGCCATTTTTGTGATATTGATTCTTCCAATCCATGAGCATGAGATGTTTTTCCATTTATTTGTGTCACTTATAATTTCTTTAAGCAGTTCTTTGTAGTTCTTCTTGTTGAGATCTTTTATGTCCTTGGTTAGAGGTATTCCCAGTTATATTATTTTTTGTGGCTATTGTAAATGGGATTGCATTCTTGACTTGGCTCTCAGCTTGAATGTTGTCAGTGTACACAATGTTATTAGGGTACAGAATTGACTACTGATTTCTGTACGTTGATTCTCAAAGTATATTTTAAAGATGAAATGGGACAATGAATATCAGTCATAGTTCAATGTCTGGTGCTCAGTAAGTTGTAGTTATAATTATTTTTATTACTAGAATGGAAACAACAGATATTTATTGGACACTTACCATTTTCCAGGCACTGTGGTAGGTCAGGGGATAGAAAGATGAATATAAACAATGTAATAACCCCTGTCTTCTTGGGCCTTATGGTTTACTGGAGCAGGGACTGTGGTTCAGCTCTTTGTTAAATAAGTACACAAACATGACATAATGATTGTGGTAGGTGCCATGAAAAAAAATTATATGATATAATGGGGAATTCGACTCATTTGGAAACTTAAGAAAAGCTTCCATGTGGAACTGGCAATGGAGATCAGTGCTAGACAATGAGAGAGGATTTTGCTGGGTGAAGGGGAAAGGTAAGAACATTCTGTGCTGAGGAGACAAAAAAGTCTGGAGTGTGAGTTGCCTAGTGAGTAGACGTGCTTGGTGGGGGAAGATAGCATGCATGGTTTGAAACACAGTGAGTTTAAGTTTCTTTGGGACATCCAAGAGACAATGTCAAGATGGTGTTGGTATTTGCAATCCAGAGCTCAGAGGAGGAATCTGAGTTAAAGTTATACATCTGGGAGTCATATCAGTCTAGGTGGTTACTGAGGCCTTGCAGTGGATGAGATGGATTAGAAAGAGGGTATACAGTTTTCCAAAGAGGGAGCCTAAAATGGAATGTTGTGAACTCAAACATTGAATAAGTGAATAGGACAGGATTAACCTGCAAAAGAGATTAGGAAGGAAGCATTCATGGAGGTGAGTGGAAAAACAAGAGAGTGCTGTGTAATGAAATTCCTGGGATAATAGTAGTATAAAAGGTGGGAGTACTCAGCAATGGCAAATCATGCTAGAAAGGTAAATAGGATGAGGACTGAGTGTTCAACAGATTCATTTGCCTGGGGGTGACTGGTAGTGGAGTGAAAGTGGCAGAAGAGAACCAGGAGTACAATGAAGAGAGAATGAGAGGTAAGGAAATAAAGGAATGGCCTATAGAAGACTTTGATGTCTGCTGGGAAGGGAAAGGGAGAGGTGAAGGAGGGTGAAAGCAAATGAGAAGATTGAGTGAGTCCCTGCGGCTCTTCTTCCCCTTTCTCCTCCTCCTATCAACAAGAGGGGAAATTTGAGCATGTGTCATGATACGGTTTGGCTGTGTCCCCACCCAAATCTCATCTTGAAATTCCACATGTTGTGGGAGGGGCCTGGTGGGAGGTAATTGAATCATGGGGGCAGGTCTTTCCTGTGCTGTTTTCGTGATAGTGAATACGTCTCACAAGATCTGATGATTCTATCAGGGGAAGTTTCCCTGCACGAGCTCTCTCTTTCCCTGCTGCCATCCATGTAAGACGTGATTTGATCCTCCTTGCCTTCCGCCATGACTGTGAGGCTTTCCTAGCCATGTGGAACTGTAAGTCCATTAAACCTCTTTCTTTCGTAAATTGCCCAGTCTTGGGTATGTCTTTATCAGCAGCCTGAAAACGGACTAATACATGTCACTCATCAACAAATGGGCCTGAATTAAAAATGGGTTTGCAGGTCTACTTCGATATGTTATATACTCATTTAACAGTCATTCTTTCATTTATTCATTCACTCATCAAACTCACTGAGTATGTGCTATGTGCCAGCCACTGTACTAAACACAACACTCTTCCAAGCTAAGTAAGACATGACCCTAACCTTGAGAAATTCCTGGTTTAAAACAGGTAGATAAATACATTTGCAAATAATTTGAGTATAATGCCTGAAACAGCATGAGAGATTTAAGAGTAGTATGTGGAGAGAATGTCAGAAGTTTAAGCAGAGGAGGCAGTGTTAGCTGTACCTAGAGGTAGCTGGGAGGGCTTCAGAGGGAGACAACATCGGAGTGTTTTTTTGTTGTTGTTTTGGTTTGTTTTTCTAGACAGAGTCTCGCTCTGTCACCCAGGCTGGAGTGCAGTGGCGCGATCTTGGCTCACTGTGTGGGCGGCAAGCCATCCAGGCGCCGAGGCAAGAGACCGAGGACACAAGCTGTTCCAGTATAATAAAATATAAAACAAAAATAGTTATACCAGATATAGATCTTAGATATGATTATATATGAATATCATTAATCATTGGTTTGTAGCAATTACTCTTTATTCCAATATTATAATAATCCTTGCTCTATAGTCATAACCTAGGAAAAACCAGGCCATACAGAGATAGGAGCTGAGAGGACACAGTGAGGAGTGTCCAGAAGACAAGAGTGCGAGCCTTCTGTTATGCCCAGACAGGGCCACCAGAAGGGCTCCTTGGTCTAGTGGTGACGCCAGCGTCTGGGAAGACGCCCGTTGCCAGGTGGACCGAGGTTTAGCGGTAGCAAAAAGTGTCAAGGAACAACACCCGCTACATAGCAGACCGGGAAAGGGAGTCTCCTTTTCCCCCGGGGAGTTTAGAGAAGACTCTGCTCCTCCACCTCTTGTGGAGGGCCTGACATCAGTCAGGCTCGCCCACAGTTATCCAGAGGCCTAACCTTCTCCCTGTGATGCTGTGCTTCAGTGGTCACGCTCCTAGTCCGCCTTCATGTTCCATTCTGTACACCTGGCTCTGCCTTCTAGATAGCAGTAGTAAATTAGTGAAGGTACTAAAAGTCTCTGATATGCAGAAATAATGGCATAAGCTGTCTTTCTCTTTGTCACCTCTGTCTCTCTGCCTCGGCTGCCAGGCAGGAAGGGCCCCCTGTCCAGTGGACACGTGACCCACGTGACCTTACCTATCATTGGAGATGACTCACACTCTTTACCCTGCCCCTTTTGCTTTGTATCCAATAAATAACAGCACAGCCAGACATTCGGGGCCACTACTGGTCTCTGCGCATTGGTGGTAGTGGTCCCCCGGGCCCAGGTGTCTTTTCTTTTATCTCTTTGTCTTGTGTCTTTATTTCTACACTCTCTCGTCGCCACACATGGGGAGAGACCCACCGACCCTGTGGGGCTGGACCCTACACACTGCAACCTCCGTCTCCCTGGTTCAAGCAATTCTTCTCCCTCAGCCTCCCGAGTAGCTGGGATTACAGGCACGCGCCACCACACCCAGCTAACTTTTGTATTTTTAGTAGAGACAGGGTTTCACCATGTGGGCCAGGATGGTCTTGATCTCCTGACCTCGTGATCCACCCGCCTCAGCCTCCCAAAGTGCTGGGATTACAGGTGTGAGCCACTGTGCCCAGCCCTGAGTGGGTCTTAAAGGATGAATAGGATGGCTAGGCAGAGATGAGCTAGGATGATATTCCCAGCTTCCCCATTCTATCTTCCAAACTGCTGTGAGGCTAACCTTTTTAAGGCATAAATGTGGCGTTGTCATCATTCCTTAACACAGCATGCAAGGCCTTTTGAATATTTCCTACTTCTCCAACCCAAACTGGCTGCATAATTTTCAGGCTCAGTGCAGAATAAAATACAGGACCCCCTGTTCAAAAATGCTTAAGAATCTCAAGTGTCAACCAAGAAAAACTGTTAAACCAAGAAAAAGGCCCTCGGGAGCAAGAAGCCCTGTGCAATGGCACTTTTCAAAGGTCCGTGTGGCTGGTCGCGTCTTCAACTCCACCGTTGTCCTTTCCCTTACATGCAATTGACACAGATCACACTGATCTTTCAGTTTCCTGAATGGATCCTGCTCTTCCACACATCTGTGGCTTTACTTATGTCACTCACTCTGCTGTAATTCATTTATGAATTCATTTGGAAGATTTTATTGAGGGCCAATGATGTTCCAGGCATTATCCTACACAATGGACATAGTGGTGAATAAAATGGACAAAATGACTTGCTCTTGTGGAACTTGCATTTCTACTGGGGGAGATAGACAATAAATAAATTATGTAGCATGTTAATAAGTGGTGAGTGGTATGGGAAACAAGAAAAGGGGAAGTGATGGGGATTGCAAATGTAAATAAAATGGTTAGAGAAGGCCTCATTGAGAAGAACTTTTGAGCATTGGCTTAAAAGCAAAAGCAAAACAGCTCTGTGGATATCTGGGGGAGGAACAATCCAGGCAAGTGAAATGCTGGTGTACAAGTTCTAGTCTCAGAGCCTGCACTGGGCTGAGTGAGTGAGGGGGGATAGTAGGGAAAAGACTGAAAGGTGTGTCAGGAATGCAAGTGGGAAAGAACAAGGGGAGCTGTGGGGTCATTTCAAAGGCTTTGCTTTCATACTCTGAGTGGAGGGCAAACCACTGGAGGATTCTGAGCTGAGGAATAACTTGTTTCAATTTACATGTTAAAAGGATTATTCCAGCTGCTGAGTTCAGATTAGATGTCCGCTATTAGGAGCAGAAGCAAGAAACACGTTAAGAGGCTATTGGTGTGATTCAGGTGGGAGATAATGGCAGCTTGAACTGAGATGATAGCAGAATGGTGATGAGAAGTAGGATTCCAGATTCGTCTTACAGGTAGACTCAACAAGATTTGCCTACGTGGCTGTGAGAGAAAAAGAGAAGTCAAGGGTGCTTATTCCATGCTGAGCACTTCACATTTTGTCTTTTTAAAATATATTAGCTTGTTTACATACATTATCTTGTTTAAATATCCCCAAAACTCATAAGAAGTAGGTCATATTATCATATTTATTATAATTATGATAAAACTGAAGTTCAGGGTTAAGGAACTCGCCCAAGTTAATTTAGCTTATAAACAGCAGAGTTGGGGCCTGACACGGTGGCTCACTCCTGTAATCCCAGCACTTTGGGAGGCCGAGGCAGGCGGATCACGAGGTCAGGAGATCGAGACCATCCTGGCTAACATGGTGAAACCCCGTCTCTACTAAAAATACAAAAAATTAGATGGGCATGGTGGCGGGCACCTGTAGTCCCAGCTATGCGGGAAGCTGAGGCAGGAGAATGGCGTGAACCTGGGAGGCGGAGCTTGCAGTGAGCGGAGACCGCGCCACTGCACTCCAGCCTGGGTGACAGAGCGAGACTCCATCTCAAAAACAAAAACAAAAACAAAAACAGCAGAGTTGGAATTCAACCGAGGTCTATCTGATTTAAAAGTCCAGACTCTGCTCTGCTGCCCGGAAGGGCTTTGTTTTCCTTTTCAAGGAGAAATCCATCATGTCCCTCATAGTGCAGGCCGAAAGAGCAAGCTAGAGGAGTCGTATAATGCAATAATCTATTAACTTAAGTGTATAATAATTACATGGCTATGATTTTTCTTAATCTGCTTCCTAGACAGAAGACACACGTAACATTTTTTTTTAATTTTCAGTAACTTTGATTCACAAAATGTTACAAAAAATAGTATAGAGAGGGTCAGTGTATGCTTCACCCAGCTTTGCCCACTGATAACTACTTATACAGCTATAGCACATTATCAAAACCAGGAAATGGACGTTGGCACAATGCCATGAAGATTCCACCAATTTTTACATATATTCCTGTGTGTGTGTGTGTGTGTGTGCATGTAATACTAGATTAGTTTTAAGAATGCAATAAGTGCTTGTTAAATGAAGAAACAGTTCTTAATATGATCAAAGGATTACTTAAATTGAGTGATTCTAGTTTTCCACAATAACAAGAGTGTAAAAGCAGGAAGAGGAGAGGGGAAAGAGCAGGGATGTGGGGGGTGAGGCCAGAAATATTAATTGTAGATATTTGAAGAACCTTTTATGCCATATTGAGGATTTGGGGTTTTATCTAATCAATCAAGAATATTTTTTGATTCTCTTAAGCAGGGTGATGATGCAATCAGATTTGGAATTTTCAAGTTATCTTTGCAGTAGCACAATTGAGGATTGGATGGGAGCTCTGAGGCAATTAAAATCAACCAGTATCCTAAGGAAGTGGCAGGAAATAGGGAGGAAGGAAGAGACTTAAAGAATATTTTCCAAGGTAGAATTGACAGGTTAGTGATAGATAGAATATAGTAGTGAGAACGTGGGAGAATCAAAGAAAACTGAGGTATTTAATTTGGGAGACTGCATAAAAAATTCTGCAAGTCACCAAGGGCTGGAAGATAGTGTGGTAGAGTGATAAGGAAAATGAGCTTTTGAACTAGATGAACCTGAATTCAAATCCTAGAACCAGCTTTTCCCACCTGAATGTTCTTGGGCAAGTTATTAACTAACCTCTCTGATCCTCTACTTCTTATATATAAAATAAAAAAATAGCATATAGAATGGGGAGGATGAAATGCAATAATTCATGAAAAATGTCACACTTCTAATATCTCTTATGAATACCAGGGGCTGGTATTCTGCTTAATACACATTAGCTCTAAAAAGGCAGAAAAGAACAGCTGAGGATCATCAAAACAGACAATGAATTGTATTTCTTATGGGTTGAATTTGAGATATCTTATGGGAAATAGATAACCAGTAGAGGTTTGGAAACATAAGAAGGGGGTTCAGGAGTAATTCATAAGCCAATCTGAGAAGGAATACAGTTGATACATAAGCCAATCTGAGAAGCAATACAGTTTTTTGGAATAAAGAAGTCTACTTATGGAAAACAAGTGAATGAGAAGAAAGGAGCGGTAAGAAAGGAATTCAGGAGGTTGAACAGAAGCCCCAGTAATAATGATCCCTAATTGTGTGAGTGCTAGGGGCAAGCACAGTTCCAAGAAAGCCACATGTCACGTCATCACTTCTCTGCAAAGCCTCTGAGTTATTATTATTTATCCCCATTTTCCAGGGGAAGAAGCTAAGGTAGCTTAGGTACTATATATGAGGCCACACAGGTAAGAAGTCGCATAGCCAGGATTTGAAGAGAAAAGTCTGAGCATGTGCTCTTAATCCTGGGAAAAAGCTCTTTGGGGAAAGTTTCTCAGGCAAGGAAGCAAGAGAGTGTGGTGTTATGAAAGAAAAGAATATGAAGAACTGGCTAATGAAGCACAGCTTGATAAGGAGGTCAACTCAAGAATTCTGTAGTCCCTGGTAGATGTGTTATGTGTGGAATCTTCCCTCCAAAGGCAAAGGAGAAGTTATCTCTCTGACTCTTTCTGACAGAGTGGCACAAATATCTTAGTACAGAGCTCTCGTTACTTTTTAATTGAGATATAATCCACGTTCCTTAAAATCTACCAACTTAACGTATACAATTCAGCGATTTTTTAGTATAGTCACAGGGAGGCCATGCAATCACGACTGCTTTCCTGTTCCAGAACATTCCATCAGCCCCAAAAAGAAACCTGATACTCACTCGCAGTCACTCCTCCTTCCCCACCAGCCCCTGACGACCAATATTCATCTACTTTCAGTCTCCGTGGATTTGCCTATTTTGGACTCTCATTATTTTGTTTCATTTTGATAAAATGTTTAATTAAGGTGTTGTTGATGAAGTGGGCAATGTGATGTTTCAACATATGTACACACTGTGAAATGGGGAAATCAAGTTAATTAACATATCCATCACCTCGTATACTTACCATTTGTTATTGTTGTTGTGAGAACATTTAAGAACTGCTCTCTCAGCAATTTTTTTTTTTTTTGAGACAGAGTCTCACTCTGTTGCCCAGGCTGGGGTGCAGTGGTCCAGTCTTGGCTTACTGCAACCTCCACCTCGTGGGCTCAAGCAATTCTCCTGCCTCAGCCTGCCAAGTAGCTGGAACTACAGGCATGAGCCACCATGCCTGGCTAAGTTTTTGCATTTTCAGTTGAGATGGGGTTTCACCATGTTGGCCAGGCTGGTCTCAAACTCCTGAGCTCAAGTAATCTGCCCTCCTTGGCTTCCCAATGTACTGGGATTACAGGTGTGAGCCACCATGCCTGGCCCTCTCCTAGCAATTTTCAAGAATACAACACATTATTATTAACTCTAGTCACCATGATATAGGATAGATTTCCAGAACATTTTTCATCCTGTCTGACTGGAATTTTGTACCCTTTGACCAACATCTCCCCATCTCCTACCCCACCCACTCATGATTTTCTGAGGCTGCCTCTTCCTCTCAGTGGTTACTGCTGCTCCAGGAATGGCTTACTCAGGCTCACCTCTAATGTGCCTTTTGGAGTGTCCATCCATTGATTCTCCCCTGTTTTTTTCTGGAGCAACAAGGCAAGTGTCTTCTCAGTTCTAAAGCAATGTTTTCTAAGGTGTAGGGTAGGGTAGGAAATGCTGCTAGCACAGAGCAACAGTGAACGTTGAATCACACAGTAAGAGAGAAGTTGTGGCTCCTCTTCCAATTCCCTTACAATCCTTCTGATAAAACCAAGAAGACCAAGGCTCAGTTTAGAACCTTGGTAGCTGTCAGATTCTCTAACATTTGCTACAATCTCTTTGGTTTTAACAAAGTTCTTCTTAACCAAGAACAGGCTCAGAGCTTTCTGCTACACCAGTATTTCACACGTATTAAATAAGGTTACATTTTCCATTGTACTTATTTTTACCTTTACTTTCTGTTTAGGGCATTTACGTGACTGTTATAAAGTTTGCTTTAAAGTAAAAATGTAAAATGAGACAATCTTAAGAAAATATTAAATGGCTGAGAGCAAGCAGGTTCTGGGATTTGGCAAAAATCAGGAAAATAATGCCTGGATGACTAAAGTCTGAGAATCACTGTTCTAAAGACAGTATGTCACATATTTAGAAATTAACATCTAATTTTTCCTTCGTTGTCTCTTTGAAATATGTCCAAACAATTTCAAAGGGATTGGACCACAGCAATGCTGCACGTGCATGAGGTATCTTATTAAAATTCTCATGGTTTCCAAATATCCTCTAAATATAACAAATCAAACTACCTCCATCCAAAATCAGTAATTAGTCAACCTGGGCGCACACAGAACTTTGAAATCTTTCATCTCTGCTGTCAGAGTAATCACATCTTCCCCAGACTTCTTGCTTTCCAGATTTACCCAAGGCCCCGTGACTTTTATCAGCAATTTATTTTTCTCTGGAAATGCCTAGTTAGAAGACTCCAGAAGAAATCAAAATTAAATTGTTTTGCTGTTTTCTCTCTGAGCAATGGATGCAATCAAACATTACTTCCCCTGATTTTCTTGTGCTTCATTTTTCAGGCAAGAGGATGTTTTTGCCTGTTTTGTTTGTCCTCAGTTCACCCCTTTCCCAGCTGTGTTGACACCTTTCCTCATTAGTTGCAATTCATTCTTGAGCCACGGAATTTTGCAGCTACCCAGGCCCCAATACTGCAATTCGGGATGTGTTCCCAGAGCCTGTGAGTCATACTGAAAGAGAGCAGAGGATTCACGCAGGGAGGACTGAACAGGATGGACTCTATTTCTGCCAGTCCTGGAAAAGGCAGGCTGACTCCAGGCAAGTCACCTGAGCTTGAGGTGCATGCCTTTCTCTAGAACTCATGCCTGTCACATAAATATCTTTGAGATGGCAACATCAGTATGTGGCTTTGGGCTTCTCTTTATAGCAAATAATGCCCATTTTTATATAAAAGGATATGGAAGATGTGCTTAGAAGATACAGAATCTTCCCAACAGAGGTAAAGTACATCAAATTTAGAAATCAAGTTAAACAGAATGAAATAGATACCTTCAACAATAATACAACTAGAGCTATTTGGTAAAATATTTTTTGCCTTATAATCCTTTTATTTGTTATTAAGTTTGGAGAAGAAAATTCACTGTCAATTAGGGAAAGTGAGTTTGGGTTAAATCATGTCTTTTCAGAGATGAAAAATCTCCTTGATCGTTTTTGAATGTTAAGACTTTTTTGTGGTTTCTCTGTTGAATACCATATTTTCTTTCAGAAAATTTTATGTACAATTTCCAGTATTCTACATATTTTTTATTTCATCCAACTCTCAGCAGCAAAGCTTTATATTCAACTGGGCAGCCCTGGGAAACAGCACATCTTTTTACTGTTGTTACAGTCTCGTCCACATCTACCCAGATTGTAGTTAAGGGGCACTCATGACTACATAATTAGCCGTGGAAGTTCCCATCTCTTTCTCACTTCCACATTGATTTGATCAGCTAGCCTCCTCTTTTTTTTAACAGCTTTATTGAGGTGTAATTGCTATACAGAGAACTGCACATATTTCATGTGTACAATTTTATGACTTTAGACATATGCAGACACCTGTGAATTCCATCACCACAATCAAGGTAATAGACATACCCAACATGTCCCAAAGGTGCCTGTGTCTCTGTGTGTGTGTGTATGTGTATGCGTGTGTGTGTGTGTGTGTGTGTAAGAACATAACATGAGAGCTACCTTATTAATAAATACCATGTTGTTAACTACAGGTACTACGTTGTAGAGCAGATCTCTATAACTCATCCTTCCAGCGTAACTGAGACCATATTCACATTGAACAATGGCTCCCAATTTCCCCCACCCAAACCCCTATCCCCTGGCAGCCACTATTGTACTCTCTGCTCCTATGAGTTTGACTATTTTGGCTACCTCATAGAAGGAGAATCATGCAATATTTGTCCTTCTGTGACTGGCTTATTTCACTTGGCATACTGTGCTCCAGGTTTATCCATGTTCTTGCAAATGGCAAGATTTCCTTCTTTTTTTTAAGATTGAATAATATTCCATTGGATGCATATACCACATTTTCATCATCCACTCATCTGTGGAAGGATACTTAGGCTGCTTCCGCATCTTGGCTACCATGCATGGTGCTGGGATGGGCATGGTCCAGGGCCCCCTCAGGAGCCTGGTCATTATTGGATGATCTGCGTGTTTCATTTTCTGTCACTCCTTTCTCTATGGCAACCAGCAGGGATGCATCCACAGACTGCTTTGTCAAGCTGCCAAAGGCTATGTGTAAGGCAGTGCAAGGAAGCCTGCAGGGTTAGTAGGAATTTCCCAGTCCAAAACCCCCAACTCAGTATCCAGGCTGAGGGGAACCACAGGTGAAGTCAGCCCACCAGCTATTCTCCTCTCTTGAAGTCGCAGTCTTAGCTCAAACTTAGCCTCCGTGGTGGCAAATACTGACCCACTTTCTCTATAGTTACTGTACCCTGTTATAACAGGCCTACGTTAGATTTTGCAAATAACAACACTACATATCTTAGCCTCCTACCCCTTACCGAATTCTCTGTAAAACTTACTGAATGCTAACTATGAGCTGGGTACTAATTGCTGGTGTCTGGGACAGATGAAGTGACCTTTTTCTCACGGAGCCTTTTGTCTAGTGAGGGAGACAGACACTAAACAACAACAACAAAAAAACACACACACAGAAATTATGTATTCTATTGTCTGTATTTCTGTAACAATGATAAAATCATAAATTATGATCTGTCCTCTGAAGGCAGAGAACAGAGTGTTTTGACTAGATTAAGTACAACCAGGAAAATACAGACACGTGATTCTCACTTGAAGCACCTACCAGAGTTGTCGAAAGGACTCTAATGATCCAGTTGCCTTAGACGGTTAGGTCAGCTCTCTCAATGACAGGGTTTCTCAGCCTCAGCATCACAGTATCGTGGGCAGGTAATGTCTTGTTGTGGCACCTGCCCTGTGCACTGTTGGGTGTTTAATAGCATCCCTGGCCTCTGTTCAGTAGATGCCCGTAACACCCCTCACCTCACTCCAAGTTGTGACAACGTAAACTGTCTCAAGATATTGCACCATGTCCCCGGGGAGGAGAAATCACCCCCTATTAAGAACTACTGTTGTATGAGGACCCCAATGTCTCTTGGAGCCCCATAGTCACTCAGCTCCTAGAATGGGAGACTGGGAATCTCGCAAATCTCTCACTGCTGAGTGAGCATTTTAACACACAAAGCAACTCATGTTACACTCATGCTCAGATTTTTTTAATGACTCTAAATCACCCACAGAATCAATATTAGCTTGGAGTGTGACATGAGACCCCACACAATGTGACCTCTGCTTAGCAGCCCAGACAGAATCATCTCCTGGGACTGACCTCATGCACATGCTCTTGTCTAGCTACACAGGAGGACTCTTCTGGGAACCCACCCTGGTCTCTCATAGATTGAGGTATTGTAATTTCTCCCCATCCCCACTTACTCTCTTCCTCTCTGCCTGGCCTGTCCTCTTCCTGCTGTCTCTCTGGAAGAACTGTTACTCATCCTTCCAGTTTCCACTGAAGCGCTGCCTCCTCTGTGAAGCCTCCTTGGATTTCCCTCAGACAGACTCAGACACCCCTTCCTAGATTCCCACTGGATAACTTGTTCCAGCCTTTGTTGTAGCAATTACCTCATTGCATCCTAATTGTTCATTTGCATGTATGTCCCTCTCCAGATCATGAGTAAGGCAGAGCAATATCTAATTTGACTTCCTTCTTCCAGAGCAGCATTTGCAGTATATACAATAACTGCATTGAATGAATAAATAGATCTGCCTGGCCCGTATCCATGCAGCTTTTGCCTCCCGCCTTACTTTTGCTCCACCTCCCAATTCCTCTGGCTTGGGGGTCTTCTCTGGGTATGTCACCTGGGGGCTGCTTCAGTCTTTCCTCCCAGCTGGTTTCGTATCTTTCCTTAGTCATTTTATGTTCCAGACATTCCATGACAGCAATCAAGGCAGAGAAAGTTTCTATTTGTTAACTGGGGCTGTTCAGATTCCCCTGCTTGTTCCCCTTGAAGTTCCTACTACATGGTAAAAATCACCTTCTTGATTCTTTCCTTTCTTCCTCCCTGTTTTTCTTTTGTCCCTGTCTCTAAACCCTTCTCAGGAACTGTGGCTATTCCCCACCAGGTCAGGTTGGTCTTTCCCAGAGGCCCTCTTGCTATGCCTGTTCAGCTCTGTGATGAGGCAGGGGGCAGAGATTACAGTCTTTACCCTCTGCTGGGGCACTTTCTTCTAGAGAGGACCCTGTCCTATGGTGAAGTCGGGGCAAGTAAGCAGCCATATGGGATAAACCCTGTGCCTAGAAATGTCTGGAGCAGGTTTAGGAGTCCCTTCATGGTATAGCAAATTCCTGCATATCTAATTCAAAGTAAATATTACCTTCCCCAAGGTCAAGTAATAAGCTTCTTTTATTATTGAATGATAAATTCTTAAAAATCACTTCCACCTTGAAACATCGTTTGATGACTCATCAGCACCCTTCTACCACCCCCTACTCCCCATGAAGTTGATTATCACATTTGGTCACGTAACTAGGGTCTATATCTATTATAATGTCTATTAGCAATAGAAGTTTCAATTCTCTCCATCTAAACTATATGTTGGTATGTTTACATTTTTGTCTCTTCTCCTTCACTTATCACAGCTGTAAAAAAGTAGACATTACTATCCTATTTTACATGAAGAAACTCAGGATCAGAAAAATTAAGCAAAGTGCCCTGTTACTAGTATTAGAATGTATGTTTCAGTCTTTCTGATGCCAAAGTCCTTGAAATTTCCACAAAACCATATTTCATCTCTTTTTAGCAAATGATAGTCTGTTTCCCCTGTCCATAAGTGATGCCTTCTTTATTGCCTCCCACTGTTGACTCATGTGTACATGCACACACACACAAACACACACATGCACACATGTACACACACACCCTAGATTTCAACTTCTTTTGGGACAGTGTCTTATTCTCCCTTGTTTCCCTCCTAAGTGTCCTACAGTTCATAAGTTTACCAAATATTTGCCCAGTCGATATTCATATTTCCCTTAGTCATGAAATCAAGGCTTAGATGGACCATAGAAGTAATTGTCCTGTTTAGACAAGAAGCAAAAATAAGGACATACTATGGGTATAAAATAACCACAAAAAAACAAAAAACACAAATTTTACAGGTCTTCAGAGTTTCCCCAAGGTAAAATAAATTAGGACAATTTCTCCAAACATCATGCCTCCTGCTCAAAGCTTAAAGCCAGACGGTAACATCCTGGCTACTCCCATCATCTCCCACTGCAGGATTATCTTTTTCTGAAGCATCATATTTATTCTCCTTACCCATAGGAGATTATCTCCCTGCATAATTTATAATTTTAGATTGTGAGCTCATGTCCTTTGGGCTTTATCTGGGGAAATCTGTGCAGCTTGGGCTGAGAGTGTGTTTCCACAGAGAGCTTTTATGTTGGCTTCTGGCAGATATCACAGGGCTAGTACCAGCCTGAGACTTTTTAAAATATTAATTTCCCAGGTTAGTATAAATTTTAACTCAAGGCCAGGCATGGTGACTCATGCCTGTAATCCTAGCACTTTGGGAGGCCGAGGTGGGTGGATCATCTGAGGTCGGGAGTTCAAGACTAGTCTGACCAACATGGAGAAACCCTATCTCAACTAAAAATACAAAATTAGCTGGGCATGGTGGCACATGCCTGTAATCCCAGCTATTCGGGAGGCTGAGGCAGGAGAATCGCCTGAACCCAGGAGGTGGAAGTTGCTGTGAGCTGAGCTTGCGCCATTGCACTCCAGCCTGGGCAACAAGAGCAAAACTCCGTCTCAAAAAAAAAAAAAAAATTTAACTGAAAACCCACTTACTTATAAAGTGTTGGCGGAGACATTTTCCTCCCACCCACTACATAGGCCAAAACAGATAAGCTTTCATGCCTTCTCCTAGAACTAGTGGGCAGATTTTTTTTCTTAGCCATCCTTTCATTGAGGAAATAGCATTTTGAGTCCCTACAGAAACTCGGTTTTAATTTTCTGCCTCTCTTGAGACCAAGGCCTTTTTTCTGTCCCTAATGTCATTTAATCCATAGACCTTTGACTACTATGACTTCTAAGGCCCTCTCCCCACCCCTTTTGGCAGCTTTGTCCACAGCGTATGCTTAGAGTTATAGGTTTCCCTGGCTTGGCCTTTGGGAATATTTCCTTCTTTTGAGCTCAGCTATAAAGAAAAGTACATTTGTTGGGCATGTGCAGTCCCTTTTAGATGTCAGCTTAGAAAACACCTACATCCCAAAGCAGGACTCTGGCTACTCTTTCTGAGTGGCTTTGCTTCCAAGTCAATGAGCTCTAAACTGGCACGAATTCTTACCCAAGATCATAAGAGTAAAGTTAAACCCTGGAATGTGACACAGACCACTCAAGACAGAACCAAGAGAATTCCTAGGTACATTTATGCCAGGTGAGCCAAATGGGAGACTTCCAGTGGTTGAGTCAGAGGTGTGGTGCTTAACTATCCCTGTGGTTGAAAGGCATTCTTAACACATTCATCCTTTCCAAGGAAGCTTTGGCTTATAGAGTTTTGGATCCCCTAATCTCTGACTCAAACTAAGAATCAAGGATTAAAATTCATTCCTTGGTGACCTCACATTGAAGACACCAAGTGTTATGAGGAATCATCTTAGCATGTTTGAAACTTGAAGTTGCATGCATGCTTTTGCAATAAACTTGACTTTTTGTGAGAATGTCAGGCTAAGTTTAGGGCAAGTAAAATATATTTATGTATGAATCATCATAGGAGAAAATGGGTGCATGTTCTTGAAGCTATGTGTGTATGAAATAGCCTCTTTGAATAAAAAAATTTAAACAGATGGTTGCTATATTTTATCTAGGCATTTCAATGTATTTTATAGAGGCAGAATTTCCTTCATGACACTTATCACAAGATATTTTCTTCCCTGCCACTCAGCAATATGTAAGGACAGAGATGTTGTTCTAATTCACCACTATATCCCAGCAGCTAGGTCAGTTTCTAATATATAGTCACATTCAATAAATGTTGAATGAATAAATGAATCAGAAGTAGAAAGAGTTGACTGCTGTAAAGTTTGGTCCTATAAAGATGTGAGGTTCATATACTGACTACATATCCTTTAAATCCATCTATACAAACTTCAGTGTCATTGAAGATGCCTCTGGCCTTTGTTTATCTCTGCACTGAAGATATTTCTCTTCAACCTTCAAGTATGAAGACAAATTGAAATGCCATTTGAAATGGTTTGCCTGTGTCCTCACCCAAATCTCATATTGAATTGTAGCTCCCACAATTCCCACATGTTGTGAGAGGGATCTGGTGGGAGGGTATTGAATCATGGTGATGGGTCTTTCTCATGCTGTTCTCATGATAGTGAATAAGTCTCATGAGATCTGATGGTTTTACAAGGGATTTCTCTTTTCACTTGACTCTTATTCTCTCTTTACCTGCCACTATCCATGTAAGATGTGACTTTGCTCCTCCTTGCCTTCCACCATGATTGTGAAGCCTCCCCAGCCATGTGGAACTGTGAGTCCATTAAATCTCTTTTTCTTTATAAATTACCCAGTCTCAGGAAAGTCTTTATCAGCAGCATGAAAACAGACGAATACATCATCTCATCTCATCCAAAAATCCTTCTCCCATCCCACTATGGTAGTGCAATACCGTATCAATATTACTATTTTTGTGATTATTAGGAACTAACTGTGCATTGAGCAGTCACTGAACACACACACACACACACACACACACACACACACACTCACACTGAACCCCTCTGCTTTTTCAGCAGATGATTTAGACTGTTCTTCTCTGACTGATGACTGGGAGTCAGGGAAGATGAATGCAGAGTCTGTGATCACCTCCTCTTCCAGCCACATCATATCTCAGCCTCCTGGAGGAAACTCCCATAGCTTGTCTCTTCAGTCCCAGTTGACAGCTTCTGAACGTTTCCAAGAGAATAGTTCGGATCATTCAGGTGAGTTCAGGTGTTTTAAATATTTGCCACACCCAAAGAATTCTTCCTTTCAGAGCCTGAGAATGACTTGGAGATGACTAAAATGCAGTTAGGAGCTGGTACCAACCTGTGCGAGGAAGGGAGGACATGGGGCCTCTGCCAAAGCCCAGGTGACCCTTTGCAGAGGAGATGACTGCCTTTGGGTGTCATGTTAGAGGCATCAGTAACTGGATCTGCAGTGTTTTACTTAAAAAATATTCAGAGACCGGGCACGGCAGGTCAGGCCTGTAATCCCAGCACTTTGGGAGGCCGAGGCGGGCGGATCACAAGGTCAGGAGATCAAGACCATCCTGGCTAACATGGTGAAACACTGTCTCTACTAAAAATACAAAAAATTAGCTGGGCATGGTGGCGGGTGCCTATAGTCCCAGCTACTCGGGAGGCTGAGGCAGGAGAATTGCATGAACCCAGGAGGCAGAGGTTGCAGTGAGCTGAGATCGCGCCATTGCACTCCATCCTGGGTGACAGAGCGAGACTCCATCTCAAAAAAAAAAAAAAATTCTGAGAATATTTTGTAAAATGTTAGGCTTCAATAAAGCAAAGTGGAAGATACACAGATGTTTGCTATTTTAATTCTTAGCTGTGTATTGGACATACTACATAAGAAGGCACAGTGGCTCACACCTGTAATCTCAGTATTTTGGGAGGCTGAGGCGGGTGGAACACCTGAGGTCAGGAGTTTGAGGCCAGCCTGGCCAACATGGCAAAAGTCCATCTCTACTAAAAATAGAAAAATTAGCTGGGCATGGTGGCACATGCCTGTAATCCCAGCTACTCTGGCGGCTGAGACAGGGAGAGTCACTTGAACCTGGGAGGTGGAGGTTGCAGTGAGTCGAGATCACTCGAGATCATACCACTGCATTCCAGCCTGGGTGACAGAGTAAGACTCCAAAAAAAAAAAAAAGAAGAAGAAGAAGAGGAAACAACAAAAAGAACATCCTTTAATGCTATGCTTCTGACAAGGAAAAGTCAAAAGATAATAAAGGCATTGGTATTTTCTGGCAGGAGCAAAGCTGTAATAAATTCAACAAGCATGTCCCTTAGTCTCTGGTTTGCTAATGTCAGATTAAGCATGTTTGGACATGGTGCTGCACCAAGGTGAAAGAGCCCACTCTGTCATTGGCTTGCTGAGATTAAAAGCCCAGATCCCTACTCCTTAGCTATAACTCAGAAGCAGTTTACCAAACCCTCTCAAACTTCATTTTTATCTCTACATGGAGAGGATCATAATTCCTACCTTGTCATGACTAAAATAACTCATGTAAAGTACTTAGCATACTATGTCATGTCTATTGAATACTCAGTAAATGTGAAGTTATTGTTACATAACATTGAAGTTAAATGGAAAAAATATTTTCTGTTTATTTGCTTTCAAAAAATCATAAATATTCACTTCACTGGCCATCACTCTTCTAGTCCTGAAGATCAATATGCTTTGTACATTTTGTTCCTAGTGCAGCTACTAGATAAGTGTTCAAGGGTTTTTTTTGTTTTGGTTTGGTTTTTGTTTTTTTATAGTTCCCTTTCCAGGTGTTGAAATGACAGGTTATCAACACCTAAGAAGGCTCAATAGCCACCTCCTCCAGGGAGCCCACCCTTCTTGGTGCTCCCCTAGCTCCCAGGACTTCTCTTTCTCATGCCCATTATTTGCACTGTCACTGCATGTTTGCCTCTGTGAGCTCCTTAAAGATAAGCACTAGGTCATTGTCATCTGTGAATTCCAAAATGCCCACATAGGCACAGAGATGATGCTTCATTACTGGTGGACCAATTAATAAGTGTGCTACCTCCATTTTACACATAAGAATATTCAGATTCAGACAGGTAAAGTTAACCTTTGTACTCTTTGCCAAGAGTTTTGTAAGAACAAATATAAGCTCTTTGCTGGGTCTGGAATCTCTCTCCCACCTGCTATACCTGGGTGGCCTCCTACTCTTCCTCAAGTCTCAAATTAAATGAGACCACCTCTATGCACCTTCTCTACCCCCTTCTGGCTGGTGGAGGTAGCGCTTCACTTCGCCTTGATTCCCTAGCACTCTATATATCACTATAGAAACTGTTTATTTTCCTCTTTCTCACTAAGCTATGAAGTCCTGGGTGGACAAGGTCTCCATCTTCCATTAAGCCCTTCACATGTAGGTATTGCATGTGTGTTCTTTTCCAGGTGCCAAAGATATAGGCAGATACATCAGTTGTATCAGTTGAAGATTTTTGAGTTCCAATGGATGGAAACCCAACTCAAAGTGGATTAATCAATAGAATTTATTGGCTCATCTTAATGAAAATTCCAGGCTTACAGTGCAGGATCCTGGCATTCTCTGTCTTTTGTTGTCTCTTCTCTTCTGTGTCTGTGTTACTCTTTAAAAGGTTGTACCAGACCAGCCTGGGTGACATAGTGAGACCTTGTCTCTACAAAAAATACAAAAATTAGTCAGTCATGGTGTCTCATGCCTGTAGTCCCAGCTACTCAGGAGGCTGAGGTGACAGGATCGTTTGAGCCCAGGAGTTGGAGACCAGCCTAGGCAACATGGTGAGACCCCATTTCTACAAAAAATTATCTGGGCATAGTGGTGCATGCCTGAATTTCCAGCTAGCTGGGAAGCTGAGGTGGGAGAATCACCTGAGCCTAAGAAGTCAAGGCTGCAGTGAGCCAAGATCATGCACTGCACTGCAGCCTGGGAAATAGAGTGAGACCCTGTTAAAAAAAAAAAAGAAAAAAAAGAAAAGAAAAGAAAAGAAAAAAAGGCCCTCCATACATGGTGGATCCTGGTGGCTCTGTGCCTACACCTTTCCAGTTTCCAGTTCTGCAGAAAGAGATTACATCTGTCTAGGCTAATGACAAGAGGCCAGTAATTGAGTTTTATTGGTTTTGGAAGGGCATGTTTCACATGAACAAAACTTTGTTGATAAGTATGTGTGCTGCAGAAAGTCAGGGACCCTGAATGGAGGGACTAGCTGGAGCTGCGGCAGAGGAACATAAGTTGTGAAGAGTTCATGGACATTTATCACTTCTCTAATAATGCTTTCATAATTTGTTATGCCTCTCTTTATTTTAATCTCTTAATCCTGTCATCTTCATAAGCTGAGGCTGTACGTCACCTCAGGAGCACTGTGATGATTGCGTTAACTGTACAAATTGATTGTAAAACATGTGTGTTTGAACAATATGAAATCAGTGCACCTTGAAAACCAACAGAATAACAGCGATTTTAGGGAACAAGGGAAGACAACCATAAAGTCTGACTGCCTGCGGGGTCGGGCAAAAACAGCTATATATTTCTTCTTGCAGAGAGCCTATAAATGGATGTGCAAGTAGGAGAGACATCGCTAAATTCTTTTCCTAGCAAGGAATATTAATATTAAGACCCTAGGAAAAGAATTGCATTCCTGGAGGGAGGTCTATAAACGGCTGCTCTGGGAGTGTCTGTCCTATGCCGTTGAGATAAGGACTGAGATATGCCCTGGTCTCCTGCAGTACCCTCAGGCTTACTAGGATTGGGAAACCCCAGCCCTGGTAAATTTGAGGTCAGACCGGTTCTCTGCTCTCGAACTCTGTTTTCTGTTAAGATGTTTATCAAGACAGTATGTGCACCGCTGAACATAGTCCCTTATTGGGAGTTTCTGATTTTGCCCTGTCCCTGTTTCCTCAGAAGCATGTGATCTTTGTTCTCCTTTTTGCCCTTTGAAGCATGTGATCTTTGTGACCTACTTGCTGTTCTTGCACCCCCTCCCCTTTTAAAATCCTCAATAAAACTTGCTGGTTTTACGGCTCAGGTGGGCATCACAGTCCTACCAGTATGTGATGTCACCCCCGGCAGCCCAGCTGTAAAATTCCTCTCTTTGTACTCTTTCTGTTTATTTCTCAGACTGGCTGACACTTAGGGAAAATAGGGAGAACCTACGTTGAAATGTTGGGGGTGGGTTCCCCTGATATATGTGAAACTCCGAAAAGCTTGAAAGGAATCAAATGCTAGGAGGAAAGTCAGAAAAAATCAGTCACTTCACCTAAACTGTGTACCAAGAGAGGGGGAGAGGTGATTCCTCAAGGAAAATATGAGCACTGTCCCCAGAGAACAGGAAATCAATGCTATTTTCTCAATGAGCTTGCAGTTTAGTGGGGGAATATTGAGAAATATTATAGAATTTTTAATTCCATGTGAAAAGAGAGTTAGCAGAGATATGAACAAGGTATAATGGGAGCACAGGGAGGGAGCAGCTAAGGGCCAAGGAGGAGCCAGTAGAATCAAGGTAGGCTTCCTAAAGGAGGTTACACCTGAGCTGAGCTGAAAAAGGTATTCAGCAAATGGCAACTTAAGGAAGGAATCCATGAATAATTCATCCCAAATCACACAACTCATATCTTTGTAGATCTCAAATCTAAACCCATTCATCCTTCAGTATCCAAGTCTAGTGATCTTTGCAGTTTTTCAAGCTAGATTTGTTTCTGAGGAAATGTTTTCCAAATTCCACATGAAATCAGGGGAGGCTAAGAATAGAAACACACTTTAGAAGGATGGTTGAGTATTCAGTTGAACCCACAATAACTGAATTCACAATGTACATGAACAACTGTACATTTGCAGTGACATAATTTACTACTGTGATATTTTGAATTGCCAATCTTCAGCATTCCACCCGCATTATGGGCTAAGTAGGTTTTGTTAGCTGACTCAATCCTCATTCATGGCATAAATAGCAAAAATAAATGCATTCATAACATAAAGTCATTCCAAGTTTTAAACAACTGTTGCAAAATTGAGCTTTTGAAGCATTTGGCAAAAATTAAGTTGAGGTCTGTTTATATTCTCCTTTAGGTTTTTTATGTGGTAATCCTCAAATCAGCTTTAATTTATTTAAGGTGATTAGAATAATACTGAGGTTCATGATTGAATTAACTCTTATGCTTATAATTGCTGGATAATTTGTAGTTTCTACTGTGGCTTGGCAGTACTGAAATATTGTACTGATTGCAAAGAGTTTTCAAAGACAAATATTTCATAATATATGTTCTCATTTTTTGTCTTTAGAGACTTCCATTATGCAAAGTTGCAATTGTCTTTCCCTGCCCACTTCAGACAAAATGTTATGTTCTGTCTAGATGTGGTTTTTAAATCTTGGCTGTGACACCTCATAGCTATGTGACCTTGGACAAGTTCATCATTTCTCTTAGTCTTTTTCTTCTCTTTGCAGAACTAAGATAATGGCATCCACCTCACAGCGTTGTTGTGCTGTTTAAGTGAACTAACGTATACAAGCTCTTTGTGAATTATAAGGCACTTTACAGATTTTAGACATTATTATTATCACAATGACAGAATTAGATTTCTTACATTATCATAAACTCTACAAAGCCTTTCCCCAACATTAAATCAAAAGGCAAGCCCTAAACTGTGAAAATAGCATAGTCTTTTATTTTATAGTGATTGAAGAAAGTAATTATTTGCAGAAATTTTCTAATGACAGCCCTGTATAACAGTAGGTAATTTTATCTTGTTATTTATGACACATTGCTTGAACTGACATACATTCCAAAACTTTTTTTTTTTTTTGGTGGGTACAAGGGAAGTTTGAGATGATTTTTTCTTCCAAGATGATTGAATCAGCAATGATTTCTAATTTATTTGTTTTTGTTCTTCCTATTAGAAACCAGGTTGTTGCAAGAGGTCTTCTTTCAGGCAATCCTGCTTGCTGTGTGCTTAATCATTTCTGCATGTGCAAGGTAATTCACGTTTTATTTTCATGCAGCGGTATTTCATAATTAGTGAAACTATAGCTGATTGATGATTTCCTTGCCTTATTCCACAAAACATTTTAGGTAGCTCTGTGGTTGAGATTCGTTCATGTGTCTGTCCATGATAAGTTTCCCTTTATCTCTCATTGCCCACCTCTATCCTCTCACAAAGCATACAAAACCTAGAAAGTGGGCCAGGCACGGTGGCTCATGCCTGTAATCCGAGAACTTTGGGAGGCCAAGGTGGAAGGATCACCTGAGGTCAGCAGTTCGAGACCAGCCTGACCAACATGGTGAAAATTAAAAGTATGAAATTAGCCAGGCGTGGTGGCTCATGCCTGTAATGCCAGCTACTCAGGAGGCTGAGGCAGGAGAATTGCTTGAACCCGGGAGGCAGAGGTTGCAGTGAGCTGAGATCCCGCCATTGCACTCCAGCCTTGGCAACAAGAGCAAAGCTCTGCCAAAAAAAAAAAAAGACAAAAAAAAAAGAAAAAGAAAACCACCTAGAAAGCATACAAAACCCAGTGTACGTTGCTTAAAATTGTATTTTACAGTGGATTGCTTTTTCTCCAAAGAGAAGTGGCTCCTGTTAACAGATATACTCTAAGTATAGCTGGAGTTTAAAGCCACTTGAAGTTCCCACTGTGCGATTTAGGGTCCCTGCAGAGACTCCACCCTTCCCATTGTATTTGTATATCCCCACATAAATTGTCTCTTCATGCCTTCTTATAGGTATGTTTGTTCTCTACCCTCTGACCTGTATGTTCTTCCTCTGCCTTGTTTTCCTTTCCCTATTCAAGTCTCCAGGGCAGTGATCAGGTTCCTTGGTGCTAGGCCCACTCCTGTCTCAGGGCCTTTGCACTTGCTTTTCACTCTGCCTCTTAGAATCCTCCAGATAGCCTCATTACCTGTGACCTTACTTCTTTACAAAATCCGTTCAAATGTCACATCATCAGAGAGATCTTCCCTGAAAATCCTTTATAAATAGCATGCCACTCTTTGTCGCATGCACCTTGCTTTACTTTTCTTTTGAGCACTTATTACCCCCTGACCTGTGACATGATTAGCTGTTGAAGTTTTAATGGGATCTGCCTCTCCCTAGAAGAATGTGAGCTGCCTGACAGCAGACACATTGTGCGTCTCCCTCACTTCAGTATCCTCAGTGCCAGGGGTTCTTCAATATTTATTGAATCAATGAAACAAAGGTGAATACAACAGTCCAGGGGTCTTTATGGTTCTTGAACTCTGGCCAGCAAGGGCTGCCTGCTCTCGAGTCCCACATTTTGAGGGTCAAATACAGCAGCATCACTTGGAGGAGGTGCTTTTTTAAATACAAAGTCCTAGATCCCATCTCTTGAGATTCTAATTAAGATTTACTGAGAATTGGTAATTTAAAATAAGCTTCCCAGATAATTATGAGGTTTGCAAAACATTTTTAGATCACAATGGGACCACAAGAACAAAAGTGGAGTGTGTGTGTGTCGGAGGGGGTGCTTCTGTGGTTAAAAATAAATTTGCAAAATTCTGCATTCTATATCCCAAACTGGAAGACCATGATGTGCATTAGTATAATAATCAGTGAAATAATGTGGTGAAGGAACACGTCTAGCTTTATTTCACTTCGTGTTTTCCGCACCTCCAAGTTGATCGCAGAGCCCTTTCTTTTCTTTCACAGGACTGTAAATGGTATGTTTCTTAGGTTAATGTTTGTGGATACTCCTCCCTTAAGAGGCGGAGCTTAACTCTTAATCCTTTAAGGGAGGGCTGCATTTAGAAACTTCTTCCAGGGAGTAGAGTAAGGAAGGGGGTAAGAAAGGTAACTCTTCAGTGGAGAAACAGGACAAACACTGCTGCAAGTGAACAAGTCAGCATCAACAGAGATAAGTTACACTGATTGCATGTCCCCTTGATACGACGTGGTGAGAATGGCACTTTACCTCTGTGGTCTTCCACATCCCAGTCTGCCAAAAGAAAAATAGCAGAAAAAAAAAATTAAGGGACATTCAACACATTATCTGAGCAGGACTTTCCAAAACTGTCAAGGTCATCAAAACCAGGGAAAGTGACAAACTCTCAGAGCCCAGAGGAGCCTAGCAGACGCAATGACTAAACATATGTGGTGACCTGGATGGGATCCTGGAATAGAAAAAGGAAAAATCCAAATGAAGTGTAGAGTTGAGATCATAGTAATGTACCAGTGTTGGTACATTACCATGTTCCTTCATTGTGACAAACATACCACAGTAATAATAATAGAGGAAGCTGACTGGAGACCACATGAGAACCCTCTGTCCTAATTTTCTGATTTCTCTGCATATCTAAAATTATTCTAATAATGTTTATTTGAATTAAAAATTGACTAAAACTGTATAGACGTGGGCAAGAGCATGGATGTTTCTCATAGTAAGTGATAGGTGACAGACAGGAAAGTTGATATGTTTGCACATACAGGTTGAGTATGCCTCATACAGAATGCTTGGAACCAGAAGTATTTTGGATTTTGGACTTTTTGTACATTTGGGAAAATTTGCATATACATGATGAGACATCTTGAGGATGAGAATCAAATCTAAACAAAATTCCTTTATGTTTCATATACACACAGCCTAAAGGTAACTTTACACAATATTTTAGGGAATTTTCTGCACCTGTGGCATGAAGTCAGGTGTGGAAGTTTCCACTTGTGGCATCATGTAGACACTCAAAAAGTTTCAAACTTGGGGCATTTCAGATTTTGAATTTTTTATTTAGAGATGCTCAACCTGTGTATATAAAATTCAAGAAAAGGCAAGACAAATCAATTATTATAGATGTAAGAATAGTGATTAATTCCGAGGGTATATACTGAAAAGGACAACCAAGGAACCTTAAAGGGCGCGGGAAATATTCTATATCTTGATCTGGGTAGCAATTACAGGTGTTTATACAAAAAATCAAAATCAAGTTGTACACTTTATAGGCTTTGCTGTATTTATGTTAGAGCTCATTTTAGAATAACAGTTTTAAAATGCATATAAAGAGATTTCCAAAGGATATTCACCAGATTTTATTAATAACTTCTTCCATATGGTGGGATTTTTCTGATGATATTTTCTTTTCCTTTTTGTATTTATTCGTAATCTCTTTCAAATGATTCACATTTTGAAAATAAAAACAATAAAAATACTATTCTTTTTTGAAATAAATCTACTCAGTGACATCATCACCCATCATATTGGCAAAAATTCAAATGCTTGGTCACACTTTTTTGACAAGGTTGTGAAATAGCAGACATGCTCCATCATTGCTGTGAAATTTTTAACAATTTATTCTTAAAATCCCCAGGTAGGGGGGCTGGGCACGGTGGCTCACGCCTGTAGTCCCAGCACTTTGGGAGGTTGCGGCAGATGGATCACGAAGTCAGGAGATGGAGGCCATCCTGGCTAACACGGTGAAACCCCGTTTCTACTAAAAATATAAAAAATTAGCCAGGCGTGGTGGTGGGCACCTGTAGTCCCAGCTACTCGGGAGGCTGAGGCAGGAGAATGGTGTGAACCCGGGAGGTGGATCTTGCAGTGAGCCGAGATTGTGCCACTGCACTCCAGGCTGGGCAACAGAGCGAGACTCTGTCTCAAAAAAAAAAAAAAAAAGAGAAAATCCCCAGGTAGGGAGATTCCATAATGTCGACCAAGTTTAAAGTTACATATCTCCTTTGACCTGGCCAGGCCTTTTCAAATAATTTATTGTGTGAAATGACATATGTAAAATGCTATTCATTGCATTTTAAAAAATGCTATTCATTGTATTTTTAAACAGATTTTAAAAATTATTTTTAAGTGCACCTTTAGTGGTTTTAGTATATTTACAAAATTGTGCAACCATCACCACTCTAATTCTATAACAATTGCATCACTGAAAAAAGAAACCCTCTACCCATTAGCAGTTACTCTCCTTTCCTTCCTCTTCCACCTCCTGAAAACCACTAATGTACTTTCTGTCTCTGTGAATTTGTCTATTCTGGACATTTCCTATAGAGTTATACAATATGTGGACTTCTGTGTCTGGTATGACTTATGTAGCATAATGTTTTCAGAGTTCATCCATGTTGTAGCATGTATCAGTACTTCATCCTTTTCTATGGAAGAATAATATTCCATTGCATAGATATACTGCATTTTGTTTATCCATTCGTCAGTTGATGGGCATTTGAGTTTTTCCCCATTTGACCATTATGAATAATGTTGCTATGAACACTGGTGCACAAGTTTTGTATGGACATACAGTTTCATTTTTCTTGGTTAAATATCTAGGAATGGAGTTTCTGGGCATATAGTAAGTCCATATTTAATATTTTTAGAAACTGCTGAAACGTTTTCCAATAGGACTGCACCATCTTACACTCCCACCCCCACCAGCAATGTATGAGGAATCCAAATTTTCCTCATCCTCAACATTTGTTATTGTCTGTCTTTTTGACTAGAGCCATCCTGGTGGGTGTGGTGTGATATCTCACTGTGGTTTTGATTTGCATTTCCCTGATGGATAATGATGTTGACCATCTTTCCATGCACTTATTGGATGTTTGTTTGTGTATCTGTTTTACAGAAATGTCTATTCAAGTACTCTGACACTTTTTAAACCAGGCTGTTTGCTTTTTGTTGTTAAGTTAAAATAATTCTTTATATATTCTGCATATTAACCCCTTCTCAGATATGTGATTTGCAAATGTTTTTCCTATTCTGTGGTTTGCCTTTTCACTCTGTCGAATGTATTCTTTATGTGCAGAAGTTTTAAATTTTGATGTAGCCCAACTTCTCTACTTTTTTTCTTTTTTTGTGGTCTGTGCTTTTGGTGTCACATTCAATAAATCATTGCCAAATCCAATGTCATGAAGTTTCTCACCCATCTTTTGTTGTGTTTTATAGTTTTAGCTCTTACATTTAGGTTTTTAATTCATTTTGAGTTAACCTTTGTATATGGCATAAAGTAATGCTTCAACTTCATTCTTTTGCGTATAGTGTAGTAAGTTTTGAAGTGGAAAAGCATGAGCCTTCCAACTTTGTTTTCCTTCCTCAAGATTGTTTTAGCTATTTTGGGTCCCTTGCACATCATTTTGGTAATAGCAAAAATAGAAACAACCCAAATGTCATAAATGGAGGACTGAATAAATAAATTCACACCACAGAACAATGTGCAGTTGTGAAGTGCCATAGAGATAGATGTAGTAATAAAGTTAGAGATGGGGTGGGAAAGACAGAGAGACAGAGAGAGAGAGGATAATTTATATCTTTCAAGTTATAAATTATTCATAACTATAAAGTACAAGCATTGAATACAGTTGTCCCTCAATACCGAAGGGGGTTTGATTCTAGAGCTTCCCTCAGATACCAAAATCCTTGAATACTAAAGCCCCTTATATAAGATGATGTAGTATTTGCATATACCGTATGTATATCCTCCCATATAGTTTAAATCATCTCTAGATTACTTATGTAGATGGGTTATATTACTTATGAAATTTATTACAGGATAAAAAGAGGCATCACTGTTATTAAATGAAATGCTTGTTTTTGAAAGGGGGTGTTAGGTCTGACTGGTCTGAGTAGCTTTTTTACAGACAAAATATGCTATGGAATATACAGTGTGGGTGATCTAGATCTCCATCTCTTCACTGCCATGACTCTGATTCAGAAATATATTGAGCCTTTACAAGCAAGGTGTGGAGTGGTGAGGGGCGTGTGAGCAAACAAATGTGGGGTCTGGTCACTGCTAGGTTGCGATAGCACCCGGGCCTAGCCACAACTTTGCTCCGAAATCAGAGCGGGCAACAGGAGCAGGGAGAGGCCAGGGGCAGGAGCAGGCGCTTCCAAGCCTGCAGGCACAGGGGGGCTTCCAAGGCCCCCAAGAGTGCAGGGATGCCTGGGTTCAGAGCCATGGCTGAGCGGCTGCAGCTGCACCTGGGAGGGCGGGGCCCCCTCCAGTTCCGGGCTCCCTCCTGTTCTCGGCTCCCTCGGGCTCTGCGAAGCCCACAACCCTGGCCAGGCCTCCCCTGCTGCAGCTGGCGTCTTTGCAGCAGCCACTCCAGATGGGCTGCTGCTGCCATCGCTTATGGGACTTCAGTTTTTCCCACCATTTCTGTCTTCCCTTAATTTCTTGTTTTGTCAGAACAAATTATTTCTCTCACGGAATATTTTGCTTGTATATGATTAATACAGAAAACTATTCACCTCCTCTAAGAAAATATACTAACCCACAGCAATAACAAATGTGCTATTCTACAATTAGCTCATTCCTTTTTGTTGCTGAATCATATTCCATTGTATGGATGTACCACAGTTTGTTTATACATTCACCTATTGAAGGGTGTCTTGGTTGCTTCCAGTTTTTGACCACTTTGAATAAAGCTTCTACAAAGAATCATATGCAGATTTTTGTACAGACACAGAATTCACCTCAGTTGAATTAATACCAAGGGGTGCAACTGTTGGGTTATATGGTAAGTCTAAGTTTAAATTTGTAAGCAAGTGAAGCTGTTGGGTTATATGGTAAGTCTATGTTTAACTTTGTAAGCAAGGGCCAAACTATCTTCCAACTGTTTGCACACTTTTCATTCTTTTTTTTTTTTTTTTTTTTTTTTTTGAGACGGAGTCTTGCTCTGTCGCCCAGGCTGGAGTGCAGTGGCGTGACCTCGGCTCACTGCAAGCTCCGCCTCCCGGGTTCACGCCATTCTCCTGCCTCAGCCTTCCAAGTAGCTGGGACTACAGGCGCCCGCCACCACGCCCGGCTATTTTTTTTTTTGCATTTTTAGTGGAGACAGGGTTTCACCGTGTTAGCCAGGACGGTCTCAATCTCCTGACCTCGTGATCCGCCCGCCTCGGCCTCCCAAAGTGCTGGGATTACAGGCATGAGCACCGCGCCCTGCTGCACTCTTTTCATTCTTAACTGCAATGAATGAGAGTTTCTGTTGCTCTGCATCCTCCCAGCATTTTGTATTGCCAGTTGTTTGGGTTTTAGCCATTCTACTAGGTATGCAGTGATATCTCGCTGTTTTAATTTGCATTACTGTAATGAGGAATGATGTTGAACATCTGTTTTTATACTTATTGACATTTGTATATATTCTTTGGTGAAGTGTCTGTTCAGATCTTTTGCTCATTTTTTCAAGTGGGTTGCTTATTTTCTTATTATTGAATTTTGAGAGTTCTTTATATATTATGGATAGAAGTCCTTGATTAGATACATAATTTGCAAATATTTTCTCACAGACTGCGCCTTGTCTTTTCATTCTCTTAGCAGTGTCTTTCACAGTGCAGAAGTTTTACATTTTGATAAAGTCCAATTATTCCTTTCTCTTCTTTCATGGATTGTGCATTTGGTATTGCATTTTAAAACTCATTGCCAAATGCAAGGTCATATTGATATTCCCCCATGTTTTCTTCTAGAAGTTTTACAGTTTTACGATCTACATTTTTGGTCTATGACCCATTTTGAGTTAAATTTTGTGTAAGGTATGTTATACATGTGGAGGTTCATTTTTTTGCATGTAAATATCCAATTGTTTCAACACCATTGGTTGAAAAGACGGTATGTTCTCCTTTGAATGCTTCTGCGCCTCAATTAAAATCAGTTTACTCTATCTGCATAAGTCTACTTCTGGGCTGTCTACTCTCTTTCATTGATCTGTATGTCTGTCCATTTTCCAATACCACTGTCTTTATTACTGTAGTTTCATAGTAAACCTTGAAATCATAATTCTATAGTAAGTCTAAAAAAATCACACAGGTTGGAAATGCACAATTAGTATGCTAAATCAGAGCAATCTTGTTGTTTCAGATGGTTTATGGGAGAAATATTAGCCAGTGTCTTCACATGCTCATTGATGATAACTGTAGCTTGTAAGTAACTGTTTCCCAGATTACTGCAATGATGCCTGTATTTCATTCCAATTTTGGTCACTTTAAAATGATTTTAAAATATTTTCTCTGTTTCACTCAAGATGTGAAATCATTGTTTCTCAGCCTTGCCAGCTATTTCAAAACCACTGCCTGTGCTCGGTAAGTGTTGCCTGTGTCATCATTATTGTCTGGACCAAGGTGATCATAATTTGATATCTGAGAATGGTTTCTGCTGCATAGTAGATGGCAATGACAGGAAACATCCTGATCATTCGTCCTGAAGACTACTTTCTGTTACTGCTAAAATTTAATAGTATTATCATCCTGCCTCCTAAATTTTTACATCAAAATAATTGTTAAGCACAGGACTTAGAAAATAATTTGAAAGGCGATGTCATTTAAAATAATTTTTAAAGTGATTTTGTAGATTCATAGCACTACACTTTATAAATACCTCATCTGAAGAAACCTTTGTGTTAGACGTTCCCAAATAGCTGGCAAACTGCCCATGAAATGATCTCAGTTACAAACTGTGATTTCTGTGCCTTCTCTTATTCATTTAATGATCCCCTTGTGTGTTAACTGCCATGGTTCAGCATATTTCAAAGGGTTACTGGGGTCTGGTTGGGATGCCCATAGAATTTCAAACAGTCTGGATAGCACCATCCTATTGCACGATGGACTGTGTTAATTACCTTCACTTCAATATGGCTGCCAGAGGCAAACTCACATGGCTTGGAGACTGAGGTCTGTAATTCACCATGGCACTCTTACAAAATCTGCGCTAATTCTGAAATCACAATGGGGTTTAGTGAAAATTTATTTTGGTTAGGATTCTAGCCAATATTGACTTACTGACATTTTGAGTGATGCTTCCCATAATTTCTGGGTATTTCTGGTTTCTGGGGGTGCACATACAGCTAAGTTTTATTCAACCTGATATTTAGAAAATCGAATCTCTGGGTAGCTCAAGAAATCCTTATAATTTAGCCCTTGAAATTAATGACAAGGCTGGGTGTGGTGGCTCACACCTGTAATCTCAGCACTTTGGGAAGCTGAGGCAGGAGACTTCCTTGAGTCCAGGAGTTCTAGACCAGCCTGAGCAACATAGTGAGACCTACGAAAAATAGACAAAATTAGCTGGGTGTGCTGATGCGCACCTGCAGTTGCAGCTACTGGGGAGACTAAGATGGAGGAATTGCTTGAGCCTGGGAGGTGGAGGCTGCAGTGAGCTGTGATTGTGCCCATGCCACTGCACTTCAGCCTGGGCTACAGAGAGAGAATTTGTCTTAAAAACAAAAAGAAAAAGAAAAAAGAAAAAAGAAAAAGGAGTTAATGACATTTGTTTAAAACAATTATTGATTTCTAAAGTGGCACCACCTAAGTTACCAAATCTTTATTAAGAATTTACAATATGTTCTATACGGTATGGGGTACCAAGTTTAGCTCAGTTGCTGTTAATGAAGTGTCTACCATGGGTTAGACACAGTCACTAGGTACCAGGGTGTGAATGCCCCAGCATGTGGCTGGCTTTGAGATTTTATCATCTCATTAGAGTAAAGGACTTGTAAGGGGCAAGGTGAAGTTGCCTTTTAATATGGTAAGTGCAAATATCAGGTTAGTACAGGAGCCAGGGGGAGCACAAGGAGGTCAGTTTCCCAGACTAAGAGGAGTGGGGAGTATGTTCAGGGAGGGCCTCCTGGAAGAGCCAATATCCGATCTGCAGGGGTTATATCACCTGCTGTTTTCTCAGAACTTCCCATTGTTCTGAGCTCATTGTTTGTTCTCTCCCAAAAGAAATTACATCAGGACAATATTTCTATCCTGAACAAACACTTTTATCTTCTGACTCATTTATGGAAGGAGATCCTTTCTTTGATTATTTGTGTACATACTTTGACTTGTTCTTCTCTTGTTCCCAACTCCATTTTTTCCTGTTTCCTGCCCACCAGCCTCATATACACACACATTTGCATTTAAGACCTGTGAAAACAAGGACTATTGACTTCATTTTTGTATCTACAACCAAAGCCTTGAAAATAGTATGTACTCTGTACATATTCATTAAATTTAATGTATTTACTGCATCATTTCTTGAAGTACTTCCTTGAAAGCCAAGAGCTCTGCGTGTATATTAAAGATTTTGCAACCCTCTCCTTCTTATATAAACATACCGAGAAACTAATAAACCAAAGATATGGTTATTAATATCGAGAATCAAGAATGACTCATAAGTCTCCTCTAACAATCAATGATGAGAATCTAAGGAACTGAATTCAGTTCAACAAATATTAATGCAGCACCCTCCCCCCAACACACACACCCATCCTGCACTGTGCAAGTTAGATTAGATTAGGTGCCTCTTTAGCACCTCACACGGCTCACATCATATCCCTTTTCATAACATAATGAAATTCTTAGTCAACTGCTTTCCTGATTAAATTTAAAGCCTGTGAAGATAGGGACTATCTGTCTTGTCCACCACTGGCCTGAGTGTCCCTTGCAAATGAAGGTCAGCACAGGTATCTCATGTTAGTAATGATGTGTTAGCATCAGCGGTACACGTTTTGCACACTTATGATTTCATAGTAACAAAATGGGTCACATCTGTTCTCTCTTAAATGAAGGAATGTATGTTCGTATACTTAATGAATGAGTGAATAAACTTTAGGGAATAAAAATATGGGGAAAATCCACCTGTTACCCTACAGGCTGTTCTACGGGGCAGGAGAGAGCAATTTTCTGGAAGGTGTATTCTTTTGAGCCATTTTCTTTACCAAGTTTTTAATCTTCTTGAGGATCATGATTACCTTTCACTTAAAGTGCAATTAAAATACTGATATAATACAGAAAAATGCCATAAGGGCAGGTGGGAAGAGGAAACCATAGGAAATATTAGTTAACTAAGTACCACGCTGGGCTGAGGGGTCAAAACCTCTATAGTCTTTCAGACAAAAAGGAGAGCACTAAGAACTGCTGGGATAAAAGCAAAAACGAAAAGTACCCTTAGTTGAGGCTGCACTCTTCCTAGTTGTGATAATTCAGGCCCGTTGTGGGTATGGGTGTGGGTGTGTGCTTATATATGCGCAAATGGGTATGCAGTGATTAGATACTGCATTTCCTGTGCATGGGGATGAATTATGCATTTCTTTTCTTATTTCTCCAATCTAGGTTTGTCAAAATTTGACAACCATTTAGGAATGCCTTCGATGAATGTCCTCCATCTGAATATCTGGAAATTGTCCAACTTGCAGTCTACTTGGAATCAAGTGTTTTATTGGAAGGGAGTAAGCGAGTAATGGAGAAAAAGCCATTTTAGTTTGACTATGTGATTTTAAAATGATCTCAGTTTTTCCATCAAAATTATAATATGCTCATGAAAATAATATTAATTTGCCTTCCCTTTGCAAACACCGGCAGTTGAAAGGAAAAGGACGGGGAATGTGATGGAAAAGAGACCGCCTGGAATAAATGTCCCCCTATGATTCTTTAAGGCAGTGGTTCTCGAGCTTGAATTTTCATTAGGAAATTCTGTGAGGAGCTTGTAACCAGATTTCTGGGTCTGCCACATGCACCTATCTCTTGCTGAATTGCTTTAATAGAATAATGAGAGCAAGTTTGTCTAACTAATACCAACCTGACAACTTGAATAACAATAAATGCAATTTGTACATAAAATATAATGCTGCAAAAGTTTGTCATTCACCTCAGTGGAGTGACTTGATATTAGGTGGTAACCGTAGATGATGGTTAATATGAAAATGGACAGGAAAGAAGCATTTTCTGAAAGTTATATTCTTTTGAACCACGTTCTAAACCAAGTTTTTAATCTTCTTGGGGCTCGTAATTACCTTTCACTTTAATGTCACTTAAAGATATAACACAGAAAAATGCCTTGAGGGCAAAATATAGGCAAAACACCAATGCGCTTTCAAATGCATGAAAATGGTGCAGTTGTACCCTTGAGCCTTGACTCAAGGGCTGTAGATGTTCCCTTTCCACCCCCCACACTTGGTGCGTGTTCACAAAGCAAATATGGCCTGTAATTCAAATTTGTTCTATGTGATACTCTCTGAGTAAAAACTCATACATGCAGAAAATTGTCTTTGCTCGAAATGATAATGCCAAAATATAACTTTATATATAATTTGCATTTAGTACATTTTTGGTTAAAAAATAAACTAATAAATAAGTGAAGTCATCAGCAAATTTATATTTGTGTGTGTGTATATATATATGTATATATATATTTTTTTGAGAAATCATGGCAGAACATCATTCATTGAAGACTGTATTATTTCCCTATTGCTGCCTTAACAAATTACCCTAAACCAAGTGGCTTACGGCAACACAAAGTTATTGTTTTACAGTTCTGGAGCTCAGAAGTCTAAAATAAAGGTCAGCAGAGTTATTTTCCCTCTGGAGGCTTTAGGGAAAAATCTATTTCCTTGCCTTTTTTAGCTTCCAGTGGCTGTCTGTATTCCTTGGCTTGTGGCCCCCTCCTCCACCTCCAAAGCACACCACTCTGATTTCTTACTTCCATCATTACATCACCTTCTCCTCTTCTGCAGTAAAATCTCCCTCTACCTCCCTCTTTAAAGGACACTTGAGACTACATTTAGGATCCACTCTGATAATCCAAGATAAAATCTTTGACTTAATGACACCTTCAAGGCCCCTATTTTCATATAAGGTAACATTGATGGGTTCCTATGATTAGAACCTGGCTATTTTGGGGGACCATTAGTAAGCTTACCACAGTTGTATTTGAAATAGCCTCGTGTAATAATTTAGTAGGTCTGGGATATGTCCCATGCCTTTGCCATTTTTACAAGTAGGTTAAGTGATCACAAAGTGATCCACAATCCACGTGCATGAATGCTTTGAAGTGGGATTTAAAATGAATTTAATGGAGAACTAAATGCATATGGAGCCTTTCATTTAATACACTATTAGGAGAACTTCCATTGAGAATTTCTACATTTCCTTTGTCTATGTGTAACACACATTTTTCTACAGAGTCATTTGATTTAAATGATAATGTTTTTCAAAGTAAGATACTGAAATAGTACTAACTGTTTACGTGCATATAATGCTTCATTGTTGACAAGGACATTTTCTCCCCGGCTGTATAAGCTTACTATGGCTACAGTAACAAGTTACCACAGATTTGGTGGCTTAAAACAATGCAAATTTATTATCTTACAGTTTTGGGGGTCAGTCCAAAATGAGCCTTACAAGGGTAAAACCTAGAGACTGCTTGCATTCCCTGGCCCCTGGCCCCCTCCTCCATCTTCAAACCACTTCACTCTAGCCTCTGCTTCTGTGGTCACATCTCCTTTTCTGACTTTAGACATCTTGCCTCCTTCTTTAAATAATTTTTGTAATTACATGGGGCCCACCCAGATAATCCAGAATAATCTTTCCATTTTAAAATCCTTAACTTCATCCCATTTACAAAGTCCTTTTGCCACATAAGGTAATCTAGTCATAGGTTCCAGAGTTCTGGAATGCAGATATCTTCCAGGACCCAATGGCTAAGGCCTTCCCCAGTGAAAGCTTCAGATGAGAGGCCGGTGCAGGACAACACCTTCTTTACAACCTTGCAGAGGACGCAGTTAAAGACCTCTGCAGAAACTGAGATTAATGTGTGTTCTAAGCTGCTAAGCTTGTGCTAATGTCATTACATGGTGATAGATAATGAACACAACATCCACTGATTCTCCTCCAAGTGTATAAAGTGTGTTGCTGTGCAAAATGACTTTAGGACATGTCCCCTAGCAGTGGGCTCCAGCCAGATGGTTGCTCTTGAGCCCCACTACTTGGAGTGGAGAGTATAACCTTAATATCCTGCAGATCCATCTGTGACAGAGGTGCACAGGACCTGACTAGTGATGTGTGTGCTGCCAGGAAGACTTGTACATCACTGGATGTCAGCTCTCTGCCAATGGCCAGCCTCAATCCTCTTCAGGTCCTATTTGTTATTGTAGTCTAGCAGCGGGCAATATTGTTATAAAGAACCACGTCTGCTGTACACAAAAGATTCTCAGTGATCTGGAATGCACTCCTTGGGAATTTGTAACTTTGCTGAATTTAATAGTCATCATCATAATATGATTTCATGTATATATTTGATTTTATAGTTTCATTTATTAATACATTCAGTAAATATATATTTAGTCCAACCATGTGCCAAGAGCCAGTCTAGCCCCTGGGAGTATGACGGTGAAGAATACAGACGAGGTTCCTGTACTTATTAAATGTCATGTTTATGTAGGCACCATTCATTCTGTGAAATAGGCAGAACAGCTGTTTTTAAAAACTTGTATTGTTCAAATACGAGAAAAACAGAAAATAGTGTAAAAATTATTATAAGGCAAATGCCTTGTTTTAGTCTGTTTTGTGTTGCTGTACCAGAATATCACAGACTGTGTACTTTATTTTTAAAAAGAAACATATTTCTCACAGTTCTGGCAGCTGTGAAACCCAGTATCAAGGTGCTGGCATCTGGCAAGAGCCTTCTTGCTGCATCATCTCATGGCTGAAGGTGAGAAGATGAGAGAAGGCCAAAGGGAGGAAAGGGGCCAAACTCATCTGTCTATCAGGAACCTACTCCCGAGATAACTAATCTATTCTCACAATAATAACATTAATTCATTCATGAGGGCTGAGCCCTCATGACCTAATCCCCTCTTTAAGGTCCCATGTCTCAACACTGTTGCACTGGGGATTAAGTTTCCAACATATGAAATTTTCAGGTCACATTCAAACCATAGCATGCCCTTTTAAGAACCGAAGAATAAAAAGAGACGAAATCTTGCTAGCTGTATCAGGAGCCCTCCAGCTGCCCCTTCCAACATCCTCACCTTCAGAATAACCACTATGGCTGAGTTTATGATAATCACCTCTGCATCTTGCTTTATAGTTTTTATTACCAATTACGTTTCTAAATACTATAGTATAGCTCTGCCTGGTTTTATTTGTTTGTTTAATATGCCTATTGGGTCTCTTTGAATGCATAAGTTCTTCCTCCCTGACCTTTGAAATTTGTTTCTTTGAAAACTGCATCATTTGTCTTGTAGACTTTACTCCATTGGAATTTTGCTGATCGCATGTCTGTGGTAAAGTTTAATGTCTTCCTTAGTCTTCTGTATTTCTTGCCAACTGAAAGTTGATTACAGAGGCTTAATCGTTTTTTGTTTTGAATTTTGTGGGGAACAATTACTTCCTAGGTGGTGTCATATTCTTTGTCAAGAGTGACATTATGTCATTTTGTGTTGTCAGCAGCCATTTCTGATCAGTGGTTAGATATCTAATTAATTAGAGATTGAAAAGGATGATATTCCAGTTTGATCACATCTTCTTTATTGGGAATATATCTGTGCAAGGAAACATCTACCGTCTGATTGCCCAGTGGTTCAGATTTTATAGGAAAGGAGAGATGAATGCTTGAGTCTTTTCCTGTATTTGCTAATTTTCAAAACAAAAAGTTTATTTCTTAATATCTTTTAAAGGTGGCCAGGATGCTATGTATAATCAGCATTTATATATATGAAGGAACCATGTTTAATATATAAAATTTCCCAAAAGGCACACCCTCCAACTTCCAAACTCTATATACTTTGTACCTCATCAAGATGCTAAAAAGATTGAGAAAGTAAATTAAAGTATGGGAGATATATAGATAATAACTCAACTTTAAAAATTTAACCACCATTTATTTTTTGAGAGCCTACTACCTGTAAGAACTGAGTCAGGTACAGATGTTTTAAAATATGGTGCCTGCCCTCAACAAACTTGCTCTCTAATAGGGGAAACAGGGCATTGCATGAAACAAGAAGGGTAAGACCATGGGGCCAATACTGATGGAAGATGCTAAAGGACTGTAGAGGATTTCCACTCACCCACTGTCATAGCTCAGACTGCTATAAGAAAATACTGTAGATTCAGTGTCTTACCCAACAAACATGTATTTTTTTTCAGAATTCTAAAGGCTGCAAAGTTCAAGATTGAGGTGCCAGCTGATTTGGTGTCTGGTGAGGGCTCACTTCCTGGTTTGCAGATGGCTGTCTTCTTGTTTCAGCTTCACATGTTGGAAAGAAAGATCCAGTGTCTCCTCCTCTTTTTATAAGAGAACAAACCCCATTCATGGAGGACCCATTATCATAACCAGATCATTTTCCAAAGTCCCCACCTCCAAATACCATAACATTGGGGATTAGAGCTTCAACATATGAATCTTATAGGGACAAAAACATTCAGTACATAATACTCAGTTACCAAAAATGTATGCCTAATAAATTTTAGAGATTCAATACTTCTGAATTGAACATCACTGTTTTGACTTACAGGTCTTTTAACGCCTTTTACTAGAGATATTATTTTGCTGCTCTAAAAAGTATAAATGGTTTGTAGTTGTTCTAGCTCATTCATCCATGAGTTCAATCAATCCAATCAATCATTATTATAATTGATCACCTGATAATTACCTGGCACTTCTTAGGAACCAAGGATTTTTTAAGTGAAGGAAATACAATTCTACTCTCAAGGAGCAGATGTCATAGCAGACTGGGAACCAGCTAAGCATGTAATTACAAGTGTCAAATATACTCTAGAGCCAAAAAATGCATTTCTTTGAAAACATTTACAAGGTCAGATTCTCTGGTAATTTAGATGAATTCTTCCTTTGGGTTAATGGGAATTATGGTATTGTCTTCTCTTTTTGAGAGCAGAGAGGGATGAGACATGAAGGGAGAACCAAAGTATCAGAAACAGGTAGTGAGGAGAAGAAAATAAAAGAAATGATTACAGTGGCAATAAGTTAACAGTAATAGGAAATACGATCACTGGGGAACTTTTATTCTGTGCCTGATCCTGCCCCTGACAAGTTCACGTTGCATGTTCTATTAAATCTCATAACAACCACTTTAGCTAGGCAGGTGTGATGGTTAATTTTATGTGTCAACTTGGATATATCATGATGAAAAGTTGCTTGGTCAAAAACTGGTCTAGATGTTCCTGTGAAGGTATTTTGTGGATGTGATTAATGTTTGCAATCAGTTGACATTAAATAAAGCAGATTATCCTCCATAATGTGGGTGGGCCTCATTCAACACATTGAAAGCCTTAAGAGCAAAGATGGATGTTTACTAAAGAAGGAAGTCTGCCTCCAAATTGCAATATAAACATTCTGCCTGAGTTTCCAGCCTGTAGAGTCAAGACAGTAACATTATCTCTCACCTGAATTTCCAGACTGCCATCTTGCCGTATGGATTCTGGACTTGTCAGCTCACTACGACTGTGTAAGCCAATTACTTAAAATCTCTCTCTCTCTTTCCATATATATATAGTGTATATATACTGTATTAGTTAAGGTTCTCCAGAGAAACGGAACCAATAGGATGTGTAATATAGATATACATGTATTACATATAATATACAAAAAATGTATATTTATAATTCATCACATAACCAATGGGACATATAATATATGTGATTATGTATAATATATGTGACATATGTAATATATATGTTTATAATATATCATATATCCTATTGTTTCTGTATCTCTGGACAACCCTGTCTAATATAGCAGATATGATTATTGCCATTTTATACATTTAATAACGTTAGACAGGTTGAATAACTTTCCTAAGGGTTTCCGAAGATGATAAGTAAGTGGGAGATCTAGATTTCAAAGCCAAGCCTATCTGACCCACAGCCCTTACTTCCCCTACTACTGATTGCCGCTGAGAAGGTCACATGAGAGGGGCATGGTGCCTTGGTGATCAAAGGCTGTGTGAGTCATTCTCGCCAGAAATGCTAACTCAGGAGAAAGTTTTCCATGAGGTGAAACATTAAATGAAAAGAGTCATCTTTCAAAGACAATGATGACCTTCACCTTTTTTCTTGTATCTCAGGGTTCTCAAATCTAGTTTCTTGGAGAATTGGCATGAATGAGATGCAATATAAAGAGAGGAATTATCTAACATTGTCCGGTCTGCTTTAGAGCCTCTGTTCATAGAGGCTGATGTAGCTACAGAGCTCATAAAAAGAGTTGCTGTTTTGTTTTGGCGCATCTACTATATGCCAGGTGATTTATCTTCTTTGTCTGTAATCATCGCCACCATCCTGCTGAGGACTACCCTTGGTTTGGTCAGCTTCCACAGTATGTAAACCCACATCATCTCTGATGGGATCAGCCAGCCGTCCTTCATCTTGTAACCATGCTGTATGGCCTCCAAGCTTGCCTGGCGTATTCTGTCTTAATTTTCTCTGACTGGGAAGTGTCCCTTCGTTTATAGGATTGGTCATATGACCCACTTATGCAAGGTGGTGGAGAAAGCAGGGAAGTACACGATCCGTGTACTTTGACGAGCTTTAGCAGCTCTGCCACCCACTCTCATTTAAAAGTGAGGAAGGCAAACTTCAAGGAGGATGTATTGCTCACCCTGAGTCATACACTGCAGGTCTCTAAGGCGCCTGTGCCACTCACCTCCACCCCCTCCCCAACACCCTCACTGCAATGCTCCTCCAAGCAGGTATCTACGGTAGTTACTTCAAAACAACTCAGATGCAAAATGATCTGCTTGTGCCGCAGGAGAGGCCAACCACCACCCCCAAAAGGAATCCCACTACTGCAAACACAATGCAGCAGACACAGACACCTGCCAACTTGGCATACTTTGCATCAATGCCACATTTGCCTACCAGGCTTTGATGAAGATCTGATCATGTATTTCAAAAAAAAAATCTACCCTACTGTGCAGGCTGTATCCCCTCCATCTGTCCCATGCAGGGTAAAATCTGCTACAGCTGCAAGCTACACCTGCTAGAGAGCCAGACAGGGTAACTTGGGAGTGGAGGGCAATTTAGCAGGTGGATGCTAAAAGCTGGAAACATTTTGCAAAAATTTTCTTATCCTTTTGTAGCCTTAAAGGAAACTTTTTAAAAAAGAAAATAAGATGCAAAGGGTAAAACAAAGGCTGGTGAATCAGGACTTGTACTTTCAATGCAAAATGAAATTTTGCATTTGCATTGTAGAGAGGGAAGGTAGTCCCTCCTCCAGCCCAGGCCAAATTGAAACAACATACCTTTGTGTGGGTGAAGCTCATCTTCAGGCTGCAAGGGATCTGCTGTGGGGGAGACAGCTGAAATTCACTGCCGGCAGTTCCATTTTATTCTCATTTTCTTTTCTCTTTTTCAGTAAAAGAAAAGGTCAAGAAACACATTCTAGAGCCTTCCGCCTTCCTAATCTTCCTTGTTTCCTCTCTTGCTGTGTCCTTCGAAGAGTAGCATCGCAGTATAGCATGATACTTCAGCTCTGGAGTCAGAGGAGACCTGGGACTAGACTGTGATCCAGCTACTTAACTGCTTTCACTTTGGACAAGCGATTTCACGTTTCTAAGCTTTAATTTCCCAGTCTTTAAAATGAGACTAAAATATTACCTAATTCGTCTAACTTTTATGAGATTAAACAAGTTCATGCAGGCAAAATGCTTAACACTTAAAACAGTGCTAGATCATAAGCTTTTCTGAAGTGGGAGCTGCAATTATTATTATTATCATTATTATTGTATAATAATAGTAGTGGTGACAGTAGTAGTAGTATTTATGACCTCTGGGACAACGGAAATTTTTCAGTTATTAGGTGAGATGATAGAAAGGAGAGACTAACTGTGGGCTGAGGCTTAGCTGCGGCCGTGTTAATCTAGCTGAATAAATACTTCTTCCAATATTTAACACAAGTTAGAATGGTATAAAGGCAAAAATACAGATTTTGAGGTCAGATAGACATATATGTAGACTTAGACACAGACACAGACTCTGGCAGTTCCACCATTTCTAGCTTTGTGATATTGGACCTATTAGTCAACTTCATTGACCCTCACTTTGCTCATTTATAAAACAGACCTAATTTCATGACTTGTGGCCGTCTCTGAAGTGCTTGCTGCAGTGTGGAGTGATCGTATGGCTTTATTGTCATAGAGAAGACCAAATAAGAGAAAGTAAGCTTATATAGTGGCATGAGAAAAGATTGGCTTTAAAAATAACTTCTTTAATTCAATTTTCTTTATTTTGAAAGTGACTCACCATCATTTTATTTAAATAGGAAGGAAAGAATTCAAATAAGCAAAAGAGAAGAAATTACACATCATCCCTCAACTCAAGAATAGCCAAGGCCAACATCTTGATGTTTATCCAAGAAAATTATCTTGGCTGCAAGGTTGATGAGATATGAAAGCAGGCCACCTAGAGAGGGGGACTTTGGGCCTAGGAGCTGCCACCATCTGGGGTCAATCATGTGGCCATTGCTCTGGTGGAAGCAGAGGGCTCTACCAGATGACAGGCTCAACCCCCTGCTATGATTTATTGTAAGGGAAGTGCCATCAGCTGTCACACTGCACCAGTGTCATCCCACTTCCCATCCCCAACCTGGGGGCAAGATGGCCACACAATAAGTTAGTTTTAAAGACACTTTATCCAAAGGGAAGCAGGACATAAACTAAAATCTAGTGCATTCGGTGTGTCTTCCCACCTTCCTTTTCTTCCTCCCTTATTTTTTGTTTCAACTCTCAGGCCTTTGTTAGTTCTGGGGTCCATGCAGCTCAGGAGCTCACAGTCAAGATGTAGACAACTCCAGGTAGCCCTTCCCACCTCTGCCTGAATAACAGAAAGGCAGACAGAAAAGCTTCCCAGGCATCCTCTGTACTTCACTGCACAGTGCTCAGCACACTGGTCTAAGTCCAGTGTCCATCTTTCCTCATGACTACAAGCTCCAGGAGGGAAAAGATCATTTCCTCTGTGGTCATTACTCTATTCCCAGTGCCTCTGGGGAGGCACTCAGTAACTGTTGATCAGACTGCTGCTATTGAAAGAATATATGAGCCGGGTGGTATTTGTAGTGAACATTTGTTGTCCTGTTCTGTATCCCAGTGCTATGTTTTGAATGTTTATCCCCTCCAAAACTCATGTTAAAATGTAATTGCCATTGTAACAGTGCTAAGAGGTGGGACCCTTAAAAAAGGTGATTAGGCCATGAGGGCTCCCTCTTCATAGACAAGGTTGGTGCCATTATAAAAGAGCAAGCCCCCTCTTGTTCATTCTTGCCCTTCCATCTTCCCCCATGGATACCACAGCAAGAAAGTTCTTGCAAGATACCAACCCCTCGATCTTGAACTTCTCACATTTCAGAACTGTGAGCCGATAAATTTCTGTTCATTTTAAATTATCAAGTATGTGGTATTCTGTCATGGCAGCATAAAAATGAGGAAGACACTCTATCACTTCGTTTTCTATTCTGATTCCTATAACACCCTTTTCTTTGGGCAATCACTCCTCCTCAGTCCATACATTTTGGTAAGGCTACTGATCTCAAACCCAGACCCCAAACCTTGGGGACGATGGATGTATAAGACACAAGCTTGGGCAATCAGATTCTGTTTCTATTTCTTTTTTTACAGACAGGATCTCCCTCTGTCACCTAGGCTGGAGTGCAAGTGCAGAGGCACAATCACAGTTCATTGCAGCCTAGAACCCTTGGGCTCAAGCAATCCTCCTGCCTCAGCCTCCCAAGTAGCTGGGACTACAGGTATACACCACTGCATCTGGCTAATTTTTTTTTTTTTTTGTAGAGGTGGGGGTCTTACTTTTTTCCCCAGGCTGGTCTTCAACTCCTGGCCACAAGTAATGGTACCACTTCAGCCTCCCAAAACGTTGGGATTACACATGTTATTCATTAACATGAACTGCTGCACCCAGCTCTCAATCAGACTCTTTTTCTCCCAGAGCCAGCTGGTGATGAGAGGAAGGCCATGACCAAGTCCAGGGGATTGAGGGCTGCACTCATTCCTGCTGGCTTCTCCCAAAACCTGGTTGACTGGGTCTGTCAAGGAGTCTCTGAGGAACCTCACTGCCTTTCCCAACAATCTCTCCTTTTAAGTTAGTCAGAACACATTTATCTTGCTTGCTACAAAAAAGAAAATAATATATATCTAATATGCTCTTTTTGCCTTTAAGAAGTTTAATTGAGGTGAAATTCATATGGCATAACATTTACCACTTCAAGGTATACAATTCAGCGTCATTTAGTACAGTTGCAGTGTTGTGAACCACAACACTGTGGTTCCAGAACACAATCTATCAAGTTCCAAGACATTTTTGTAACCTGAAGAGAAAATCCTGTGCTCATTAAGCAGTCACTCTCCATTCTGCCCTTCCCTGGCCCCTGGCAGCCACTAGTCTTCTGTCTATGGATTTATTTTGTCTATTTCATATAACTGGAATCATATGATATGTGACCTATTGCATTTGGTTTGTTTCACTTAACATAATGTTTGTATGTTTATCCGACTCACATCTTAGCATGTATTAGCACTTCTTTCCTTTCCATGGCTGAATAATAGTCCACTGTTTGGATATAACACATTTTGTTTATTCATTCATCCACTGGTGGATGTTTGGGTTATTACCACTTTTGGGGCTATTGTAAATGGTTGTGAAGTGCTCTTGAAAAAAAAAGAGTGAGTGAGTGAGTTTGGCAGGTAAGGAAAATGGGAAAGGATATTTGAAGGAAAGGGAGCAACTTATTCCAGGGCAGAGAAAGTTTTCTACCTGGCCTTCCCTCTTTTCACTCTTCCAGGCTGCAGTCTCCACACAGCAATTACAGTGATCTCTCTAAAGCTGACATCAGGCCACTTGGCTTCCTTGTTAATTACCCTCAATCCCACCTTACATTTCCTCTTGCTTAGTACATCACAGCGCCTAGCACTGCTCCCCTTTCTGTTCTTATAACATCACCAAGCTCAGCTCTACCTGAAGGCTTTGGCACTTGTAGGACACTCAGGCAGAAACATTCTTCTTTCTGAACTTCTCAGGGCCAACTTCCTCTCATCATGCAAATACCTCCCCCACAGAGAAGATGTCCCTAGCATCTTAGGGATGTTCTCCCTATTCAGGCACGCCACCCCTGGTCACACAACTATCTCATTATCAGAAATTATCATTCTTTTTTTTTTTTCTTTTTGAGACGGAGTTTCACTCTGTTGCCCAGGCTGGAGTGCAGTGGTGTGATCTCAGCTCACTGTAACTTCTGCCTCCTGGACTCAAGCAATTCTTCTGCCTCAGCTTCCCAAATAGCTGAGATTACAGGCATCTGCCATGGCGCCCGGCTAATTTTTTTTGTGTGTGTGTGTGTGTATATATATATATATATATGTATACATATATATATTTTAAGTAGAAACAGCGTTCGCCATGTTCACCAGGCTGGCCTTGAACTCCTGACTTCAGGTGATCAGCCCGCCTCGGCCTCCCAAGTGCTGGGATTACAGGTGTGCACCATCGTGCCCAGTCAGAAATTATCATTCTTATTCATTTGTGGTGTGTGATTTTTGTTGGTTTGGTTTGGTTCTTGGTTCCTCTCTGTTCTGCCCTATTTTTTTCACCAGAACAGAAGCTCCAGAAATAAGTAATTGCTTAAGGAGTGGATGGCTGGATATGACCCATTAGTGAACTGGCAAGGAATATATTGTGTCTGGTGCAGAGAAAGAGAGCTTCAGGTGGCATGGCATGTGGTGGAAATATTGACTGTGCCCAGATTATTCAAGATGCCCTCTTTATACCAGGCACATTGTAATTTAGCTTTAGAAATTCTCTGGTGTGATGATTTCACAGTACCAAAGGGAACTGAATGCTTGTCTATTATTTATGTTTCAGAGTCAGCATAGAAACCCTGGAAGAGAGTTGCCCCTGAGAAGCAGCTTTGCAAGGGGTGGCAGCTGGCTGGGAGGGGTCAGAAGATCTATGTTCTCTTGTAGTGCTGTGTGGTTTTGGGAAAATCATCTAACCTCTCTGAAATTCAGGTTTCTCGTTAGCACAAATGAAGAGTATATGAGGATAAGAGCTTTCCATGGTCTATTACGAAGTGTGGGATAGGTTTGTGCATACTTACTCTAGTCTCATGCTCAGAACACTCTGCCTTATGTTGTGCTGCGAGGTTGATAGGAATTATAGTTCCCATTTTACAGGTGAGGGTCCAAGAGGGTGAGTCACTTGCTTGAGGTCAATTGTCAACCACTGGAGGAGTCAAGGTGAGGTCTGCCTCCAAGTCCAGGATGTTTTCCACTTGTGCTTCCCTGCCTATCTCACAGGGGTGTTGTGATAATTAAAGACAAGTTATAAATACATACATTTTATTAATATTTTCTGTCCCATTCTTATTGTATCACTGGCCCTAGAAGTAAGATTGAGGTCCTCCTTGCTTCTCATTGCACCTACTGGATGATTATCCCCTCTTCTCCCCTAAAACCTCCAGTTTTGAAGCTCATGACACCAGACTGCACTATCTGCTGCTGCTTCTACGTGCAAATACTAACTCCTCATTTCTTGAAGACTTTAGCATCTCTCTCATTGTCAATCTCTCTAGTACGATTCCAGTCATTCTTGGTGAGCTCCACATACACATTGATGTCTCCTCTCATACTCTGGCCCATCAGTTTCTTTATTTTTATTTTTGGATTTTTTTTTTTTCTTTTTGAGATGGGGTCTCGCTCTGTCTCCCAGGCTGGGGTGCAGTGGCAAAATCTCAGCTCACTGCAACCTCTTCCTCCCAAGTTCAAGTGATTCTCCTTCCTCAGCCTCCCAAGCAGCGGGGATTACAGGTGCATGCCACCACACCCAGCTAATTTTTGTAATTTTAGTAGAGATGGGGTTTTGCCATCTTGGCTAGGCTGGTCTCAAACTCCTGACCTCAAGTGATCTGCCCACCTCGGCCTCCCAAAGTGCTGGGATTATTTTGGATATTTTTTAAAAACTGCTTTATTGAGTTATGATTTATACAAGGTAACATTCAGTTGTTTCAAGTATACAATTTAATGATTTTTAGTTTTACAGTTATGCAGGCATCACTGCAGTCCAACTTTAGAAAACTTATATCACCCCCAAAAAGATCCCTCTGCCATTTGCAGTCACTTGTCATTCCCATCCTTCAGCCCCAGGCTACTAACCACTAATCTACTAACAGTCTATAAAATTGCCTATTCTGGACATTTCATGTAAATGGAATCATGCAATATGCGGTCTTTGTGTTTTTAACTTTTTTAACTTTTATTTTAGGCTCAGGGGTACATGTGCAGGTTTGTTACATAGGTAAACTCATGTCATGTCATGGGGCTTTGTTGTACAGATTATTTTGTGTCCAGGTACTAAGCCTAGTACCCAACAGTTATTTTTTCTGCTCCTCTCCCTCCTCCCACCCTCTACCCTCAAGTGGCCTCAGTGTCTGCTGTTCCCCTCATTGGGTCCATGCGTTCTCATCATTTAGTTCCCACTTATCAGTGAGAACATGTGTTATTTGGTGTTCTGTTTCTGCATTCATTTGCTAAGAATAATGGCCTCCAGCTCCATTCAAGTTCTTGCAAAATACATGATCTCATTCTTTTTTATGGCTGCATAGTATTCCATGGTGTATATGCACCACATTTTCTTTACCCAATCTTGTCACTGATTTCATGTGGCATAATGTTTTCAAGGCATACCCATGCTGCAACATGAATCTCTACTTCATTACTTTTTATAGTAGAATAGTATTCTACTGTGTAAATATATCACATTTGTTTATCCATTCACCAATTGATGGACATTTTGGCTGTTTCTACCCTTTGGTTATGAAAAATGCTGCTATGAAATTCACATACATGACTTTATGAGATACCTAGGAATGAAATTGCTGGGTCATATGGTCAATTTGTGCTTAACTTAAAAAAAAATGCCAACTGCTTTTCAAAGTGAGTGTACTATTATGTATTCTCAGCCACAGCGTGTGATTGTTCCAGTTTCTCCACATCCTCTCCAATGCTTCATAATATCTATCTTTTCTATTCTAGCCAACTCTGAGTGGATGTGAAGTAGTATATTATTGTGGTTTTGATTTGTATTTCCCTGATGGATAATGATGTTGATTATCTTTTCATGTGCATTTTTCCTGGCAACCCACTTTCTCTGCTTCTTTCCTGCTTATAACTTTGTATCCTAACCCCAAGTTAGGCATATGCACTCACAGTCAAGCCTGGACCTTGTCATTCCCATAACTGCACCTCCCCCATGCCATCAATATCGAACATTCCACTTTTAACCATCACCATCTTTCCAGCTCATTCTTTCTCCCAATAATTTTTCAATGACTGGGATCAAATTCCACTGGTCCTGACACCTTTTCACTTATCCTCAATCATATATTCCTTTGTGTTCTTATTCAGCTTAGATTCCATGTGCTGTCAATAAAATCATTCCCTTGTATCTCTCTTCATTCATTGTACTTTCCGGGTTAAACTCTAATTCTGGTTGAATCGAATACTCTAACTATTATTCAGCTTCACCCACATGCTAAACATGCCTTGTGAAAAAAACACACATCCGGGCCTTTCTTTGAATTCATAACCACAGCCTCATGGTGTGTTTGGTGGTGCCTCGCAATCATCTTACTAAGTCCTATTAATTCACTCTCCCATTCCCCGGGTGATTATTTCATACTTATCCTCTCTCCTCAAAGCTTCAGTACCTCCTCGCCCAGTCTCATTCTTAGATGATGTCCTTCGTTTCTATTTTACTGAGAAAATAGAAACAATTATGAAGATACAGCTAGCTATTGCCACCTCATATATCCCACCTACGGGCATCTGTTCCTACTCTGCCTTCCTTCCTGTTTCTATAGAAGGAAAGTTCTTGCTGCTGTCTAAGGCCAATTTACCACTCATGCATTGCAGCCCACCCTCTCTTATCTACTTATAAAAATTGCTCCAGGAATTGTCCCCTCCCTCCTACAGCAGCAGCATGCCAGCGTGTTGTAATAATACCTGTCTTAAATAAGACCTCTTTTGATTCTTCGTTGCTTAGAACAATTCCCCTCCTCCATTCCTCTGCTTACAGTAGCAGCAAAATTCCTTGGTAGATTTGAGTTCTGTGCTTATTTGTCTCCATTTCTTCTCTTTCAAGTCTTTCTCAAACCCACCCCAATTAGGATTTGACTCCTACCGTCCATGCAAGTAGCCCATGTTAAAGACGTCAACAACCTTCAATGTTGTTAAATCCAATGGTCAGTTCTTAGTCCACATGTTGACTTGACCTAGCAGTATTTGAAGTAATGACTCCCTCCTTCTTAAAGCACTTTTCCCACTTGGCTTCTCAATTTACCAAACTCATTTTATATCTCTTTTGGTAATTCTTCCACATGTTTTCAGCATTTAAATTTTGGAGTATGCCAGACCTCTTCTCTGCCTAAACTCACTTCTAGAGTGGTGCCATCCATACTCACGATTGTAAACACCTCTGTAAACCATGACTCCTCCAACTAGATCTCCAGCCTGGACCTCTGTTTCTCATGCATATGCCAAAGTTAATTCTCAAAATTTCCATCTGGATGGCTAAGACATATCTCAAACTTGACATGTCCAAAATAGAGTTTGTAGTTCCCACTTCCTCCAAATCTGTCCCTCTACTGTCTTCACTATCTTAGTTAATGGCAGTGGCATCATTCAATTTTACAAATTAAAAATTTAGGATTCATCTTTGCCCTGTATTAGTTTGCTAGGGTTGCTGTAACAAAGTATTATAAACTGAGTGGCTTAAACAACAAAGCTGTATTTTCTCACAGTTACGGAGGCTAGAAGTCTGAGATCAAGGTGTTGGCAGGGTTGGTTTCTTCTGAGGCCTCCCCTCTTGGCTTGTGGATGGCCATCTTCTCCCTGCATCTTCACATCCCTTATGTGTCTGTGTCTGTGTCCAATTTTTCCCCTTCTTATGAGGACACCAGTCATATTGGATTAGGCCCACACTGATGATCTTACCTTAATTTCATTAACTCTGTACAAATTTGGGTGGGAGGACACAACTGAGTCCACAACAATTCCTTTCTTTCTCTTACAACCTATATCCACTCTAATTTCTTTTCTATATTAATTTCCATATCCACATCTGATGCACAGGATCCTTCAGTTGGGTCCACCTTGAAAATATAGCTTACCCCTGCTTACCAACTTCAAGGTTATTATCCCCTCTTGTTTAATTTACTGCAATTGCCTCTTCAGCTGATGTCATTGCTTCTGATCTTTGCTCCTAGAGCATACTGTCAACATAGTAGCCACAGTGATCCCGTTATAATAAAAATCAGAGTATAACATTCCTTTGCTCAAATCTTCCAATTGCTCCCATGTCCCTCAAGGAAAAGCCAAAGTTCTCAAAGCCTTCAAGTCTCCACATGCTGTGGCTCCAGCTCCATCTCTGTCCTCATCCAATACTCACTTAAGCAGGTGGGTCACCATGCCCTTCCCTGGGCATGTTTGAGCACTCTCCTCATCAGGCATTGCCATTTGCTGCTCCCCTGTCTGCAACTGTCTCCCAAGACATCCATACTGTCCATTCTCAAATGTCACCTTCTCCTAAATAAGGAAGCAACCCTCCCAGCAATCACATCTCCTTCCTCTGCTTGCTTTCCCCCACCCCAATAGCACTTAGTAGTACCTGACATGCCATGAAATTACCTGTTTATTAGTTGGCTATATCTTCCTGTATTAATATAAGCTTCTTGAGGGCAGGCACTCTTTTTTGTTCTAGTTGTCTTACTGCTGTATCTCCAACACCAAGAACAGTGCCCAGTACCTAGTATAACTATGTAATATACACACGCACACACACACACACACACACACTCACATACATTACATTTACATAAAACATGTTTTTATATACTTACATACATTCGTATTGTGGATATACATAAATATGCACATACACATGTATGTATTCTATATTTGTTGAATAAAGCAATGGCATCTGTCCATATGGAAAGAATGAAACAATAGTAGTGAAATGCTTTCTCCCTCCATTTTTCCGTTGTCTTTTGTTCCTGTGTGCATATGCTCACTCTGAATCTGTGGCTTTTTTTCATCTCCCATGTCTTGCTTTCTCTCTGTCCCTGGGTCCCCTTCTCCATTGCCCTTCATTCTCCTTCCTGGTTCTGCAGTCATCAGAGGGAGGGCACTTCCAGCCTGCTGCTGCAGCCACCTGCATTCTTCGTCCCCACCTGGCTCACTCACCAGCATGATGGACTTGGAGTCACCAGGTTGTGATGTGGTTCTGTCCTAGAGTTGTTGATGTGTCCATTTTCCATTGATGGAAGCTGCTCCTTATAGATACATGCATTTGTAGATGAGAAGAAATCAGGAATGCTTTTTTGGTTCTGAGCTATAATAAGCTCATGTGTTGTAATCAGCTTAGCATGTTTCTATTCCTTCTGCCATCATACACGATTGGTTCAAATGGACACTTTCCTCCCCTCAGGGAAACAGGGAGGAAAGGAAAGTCAGGAATGAGTAATGCTTGCCCTTGGCAAGGTGGAGGTTGCGAATGGACCTGGGAACATAGGTAGCTGGGAATTGGGAGAGGGTCAGGTTGGAGATAGAAGACCTGCACAGGGTGAAGAAGTGGTTCAAGGGTTTGAGCACCTTCACAAGGCACTGGGTCAGAGCTGGATTTTGGCTGCCTAATGACTAGGCTATATCAATACCTACATGTCAGAAATACCACTTGTTCTGCGTGCATTTGTCTTCACCACTGACTCCTTACTCCTGGATCAAAATCTCTCAGTGCTAACAATTTAAGAGCTGTGCCTGGCTGCATGCAGTTCTGCAGGTTGGCCAGCTTGGAAGCTCATCAGGCTGATGGACACTCTAAAATGATCTGATCCAACCTCCTCTTTTATTGATGAGGAAACTCAAGCCCAGCAGGGGAATTGAATGACTAACGTCCCTGGGAGAGTTAGGCATATTTATGATACAAATTGTTTTTTAAAAGGAAATTAGTTCATTTCCATGACTTGGGTGGTCATCCTTGAGTTCTCTCTTTACCTTAACCTCCAATCAAATAATCAGGAAGCCCTGTTGGCTCTCTACCCCCCACCCCAGTTTATACAACAGTCACTACTTGTCACTATTTTCTCTGTCACTACTTCCGTAAAACAGTATCATTAGCCTCCAAACTGGTCTCCCTACTTCTACTCTTACTTTCTCACCCAGCCCCCTACTACTCTCTTTTTCATATAGCAGCCAGAAGAGTCTCTTTCAAAGTAAATTATATTACATCACTCTTCTACTTAGACCATGGGTTTGTTTCTCCATGTTCCAAAAAATGATCTCCAAACATTTTGATATGGATCATAGGCGAGGCGGCTGCATCTCCCACGTGGTCTGCTCTGTAGTCTCATCTAAAACCACTCATCCCCCTTGTTCATAATCCTCCAGCCACATGGGCCTTCCTCTGGTTAGGCTTGTGTCCCCACCCAAATCTCACCTTGAATTGTAATCCCCAGGTGTTTAGGGAGAGACCTGGTGGGAAGTGACTGGATGATGGGGGTGGTTTCCCCCATGCTGTTCTCATGATAATGAGTGAATTCTCACCAGATCTGATGGTTTCATAAATGGTAGTTTATTTAAAAAAAAGTCTCTCTCTCACCTGCTGCCATGTAAGACTGTGCCTGCTTCCCCTTCTACCATGATTGTAAGTTTCCTGAGGCCTCCCCAGCCATGCAGAACTGTGAATCAGTGAAACTTTTTTCTGTATAAATTGCCGAGTCTCAGGTATGTCTTTTTAGCAGTGTGAGAACCCATCTTGGTTTCCAATACCATTCTCCAATGAAAGAAACCAAGGATCCTTGGAGAATAACTGATTCTAGGACTGGAGATATGAAACATACAAGATGAGCCTGGGCTGTCTTGTAGTGCCAGAAATTAAGGAAGTGATCAAAACAAAACAAATAACCAAACTCATAATGACAGGTATAGGTCAAAATGACCTAGAAACCAACTGAAAGAGTTTCTAATGGTCAAAGATGAACTAATTTGAACAATAAATTAAAATAATAGTGGATTCTAACCCAAAGTATAAAGTAAATATCCATGAGTCTATACTGATATAAATAAGTAATGAAATAACTAAGTTAATGGAGAAGAATAAACTCTTCTCCTATGGAGAAGAAGTTCAAATAATCTACAGATACTACACACTGAGGAGTGCAGCACAACTTCCCACTCCTTAAGTGTGGGCTACACATAGTGACTTTCTTCCAAAGAATATAGAATGGAAAAGAGGCAGGGAGGAGGGAGGTGGAAAGAGTTACTTTACAGAGAAGAAATCTGACAAATACTACTTTAGCCAGGTGATCAAGGCCAACGTAAGCAGTGACACATCATGTGGCCAATACCCGTGATGTTATGAAAATGGCACTTTATCTCTGCAGTCTTCCTCTCAGAAACCCATTAACCAGTTTAATCACAAGAAACACAGCAGTCAATCCCAACTGAAGGACATTCTACAAAATACTTAACCAGTACTTTGTAAAACTGGCAAATAAATGATCAAAAACAAGAGGAGCCTGAGAAACTGTCATGGCGAAGAGGAGCCTAAGGAGATGGACTAAATGAAATGTGGTAACCTGGGTTGGATCCTGAAATACAAAACTGACATTAGGTAATGGCTAAGGAAATCTAAATAAAATGTGGAGTTTATTTCATAATAATGTATCAACATTGATTATTTGATTGTAACAAATATAGTATGCTAATTGTATCAGTCCATTTTTACACTGCTATAAAGATACTTCCTGAGACTGGGTAATTTATAAACAAAGGAAGTTTAATTGACTCACTGTTCGGCAAGGGTAGGGAGACCTCAGGAAACTTACAATCGTGGTGGAAGGGGAAGCAGACACTTTCTTCACAAGGCAGCAGGAGAGAGAAGAGTGAAGAACTTCCAAACACTTATAAAACCATCAGATCTCATGAGAACTCAGTATCACGAGAACAGCATGGGGGAAACTGCCCCATGATCCAATCAACTCCCTTCCTCGACATGTGGGGATTACAAATCAAGATGAGATTTGCATGGGGACATAGAGTCAAACCATATCACCAATGTAAGATTTTAATAACAGAGGAAACAGGATACCTATATAATGGGACCTCTCTGCACTATCTTTGCAATTTTTCTAAAAATCTCAAACTGAAAATCTAAAAATTAAAATTTAATTAAAAATAATGCAGGTAACATAACTCAAACTAATGCATATTAAGCAGTTTTTAAAAATATGAGTCAAGTGTGTGGTTCATGCCTGTAATCCCAGCCCTTTGGGAGGCTGAAGCAGAAAGATCACTTTAGGCCAGGAATTTGAAAACAGACTGGTCAACACAGTGAGACTCCATCTCTACAAAAAGGAAAAAAAATATTCACAGGATGCAATGGTGCGAGCCTATAGTCCCAGCTACTTGGGAGGCTGAGGCAAAGGATTGCTTGAATAAGGCTATAGTGAACCATGACTGTGCCACTGCACTTCAGCCTGGGTGGCAGAGTGAGACACTGTCTCTCTCTCTGTATATATATACACATACACACACACACACACACACACGTACATACACACACACATATATGTATATGAGTCAAATCACTATTTCTTGTCACAGAGAATGGTCATAGTATATTTTAATTTTTTAAAGAAGCAAATTTTAAATTAATGTATATAGTATATTCCTATTGTAATAAAAACAATAAAAAGAGTGTGGAAGATACACAAGAAACAATACAGTTCATTTCATTTCAGGGAATGACACTGAATTGCTGAGGTGATATTATTAACTTTTTCCTTGTGTATCTTTGTATTTTTGACATGATATAATAAGCATATATCAATTTAAATTGGTTAAAGTCAATAAACAAAGAAAGCAAAACCCCAGATGATTCTGATAATCAGGTTTGGGCACCAAAACTCTAGTTCCCCCCATCTCTATGATTTCAAGTACAAATAAGGGCAGCTGACATTCGTAAGTACTTCATAGCTTCTAAAACCCGTCAATAGAAATACTCTAATGTCCAACCAGCTCCTAAAAATAAGTTTTATTATCATCCCATTTTACAAAAGAGGCTACTCAAGGACTTGCTCTACAACTCATCAGTTGGAGAACAAGGAGTAACTGTAGATTTTGTGACATGTGCCATCTTTCCTCTCTAATCACATCACCCAGGCACAAATACCTCCTAGTAGCCTATACAACAGAAAATAAAGAACAATTTCTGAGACAGATTCAAAATCTTCTAGAAAAAACAGGCAATGCTATTTTAAATTATCTTGAATTAAACTCCTAAGGAAACTGGCAAAACACTCTTAGTTTCCTTACATGAATTAGAATAAATATCCACCAGTCTTTTAAACGGTATTTTTAACGTAAGTGATTCTGAGTATATTAATAAGGGATCTGTCAGTTGCAAGTTAGTGACATCCAACTCAAACTAATTTAAGGGAAGGAACATTAAGATCTCATATATACAAAAAGTCCAAGAGTGACTTTCAGGTACAGCTTGATCCAGATGTGCACACCATGTCCTCAGGGATCTCTCTCCACCTTTTTGTTCTTCTCTCCCATATGTTGGCTTTATTCTCATGCAGGCTTCTCTACTTCAGTGGTCAGAGAGCTGCCAACAACCTCAGGAGAAAATAAGTGTCCCTAAGAGTTCTAGCAATAGTCTCAGGTTTGACCCTCATTGGTTGTCATTATTTGAGTTGTTGTCCCAGCTTGGGTCATGTGTTCACCCGTGAACCAAATACTGTCATTAAAGAAAGGCAGAATTGTTATTGGCCAGGCCTTAGAGAGGGTATTTTTCTGCAGCCTGGAGTGGGGTCAGCCATACAAACCCTCATGGAGAGTAGAGGGAAAGCTCCTTCGTGAAAATTCAGGGTTCTGTTACCAGAAGACAGAATGGATGCCAGGTAGGCAGAGCCAAGATATGTCCTCAATACTGAGTGTAAAATATTCCCCACAGGGAACCAGATGTCTAGATTACTGGGTTGGGTAATATCTAAAGTGTGAAAGAGAAATTGCTGTGGTTTGAATGTGTCTCCCAAAGTGGCTGTGTTGGAAACTTAATCCTCAATGCAACGGTGTTGAGAGCCGGGACATTTATGAGGTGATCAGGTCATGAGGGCTCTATGTATTAATGCTGTTATCGCAGCATTTGAACCAGATTTGAACCAAAACTTTATTATTTGCATGATATTAAGAATTAGAAAAAAAGAATTACAAATATGAGTGGTAATGGAGTAGATATCAGGATGTTAAATTTTTATATTGCTTCATTGTTTACATGAAGTAACTTAGTATCCTAACTTAGCGGTAATTTAATGTCCTATATGATTTGTATCTAGCTTAAATACTCTCAAGAAAGCTAAGAAAACCATGCAGTTCCTGGGGGACTGCTTCACAGTTGCTGTGTAATGGGCTCTGTGGTAAATTACCATACAGTTAATGCAGGTCAATATCAAAGCCAAAAGCAGCATAATTTAGTGATTGAAAGCATGAGCTTTGGAGTCAGGCAGATTTGAGTTCAGGCCCTGAGCTCTTACCTTGGGCAAGTCACTTATCCCTTAAACTTCCATTTCCTCATTTGCAAAACAGAAACAACAATGCCAACCACACGATGGGTGAGGATTAAACAGGAGAATGCACAGGAAGCTTGCAGCACCTGGTGAGAACTCAACGAAGGTGTGGGTCCGCCTTCTGATGACGGAACCTGTTACAGCTGTCTGTCTGAAGCGATGAGATGAGGCAACCCTTGCTCTGGGAAGGCAGAGTCACCTGGCATCATCAAGGTATAAGAAAAAAGACTCTCTGGAGAGCAGGATAATTATGACTTCATTATTCTGCTAGAATGTAAGCTTTCAAAGGGCAGAGATCTTTTTCTGTGTTATACATTGATGCCCCCAAGTGCTTAGAAGAGTGCCTGGCACAAAGTGGCTGTTTGGAAATTATATGTTGAATGAATCATTTCCATTCTGATATTTGATCACTCATGTAAGCAGGCACTAAATGGAAATAACTGTAAATATATATAGCCAAAATCTAAATATATTGTCAGTATATCATCCTTTGTAATTTTTATTAGCTTTCCCTTCTTGATATCTGCTTTGCAACAGTTAGACTACAACTGGGAGTAGACTCCTTCATGTATTCTTTTATTTAATTATTCATTCAGCAAATGTTTCCTGGTTCATTGAGTGTCTTCTATGGGTGAGGCACTGTGCATGGTGCTGGGGAAGTGAAAATGGAAAAAGCAAAGTTTTCTGTCATCATGAAGTTCACAGTTCAGCAGAGACAGACTAGTGATGGGATAGTTAATAAGCCAAATGTGATCAATGCTACATATAATAGTAGCAATACAGGAGCCAGTGGGAGGACAGAGGCAGGCATCAAAAACTTAACATGCTCCAAATCTTTATTTACACACCTTCAAATCCATTCCTTCTCCATTCTTCCCCTTCAATCTTCATTTCAGGAAACACAGTCAGCAAGAAAGTAGGAGGCTTCATTGATTCCTCCTCTTTTCTCAAAGTAAGTTCCAGGGTCTCTTCTCTCAAAACTGTCCTAAACATCCCCACTTCCCTCTATCACCACTGCTATCCTCCTAGTCCGGCTGACTCATGATCTACCTGGGTGTCTGCTGCAGAAGCTTCTTTCTTGCTCTCACTCCTCCCAGCCTTTCCACTCATACCCACCACCATAGCATAATCCAGTTTCCGCAATGCAGTAGTGTTGGAATACTGCACTCCACAATCCAGTATTGTGGAAATACTGCATTGTGTAGTAAAACAATATTTTAAAGATGTGAATGAGAACAAATCATCTCTAAACCATGTAAAGATGTCCCATCCCATTTGGAATGACACCTTGTCTCCTTACAAACATGATTATTTGCTTCCTGACCAACCCTTCCATTCCTCCCTGCTCCCCTGCCTCACCATGTTGGGCTCCTTTTTCTGTTCTTTGAGCAAACCAGGCTCTCCCAGTCTAATAATTTTTTGCATTTTTCTCTCTCTGGGAAAAGTCTTCCTTTGTTCTTCACATAACTGTTTCCTTCTCCTTCTCAGGTCTCACTCCAATTGTCATCCGTTCAGAGATGACATTTGATGACCTTCTTTGACTACCCAAATAAGCTCTTCACTCTCGTTCTATCATCACTCCACTTTTCTTTCATAGCCCATATCATCATCTTCAGTCTTTTCTTGTGGTATTTATTTGTTGACTCGTTCATTGTATGTTCACTCTGAATGAGTATAGAAATTTCAGGATGATCAAAATCTTTTCAATCTTGGCTACCACTTTATTCCCAGCCCCCAGGGACTCAATACTATTTGCTGGGGAAAAAAAAGGGTCATTGGATTAATGGGACCCTTATGCCCACCCAAATTAGAAATCTTTACACTAACTACACCATGTTCTTGAAACACAATTATTTGGACACACACACATATTCAAGTAGGTGAGATACAGCGCAGGTGGAAAATTAGATTAAAAGTAGAGCTCAGAATAAATATTGTCAGTCTTCTTCATTAAGGCAATGAAAGCCTTGAAAATACGATTCTCTCTAAGCTGGAAGGGGCAAGTGTGAACTGTAGAAGATTCTGGCTAAGACCTCTCTCTGCTTTTGGACAAATGGTGCCTAACAGAGCTGTGTGACAGAAAAAGGTGAGATCATTTTTAGCAGATGCCAGCCAACGTGAGAAGGGTTGACTGATATGACAAAGTCTTCTCACAAAAAACTCAAATCAAAGAAGACGACTGACAGTGAAGTAAACATTTTAAAACTAGAGTAATTAGGAATATATTAGCAATTAAAATAAACTCATTATCATTAGCAAAATTGGCAGTTACTGGCAATTTCCCCAGGGGCCTCATTTCAAGTTTATCTTGGTTGATTATATTAAAAAGGATTAATGTGTTCAGAGATATGGTTTTAATTTTTGTGGATTTCATGTACTCACATCCCTATTCATAATTAGTTGAACTTAATGGTTCTGAAATAATAATCTTGTGGATACCACGTTTTCTATGAGCTGGACCCAGGTGTTCTAACACTAAAACTGAATAAAGCTATTGTTTACTCACTTCTCAGAGAAAATTAAATTAGTGGATATGTTTCTTAGTTTTTTTCTGTTATAATTTCTTTAGGCCTTTAGCACCTGCTACCACTTGTCTGCTACGAAGTACCAGAAAATGACAAAAACCTCGGACTTGAAGCAAATAAACTAAGTAAAAACTCTGAACACCACCCTTCTCGGATTAATAGGGTCTTCATTGTGTGGAAATGTGTGTAATGGATGAGACACCACATGGTAAGAGGGAAAGGATTGAACTCTCCATTTCCTTCACCCTTTGGTTCTTCTCTTCTCACAATGGGGGTGCTACTTTTTAGCATCATAGGACATCAATGTTTTATCACTTAGCATTCTTTGTTGTTAGCAATGAAAATGACCCTGGCAACAGAATCAAAAGGATTAGAAGAATACTGGGGAGCTCACATGAATTATGGAAATCTGAGTAGGTTTGTAGCAAAGAATTTGTCCTTGACCAAAGAGAAAGACTGGCCTTTGTCATCAGTTTCTAGGAGGCAATCTCTAGTGTCTTTATTTATCTGGGGACATTGGGTCACAGTGGTTAGTCCAACAATGTGATCTAGGGCAGGTGCTAAGCAGACTCATGTAGTCTTAGGTTGGGGATTTTCCATGCCAGAAAGACCAATCATGTAACTTAGTGTGGGGGGTGAGGGCTTTGGATCACATGATATCAATCAACCAAGAGATTGAGATTAACTACATGGACTATCAATCAGTCAATCAATTATACCTATGTGATGAAACCCCAGTAAAAAGTCTGGACAATGAAACTCAGGTGAGCTCTCTTGGTTGGCAGTGCTCCATACATGTGATCAAACATTGGTGCTAGGAGAGTAATGTGGACTCTATCCCATATATCTCTTCATTTGGCTGATTTAATCTACATCCTTTTTCTTTAATAAACTGTAGCTGTTTCTGTAACAACTTCCAGGAAGTTCTGTGAGTTCATCTAGTGAACTGATGAAACTGAGGGTGGCTTTTCAAAACCCCTGAAACTGCAGTTGGTGTCAGAAGTGAGGGAAGTGTTGTATGGAGAAAGTGCCCTCTAAAACTTTGTAGTTGGTCTTAAAAATTTGCTGTAGCTGCACCAAAGCTTGCAATAGGCAAAAACAGGGGGTGCCATGGAGTGCCAAGAAGGTAGAATCAAGAGGCATATCAACCAGGTAAAACAGTCTGGCCAGGATGCCATGGGGATGACTCCACTAATCTTTCTGTCTACAGGTGTTCCCTAAAGAGAAGACTTACATGACCTCACCATATGAGCAAAGTAAGGTCATGTATTCTCACACTGGCCATTCTTCCAGGGGTGGGAGGAAAATAGGAGGGAGGGGTCACTTGAGCTTCTCCAGCAGAAAACTGGCACCTGGACTTGCCCTCCAAAGAGATCCAGGAGAAAAGATGCTGGGTACCAAACATGGCAAATTTCTACTTCAAAAGTAACACATGAGAAACTATCAATAGCAGCAAGATTTCATTTTGTGTTAGAGATACTCTATGCAGAAGAACCTGAAGGCTTGGTCTCCTCCCACTGAGGCTGTGTAGGGGCCAGAAACAACAGCTGCCTTCACCCCCAGGGGCACTGGCAGGATGGAGCTGGGAGGCAAAGGAGAAGGCTAAACTGAGGGGCAAATAAGAAAACAGGCCAGAAGACCAAAAAGGAAGAGGGAGGGCATGTTATTCCAGGTGCCCATACAAGAGCAGCTGACCTGGTGGGAGGCTGTGCTGGCTGGGTCGTTCTGGTCACATTGAGGACGTGCCTCAATGGGCTCAGAGGGGGCCAAAGGGAGTCTTTAGCTCAATGATTTTCCAACCCTAATTTGTGGAGTATCTCATGAGCTGGGTTCATGTGTTCCACCTTCAACATCAAACAAAATCCAATACTTCTCTTTTCCCAGGTCTACATAGACAAGTCATTGATTAGATTGTCTCAGTTCTCCTCAGGTTGGTCCTCATGGTCATTGACCCCTGCTTCAACCAGAAAAGATCCTTTTTTATTTGTCCTATATATTAGGATTTGAATAGAAGACTTAGGCTGCTAAATCAAAGCTCAAATACCATGGAATCCATCTGCTATTATGTGGATTTGATTTTTTCCCCTCCAAACCTCATTTTTAAAATTTGATTCCCATTGTTGGAGGTGGGGCCTAATGGGTGGTGTTTGAGTTATGGGAGCAGATCCCTCATAAATAGATGAGTGCCTTACCTTGGGGGTGAGTGAATTCTTACTCTGTTAATACCAGAGAGAGCTGGTTGTTAAAAAAAGCCTTGTCTCTCTTGCTTCCTCTCTTGCCTTGTAGTCACTGCACATGCTAGCTCCCCGTCATCTTCTGCCATGAGTGGAAGCGGCCTGAAGCCCTTACCAGATGTAGATGCCCAACCCTGAACTTTTCAGCCATCAGAATCATGAACCAAATAAGTATTTTTTCTTTATAAATTACACAGCCTCATGTATTACTTTATAGCAACACAAAATAACTAAGACACTAGTTTGTTACCTAAATAAAGTGTCACCTTCTACTGGAAGAGTAATGTGTCCATACTACTGACCCATCCTATTAAACACAGTAGTGAAAGGTGCTTGTTCACTTCCCAAGTCAGTCAGTGTATTAAAATTAGTCCCATATTTAAAACAGATATTTGACTATATCTCATGATTCTGTGGGTCAGAAATACTAGCAGGGATCAGCTGGATGATTTTTCTGTTCCTTGTGGCATTGACAGTGGTCAGTCATTCAGGGATATTAAGCTGATGGATGAAATGGTTCAGAGAGTCCAAGACAGCATCACTGATGTGTCTGGTGCCTTGGCAGGAAGGGCTGAAAGGCTGGGGCTGGGTTGGAGGGGGCATCTACATTGGCTTCTCCAGCACGGCGGCCTCAGGGTGGTTAGACTTTAACATGGAGCCTCAGGGGTCCAAGAACCAGAGTTAATCAAAGTGGAAGCTGCAAGGATTTTTATGAACTAGTTTGGCAGATGACTTAGTGTTTCTTCCCTTGTACTCTATTGGTCAAAGTGGTCAGAAGCACATCCAGATTCAAGGGAAGGGGAACAGGCACCATCTTTCAATTGAAAAGAATGTATAATAATTTGTTGTCATGTTTTAAAACCTTCACATCTCAAACTGAGATGTATCAAGCACTTACTATGGGCAAACATTTTACACACCATCCCTTTAAATCTTGGCAAAATTCAATCAACTAAACACTTTAGTGTTACCCATTTTATAGATGAGGAAACTGAAAAACAATGAGGGTAAGCAATTTGCTTGAGACTCCTATACTTGAGCCCTCAACGGTGGAGTAGGATATCCTAGTTATTCTCTCCTGAGTATATTCAAATCAGTAAAGTCCTAACTAAAACATCACCTCTTGCCTTTCTTAAACTAATGGAGATGGGCAGAAGTTTGCACAAATAAATTAAGACAATCATTTAAAATTAATTTCATCTTCGATTTTGAGACATGCTTTTCTACTTCCACTTGATTACTAGAATGTCTGATGTTTGGAGAATTCATATCCAACAATACAAATTTATACCTATAGATATGGATAAAGAAAGCACTGGAATTTTCCAGTGCTTTCTTTATATTCCACTTCTCTTCCAGATGGAAAAAGAAGTTACCCCTTATGTTGGATGCAGTAGATCAACTTAAGTAATGCTGCCCTCCTCCAGTCTTCTCTGTCACAAGCGATACAGTTAAGTTTGATTTTTTCAGATCTTTTTCACTAGGTTGGTAGAAAGCAGACTGAATTTCTTTATCTGTAAGATGGAGACAGTAATTGTACCCACTTTTTAGGGTAACCATCTATGGATTGCTTTGTTTGCCAAAAAAAAAAAAAAAAGGAATGGTTGGCTGGGTGTGGTGGCTCACGCCTGTAATCCCAGCACTTCGGGAGACCAAGGCAGGTGGATAACCTGATATCAGGAGTTCAAGACCAGCCTAACCAACATGGAGAAACCCCATATCTACTAAAAATACAAAATTAGCCAGGCGTGGTCGTGCATGCCTTTAATCCCAGCTACTTGGGAGGCTGAGGCAGGAGAATCACTTGAACCCAGAAAGTGGAGGTTCCAGTGAGCCGAGATTGCACCATTATACTCCAGCCTGGGCAACAAGAGTGAAATTCTGTCTCAAAAAAAAAAAAAAAAAAAAAAAAGGAATAGTTATTGGGTGCAAAACTAATTGCGGTTTTTGCCATTACTTTTAAATGGCAAAAACTGCAATTACTTTTGCACCAACCTAATAGCTCATACTGAGTACTTTCTACATGTCAAATACTCTTCTAAGGGTTTTACATGTAATGTGCCAATTAGTCCTCAAGGTGCCTGGTATATGGAAGGTACTCAATAAATACATGCTGATGGAAATAAAGAAGGAAGGAGGGAAGAAATGAACCAAGGAGAGAAGGAAAGAAGGGAGGGTAAAAAAGAAAGGAAGGAAGGGAAGAGAGGAGGGGAAAGGGGTAAGGAAAAAGGGATAAGGGAACAGGACAATGAAAGGAAGGAACTGAGACTTGTAGTCGTGCTGGTAAACTTGGCAGCTTGGTTTACCTTTCATAAAGTTGCAATGTAGAAACTTTTCTGAAGAAAAATAAATGCAAAGTATGGTGGAATTCTAGTCACAATATTGGTTACATATCATAAAAAAATAAGAAATTATATAAGTTAAAATGAAAATAAAAAGAACTAAATTGCTTTCTAGGCAAATGTCCCTAGAATTTATCCAGCATAAAAGAAGTAGGAGGACTATTTTGCTGTTACTGGAATAAAAAAAAAGCACACACACTCTCTTTAAGATTTATTTTTTCTACTTGTATACACAAAATGTCACACCTGTTTTTTCAGGAAGCATAGCTCATCTTGCTATAGTTCCAGCAGCCAAAGAAATAAGTCTATTTGGAACAATGATTTGCATAAACAGACACACACCACAACTCTTTAAACTCTTTCATCCACTTTGAGTGAAATGAACTTGACTTTACTTAGAGCTGTCACATCGTGATTTCCCAGTTGTCCTCCCTGTCAGTGGACTGTGACAATCACAGCACATTGTACACATGTCCTTCATACCCCCTGGGTCCTCTGTTTCTAAGAAACACAGTGACTGTGATGTTGGGTTGAGGAAGGACACATCATAACCAGCCAGCCTGGCCTATGACAAACTGCAAAGAAGATATTGCTGATTTCCCTGCTTTATCATCCAAAGCTTTTCTCTGCTTGTATTATTCTGTTTTCATGCTGCTGATAAAGACATACCTGAGACTGGGCAATGTCCAAAAGAAAGAGGTTTAACTGGACTTACAGCTCCACGTGGCTGTGGAGGCCTCACAATCATGGCAGAAGGCAAGGAAGAGCAAGTCATGTCTTACGTGGATGTCAGCAGGCAAAGAGAAAAGCTTGTGCGGAGAAACTCCCACTTTTAAAACCATCTGGTCTTGTGAGATCCATTTACTATCACGAGAACAGAAAGGGAAAGACCCACCCCCTGGTTTAATTACCTCCCACCAGGTCCCTCCCACAACACGTGGGAATTATGGGCATTACAAGATGAGAATTGGGTGGGAACACAGAGCCAAACACTGCTCCACCAGAGTGTCAGGACAATCTGTCAAGACCTTGCCCCTGGAACCAGATCTTATCCTAGATTTTGGTGAAAAGGTCCCAAGAAAAAGAACAGTCCAATAACCAGAGAATGAGGTACACTTCCTGGTAAGCCTGCTAGATTCCTTTACAACAGGGACACCTCTGTGGTTGGTGATCCTACTGAAGTGACAAGATGTAGGCCTTACACCAAAGACAGCCAAGCTCTTGAAGAAATTGGCTCACTGACTCCTCCATTCAATCATTCAACAAATATTTACTGAGCACCCAATAAGTGTCAGGAATTTTGCGAGAGCTAGGATTCAGGGATGGAAACAAACAAACAACAATAACAAAATTCCCTCTCTGCCCTCGAGTAGCTCTCAGTCTAAAAAAATGATGCAGTATAGAATTAAGGTTTAGGCACAAAATTCTGATTCACTATGCTTTAGTAAAATAATATCACTGGGCTTCAGTTTCCTAATCTGTAATATATTCATGACAATATGACCTGCTTGAGGGTTACTGTGAGAATTGAGTTAGTAATTTCAAAGTACATGGGCAGTGTTGAGCGCACAGTGCTTAAAAGTATCTTAGAGATTTTTCTCCAGTAGAATGACAGCCCAATTGTTTATTCACTTATGAATGAATGAACAGAATACTTGAGTCCCACAGATATAAAATTTCACAGGAAAAATCCAAGGCACATGTCCTAGTCTGTTGTTACTTCTATAGTGAAATATCTAAGACTAAGTCATTTCTCAAGAATAAAAATTTATTTTTATTCTTATAAATTCTTATAAATATTAATAAATTATAAATTTATTTTTATATAAAAATTTATTTTTATTCTTGATAAAAGTCCAATATTGGAAGTTCAATATAAGGGCACTAGGCACCAGTCACGGTAGCTCACACCTGTAATCTCAGCACTTTAAGATGCCCAGGCGGGAGGATCTCTTGAGGCCAGGAGTTCAAGACCAGCCTGGGCAACACAGTGAGACCTTATCTCTATAAAAAAATCTAAAAAAATATTAGCCAGGCATGATGGTGCACACACATAGTCCCAAGGTTGAAGACTGAAACCTGGGAAACACTGGGAAGTGCTCTGGAGAACAAAGTTGAGGTTCCAGTTTTAAAGAAAAAAGGACTAATCAGGAAACGGGTGACTACGAAAGTTGCTTGTTAGGAATTCTCACTGGTTTACAGAAATAACATTGATTAGTTATTGGTTGTACATTGTTAAACTATAGGGAATGAGTTATGATGTCCAGTGTACAGCATTGTTAGGTTTATTTATAGCCATTGGTGGCAACACGCAGTCTAGGGTCCATACGGCAGGCAGCTTTGAAACGATTACTTAGCTTAAGGGGATGGGGGACTGGAACTTGACTGCTGTCACATTTCAGTGCCTCTCTGGGCCTGATAATTTAAAGGGTGCTCCCATTCCTCAGATAGAAAGTTTATTTTCTTTCTCATCACTCTTAAACTCTCAATCTTACTCTTGAACTCTCTAGTTGTCAAAGGGGCTGCTGTGGTTTGAATGTTTTTGTCCCCTCCAAAATTCATGTTGAAATTTAATCCCCAATGTAGCAGTATTAAGAGGCATAGCCTTAAGGAGGTGATTGAGTCACAGGGGCTCCACCCTCATGAATAGGATTAGATGCCCTTATAAAAGGGATTGCCAAATGGAGTTCACCCCTTTTCACCTTTTCTATCCCTTCTGTCATGTGAGGACAGAGGGCTCCTTTCCTCAGAAGAATGCAGCAATGAGGCACCATCTTGGAAGTGGAGACCAGGCTCTCATCAGGCACCCAACGCACCAGCACCCCGATTTTTTTAGACACAGAGTCTCACTATGTCGCCCAGGATGGAGTGCAGTGATCATGGCTCACTGCAGCCTCGAACTCCTGGGCTCAAGCAGTACTCCCACCTCAGCCTCCCAAGTAGCTGGGACTATATATATTAATTTTACCTCAGTTTCTTTTTTTAAGTCAACAGTGAGTAGGTCTGAGAGTGAGGATAGAAGCTTAGAGCCAACATGTCAAATACCTGGGTTGCAATTGCTCTTGAGAACTTTCTGCGGTTCTGGAGTGGCTCCCTTTGTCTCCTGATCCAGAGGCTGAGATCCTTTATTATTTTTTTTTAATTTTTATTAAGAGACATCGTTTCTTTGTGTCACCTAGGCTAGAGAGCAATGGCACAATCCTAGTTCACTGCAAGCTGAGATCCTTTATAGTAGGCCTGACCTCATGCTTTTGTCAGCTTAGAAACTAATCTTTCTGCCCAGTAGTAGCTTCCTTCTAGAAGCTAGATCCTTTTTAGCCTTGATGAACCCCTTGTTGTTAAAATGCACAATTCAAGCACAGGCGAATTTGCTAAACTTGCCTGCTGCTAATAGCATTTCATCTCCTTTGTGAGTAATCAGACATCAGTGCTCAGTGTCACGTGTCAGTGTCAGCGTGTCAGTGGCACGACCACAGATGTTTACCCATATTGTCATCATCATGTGGAAATAGAGAAGTTTCAGCTTTCAAAGGTGAAGTCATCTGTCTGATGCCACACAGTAATAAATCTGTGTATTTAATCTATGTTTCCAATGCCAGAGCTAATACTGTTCACCTCACACTAACCTGCTTTCAGAAAAATAATAGTGGATGTCAGGTAAGTTTATAGTTTGAGTGCCTTTTGGGAGGCCTCCTTGGAAATCCAAATATTCAGGGAAATAGTGCCTGAAATCCCACTCTTCCAGTTCAGTTCCTTTGGCCTGGCATTTAAGGCCCCCATTACCCCCGATCTAATCTCTCATTCTTACTGTTCGAAGATCCCTTCTATCTAGCTCTCTTTATTGCCAAACTGATGTTTCTGCTTCCCCCCATCACCTCACTCTGTTAGACTTTCCTGCCTCTCTGTCCAAGTTCATGACCTTGTCTCTACCTGGCAAACTCTAATAATTGCCAGCTGTAAATGCTTAACAGCTATTCGCTAGAAAAATTAATTTCTTTGCACTCAGCATTGCTCTAGGAATCTTCTTTTAAAATGCAAACATAATACACACATCAAGATAAGAAGCACGCACTCCATACTGTTTAAAACGACTGGGATGGGAGAAGGTTTTACCTTTTACATATTGCCCCCCTCCTTTTTCTGCAAATGGAGTAAAGAATAATAATTACTTTCATAATAATGGTACCTTTTAAAGATTCTTGGGAAGCTAACGCATTAAAGTGCTAACACTAAGATCTGAGGGTGAATGAGCTTGCTGATGTGCTTCCTAGTTTAGAATGGGAGAAGGCGCGTTGCACACTTTTGGAGAAGGGTCTGGGGAAACGTGAGGGGAGTGTGGGGCTGTAGGAGATATACTTCCTACATTTTACAATTAAGAGAGTGGAGAATAGGGAAATTGATGGAGGGGGTAATGGGTGGCGTTTCTGGAAAGCTTGTTAGCCGGAAACGAGTGTTGGAGAGTGACTTTAAAAAGCTGGAATATGACAACGACAACGAATCTTTATAGTGAGCCTGTTGTTTTCATAGTGTCTTTCATTCACTCAAATTATCTAATTAAAGCTTCACAGTGATCCTCTTAGGTTATTTCTCATCTTACAGATGTGCAAACTGAGGAGAAGGAAGTGTAAGGTCACGCCGCTGGTAGAGTTGGGGGCCAAATCCAGATCTGTTGGCTCTGGAAGCTGTAAATCAAACACAAAAAGGAAAAAGTCAAAGGCGGTCTGGAAGGCAAGCCTGGAAGGCACAGAAAAGAGAAGCGTCCTCATACTTTGTTCACTCTAAACCATTGATTCAGGGAGAGGGAAGCAGTCTGTGGCAAGTCGGAAGTGCGACGAGGACGAAGACTGGGTTTGGGTTGGGGAACCCCTGTCTGCTGAGCCCCTTCACTGCGGTCTCCTCTGCTTGCTCCGCGGAGCTCAGGAAACGCGGCTTGTTTTGGTCCCGCGCGGCCGCCGTAGAGTCCCCGTTGCCATGGCTCCTGAATTCCGACGGGGACGCGCTGAGGAGCAGGGGTGAAGGGTGAAAAGCGTCATTCGAGGTCCGGGTCCGGCTTGCGGGGTCAGCGAACTGGAGAGGCGCCATGGGCTGGAGTAAGCCCCCCTCCACCTTCCGTCCTCGATCGTTCCCCTTGTGGAAGTAGTCCCGGGTCTCGTGGGATCCTCGCCGCCCGCTCCCGCCCTGCGCTGTCGGTTCCCCCGCGCCTGGGCGGACCCTAACCCCACCCGGCCCTCCGCACCGCAGCCCCGGCTGCACCAGGTCCTCTGCAGACTGGCCGGACAGCCTGGCCTTTTCCAGCTCAGGTTCCTAATCTGTAAAATGGGCGGGGCCGTGGGAAGGGGAGGAAGAGGCAGAAAGGCACTGGACTCCAGGAAAGGGGTCGGGGAACGTGCAGGGGTTTTGGCGCCAGACACACCACGTTCCGGCCAAGTGGCTCCTTACTGGCTGTGAACGTGGGCCAGTCACTGTCTCCAAGCCGCAATCTTCGGACTCATTCCGGAAGGCAGTGTAGCCTAATGGTGGAGGGTTCCGACTCTGGAGCCAGGGTTGAAGTCCTCCCTCTTCCTGTGACTTTGAGCGAGTGACTTCACCCCTTGGGCCTCAGCTTCTTCATCTCCAAAATAATGGCAATCATACTACTGTTTTAGACACAGTAAGTGTTATAAACGTGTTTTTGTTTGTTTGTTTGAGACAAGAGTTTTGCTCTGTCGCCCAGGCTGGAGTGCAGCGGCGCGATCTCGGCCCACTGCAGCCTCCGCCTCCCGGGTTCAAGCAATTCTCCTGCCTCAGCCACCTGAGTAGCTGGGATTACAGCGTGCACCACCACGCCAGGCTAATTTTTGTATTCTTAGTAGAGACGGGGTTTTGCCATGTTGGCCAGGCTGGTCTCGAACTCCTGACCTCAGGTGATCCGCCCGCCTCGGCCTCTCAAAGTGCTGCGATTACAGGCGTGAGCCACTGCGCCCGGTAGTAAACGTGTTTCTTTAAGAATATACTAACAAACTGCAAGGTGATGCGGGTAAGTTATTTATATTGTATGAACCATTTTGATATCGACAACGTTTTTGAGCTCCCCATATGGCAGTTTTGTACAGCTCTACCTAATTGATCACTTATCATTGTAAAAATGTCATAATTAACTTTTTTTAAATCAAGAGACTGCTCCAGATGATGGGCTTTCTGCCCTGGAAGACCTGACAGCCTGCAAGTGGGAGAGGTGGGGGTCGGGGGGGAGTGATTTGTAAATGTTGAAACTCCTTTCCTAAATCAGCTACTGATATTTCTTCCTCTCTTCTCAGGGCTGTCTCCCCATCCCCTGGTCTCACCCTAGTTGGTTTTTTTCTTCTTCTCCTTCTCCTCCTCCTCCTTCTCCTCCTCCTTCTCCTCCTCCTCCTTCTCCTCCTCCTCCTTCTCCTTCTCCTCCTCCTCTTCCTCCTCCTTCTCCTCCTCCTCCTCCTCCTCCTGCTCCTCCTCCTCCTGCTCCTCCTCCTCCTGCTCCTCCTCCTCCTGCTCCTCCTCCTCCTGCTCCTTCTGCTCCTGCTCCTCCTGCTCCTTCTCCTCCTTCTCCTTCTCCTTCTTCTTCGCTTTTTTATGTCGGGAATTTTCCTTTGCCCTCTTTCTCTGAGTCGTGCCCACTTTGATTTGTTAAATCATTAACTTGTCAGACTTGCATCGGAGTGTCTACCTTGAATCAGGTATTGAATGCAGGATACAGTGAGGAAGGAGGCAGATGTGGGCCTACCCTCCTAGGGAGGGAGAAGACAAACAGAAGTATAGTGGTTACAGCCAGGAGAGAGAGGGGTGCCTGTGCCCTGAGGGTGTGGGTAGGGGACCTAACCCCAAGGTGGGTGGAGGCTTCTCTGAGGAAGCAGTGCTGTCTGGAAAGGAAACAGGAAAGCTCAGTGAATTGCCCAGAGGTGAGAAAGAGCAGGGCTTCTTGGTGGCTAATTGTCACTGACAGGAACTGGTGTGAGACAGAAAGAAGGAGTGGAGAGCAAAGAGATAAGGAAGGCCTGACAGGTAGGCAGGGATCCGCTCATACAGGTTTTGTACTTAGGATTTAGAAATTTATCAAAAGAGCCACAGAGAAACCAAAAGGTTTTGTTCATGGGCATAGCTTGGCCCTATAGGAGTTCGAGTGGGAGATAGTAGGCTGAACTGAGGTCGTGGCAACAGGACAGATGACAAGCACTCCTCCAATGAGTAGCTCTGATGTGCCAGGCTTGGTTAACATGCTTTACCTGCATTCTCTTGTTTGATCTTCCCAGCAGCCTTTTAAGGCAGGGAAGGATTACTGACATCTCTATTTCTTTGGTGAGGCACAGAGAGTAAATCACACAGTAACTATCAGGGCTGGGAACAGAACCCACGAAGATTTCCTCTGGGTCCTGCATTACACCGCACTGCCGCCCACAGGACTGAGGCGAGTGGACAGATTTGAAAGATGTGGGTGGAGAAAGTGGTCCTCTTTTGCTGTGCCACAAACCCTTTTTACATGTTCTCTCTCCCCCGTGCTTCCCAATAAATGGCCTTCTGCCTCTTGCTAACATCTCCTGACTGCTCCTGTGTGCCCTTTTTTCCGCTGCCTTTCCTGTATTTTCCAAAAAAAGACGCAGGGATGTCATTAGTACAGGTTTTAGAGAGACCGTGCTCGAGAGTTCATCTAGTGTACCTGTTCATTTTAGAGATGAGGAGGGGAACATTGATTCAGCCAGTGTCACATCCCGTCAGTCAGGAGAGACGTCGAACCTAGGATACGAGCTTCCCGGCTTTCGCGGCTCTTTCCACAATTCTCAACCTCCTTCAACTAAAGGAGAAATTTGGGCTCCTGAGAAAGGATGATAATAATAGCTCACTCACAGTTATTGAGCTGCTTATTGCCTTCTAGTCAGTGTTCTGAAAGTTTCTCTGTGTGTGTACTCATTGAATTCTCACAAAAATCTTTTGAGGTAGACACTAGTATCATCACCTCCATTTTGCAGATGAGGAATCTGGAGCACAAAGAGGTTAAGCAGCGTGCCCAGTGCCACACAGTAAGTGGTATATCTGGGATGGTAAGCAGAGCCCGCACTCTTGTGTATGTTTGCTATATTGTCTCTTAGGAGTAAGAGACAGTTTGGTGAGAAAAGGAGAGGTCATGGTGCAAATTCTCATGTAAAGTTGAAGAGACCACTATTTTTGATGTTTGTGTCTGCTCAGGAGGACCAATATTGAGCCTGGGGATGGTGGCAAGAGGAAAATGAATTAGTTCCTCTCTGTGCATTTAATCTGGTGTGTGTTGTGATTTAGAGAAGATCTAGTGTCTTTATTCTTAAATTTTATACTATTGAATGCATTTTGTATTACTGGGACACATTTGTCATCTATAGATCTTCTTTGGTGAAATGTCTTCAAATATTTTGCCCATTTTATACATTGATTTGTTTTCTTATCCTTGAGTTTTAAGAGTCTTCTATATATTCTGGATATAGGTCATCAGATACATGATTTGCAAGTATTTTCTCCCCACCTATGGCTTATATTTTCCTTCTCTTAATTATTTTGAAAGAGAAGATTTAAATTTTGAAGTTTAATTTATTATTTTATAGATCTTGCTTTTGATGTCATATCCAAGAAATCTTTGCTAAGTTTACATAGATTTTTCTCTTTTTTTTCCTAGAAATTTTATAATTTTTGGTTTTATGCTATTCCATCATTCATTTGACTCAATTTTTGTATATGATGTGAGATGTAGATTACATTGTTGTTGTGTGTGTTTTTTTTTTTAATATGGAAATCCAGTAGTACCAGCCCCACTTGTTGAGGACTATGCTCTCTCCATTGAATTGAACCTTTGGATAAACCAGTGGCTTGTATATGTGTGTTCTCGACTTTCTTTTCTGATTCATTGATTTATTTGTCTTCCTCTGTGCCAATTTCACACTGTCTTGATTACTGGAGCTTTGTAATAAGTAGTCTTGAAATCCAGTAGTGTTTTTCCTCTAAATTTTTTAATCTTTTAAAGTTGTATTCAGATCCTTTACATTTCTATATGAATTTCAGTAGTATCTTGTCAATTTGTACAAAAATAAGTCTGCTGGGATTTTGACCTGAATTGTGTTAAATCTGTAGCTCGATTTGGGGAGAATGAGTATCTTAACAATATTGAATCTTCTGACCCAAAAACAAGGGATATATCTCCATTTATTTAGATATTACAAAATGTCTACAATATTTTTGAAGTTTTCAATGGACAGACTTTGCACATATTTTTCTGATTTATCTCTAAGTACTTCATATTTTTGATGCCATTGTAAGTGTTGAGTATATAGAAGTATACTTGATTTTTTCATATAGATCTTATATTCTGCAATCTTTTCAAACTTTCTTATTCAATTAGCTTTTTATATGAATTCCATTTGATATTCTCTGTAGACAGTCATATCATCTGCAAATAGAAATAATTCTACTTCTCTACCACCTGGATGCCTTGTTTTTCCTTGCCTATTGCTAGAACCTTCAGTATAATGTTGAAGTGGTGAGAACAGATTTCCTGGCCTTTTTTTCTGATTCTTACGGGAAGAGTCTTTCTCTGCTCGATATAATGTTGATTATAGGTGTTTTGTGGATGCTCCTTGTCAAGTTGAGTTCCTTTTTATTTCTGGTTTTCCGAGTTGTTGTCTTTTTAAAATTGGGAATGGATGGTGGATTTTGTCAACTGCTGTTTTGTCTCTACTGACATTATCACTTTGTTAGTTTATTAATATTGTATGTTACTTGGATTTCTGAGCATTATATCAACCTCGTATACATTGGATAACTCCCCCCTTGGTTATAATGTATAATTTTTTTATTATGTTGTTGGATTTGATTTGCAAAATTTTTTTGCTTAGGATTTTTACATATGTGTTCATGAGGTACATGGATCTGTAGTTTTCTTTTCTTGTAATGCATTTGATTGGTTGTAATTCTGACCTTATAGAATATAATGGGAAGTATTATTTCCTCTTCAATTTTCTACAAGAGTTTGTGTATATGGGGTATTATTTTCCCTTAAGTTTTTGGTAGAATTAATCAAAGGAGACATCTGTGCCATAGTTTTATTTGTGGAAAGAAAGGTTTTTAACTACATATCCAGTAGATATAGGGCTGTTCAGCTCATCTATATATTCTTGAGTGAGCTTTTGTAATTTGTGTCTTTTAAGGGATTCACCCGTTTAATTGATGTTCTTGAATTTATTGGCATAAAGTTACCTATAATATCTGTAGAATACATATGATGTTACCTCTCTCACTCCTAATATTGGCAGTTTGTGTCTTCTCTCTTTTTTGCTGATAAGTCTGACTGAAAGTTTACCAATTTTATTTTCTTAAAGAGCCAGCTTTAATTTTTATTAATTTTTCTCTATTTTTTTCTGCTTTTCATTTCATTGATTTCTGTTATAATCTTCATTATTTACTTTCTTCTGCTTATTTTGGGTTTAATTTGTTCTTTTTCTAGATCCTTAAAGTGGAAGCCAATATTTGAGACCTTTCTTTATTCCTACTATAAGTATTTAATGCTATAAATTTACCTCTAAGTAATGTTTTAGCTGTATCCTGCAAATTTTGATATGTTGCTTTTCTGTGTAATTTTTTTTTTTTTTTTTTTTTTTTTGAGACGGAGTCTTGCTCTGTCACCCAGGCTGGAGTGCAGTGGCACGATCTCAGCTTACTGCAAGCTCTGCCTCCTGGGTTCACGCCATTCTCCTGCCTCAGCCTCCTTGTAATTTTTAACTCTGTTCAAAATACTTTCTAATTTTCCTTTTTATTTCCTTATGCCCAAATTTAAAAAATTACTTTTGTATGTTTTGTATAGATTTTTAGGCTAGAGGGTAAACCCTGTTTTATTACTCTATTATGTCCAGAACCTGACGTCACTGCTAATCTTATGATGAAGTACTGGTCCTAGCCCTCAGCTTTCTCTGTCCTCTGGTTTCAGGAAATGAAAACCTCTTCATAGTGCTCCCAGTCCAGTCCTCTGGTTTCACACTTCCTCTCTCAGCCTTTCCTGATCAGTTGTGTTTAGCAGCAGCCTTTATACAATACAATATAATTGTCCTTTAAGTTACAGTTTCTCTCACATTTCTCTAACACCTGACATGTTACACTTACTAGTACATTCCCTTCCACTTGTATCCTATCTCTGTTCAACACCAGTGCAAGTCTTTACAATTGCATAACTGCCTTGGGCCAGGCACTATCTATGTTCTGCCTACCAGGAATAACAGTGTCCTTGCCACTGTGACAACATGTAGTCTGACTCCAAAATCCTATCTTAGCTAGCATCTGCTTTCATGCACCACTTCTGGTATCAACTCTTCCAGTTTAGGCTCCTCAGGAAGCCGATATCTAGGTGGGAATTAGCATGCAGGAGGTTTATTAGGGAGCATTGTTGGGGTGGGTAGGAAAGAAATCAAAATTGAGCAGAGGGGGAAGTTGGGCTGTGATATGTCTAACAAAGGCCTTAGGAAACCAACCAGGAGATCTAAACTTGGAATGAACCTTCTGACTTGCCCAAGTTGGGGTGAAGAACTGGGCCTTTATAGCCCCTACATCAACCAGTCATTGAATGTGGACTTTCCCAGGAAAGGAAAGGCCATGACCTTGGCTGAACAATCTCTTCGCTGAGACAGCTCATGAAGAAGGTGGGCAGCAGAGGGCTGTCTGTCAACAGAGCCCCCAGCAGCTAGAGGAATTAATCCTTCAGTTTTGAAGAGGGACCTGAGAAGTGCATCATGTCATCCACGATGGCCTAAGGTGCCCTTTCCTGGTTTATCTAACAAACATCTACTCACATTTCAAGATTCAGCTCAGGGCCGGGCGCGGTGGCTCAAGCCTGTAATTCCAGCCCTTTGGGAGGCTGAGGGGGGTGGAACATGAGGTCAAGAGATCGAGACCATCCTGGCTAACACGGTGAAACCCCGTCTCTATTAAAAATACAAAAAAAAAATTAGCCAGGCGTGGTGGCAGGTGCCTGTAGTCCCAGCTACTGGGGAGTCTGAGGCAGGAGAATGGCGTGAACCCGGGAGGCAGAGCTTGCAGTGAGCCAAGATCGCGCCACTGGGCGACAGAGCGAGACTCTGTCTCAAAGAAAAAAAAAAAGATTCAGCTCAGACTCCTCCTCCATGAAGCTTCTTCTGACTTCCTTTTTCTCAGTAGCACCGATCACTGTCTCCTGTGCACTCATCATACTTTCTATGTTCTTCTCTCAGTGCCCCATAGCACTTAGTGCTTTTCAGTAGCACACTCCAGTAAGTCGTCCCTAAAGATATCACTAGATTGGGATATAGTACGGCTGTTGCCGCTCATTATGATGAGCCTGGGTCAGCAAGAAAAGACAGGCAAGTGTACAATCCTGCTTTTAAGAGTTTCCATTGAAAATGATTAAAAAATATTTTAGATGCTGCAAGAGGTGACCTTCACCTGTTTGTAACCCCTTTATTTCTATTAACTCTCAATTTCATATACATATCTGATAGGTCTTTCAAGATGTCTGAATGCTACAAAATCTTCAATAAATACATATTAGTTGATTTTATTCTAATCTAGTAGGAAAAAAAGAGTTGTTTACAAAACATGATGTAAAGCCTGAAGGAATGAACACTAAATTATTGGCTTTGGGAGTTTTGAGAACTTTGCTCAATGTAATGAAAAACTTTAGAAACAAACACAGCAGGACAGCCTCCAGTATCCCAGAAACCTCCTCACCGTGCCCTCTGTCCCTGCTCCCTGCAAAGTCATTTTGCTGATACAGCCTCAAATTTTGGAGAACTCATTCATATTAAGGAATTGGAAAGAAACTTAGGTGAGCTGATGTGTTTTGATTAAACCCTTGGATTCCTCCACAGCATCTTTTAGTGAGGGGAGTATGTATCTGTGGTTGAAGCTGTCAATATCCTTCATCAAGAGCTTATTTCTCCAGTCAGACAGATATTGGTTAGCACTCAACCATCTGCATCTTATATTTTGCTGTTTGAAATTTCCTAAAATAAGGAAGTGAAAGCAATATGTTTTATATTGTGCCTTGGCATATTTTTCTTCTATACCACATAATAGGTACTATAATACCATTTTTCTTGAAATAGTCTTATGATAACATATTAATGCTTCCAAAGCATTTTATTATTTATTTCTTTACTTATTTATAGAAGGAAGGGAACTGACATTTATTGACCAATGACTGTATACCAGGCACTGTGCTAAGGGCTTTACTTAATTATTTAATCCTCAAAAAAATTTTAAGAAGTAATGCTAACATTATCTCCAGTTTACAGATGAGAAAACTGAAATAGATGAACAGTTTTGCCCAAATCTACGTATCATAAACAGGTAGAGAATGGTGGGGCAAAGATTTGACATTATCTTTTCATGACAACACTACACATCCCATCCCTTAGGTTATGTTCCAGTTCTAAATAATAGTAGAAGTTCATTCTAAGTTCTTAGCTCTCCAGGGCTCTTTACAATGGACTCAAACTTGCCTAGCTTTTTTATATCTCCCAATTCCTTCAGTGCTGTGCTGTAGCCATAATGAATGCCGCATAATTTACAGAATCTTCTATGGCCTCTCTCCTTCTGAGCTTGCTTCTTGGAATTGTCTTTTATCTGCCCCATTCTCTTGAATAATCTTAATCATCCTCTGTGTCTCAGCTGAAGATAGGAAGCTTGCCATCTTCTCCGAAGTCTTGATTAGAAGCTGTGGGTATCCCTGACCACCCACATGACCCGAGTGGTATGCACACTGTGCTTCTTTCCTGCCTCTTCTACCAGGCAACCTCCATGAAAGCAAGGACTGTCTGCCGTTGTGTCTACAACATCATTACTATATTGTTGCTGCAAAGTGAAAGAAGATACACTTGCTTCCTGGCCTTTGCACTGTGCTGTTTCTTCTGCTCCATTCTCTTCTTTTTTTCTGGTTAATTGTCATGTGTGCTCTGTATCTCTGTCGACATTGCCTGCTTCTGAAGCCGCAGCTGGGTTGGGTGCTTCTCCTAGATGCTTCATGGTATCCAGCTCTTCTCTCAAGCTCATCCTGCACTGTTGTCACTGCCTCTCCTTAATTCTGGACAGAAAATTCCTTGAGGGCAGAGTTTGTATCTTTTTTTTTACTTTTTAATTTAATTTTGTTTTTATTTGACATAATTGTACATATTTATGGGATACATAGTGATGTTTCAATACATATACTGTATAGTAATCAGATCAGGGTAATTAGCATATCCATTATCTAAAACATTTATCATTTCTTTGTGTTGGAAACTTTCAATATCGTCCTTCTAGCTATTTCAAACTATATATTATTGTTTTTAATTTTATATTCAGAGGGTACATGTGCAGGTTTGTTACATGGGTATATTGGATGATGGCTGGGGTCTGAGCTTCAAGTGAACCCCTAACCCAAACAGTGAACATAGTAGCCAGTAGGTCGTTTTTCAACCCTTGCCTCCCCTCCTTCGCCCATTTTGGAGTCCTCAGGGTCTATTGTTTCCATCTTTATGTCCTTGTGTACCCACAGTTTAGCTCCCACTTATAAGTGAGAACATGCAGTATTTGATTTTCTGTTCGTGCATGAATTCACTTGGGATAATGGCCTCCAGCTGCATCCATGTTACTGCAAAGGACATGATTTTTTCTTTTTATGGCTGCATAGTATTCCATGGTATATGTGTACCAAATTTTCTCTATCCAATCCGCTGTTGATGGGGACTTGGGTTGAATACATTACTTTGATATTGTGAATAGTGCTGCAGTAGCACACGAGTACAGGTGTCTTTTTGATTGAATGATTTATTTTCCTTTGGGTAGATACCCAGTAGTGAGATTGCTAGGTTGATTGTTCATTCTATTTTTAATTCTTTGAGAAATCTCTATTCTGTTTTCCATAGGGGTTGAACTAATTTGCATTCCCACCAACAGAGTATAAGTGTTCCCTTTTCTCTGCATCCTTGCCAACGTCTATTATTTTATGACTTTCATAATAATAGCCATTCTGACTGGTATGAGATGGTATCTCATTGTAGTTTTAATTTGCATTTCTCTGATGACTAGTGATGTGGAGCTTTTTTTTTTAAAGTTTGCTGGGCACTTTTGTGTCTTCCCAAAGCATTTTTAAATCTCTAGAATGATCTCACGTAATTGCAGTGCTATATTATTTGGAGTAGAAATTTCTAAAGGCGAATAATGCTCCTTGGACTTAAAGAATGTTTGCTCTAAATTAGACAGTATATAAAACCGAAAATGCTTTCCTGTTCAAAAGCATGAAACACTATAATCTCCATGCACCATGAAGATATCTTTACACATTTCTTCTCGGGGGCTCTGGTTTTTGTTCTGATGTTTGCCATTACAGGTGAAGCAGCACTGTGTAACAACAATTTCCTCAGCGCTATAAAATGGTAAGCCACACGGCAGTTTGCTTGTCATAGGAGAGTTTAGAAAAGATCTGCTGGGAAATTTCCACATCTTCACAGTTCTGTCCTCCTCTGCAATTATTTATTTTCTTTTAATGTATCCTAATTGTATATAATCATTGCTGTCCAGGCAAACTTCTCTGTTGTGTCCCTTCTTTCCTTTGTGTGTGTGTGTAATTTAGTTATTCATGCTAAGGGAGGCTCCCTAAACTCCACCTCTTTAAATTAATAGGGATTTTTCTCATCTTAATTCTCATGGTTAGAAGATATGAATCAATATAATTCTTTCCTAATACTTACATGCCTTCGAAAGAGAAGATTTGACAGTTGCATGAAGTGATTGGTTTTACACACGTAATACCTTGATGAAGAGAGTTTCTTGGTTGGTCGCAGTGGCTCACACCTGTAATCCCAGTACTTTGGGAAGCCAAGGTGGGTGGATCGCTTGAGTCCAGGAGTCTGAGACCAATGTGGACACGATGGTGAAACCCTGTCTTTACAAAAAAAAAAAAAAAAATTAGCTGGGTGTGGTGGCGCATGCCTGTAGTTCCAGCTACTCAGAAGGCTGAGGTAGGAGGATCCCTTGATCCTGGGCTGCAGCAAACTGTAATCGTGCCACTGCACTCCAGCCTGGGTGACAGAGTGAGACCGTGTCTCAAAGGAAGAAAGAGTTTCTTAAATGTTCAGAGGTATAGCAAGAGAATACTACAAGGATATTTGGTACCAGTAGAAACTTTGTCAACCCTGGAAATCTTTAAGAGTGGGCAATTTAGAAAAGCCTTTCACAGTGTAGACTAGAGGCGCCTGTGATACCTTGAGCAGCCCTGAGAGTCAGAAAGTCCCACATGGCAGTATGAGGCCAGAGACCAAGTGATGCTTAAGATTCTATCAGAAGTCCCCTGAACACATTCGACTTAACCATGGATGACATCTCCTTTGGAGTTCAAATTATATCTTCAATATGGATACAAAACTAAGCCTTCAACTAGAATCTGGGGCAAGAGTATAAGTAAAGGCCTATGTATCAAGTTATAAACCAAACTGCTAAATAAAATATGTCTTCTTACCTTGACAAGTATACTTTCCTAACAACCTGAGGGCTGCATTTCCTATGCTGGAGTTCTATGACAGAGCATGGTGGATTGGGGAAATCTTGCCCTCTGGCCCACTCTTCCCTTTTCTTCCCATCTCTGACTCTGTCCTGGCCCCTAACACCCATGTATGAGCATGGACACTCCAGCCTATACATCCATGCCATCCACCTCCCTGACAAACAGCTGACCCTTGGACATCCCTTAGGCGTTGGGATATGTACCTGATGTCATGGTCTGTCTTCAGGAACGAACCTGGAGAAGCTGCCATTGCAAGGTTTAGAGTAAGGCTTGGAGCCCCTTGAACAGAGAATCCCATTGTTCCTTCCATGGGCCATGGTCTAGAGAGGAAGACTTGGGCTCTGGATGGGCACGTCCTCCTGGCCCCATGGACTCCAGTTCTAATAGTAGCAAGGCCTCCAACAATCCACCCCCTTGCTCTATGGATTTGAGTAGTTTAAGTTACAGATATACCGTTAGTCATTGAGGGTCTTATTACTAGTGGTCAGTAATTTCCACATTTTGTTAAATGTACAGATAACAAGGTTGTGCAATCTCAACCCCTTGACCCATGTTGCATCCTTGCTAAGAGAATTCTTATAGGTAAATTACAGATCTAGATCATACATTTACTTTACACAGGAGCATTGCTCTATCCTCTGGCTGTACCCATTTATTCATTATCAGTTGATTTAAGCTGTTAGAACCAACTTTGGTTAGGAGGATAGAGAGTAGTTTTAATGCTCTTCTCTTACAGGTTTGGTTTTTCTCTTTTCCTTGATTATAGCACCCTATTTAAGCTGGTTCACAAACCATTATTGGAATTCCAGGGACAGCTGAATGGTGCTGGCAGCAGGGTTCCCAGCGAGCCAGGCTGGTGGTGGTGTACTGTTAGCCTCCTTCCTGGGCGCTTTGGGCTGTCCCTTACCAGGATCTGGTTTGTGACCATCTCTGCCTGTTAGTTGAGCCAAAGCTTAGAGCAGCAAGGACTTTCCCCATGTATGGTATTTTAATCTCTCAACCTCTACATTGCTCTGGTCCTTCTTATAAAGAACTGTCATTGCAAGCACCCGTATCTCCTACCACTAGAAGTAGCAGAGAGTTTAGCTAACTCCACATGAATGATAAGTTCGTACATGTTTTTACATTTAATAAAAAGGCAAATTCCACTTTTAAGGATGTGACATAGAGGTGTGGTAGCAGAAGTTGCTGTGAAGAACTCTGTCTCAGCTAGAGGAGTCTGCACCTTCAGGAAACCTGGAATTTCTAGAGGCTGTTATTTGCTTATGCTTGAGACAGTGGAGCATAGTGGTTAAGAGCAGGTGGTCTGGCACTAAACCATGAATTTAAAACCTGGCTCTAGCACTTATCACCAAGACCCAGGTAAGTTATTTAAACTCTCTGTGCTTTACTTCCTCATCTGACAAATGGCAGTAATAACTCCAGATAGTCATATATTAATACATGCAAAGAATTTAGAATACTACCTGGCACCTTGTAAGTGACAGTGAGTCTTTATTATCTCCTGGGGTAGACATACAATATTTCCACATCCTACAGAAGATGTGAGGGTTCAACAAATACCAGTTTTAGTGGCAGTGGGAAATGCCTGGTTCCTCCTTGTCATTACCTTTTTGGTTTCAATGCATCTTTACAAAGATGATTCATGATCTTGTGCTTGGCTCTGACTGTGGACCATAGATAGTGCTATGTCCAGTCTCCTGGCGCCGTCTTCCTCACGTACTGCTGACCTTCTGTGGCAGGTGAACCCAGCACTACACATCACTCTTGTCAGAGGGGTGGGAGCTCCCATTACACCTCCTTCTGTGAGCAGCTTTCAAAAATACTTCTCCTGGAAACAAAACAAGTGGTGGCTGCTTTATAAGAATGCAGTGCAAGATCTAAAGCGTTCCTTTTCTTTCTTTTAAGCTTTAGTTAAATTAATAAACATTGGTTAAATGAATGACCTGTGACCTTTATTTTCTGAATGGTAGAAGATGCTTTCATATTTCTGCCCTCTGACAGCTCAACTGTGCCTCTCAGTAGCAAGTTGCTCTGTCTCAGATTAGTTAGTGGATCTCATCCATTTTAACATGGTACCACCATAAGATTCCATGTAAACATTTTTATAGCCATTAACTCTCAACTCCATCTCCATCCATACAGCAAAATGTATGTAGACCCTTCACATTCAAAGGCAAATACAATATCATCATGTCTTCTTCTTCTCTCCAGCTCACATCATGGCATCACAAAAACTCCAGGAGGAGGTACCATTTTCTCTCTCACTTTGAAAATCGCTTGGGCCTGGAAAATTGACATTCAACTGCAAAAACAAACAAAAAAAACACAAATGCGTTAACAACACAATAATCTTATATTGAACAATGGGGACAGAAATGTAATATGTAACACATTTTCTTCCAGTCACAGAAGATCTTATTAGACGGAATGCTGAACACAACGACTGTGTCATTTTTTCCCTGGAGGAACTCTCGTTGCATCAGCAAGAAATAGAAAGACTAGAACACATTGATAAATGGTGCCGGGATTTAAAAATTCTCTATCTTCAAAATAATCTTATTGGGAAAATTGGTAAGTTTCAGTACTTAGTTCTCATGGTTTCTTGAACATTGTGAATGAGAGAACTTTGGAAAGTGCTGTGTTATTTTTAGAAGACAATCACTGAAAAAAAAACTCCATGGGAAAACAGACACAGCCATCTCTCAGTGGTTGTGTGGGGGGCGTTTCCCTGAACATTTCTGTGTGTAGTGAAAACAATTTCCAGCAAGGAGTTGGGAGAGCAGGTAAAGGTGAGGAACACATTAGTTGACCTGATCATCTAAAAAGACAGAGAACACATCAGACCTGATTTTTTTTTTTTAAGTTTGAAAGGGAGGAGGCATTTGTCATCATTTTACATCACACTGCAAAACAAATTTATATGAGAATTGAGGGAGTCCTTGTCAGGTTACTGCAGAATTCAATAGCTAGTTTTGCTATATTTATTGTGACCATATATGTGCAAGGCATTGGGCTCAGTATTGGGTATTGAGGGGCTTCCGATTTGGAATGGAAATTAGAGGTAAATGCAGGGATCAGGTCAATGAAGATAAAAATATCAGTATTATAACTGATAAAGCTCTTCTAAGAAAGTGGCGTAGACTTGCAGCCAAGTGGGCTTGCTAATATTGCCCTCAGAATTAACCTACCCACCCAGTTACATGCAGAATTGAACAACCACAAGTTTCTCCTCCCCAGGTGGGCCTTTGCTTTATGTCAGGAGGTAGGTTGAGACCATGTGCTCTCTGCTGGCAGGAAGATCCCAGAAACCAGGAAAGAGGGTAGGACTGGGCATGCTCAGTTTCTTCTCCTGATTAACCTATCAGATAAATTGGTCTTCCTTCCCCCACCACACTTGACTTCTCTCACAGAAGAATGATGAATTAAAGGGAAGAGGGAAGGGAGGCCTGTGGAGTTACTCTAATGGAGGTCCTGCCACATGGACACAGAAGGAGAATCCCCAGCACCCGGAAAGAGAAAGCACAGGCTCTGGCATCAGGTAAACCTGGGTCAGAACACTGCCTCTCCCGCCTCCCTCTATGCAGTGTGAAATTTGACAAGTCAGTTACTTGCCCAAGTCTTAGTCTTGCCATCTGTAAAATGGCTAATAATGCCTAAAATGTAAATTGGCATAGGGATTACATGAAATGATATGCTTAGTGCTTGCTCACCATAAGACCAGCACGGCACATGTATACATATGTAACTAACCTGCACAATGTGCACATGTACCCTAAAACTTAAAGTATAATTAAAAAAAAAAAAGATAAGTACTCATTACAGGATAGCTGCTGTGCTGCTGCTGTTACCAATTTGATCATTTACCTCATTGTGCCCCAGGCTAGCCAAATGAAGGTAGGAGCAGAAAGGAGAAGCCAGTGGAGTTGGAGGAAAAGGGATGGAGTCAGGGCTGAGGAGGCAGAGTGAGTGCCAACCCCTGTGTGCCCTGGCACGAGAACCCAGAGGTCAGCTTGCAGGATCATATTTAACTTCCCGTGATGATGTGCAGTGGTTCACAACAGGGGCATTTGGCAATGTCTGGAGATATTTTTGGTTGTCGCATGTGTATGGGAGGATGGGGAGAGGATGCTATTGGCATCTAGTGTATAGAGGCCAGGAATACTGCAAACCATCCTACAGTGCTCAGGATGCTCCCCCACCCCCCGCAAGAAAGAATATCCAGCCCAAAATGTTAGTATTGCTGAGGTTGAGAAACCCTGGTGATGTGGTTGCTTCTAGTTTCGTGGATAATTGAAAATTAGCCTCAGGCTTGCAAAAAGCCTAGGTTTGCATCATTTTTGGAAGATTTACTAAAATTCTCTGTATTTTTTGAGTTAATTATTTTTGGCATCTTTAACTTGACCAGAAATTAGAAACTCTGGCACATTGTTCAATTAAAAAGGCTATTACAGAAAACCACCAGCTTTTATGCATGGGGGCATGAAAGAACGGTTCTAATTGTACAGATCTAAAAGAGTTCCCAAAATTTTAATCTCCACAGCTGGGTCCATCACAATTACTAATTAGGAGCATGGTATTTCGGTCCTTTTCAGAACTGTGAGAAAGCTTAAATTTTTGCTTCCAAAGTACTCTTAAATTAAACACTCTTTTAAATCCTAATAATGGGATTTTTCAGTGCTACTCCACCCATAGGCATTTAGGCACTTATTTAGCAAGTAAAACCACCCCTCTAGGATTCAGACTTGCTCTTGTGCCATTGAGGTAGAAGTTTGTGAAGCAATTGCCTTTCCTAAAGCCCTGTTGCCCATGGGAAGACACAGATGGTCTGCGGAGGAAGGCACTGCTTAGAGGTGACCCAAGAGGGAGCCCAGGGGCCATGTGGGGTCTTGTCAAGTGCCCCGTCCCCAGACCTACTGAATCAGAACCTGTGGGCTCCTGGAATCAACCCTTTCAACAGCTTCCCAGTGGGCTGCATGCCTGGGCCAAGCTGAGGGCTACAGAGCTGCTTAAATCCGAGAAGGCAGAGGGTCTACTCCAAGTTTGTGGGCCTGCTTAGTTGATGAGAACTGTTACTAGAATGGTCTGGCTAGAACTCAGACTCCCTTTTCCCTACCCAAGAGGCTCTTCCATTTTGACTTACAGAGCCTTTTTTTTAACCCGCTGTGTCCAAGTTGGGCCCTGGGGTTTTGAGGAGTTAGCTTAGGAAACCGTCCCTGAGCAAATTCTTACTTTTCTATCATATGACTCCTTTAGCGTTTAGAGGGTGATGCGTATAACAAAGGTGGGGAAGGGAAATCCTGTTTTGAAGAGGTATTTTATTGTGGGCTGGCCATTTTAACAATAATAAAGTATTTTGTTCAGGATGTGGACGAGACTCTCATAGTTCTTAGCACATAGAAACCTCCAAATCTGCTGGGAGCGGTGGCTCATGCCTGTAATCCCAACACTTTGGGAGGCTAAGGCGGCTGGATCACGAGGTCAGGAGATCGAGACCATCCTGGCTAACACAGTGAAACCCCATCTCTACTAAAAATACAAAAATTAGCCAGGCGTGGTGGCGGGCGCCTGTAGTCCCAGCTACTCAGGAGGCTGAGGCAGGAGAATGGTGTGAACCCGGGAGGCGGAGCTTGCAGTGAGCTGAGATTGGGCCACTGCACTCCAGCCTGGGCAACAGAGTGAGACTCTGTCTCTTAAAAAAAGAAAAAAGAAACCTCCAAATCTTTGACTATTGAATGCTCAGATGTTTCTAAAGAGCTTTTTCAAACATTAGGATTACTTAGAATAATTTAAATTCTGAGAGAAATGTTTGTAATTTTTTCCCCCAAATCCTCCATTTAAACAATGCATAAATTGAGATTCAGAGATGTGAACTGTTATGTTCAGGTCTATGGAAACAAATATATGATGTTTTGTACATTTTAGATTAACTATTAGTGGTGATAGGGGTGATGATTATAAATCACCATCTTTGAGCTTCATGGTGTACCTGAGAAATGGGCAGAGGAGGCACTAATTGAATGAGGCTGCCCCCAGTGCACATTCCTTAGCAAAGTTTTCTACATTCCTGTCATCTTAGAAAGGACTGTTCTTTTAAGGTGTACTATAATGATTTAGTTCCAGGTTCTGGAGTCAACTTTCCTAGCTCTACCACTTAACCTTGGACAAGTGAATTAATTCTCTGTACCTTGGTATTCTGATTTGTAAAAAGGAGACAATAGTTTTGACCTCATAGGGTTATTATGAGGATTAAATAAGGTAATATATACTAAATGCTGAGAACATTGTGTGACATGTGATAAGCACTCAGCAATAGTTGCTATGGTATTATTAACTATTTTTCAAAGGCCCCATTCTGCAGCAATTCTGTGACTTGTTTATGCTTGTTGTTTTGCCTGTATTGGCTTTCATGTTTATTAAATAAGATAATCCTGTATCAGGTTGATTTTGGCTTCAAGTCAAAGAAACCCAACTAAATGTGGTAGAACAGTAAGGAAATCAATTATCTTACCCAACTTTAAGTCTACAGGTAGAGCAGACTCCAGAGTCAGTCAGGGTTGGTTGATTCCTTCTCTCTGCTCTACCAGCTCTCAGGCTTTGTCCTGCAGCTGTTTCCCTTATGATTGAGTATAAGTATCAATAGAGATAGTAATTCCTTATTAACATCCAGCAGGAAAAAGAGATAAGAACCCTCCAAGCATGGAATATAGATCCTTCCCTTTTATCTGATTAGGAGGACTGGGTGTGCATGTCCTCTCCTGTATCACACGGTTGCCAAAAGACTGCCATGGCTTTTTGGCTTAAACCTAGGTTCCTGAGCCACCACTAGCAAGAGAGATTGGATTGTCATGCACTGGCCCAGCTTGGCTAAACCTAACTGCCTGGAGTTAGGGCTAGGTAAAGACATGAGCAAAACTGGGTGTCATTAGGAAGGATGGAGGGAGAAATGGGTCCTCCTTAGGCAGCCACCGTGTCTGATGTACAGGTATAGATTTGGAAAAGTGACATGGTTTTGATAACCATAATAATAATCTTTAGATTTTCTTTATTATTTTAGTAATAGATTACATAAAAGTGTCTTTATTTTGAAGATTAATTATCTTAACTACATTATCTTGTATTTCAGAAAATGTTAGCAAACTCAAGAAACTTGAATATTTGAATTTAGCTTTAAACAACATTGAAAAAATAGAAAACTTGGAAGGTAAGACTGTTTCTTCTATTATGCTATTATGAATTAAAATTGAGATTTTAAGTTAGAAGGCCAGGTGCAGTGGCTCACGCCTGTAATCCCAGCACTTTGGGAGGCCAAGGCGGGCAGATCACCTGAGGTCAGGAGTTCGAGACCAGCCTGACCAATATGATTAAACCCCGTCTCTACTAAAAATACAAAAATTAGCCAGGCGTGGTGGCATGCACCTGTAATCCCAGCTACTCAGGAGGCTGAGACAGGAGAATCGCTTGAACCCAGGAGGCGGAGGTTGCAGTGAGCTGAGATTGCGCCATTGCACTCCAGCCTGAGCAACAACAGCGAAACTCCGTCCTCCCCAAAAAGAAAAAAGTTAGATTTAAACAGTCTTGTATAAAAATAGGTACGCTTTTAAAATTAACATTTTACATACATCTTATAGTTATTCTTCTTATAAAAATTCAAGCAATAAGGTGATACATAAATTCAAAAATGGAAGTCCATTTCACTCTTTCCTAACCCAGCCTCCTCAGAGGTAGCCAGAATTAACACTTGGGTATATACAAGGTGGTTTTGTTTCATTTTGCTTTCTATTAATGGTTTCATACTATGAGTATTGTTTTGAAAATTAGTTTCTTCCCTACAATTACCTTGCTTTTTTGATATCCAGGAAAGGGGGCGTGGGGCTACGTACCGGAATCATTGTAGACTGATTTATCTAACCATCTGTCTGCAGATGGACATTTGGGTGCGTTCCAGCATTTTGCTATAATAAGCATGGCTACAGTAAGCCTCCTTCTACATTTTACTTTGTGTACATGTGCACAGTTTTTTCTAGGACAGACACTTAGAAATGGAATTCCTGCATTTAAATCAGCATATTTGGAAAGATACTGCCAAGTTGTTCTGCAAAATATTTATTGTATCGATTTGTACTTATACTGATAGTCCATGTGAGTACCGATTTCTACACAACTTCACTAATACTTTCTATAAACAATATTTTTTAAGATAGGAAGATATTTTTGTTTATTTTTATAGTAGCCATCCTACCCTAATAGGTGTGAAGTGGTATGTTATTGTGCTTCTGATTTGATTTGCGTTTACCTTATGATTAATGATGTTGAGCATTTTTTATGTGCTTACTGGCCACTTGAATATCTTCTTTGGAAAAATGTTTATTCAAAGGTTTGGCCCATTTTTAAATTAGTTATATTATTTGTCTTTTTACTGTTAAGTTGCAAGTGTTCTTTATATATTCTAGATGCTAGACTTCGATCAGATAATTGATTTGCAGATATATTCTTCCAATTTGTGGGTTTTCTTTTCAACTTTCATGATGGTGGCCTCTGAGGCACAGTTGTTCTTAGTTTTGTCTATAGTTTGTTTGTTTGTTTTCCCTATAGGTGTCTTTGGTTTTACTGTCTGGATAGTAGGGGCCTTTATAGAATGAATTGAGAAGTGCTTCTTATTCGATTTTTTTCAGAGAGCTTGTAAAAAATTTGTGTTAATTCTTCTTTAAATATTTGTTAGAATACACCAGGAAAGCCATCTGGTCCTGGACTTTTCTTTGGGAAAGTTTATTGATTATTAATTTAATCTCTTATTATAGGTCTATTCAGATTTTCTATTTCTTCTTGACTCAGTTTTGGAAGGTTATGTCTTTCTAGAATTTATCTATTTCACTTAGGTTATCTCATTCTTTACCATACAGTTGTTTTTACTACTCCCTTATTATATTTTTCATTTTTTTTAATGTCAATAGTAAAGTCTCATCTTTCATTCCTGATTTACTAAATTTGAGTGTTCTTTTTTTTCTGGTTAATGTGCAGCTAACGGTTTGTCAATTTGGTCAATCTTTTCAAAGAACCAACTTTTGATTTTGTTGATTTTGTCTATTGTTTTATATTCTCTATTTTGTTTGTTTCCCCTGTAATCCTTATTATTTCTTTCTCTTTGTGTTTTCTCTTTTTTCTAGTTTCTTAAGACAGACAATTAGGTTATTGATATGAGTCGTTGTTTTTTATGGAGCCATAAATAAAATTCTATGAATTTTCCTATGAGCATTACTTTTTTGCATCTAAGTTTTGATATGTTGTGCTTTTGTTTTAATTCATCTCAAAGTATTTTCTGATTTTTTTTTTTTGCAATTTTTTTCTTTAACCTATTAGTTATATAGCAGTGTTGTTTAATTTCCACATCTTTGTGACTTTCCCACATTTTCTCATTTTACTGATTTCTCGTTTCACTCCATTGAGGTCAAAGAAAGAAATACTTTCTTTGATTTTAATTACTTTAAGCTTATTGAGACTTGTTTTATGGCCCAACATTTGTTCTGTCCTAGAGGCTGTTCCATGTACATTTGGGAAGATTGTACATGCTGCCATTCTTGGGTTTATTGTTCTAAATATGCCTGTTAGGTCTAGCCTTTTGTTTCTTTCTTTCCTACTCTTCTATTTCCTTGCTGATATTCTAATTGTTTTATCTATTATTAAAAGCAGGTTATTGCTGTCTCCAAGTATTATTGTTGAATTGTCCCTAGCTCGTGTCAATAATGTCAGTTTTTGCTTTAGATATTTTGGGACTCTGCTCTTAGGTGCATATATGTTTATAATATTTTTATCTTTTTGATGAATTTATGTTATTATTATTATAAAATGTCCTTTTTTGTCTATAGTTACAATGTTTGCCTTAAAGTCTATTTTGTCTGGTATTAATATAGTCACTCCAGCTCTCTCCTTTTCTTTTTGGTTACCATTTGTATGGTATAACTTTTCCTGTCTTTTACCTTTCCAACTATTTCTATCTTTGAATCTAAAATGCTTCTCTTTAAAAGGCATATAGATGAATCGTGTTTTGATTTTTAATCTATCCTGTCAATCTCTGCCTTTTAATTTGGGAGATTAACCCATTTACACCTAATGTAATTAGCAATAAGGCAGAATTTGTGTCTGTTATCTGCAATGTGTTTTCTATATATCTTATGTCTACTTTGTTCTGTTTTTGGATTACTCTTTTCATTTTTGTTATTTTTGTGTGTACTGTTTTAATTCCCTTATTCTTTTACTGTATATTTTTGAGTTATTTTCTTAGTGGTTTCCCTGGGAATTACAATTAATATCTTAATTTATAACAATCTAGTTCAAATTCATACCAACTTCATTTCAATAGTATACAGACTTTGCTCCTGTATAGTTTAGTTTTCCTCCCTTCGTTTATGCTGTTATTGTCACATATCACATCTTTATATAATATGTGCCTATTTGCATAGATTTATAATTATTTCTTTTTGCAGCCATCTTTTAAATAATTTAGGAGAAGAAAATAGGTACAAAAATAAATTTATATTGTCTTTTATATTTACCTATATAGTTACCTTTAGTAATTGTTCCTATTTTATCAAATGCATTTGAGTTTCTCCCTAGTGTCTTTTCATTTCAGCCTAAAAAACACTCTTTACTATTTCTTGTAGCATAGATCTGTTAGTGAAAAACTCTCATTTTTGTCTATCTAAAAAATCTTAATTTATTTTCCATTTTTGAAGGAGAGTTTTCCCAGATAGAGAATTATTCGTTGACAACTACATTTTTACCATTTCTTCTTTCCTTCCTCCCTTCCTTCTTCCATCTATCCATCCATCTACCTATTATCTTTTCCAATAACTTTCTTTTGTGTTTTTTAAATCTCCCCAAGAACTTCTTTCAATTGGATTTTAGTAGTATTATACTGATCTTTTGTGCCTTTTGACCTGCATCTTTTATTTAAATCCATTTTTCTTGATATTGTACATTTTGAAACATTTCACCAGATTCAAGTTCCAAATAATCATTTTCTTTTCATCCCTGTTCATTTTATAGTTCAGTCCATCTACAATTAACTCTTTATTTTGGCCGTACTTTTTTTTTATTATACTTGAAGTTCTGGGTACATGCGCAGAACATGCAGGCTTGTTACATAGGTATACGCGTGCCATGGTGGTTTGCTGCACCCATCAACCCGTCATCTACATTAGGTACTTCTCCTAATGCTATCCCTCCCCTAGCTCCCCAACCCCCGACAGGCCCTGGTGTGTGATGTTCCCCTCCCTGTGTCCATGTGTTCTTATTGTTCAATTCCCACTTATGAGTGAGAACGTGTGGTGTTTGGTTTTCTGTTCTTGTGTTAGTTTGCTGAGAATGATGGTTTCCAGCGTCATCCATGTCCCTGCAAAGGACATGAACTCACCCTTTTTTATGGCTGCATAGTATTCCATGGTGTATATGTGAATTTTGGCCATACTTTTTATTCTTCTAAACTTCTATGTTCTGATTGCGTCATTCCTGTGGTGTGTATTCTTATTTTATGGATGAGATATCTTCGAAATCTCTTTGGAGATAATTGTTAGAACTTTTTGCTGTCAATTTTTTTCATCCCCTGAATTATCTTCTTCATCTGAGGTTTCTGTTTTATTTTGCAGGCTTCTATCTTGTGCTATTTTTCTCTAAATGTCTGGTAACATTTGGTGTCTGATTACAGTCACAAAGGATTTGGTGTATTAGGTGGCTTGTGTGACTTATTCTGCAGTTGTGAGGTTCTGCTTGCCTATCCAGCCTCAGCCTGCCTGGCAGAGCCACTGTGTACTCTGCAAGTGGGTGGGGCGTGCTGACTAGCAGACTTCACTTTAGAGTGCAGGGCCATGGAATAGAGGCAGACAAGCTGCTCTCCCCACCCCAATGCCATCTGCTAATAGCTGAAATTAGGAGGACTTTACTTAGGTCATGGTGGATTTTAGCCTATTTGCCTACTAGGGTAAAAATGGATATTCCAGTGACTATTAAGATTCTTTAATAACAATTACATAAATCTACATCATATATTTTTATTTTTCATTCTCAAAAATTACCATTACCAAAGTCATCAAACCTGGCCTCAGTCCTGGGATCAAGATGATGCTTTTCATCATTGGCATTTTTCTGCATTAGAAATGGAGTCATTGCTCTCTCCCAGCTAACGTTTTACGGCCCTGTTCTCCTGTGAACAAATGGAATAATAAAATTTACTGTATGTCCATGTTTTGTGGTAATGAAGTTTCTATCTAAAATGCCAAAGAAATAATTAAAACTGGGACTCTTGGCTGGGTTGTCCAGCGCTTGTTAATTTTGTGAAGTAAGTATTCTTACACCGTATGAGTTCTGTTTGTGTGATTTGTTTTATTTATGTACCACTAGAGGGCAGCATCGTCACTATTGTCTTTTTGAGCTTGGCAAACTGCAGGCCAACCCCCCTCCTGCCTTTTACCTGAACAGGTCTTTTTGTGCTCTGCTTTCCAGCTTTAACACGGATGAACTGGGTGTAGGGTAGCCTGAGGATTGTTTGGTAAGGGCGGTGGAGGGGGATAGTGGGAATGGAGAATGCATCCTATCTGCTGGCAAATATGTACTTTTGTTTAATTTTAAGGGATTGAGGTGACAGAGGAGGAAGATGGGGGTACACCTTCAACCCACCTGCTTAAGTAAAAATAAATCGTTTTGCTTTTTACTGTTTTTCCTTGGATGGCAAAAAAAAAATAGCTAGTATCCTTTTTTTTTTCTTTTTCTCCTGTTGAAGATTCACCAGGGTAGAATAAAGTGCTTTTGTTTTCCATCCCTTACCCTAACCTGGAAGGAGAGGTGGAATTTCCCATAGCATGAGCTCCCCCACCCGCCTTTGGCAGTCAGTGTTGGTGATTTCCAAGATTTTTAGACCCCAGAGGGTCACTGAGCTGGATCTCCACAGAACAGGAGATAGAGGCTGGGACTCCACTGAAGGAAGCAGTGCCGAACTCCAGAGATGAGATTTTCTCAAGCTTGGCCAGTTTGGCAAGAATTGTTCATATTTGGGATGACAAATGTAGTTTAATTTCTTAATTGTAGGCCAAGTAGACATTAAGATTTGACACTTTGAAAAATATAATGAACATTTGGAGGGTTTTTTATCTACAAAATTATAGCAACATCCAAAGATATATGACATTTTCACCTCATTGGAGGCTTTCAAATGTCAGTCTTTTCTTATATGAAAGAAAAATGTAATTAAAATGTCTTCCGGAGCCTCCTAAATTAAACTTAAGAAATGCCACCTAACCTATCTTAAGTCAGATTACCCCAAATATATCTTCTACATTTATAAAATTCATCTGTCATTTTTGCCAATGTAAAATAAACATAGAAACATAGAGATATAGACTGTTTTATTTGTAGATATAGTTTTGTACACATCCTTCATATAGTGCCTGAGCCTACATTTTTATAATTTAACAACTGCATTGTCAAGTTTATTAATGTGTTTTATTTTTTATTTTTATTTTTTATTGTACTTTAAGTTCTAGGGTACATGTGCACAATGTGCAGGTTTGTTACATATGTATACATGTGCCATGTTGGTGTGCTGCACCCATTAACTCATCATTTACATTAGGTATATCTCCTAGTGCTATCCCTCCGCCCTCCCCCCACCTCATGACAGGCCCCAGTGTGTGATGTTCCCCACCCTGTGTCCATGTGTTCTCATTGTTCAATTCCCACCTGTGAGTGAGAACATGCGGTGTTTGGTTTTCTGTCTTTGCAATAGTTTGCTCAGAATGATGGTTTCCAGCTTCATCCATGTCCCTACAAAAGACATGAACTCATCCATTTTTATGGCTGCATAGTATTCCATGGTGTTGATGTGCCACATTTTCTTAATCCAGTCTATCATTGATGGACATTTGGGTTGGTTCCAAGTCTTTGCTGTTGTGAATAGTGCTGCAATAAATATACGTATGCATGTGTCTTTATAGCAGCATGATTTATAATCCTTTGGGTATATACCCAGTAATGGGATGGCTGGGTCAAATGGTATTTCTAGTTCTAGATCCTTGAGGAATCACCACACTGTCTTCCACAATGGTTGAACTAGTTTACAGTCCCACTAACAGTGTAGAAGTGTTCCTATTTCTCCACATCCTCTCCAGCACCTGTTGTTTCTTGATGTTTTAATGATTGCCATTCTAACTGGTTTGAGATGGTATCTCATTGTGGTTTTGATTTGCATTTCTCTGATGGCCAGTGATGATGAGCATTTTTTCATGCGTCTGTTGGCTGCATAAATGTCTTCTTTTGAGAAGTGTCTGTTCATATCCTTCACCCACTTGTTGATGGGGTTATTTGATTTTTTCTTGTGAATTTCTTTAAATTCTTTGTAGATTCTGGATATTATCCCTTTGTCAGATGGGTAGATTGTAAAAATTTTCTCCCATTTTGTAGGTTGCCTGTTCACTCTGATGGTAGTTTCTTTTGCTGTGCAAAAGCTCTTTAGTTTAATTAGATCCCATTTGTCAATTTTGGCTTTTGTTGCCATTGCTTTTGGTGTTTTAGTCATAAAGCCCTTGCCCATGCCTATGTCCTGAATGGTATTGCCTAGGTTTTCTTCTAGGGTTTTTATGGTTTTAGGTCTAACATTTAAGTCTTTAATCCATCTCAAATTAATTTTTGTTAAGGTGTAAGGAAGGGATCCAGTTTCAGCTTTCTACATATGGCTAGCCAGTTTTCCCAGCAGCATTTATTAAACAGGGAATCCTTTCCCCATTTCTTGTTTTTGTCAGGTTTGTCAAAGATCAGATGGTTGTAGATGTGTGGTGTTATTTCTGAGGGCTCTGTTGTGTTCCATTGGTCTATATCTCTGTTTTGGTACCAGTACCATGCTGTTTTGGTTACTGTAGCCTTGTAGTATAGTTTGAAGTCAGGTAGTGTGATGCCTCCAGCTTTGTTCTTTTTGCTTAGGATTGTCTTGGCAATGCGGGCTCTTTTTTGGTTCCATAAAAAAGTTCCATAAAAAAGTAGTTTTTTCCAATTCTGTGAAGAAAGTCATTGGTAGCTTGATGGGGATGGCATTGAATCTATAAATTGCCTTGGGCAGTATGGCCATTTTCACGATATCGACTCTTCCTATCCATGAGCATGGAATGTTCTTCCATTTGTTTATGTCCTCTTTTATTTCGTTGAGCAGTGGTTTGTAGTTCTCCTTGAAGAGGTCCTTCACATCCCTTGTAAGTTGGATTCCTAGGTATTTTATTCTCTTTGAAGCAATTGTGAATGGGAGTTCACTCATGATTTGGCTCTCTGTTTGTCTGTTATTGGTGTATAAGAATGCTTGTGATTTTTGCACATTGATTTTTTATCCTGACACTTTGCTGAAGTTGCTTACCAGCTTAAGGAGATTTTTGGCTGAGACAATGGGGTTTTCTAAATATACAATCATGTCATCTGCACACAGGGACAATTTGACTTCCTCTTTTCCTAATTGAATACCCTTTATTTCTTTCTCCTGCCTGATTGCCCTGGCCAGAACTTCTAACACTATATTGAATAGGAGTGGTGAGAGAGGGCATCCCTGTCTTGTGCCAGTTTTCAAAGGGAATGCTTCCAGTTTTTGCCCATTCAGTATGATATTGGCTGTGCGTGTGTCATAAATAGCTCTTAATATTTTGAGATACGTCTCATCAATACCTAGTTTATTGAGAGTTTTTCGCATGAAGGGCTGTTGAATTTTGTCAAAGGCCTTTTCTGCATCTATTGAGATAATCATGTGGTTTTTGTCTTTGGTTGTGTTTATATGCTGGATTATATTTATCGGTTTGCATATGTTGAACCAGCCTTGCATCCCAGGGATGAAGCCCACTTGATCATGGTAGATAAGCTTTTTGATGTGCTGCTGGATTCGGTTTGCCAGTATTTTATTGAGGATTTTTGCATCGATATTAATCAAGGATATTGGCCTGAAACTCTCTTTTTTTGTTGTGTCTCTGCCAGGCTTTGGTATTAGGATGATTCTGGCCTCATAAAATGAGTTAGGGAGGATTCCCTCTTCTTCTGTTGATTGGAATAGTTTCAGAAGGAATGGTACCAGCTCCTCTTTGTACCTCTGATAGAATTCGGCTGTGAATCCATCTGGTCCTGGACTTTTTTTGGTTTTTAGGCTATTACTGCCTCAATTTCAGAGCCTGTTATTGGTCTATTCAGGGATTCAACTTCTTCCTGGGTTAGTCTTGGGGTGGTGTATATGTCCAGGAATTCATCCATTTCTTCTAGATTTTCTAGTTTATTTGCGTAGAGGTGTTTATAGTATTCTCTGATGGTAGTTTGAATTTCTGTGGGATCGGTGGTGATATCCCCTTTATCATTTTTTATTGCATCTATTTGATTCTTCTCTCTTTTCTTCTGTATTAGTGTTGCTAGTGGTCTATCAATGTTGTTGCTCTTTTCAAAAAACCAGCTCCTGGATTCATTGATTTTTTGAAGGGTTTTTTGTGTTTCTGTCTCCTTCAGTTCTGCTCTGATCTAAGTTATTTCTTGCCTTCTGCTAGCTTTTGAATTTGCTCTTGCTTCTCTAGTTCTTTTAATTGTGACGTTAGGGTGTCAATTTTAGATCTTTCTGCTTTCTCTTGTGGTCATTTAGTGCTGTAAATTTCCCTCTACACACTGCTTTAAATGTGTCCCAGAGATTCTGTTAGGTTGTGTCTTTGTTCTCATTGGTTTCTTTTTTCTCATTGGTTCTCATTGGTTTCTCATCTTTATTTCTGCCTTCATTTCGTTATGTACCCAGTAGTTATTCAGGAGCAGGTTGTTCAGTTTCCATGTAGTTGAGCTGTTTTGAGTGAATTTCTTAATCTTGAGTTCGAGTTTGATTGCACTGTGGCCTGAGAGACAGTTTGTTATAATTTCTGTTCTTTTACATTTGCTGAGGAGTGCTTTACTTCCAACTATGTGGTCAATTTTGGAATAAGGGTGATGTGGTGCTGAGAAGAATGTATATTCTGTCGATTTGGGGTGGAGAGTTGTGTAGATGTCTATTAGGTCCACTTGGTGCAGAGCTGAGTTCAATTCCTGGATATCCTTGTTAACTTTCTGTCTCATTGATCTGTCTAATGTTGACAGTGGGGTGTTAAAGTCTCCCATTATTATTGTGTGGGAGTCTAAGTCTCTTTGTAGGTCTCTAAGGACTTGCTTTATGAGTCTGGGTGCTCCTGTATTGGGTGCATATATATTTAGGATAGTTAGCTCTTCTTGTTGAATTGATCCCTTTACCATTATGTAATGGCCTTCTTTGTCTCTTTTGATCTTTGTTGGTTTAAAGTCTGTTTTATCAGAGACTAGGATTGCAACCCTTGCTTTTTGTTTTGTTTTGTTTTCCATTTGCTTGGTAGATCTTCCTCCATCCCTTTATTTTGAGCCAATGTGTGTCTCTGCACGTGAGATGGGTCTCCTGAATACAGCACACTGATGGGTCTTGACTCTTTATCCAATTTGCCAGTCTGTGTCTTTTAATTGGAGAATTTAGCCTATTTACATTTAAGGCTAATATTGTTGTGTGAGAATTTGATCCTGTCATTATGATGTTAGCTGGTTATTTTGCTTGTTAGTTGACGTAGTTTCTTCCTAGCATTGGTGGTCTTTAAAATTTGGCATGTTTTTGCAGTGGCTGGTACCGGTTGTTCCTTTCCATGTTTAGTGCTTCCTTCAGGAGCTCTTGTAAGGCAGGCCTGGTGGTGACAAAATCTCTCAGCATTTGCTTGTCTGTAAAGGATTTTATTTCTCCTTCACTTATGAAGCTTAGTTTGGCTGGATATGAAATTCTGGGTTGAAAATTCTTTTCTTTAAGAATGTTGAATATTGGCCCCCACTCTCTTCTGGCTTGTAGAGTTTCTACTGAGAGATCTGCTGTTAGTCTGATGGGTTCCCTTTGTGGGTAACCCAACCTTTCTCTCTGGCTGCCCTTAACAATTTTTCCTTCATTTCTACTTTGGTGAATCTGACAATTATGTATCCTGGAGTTGCTCTTCTCAAGGATTATCTTTGTGGCATTCTCTGTATTTCCTGGATTTGAATGTTGTCCTACCTTGCTAGGTTGGGGAAGTTCTCCTGGATAATATCCTGAAAAGTGTTTTCCAACTTGGTTCCATTCTCCCCATTACTTTCAGGTACACCAATCAGATGTAGATTTGGTCTTTTCACATAGTCCCATATTTCTTGGAGGATTTGTTCATTTCTTTTTACTCTTTTTTTTCTAAACTTCTCTTCTCGCTTCATTTCATTCATTTGATCTTCAGTCACTGATACCCCTTCTTCCACTTGATCGGCTACTGAAGCTTGTACATGCATCACTTAGTTCTCATGCCATGATTGTCAGCTCCATCAGGTCATTTAAGGTCTTCTCTACGCTGTTTATTCTAGTTAGCCATTTGTCTATTTTTTTTCAAGGTTTTTAGCTTCTTTGCGATAGGTTCAAACATCCTCCTTTAGCTCAGAGAATTTTGTTATTACCGATCATCTGAAGCCTTCTTCTCTCCACTTTGCCTAAAGTCATTCTCCGTCCAGCTTTGTTCCGTTGCTGGCGAGGAGCTGCGTTCCTTTGGAGGAGAAGAGGCGCTCTGATTTTTAGAATTTTCAGCTTTTCTGCTCTGGTTTCTCCCCATCTTTGTGGTTTTATCTACCTTTGGTCTTTGATGATGGTGACGTACAGATGGGGTTTTGGTGTGGATGTCCTTTCTGTTTGTTAGCTTTCCTTCTAACAGTCAGGACCCTCAGCTGCAGGTCTGTTGGAGTTTGCTGGAGGTCCACTCCAGACCCTGTTTGCCTGGGTATCACCAGCAGAGGCTGCAAAACAGCAAATATTGCAGAACAGCAAATGTTGCTGCCTGATCCTACCTCTGGAAGCTTTGTCTCAGAGGGGCACTTGGCTGTATGAGGTGTCAGTCAGCCCCTACTGGGAGGTGCCTCCCAGTTGGGCTCCCCAGGGGTCAGGGACCCACTTGAGGAGGCAGATTGTCCATTCTCAGATCTCAAACTCCATGCTGGGAGGACCACTACTCTCTTCAAAGCTGTCAGACAGGGACGTTTAAGTCCGCAGAAGTTTCTCCTGTCTTTTGTTCAACTATGCCCTGCCCCCAGAGGTGGAGTCTACAGAGGCAGGCAGGCCTCCTTGAGCTGTGGTGGGCTCCACCCAGTTCGAGCTTCCCGGCTGCTTTGTTTACCTACTCAAGCCTCAGCAATGGTGGACGTCCCTCCCCCAGCCTTGCTGCCGCCTTGCAGTTCGATCTCAGACTGCTGTGCTAGCAGTGAGGGAGGCTCCATGGGCGTGGGACCCTCCAAGTCATGCATGGGATATAATCTCCTGGTGTGCTGTTTGCTAAGACTGTTGGAATAGCACAGTATTAGGGTGGGAGTGTCCCAATTTTCCAGGTACCATTGGTCATGGCTTCCCTTGCCTAGGAAAGGGAATTCCCTGACCCCTTGTGCTTCCTGAGTGAGGTGATGGCCCCCCTTGCTTTGGCTAATCCTCCGTGAGCTGCACCCATTGTCCAACAAGCCCCAGTGAGATGAACCCGGTACCTCAGTTGGAAATGCAGAAATCACCTGTCTTCTGTGTCGCTCATGCTGGGAGCTATAGACTGGAGCTGTTCCTATTTGGCCGTCTTGAAACCTCCTCCTATTGATGTGTTTTAAATGCAACCTTATTGTTTGGTGCTGGAGGTGTTTTTAATTACGTTTGTTATTATGAATATAACTGTTCTGAGCAGATTTGTATGAGTTACCTCTGTTTCCAGTTGAGATATTTGGCTGGGACATTTTTTTCCCCAGATGAAATTCTAGCAATGGAGGAAAGAATAATTTAAAAGCCTATTTTATGTATTGACAGACTGCATGCTGAAAGGTATAACTCTTATGTCACAGGCTTGCTGATATATGTATTTAATATTATCCATGTTTTTATTAATTTAATAGAAATAATTATTTTGTTTCCCCTTTTCATTTATATAATTATTTTTAAAGATGTGAGGTTAATGAATTTCTTTCACCTATATAGTAAAATCTAGAATATATAAAAGCATTTATTTGTTCTTGTAAATTCTGGATATTTATCTGTTACACAATTTATATTTTTAGCATAGTAATATAATAGTTCAAAAGGTCACAGTGCTATACTTATGTCCCTTGTCAATCCCCTCAGACCTCTAAGTCCTACTGCCTAGAGGTAGCTACTCACAATTCCCTTTGCTTCTTCTATTACAAGTGTCTAACGAATGCACTCAATATTATGCTTGTCTCCAAGTATTGCACTTACATCATGCTTATCTGCTGTTTCTTGATATTCCTATTTTAGATGTCATCTATTGACTTCCTGATGTGGACGATGCAGATTTTGTTCTCTCACACCATCTGCAAGGTTCTCAATTTTCTCCTACCCACCCTCCGTGTATTTTCATATGACATTGACAGGATATCATAATGAAATATGGCATACGGACCCATTTACGGGGACTGGTCTTTTGAATTAACTGTGTTGGGAGAGGATATTACACTTGCTCCCCAACTCTCCCACATCTAATCTCTGGCCTTTCTTATCCTACCTGCCTCCTCCTGCCTTCTTCCAAGCTGGTCTCTCCATCTCCACCTGTGTCATGAATTCCAGGCAGGTCAGTCCTGGGCTACACCTCTGCTGGGTGGTGACAACTACTTTTACTTACAGACTTAAGTATGTGTTCCACAGAATTGTAGCATGAGAATTTTAAGGTGAAGATGATGATGATATTTTAATAATAAATGGCTAACACTGGCAAAGAGACTCTCTAGCACAGGGGTCCCCAAACCCTGGGTAGAGAACCGATACCTCTGGCCTGTTAGGAACCGGCTGACAGCAGGAGGTGAGCAGTGGGCCAAGAGGGTTTTAGTGCCTGAGCTCCGCCTCCTGTCCAAACAGCTGCTGCTTTAGATCCTCATAGGAGCGGAGCCCTATTGTGAACTGATCTTGCGAGGGATGTAGGTTGCGTGCTCGTATGAGAACTAATGCCTGATGATCTGAGGTGAAACAGTTTCATCCTGAAACCATCCCACCCCACCGTCCGTGGAAAAATGGTCTTCCATGAAACCAGTCCCTGGTGCCAAAAATGTTGGAGACCGCTGCTCTAACATATCCGTTCAGAGAATCTTCAGGTGGGCCAACCTGGGTCCAAATCCCAACTCATCCATTTAGGAGCTGTGTAAACTTTGGTAATTCCTTAGCTCATTTGCGTTGCAGTTGCAAGTATCTGTTGCCAGATAGATTCCGGAAGCAGCCATTGCTAGAGGATCCACCTCCAAGATGGTTGCTTCAGTTACCATCTGGAGCTGCTTCTGGGCGTGTTTCTTTCCACAGAAGCAGATTTTGTTCTCTCTCACTGCCTTTACGATTCTCCAGGTGGCTTAGGGTCTCTGAGCGTGGTGGAGTCAAGGTAGCCAGACACTTGATCTGGCTTCTGACATGTCCCAGAGCAATTATTTGCAGGGCAATCCTTCCAGTGTGAGCATTTCAGACATCTAGGCAGCCCCAGAGCTTCACTGGTTCCACAGTCTGTTGGTCAGGCAAGTTCCTGGGGCCAGCCCCAATGCAGAGAGAAGGAGAAGGATTCGATGCCATCTCTCCATGAGAAATAGCATGAGTGCACATGATGGGCATCTCAGAGCCAAGTGCCCACACTGAGCTATCTGACCTTCAAATAAAGATAGTAATTGTGATATTTCTCTCATAAGCATGATGTTAGGATTGAATAAAATAATGTGTATGGAAGAGCTGAATATAGTAAACAGCAAATAAATATTAGCCATGTAGTTAATAAGCATATTATATACCTGGAGCATACTTACAACATTTGAGAAAATTATGCTAACTTATATCTTAGTTTTCTATGAGTTTCATGTATTTTCTGTATTTATATACTTTAAAAAATTCTCAACTCTAACCATGTTGCAAAATTTTGAAAAATAGAATGATGTTTAATCTTAATTCCACCATTGCTATTATCATTTTGCTATATTTATTTTTTCTGTCTTTTACATTGTTGTAATTTTAGCACATGGGTGATGTTATATCTTACTTTTTCCATTTTCATTATATCATAAGCTCTCCTCCTCCATGCTGTGATCGTTTTCATAACCATCATTTTAAATGTCCTTATAACATTAAACATTGAATAGATGTATTAGAGTTTGCTTAACCATTTTTCTACATTGAGTCTCTTCCTACATGTGCTTATTTATTTTATATCATGTAATTATACTTACTAGAATTTAATGTCCAACTATAATAGTCACCTATACTCAGTCTTGTCAATTCCATTTTTTCCCTCAGTTGCTCAATTATCTTTAAAGTTGTCTGTCCTTTAGTTTTCACCTGAGCCAACTAACTAATCTACCTGTTGACTTATCTGCTGCACTTACCCATTTTCCTTCTTTGTCTTTCTCCCTCATTCTTTCTTTTCTCCTTCCCTCTCTTCCTCCTCCCATCTCTTCATTTCTTCTACAAGTATTTCTTGACCTTCTATCTCACGCCAAGGAATCTTTTATGTGTGGGAGATAAAGTAATTAACAAGCCAATCTTCCCCTCTTCATGGAGCTTAAGTTCTAATGGGGAAGACAGGTCATAAACACTCAAACAAAAAAAGAAGAACATCAAGTATGACAAAGGATGTACACAAAATTAAAATGAAACAATACGTATGTTAGAGAGTATCTGATGACCATAAAAGGAACCAAAGAAAAGACAATGTCTACCAGGTTTCTCTACTGTAACATTACTATATTTCACTTTTAACTAATGAGTAATTTGTGGGAAGATACTTGAACATTATGTAAATATCCTATTCCTCATCATACTTCCATGCACTGGTTTTAACATTCTAATGACTTGTTTTCATTCCATCATTCCTTTTATATTTATTAGATGACATTCTACTTTAAGAAAAAACTTTGCCTTCTCCCCCAATTTATTTGTATTTCTTATATTGGCATGAACTCATGGATTCTTGTTTTATTCAATGAACAATGTTACCACTATTATTTAGTTTAATGATCAAAGTGTCCCAGGTTTGGCTACAGAAACCCTTCCAAGTAGACTCTTCTGATGTTTTAAAATGTTCTTATCTTTCTTTGAGTACTTTCTTGCTTAGTGGTACATCAAGACGTTCCAGACTCCTCTTTTCTTTTCCTACTTTTATCTATTCTTTCCTTCTTTCAAACTGTTTATATTCTTGGATATAATCAGTTTATAAGGAGATTATTAATGTATTTTGTTGCAAAAGGTGATAAGAACCTGGGGTATGGATAATAGGATTATAGTAGACAGGAAATATATGATAAAATTTAGGAGTTAAGGTCTCTGGGGCTTGGTTAATGACATGAAGAAGTTAAGAGAGTAATTTAACTTTTAAATTTATGACTTGACCCTTAGATGTATCAAATTCATGTCTAAAACCAAAATAATGATGGTATTAAAAGAGTTTAGACATAAACAAGGCAGAGAAGCTGTGTTGAGGAATGGAGAATAAGAGGAAATAGGGAGAATTCCATTTTGAACATGTTGAATGTAATATGTCTTGCAGACATTTGGAAATAGGAGTACGAGATTCAGATAGTGGGTTATCATTTGGAAATCATCAGAATCTGGGGTTAGTTAAACCAATAACCATGACTGTTGTCATCAAGAAGATGATGACAGAAAATACTGGGCCAAGGGTGGAACTCTGGGATATATCACCATTGAAGGTATAGAGAAGTTTATAAAAGAGATGAAGAGGAACAGACTACAGTATAAGGAGAACAAGGAGAGAGTAGTATCGCTGTTACCAAGATGGCTGAGAATTTTAAGAGATAATTCATGATAAATTGTGCCATATGCAGCAGATTGTTCTAGTGAAAAGTGGGTTGAAGAAGGTCTATTAGACTTGCTAATATCATGGTTTTTGGTAACCTTTAGAGAAGCAAATCTTGTAGAATGCCAGAAACAATGGCTTGAATGAATATAGGTTTAGGGTAGCTTACAATGTCTAATGGGCATTGCCTACTTCTGGATTCTGTGTTTGCACATTTAATTTTCTTTTCCTTGTATTTTTTTCTCGTTTTATCTTTTCTCTATGTTAGACATAAATGTGAACTCAGGGACCATGATTTTTTTTTTTTATCAGTTTATCCTAAAGAGCTTGCTCAGCAACATCTATGTTAGCAGGCAACCTGTAACTCCTATATGGGTGGATGAATGGATGGGTGGATATAGAGAGGTGCTATATCTGGAAGTTCTAAGATAGAGGTAACTTATTTGGAGGAGATTGGCTTGGGATCTGACTTAATAAGAGGAAAACGTGGAATTCTGGACAAGATTGAGTCAGGTGATAGGATCTAGGAACACGGAGAGAACACCATCATTTAGTGAAGTTGGTTCCATTATATAGCCTTCAGAATTGAGGAAACCTCACCAAAGGTGATACAGTTGCATAGCTATGAACCAATCTGAATCAAATTCATATTGGTGACGTTAATCTATCAGGAACCAAAATTCACTCTAAATTTATATAGCCACAGAAAAATTACAAAAAAGTATATAATAAGAAATGATAATGGAAGGGTGTGTAGAACTTTGAAGACATAAATGCAGAACAAGGTGGACCTGGGGTATTAGCTGGGGAAGGCTTTCTAGACATTGGAGGTTGCAAAATCTGCCATGTTAATCCCACAGGCATGAGGCAGTCATAGGGAGAGATAATCTTATATTGAACCAAGCCCCCAAAGGCTGCTGCATAAACTAGGTCAACTCTTCTTAGCTCATAGAAAGAAACTGCAAGGTTTCTGCTCATGAGACAGCTGTGCTTGCTTCTTTCCACATAGGTACATTGTCCGAGAAGTCATATGGTAATTAGAGTGCTCATTGAGCTATTCTAATCATAGCTCATGTTTACTGACACTCTAGGTGGCAAGCATTATGCTAAGCGCTTTACATGAGTCATCGTATATTATCTTCGCAACTTCTGACTCTGGTACCAATACTATTATAATTCTATAGATGAGCAGGCTGAAGCTTGTAACTTACCCAAGGTCACATTAGCAAGGATGAGGTAGAGGAAGCACTTGAACTTGTATCTGTCTAATTCCCAAGTCTGGACTCCTAGCCTCCAAATTTGCATGGAATGTGAATGAGGGGATTAATTCAAATTCAAATTTAGATTCCATTCAAGTTTCTATAGCATCTGGCTATCTCTGTAATGAAGGTGGATGGGTCAGATTTACTATAAAACCCTACTTCAGTGACTCACCCTTTTTCTATTATTCCTTTGAACATCAAAACGTCTTATTCTTCACTTTTGTTAATACCTTCAGTTCAGTTCTTGGTGGCCTTAGAGCCATTCTCTCTCTGCTAGGTGACTTTGCAAATATTGGTTTGGATGCGCTGGTTTTATGAAATGCCTTTCTTTTTGGAGAATCTTTCCACTATCACCCTCCAAGATGAAATATGTCCCACCTACCTGCTAAAACTCAAGAGGACAGGTTCCAGGTGCCCTCTGTAGTAGGAGTTTTGTTCTGAGGTAGCATCCACTGGAAAAGTATAGTAGCAGCTTTTACTTTTCCTTTTTTCATGCCAGATAGTGACCAAATCAGAAAAATTAACCAGCCTTGTAAGTGTGAGCAGGGAAAGTGATTTCCCCTGGCTGGAAGGACTCAGACGGTGAAAATAAGGAGAGACAGAGATAGAAAAATGAGTTAAGATGAAGCCTTTGAGTTGATATTTCTGAAGAATCACTTCATGGTGAGCAATGCAATAAATCAGCAGACTGAAAATACTACAACTGTTACTTCTGTTATGTGATGTTACACACGTTTTGTTACCAGTGTGATTTTTCTTTGTTTGCTTTGTTTTCACTTTATTTTTCTCAACAGGATGTGAAGAGCTGGCAAAACTTGACCTGACTGTGAATTTCATTGGAGAGCTGAGCAGCATTAAAAACTTGCAGCACAATATCCATCTGAAGGAGCTCTTTCTCATGGGGAACCCATGTGCTTCCTTTGACCACTATAGGGAGTTCGTGGTAGCAACTCTTCCACAATTAAAGGTATGGTTCTTTTAATGGTGCAGAAATCACAGATAAATGAGCATGAGCAACTACAATAATTCCTGCTTTACTGGCAGCAACAGTGAATGTGTTGCTTCAGATAATGGAATATTCCAGAGAGCCCAAAGTAATTATTTGAATGGCTAGACCTTTAATATTGTTTGAATAGTTTTAATAAATCCCTGAAAAATAAATTGCATACTTTTCACCTTTCTCATCCAAAACACACAGAACTTAATTTGACTTTTTCTCAATGAGTTCAAATCATAGTTACGAAGAACATTCATCATTACTGATAAGAATTCATTATTACTTGTTTTTTTTTTTTTTGAGATGGAGTCTCACTCTGTCACCCAGGCTGGAGTGCAGTGGCACGATCTCGGCTCACTGCAAACTCTGCCTACCAGGTTCAAGTGATTGTCCTGCCTCAGCTTCCCAAGTAGCTGGGATTACAGGCATGTGCCACCATGTCTGCCTACTTTTGTATTTTTAGTAGAGATGTGGTTTCACCATGTTGGCCAGGCTGGTCTTGAACTCCTGACCTCAGGTGATCCACCTGCCTCGGCCTCCCAAAGTGCTGGGATTACAGGCATGAGCCACCGTGCCCGGCAGGTTCACAGTCTTTGGTGTGCATCAGAGCACGTGGAGGCCTTTTCAAAACACAGACTGCTGTGCTCCTCCCCCAGGGTTTCTGGGTCAGGTCTGACATGGGGCCTGAGATTTCACATTTCTAACAAAATCTGGTAATTCTGCTGCTGGTGCAGGAACCTCATTTGACAACCACTACTGCGTATGTTACTCTTATACCATATCCCCCCAATCGAGTAATTTTAGAACTGAGGAAAAAATATTATTTCTTGAGAAATCATACAACAGAGAATATTAAGATAGCAATGTTACGTTTCATGTAATTCTAAGAGTTCCCAGCCTGCATGTGGCTCCATGTTCCTGGAAAGAGAATGCATGGATACATCGCCTGTTCAATAGGCATTTTTTCAGTTCTCAAAGGACGTTTGTTTCTTAGACTTCTGTGTTCTCTGCAGTCAAGAGACTGCTGACTGCTGGATTAATGGAACACATTTCTTCTAATGTAAAATTTCTCAGATTAAGAGAATGAGTGATTCAAGTAATTGAATATAGAATAAATGATAAATTGTCTCATACATAACCTAAACTGATCATTATTATACAGTGATTTCCTAGAAAATGAACTGATGAGACCCAGACTATCATAGGACTAGATCTTGTAGTGTAATGCTGTGAGCCGTTCCCTTGGAAGGGCTAAGGGTCCAGGAGTCCTCATGGCCACCGCAGCTGAGCCTGTGTCAGTGCTGCAGCTGAGCCTGGTCAGGCTAGAGGTGTGAGAGCCATCATATGGCTGCTGCAGACAGGGTCAGAGGTTGTGCCAGGTACTTTGGGCACAGTGTTTTTGATCCTCCCAGACCCATTCAGGGAGACAATTAGGTACATTCAGAGATGAGGAAGTCAGGGCTCAGGGAATGAACACTGCTTGTTTAGGCTGACATATCTGGCAAGTGACACAGGTGGGATCTGAACCTATGTGAGTCGGACCTTGATGCCTCCACCATTCACACTATACCCACATTCACTGCTTCTCTCCGGGTTAAATTATAGGCTTTGGATCAAGTCTTTCCTTTCAGAAAGACTTCTCCAAATTAACTGCTTCAATAGAAAACAGCCCCTTTTTGAAAAATGGTATTCATATGTTTACTACTATGTAAAAATAGGTTGATATGCTTTAGAGTCTTAATTACCATTTCATTGAAAGCTTGTGAGCTGCTTAAAAGGAATTGTGTTAATAAATGTATTATTTTCCTAGGGCTGCTGTAACAAAGTACTGCAAACTAGATGGCTTAGACAACAGAAATGTATCATCTTGTAGTTCTGAAGGCCAGACGTTCAAGTTCAAGATGTTGACGGGACTGGTTCCTTCCAGGGGCTGCGAGGGAGAATCTGCTTCATGCCCTCCCTCCTAGCTTCTGCTGATTTGCTGGCCAATCTTTGGCATTCTTGAGCTTGTAGACACATTACCCTGAGGGTCTCTGCCTTCCTCTTCACAAGACTCTTTATAAAGACACCAGTCATATTGGCTTGGGGCCCACCTGCTCCAGGATAATTTAGTCTCAGTGAATTATATCCATAGTGACCCTGTTTCCAGAAAGTCCCTGATTTGAGCTACTGGGGGTTAGGACTTCAACATCTTTTTTTGTCAGGGGACATCTATAATAACCCTATTTCCCAAAAGTCCATGATTTGAGCTACTGGGGATTAGGACTTCAACATCTTTTTTTGTCAATTCAACCCAAAACAACAGAGTAGTTATTTTAGATAGTCACATAGAAGAGGTGTGAGGAGAGTCAGCCCTTTTCAAGGTTTTTCTTCCCAGTGTCTGAGCCACTCCAGAAGTAGGTGGGCCCTGCAGTATAGTGGGAAACAGATTTGTTAGCAGACAAACCAAGGTCTGACCCCTGCTTCCACTGCCTGTGAATTGTGTGCCTCATTTTACTCATGTATAGTAGGATCATAATTCCTACTTCAAGGGAGTTCTGTGAGGCCTTCAGTACATCTTAGTGTCCCTCTCTCTGCTTCAGCACTTGCACAGTTATTATCAATAAGTGTGGACACTCCACCTTTGTGCTGCAGGAATCCTGGGTGAAGAAAGATCAAGAAACGCTCAGCTTAAAACTGGATCTCTGATTCTTAGGCCTTCTAAACTCAGACATGATTTTGGATTGAAGGAAATGTGGGCCAATTTCAAAGACTAACAGAAATCACTAAAAAAGTGAGGTTCCTAGAATAGGTGCTGGGGTACAGTCCCAAATTTGTCATCAGTTATTAATATGAGGTCTTTTGCCTCCTGTCAGTAAAGTGACAGAGGGTTCAGTTGTCATAGCCTTTTAGGAATGTAGTTCTAATTAAATCAAAATAGACTTACATCATTTATAAGACAGAAATCAATCAATCAATCAATCAATTAATGTACTTCAATTACAAGGAAGAAAAGATCACCTTGCTCCCCAGGGTTCTGTTGGGAAGAAATCCTAGTTGAAAGAAATTATCTAGAGTTTTCTAGCTTGTTATAATATACAGTTATATATAATGTATTTATGTTAATATATATTTATATATAAATTATACTATATAAATTAATATAACAAAGTGCCACAAACTGGATGACTTAACAGAAATTTATGAAAGTGCTTTATTTATATAGTATTAGTTATATATAAATATATTTACTTTTATGTTGATTCATATATTTATATCAGTGTATTTACTTATATATACTTACAAAATAAGTAAATTTCATTTATCCAAAAATTTCCAAATTGATTTGATCCCAATCCTGTATTAAATTAGATCAAATTAAGTATGTGGACCACAATTACTTAATGCCTTAAATAATAGGTTTTATTGCATTGAATTTATCATTATGGTCTCATAAGTAATGGTATGAAGATACCTTTATTGAAGGATACTACAAGAAACAGCCTTATGAAACCTGTGACTGTATGGCCATATTTCTACAGAAACAATGCTTGACATCTCTCAATATCTCCATTATGAAACTCTGTGCTAGAAATGTGTTTTAGAGCTGCATGTTAGAGGAAAGCTACAAACTTTATTTTTTCCTTAAAGACCATGAAAATTGTGTAACTAGTTATGTTTTTCTATTTCGCTTTGGCTGCCAAGAAGCTCAGAACCAAATCTGCAGCCCATCTATAGCAACCATATGAGTCCTTATGACCAGAGCATATGTGGCATTATCTTTTTTCCAAATCTCTACATAATTTTGACTTATAATTCAGCTGATTCTAATAATTTTTTAATTTATATTTGACTAAATCTTTGTGTGTATTTTTTTTTCCTTTTTTATGTTTCTTATTGCTGCTGTAACAAATTGAGACAAACTTAGTGACTTAAAACAATGCAAATGTATCACCTTATGATTCTGGAGATCAAAAGCCTGAAATGGTTTCACTGGGCTAAAATGAAGGTGTTGGCAGGGTTATTCTTTCTTCAGGCTCTAGGAGAGAATCCCTTACTTTGCCCCTTTCAGCTTCTAGAGGATACCTGCATTTTTAGGCTCATGGCCTCTTCCTCCATCTCCAAAGACATCAGTGTGCCAACTTTACCTCTCTCCCTAACTCTGACACTCATGTCTTTCTCTTTTACTTATAAGGACCTCTGTGGTCCTTATAAGAATCATCCTGATCATTCAAGATCCTTAACCTAATCACACCTGTAAAGCCCCTTTTGCCATGTAAGGTAACATTCATGGAGATTAGAACATGGACATTCTTGGGGAACCATTATCTTCCAACCACCCCTTCCTAAATACCTCACCTCATTTTGCAGAATAAGGCAGGGTAGATAAATAGGTATCTTTAAACTGTTAGCTTTAACATTTTAGAACTTTAGTTGATGCTTTTATTTTAATATTTTACTTTGGAAAATCATAATTGAAGTATCAGATGTAAACAATGCTGTAACAATAGCCTATCTGTTTGTCTTGTTGTTAAGGGTGAAACATGGGCTCATTTGTATTAGAGCCCAATCATGTGTAATATTCAAGGCCTTTTTTTTCTGTAGAGAGCTTTTGGGAAGTGCCATTGTTGTACTTTGAAGCTATGATTTGACTTAAGCATTGACATTTTTGACATAGTGAGCAATTATAAAATTAATAGAAAATATTTTGAGAGCTTGTATTAATTATCAGTTTTAACAGACCTAATTATTATTATTACTAGTAAAGGTATTTTTTAAACTGTGTAAATTATATGAAATATACATTAATTTAGAACAATGTTCTGATATTTCCCATTAATTATATTGTTTTAATTCTCTATCACTATCGGGTATATTATTATTTCTAATCAAAATCAACCTGGGGCTGATTCACACTGCTACTTTTGAACAATTGTACTATATTTATTGTTTTTCTTTAAGTGGTTGGATGGTAAAGAAATAGAGCCTTCAGAAAGGATTAAGGCATTGCAGGACTATTCAGTAATTGAACCACAAATCAGAGAGCAGGAAAAAGATCACTGTCTTAAACGAGCCAAACTCAAGGAAGAGGCTCAGAGGAAACACCAAGAAGAGGATAAAAATGAAGACAAGAGAAGTAACGCAGGCTTTGATGGACGTTGGTACACAGACATCAATGCTACTCTGTATGTAAATTATTAGTTTACTTTCTAGTTAACTTTTGTTAAAAGCAGCAAACTGTATTCTCTTTCCAAGTTGTTTGCAGTACACTTATATTCCAGATTAATTTGAAGAATGAAATATGATGTGAATTTTGGATGGAAGAATATGAGCATCCCATTGCTTGTGACAATTCTGTAAGGCTTTCTTTCCTTGGGGGAAAAATTCCTTTTTAAACTAGCAACTTTAATTTGCATCTAAAATTATTCTCAGAGAAATCCGTAAAATGTGTACAGAAAAGATGAATTAACAGGTGTACTTTGATTTACGAACTAGGAATATTTTAGAAAAGTTAAATACAAATCACATTATAATTTGAATAATTCTAATTGCATCATAAAACATTCTATTTTCTGAATTGGAATAGATTTCAGAAAAATACTGAATACATTTTTAATGTGATTAATAACTCTCTAATTGGTTTTTTAAAAATTAAATTTTTCATGTTTGTTTATTTTAAGTGAATTGCAACTATAGTCAGTTGATTTGATTCCATACAGTGAAAGTATTAAGTATTTAGATAACAGAATCCCTTAAAATTGAGAAAATAATAATTATAAAATATTGCAGACATACATAAATGTTTGAAAATAGTTATATAGGCAGCTTGTAGTTCTACCACCTAGATTTAATAAATGACAATAGTTTGTATGTTTGCTTTGGATCTTTTTTTTTTTTACTTTTTTTTAAATTATACTTTAAGTTTTAGAGTACATGTGCACAACGTGCAGGTTTGTTACATATGTATACATGTGCCATGTTGGTGTGCTGCACCCATTAATTCTTCATTTAACATTAGGTATATCTCCTAATGCTATCCCTCCCCACTCCCCCAACCCCACAACAGGCCCCGGTGTGTGATGTTCCCCTTCCTGTGTCCATGTGTTCTCATTGTTCAATTCCCACCTATGAGTGAGAACATGCGGTGTTTGGTTTTTTGTCCTTGCAATAGTTTGCTGAGAATGATGGATCTTTTTTTAAATAAGAAATAAAATATCATTAAGAGAGCAGACACTCCTTAAAGACTTCCCCTTCATCCCATGCCTCTCTTCATCCCAGTGGCGTCTGCTATCCTGAAGCTGGTGCGTGTTTGATATATGTTGATCCCATCCATATTTTTAATACCCTTATTTCACAAGTATGCCTCCTTAAACAATAGTAGTTTGAGTATGTGTGTTTAGCATGAATGATACCTTTCTATAGCTTTGCTTTTCATGCAACATTATGTTTTTGAGATTTACGCACATGAAGACATGCAAAACTAATTCATTGTAAGTATAGAATAATATCCTGTTGGATGAATAAATTACAATTTATCCCAGAGGTAATATTCAAAGTAGTTAATGACCAGTGTTTCATTTGCCCTGACCCATCAGAATGTGCAGCGGCTCTAACAACACATGTGGTCTTCCTAGTGGTGCCAGCTGGTCAGCCTGGACACAGCCATCCCTCTTTGGATGGCCATGCACGTTGTTTTCCCTATTCCCATTTCCTATTCTCACAGGAATAGAATCTCCTGAAAGTAGCATCATGGTCTCTCTTTGCCAGGGCTGTATCTCTGGTGCCTGGCACAACAGAAGATGCCCAATAAATATTTATTGAATCCATGTTGAACATTTGTTGAGATATTCAAGCAATGTTGCCCTTGTCTCCTTGTTCAGGTATGAAAGTTTCTCCAGGGTATTTAGCAATGGCATTGCTACAATTATGACATCTTTTCAACTTTTTACATATTGCCAAATTGTTTTCTAGAGTAGTTGTGATAATTTATACTCATATATCAACAATATACAAGAGTTTTCAGTCTTTGCCAATACTGGATAATATGATATTTAAAAATATTGGCCAATCAAGTGTGTTGTGTAGTATATAGTATCCTCTATTTTTAAAAAAATTAATTTGCATTTCTGTAGTTACTAGTGAATTTGAATATTTTAAATATCTTTTATATGTTTATTGGTTATTCAGGTATCCTCTATTCAAGTCCCCTACTTATTTTAAATAAGTAGTTAAGTTTTTTTCTTATTGAGAGTTCTTTTAGATTCTGGATACAAATAAAAAAATACATTCTTTGGTGGTTATGTGCTTTACAAGTGTCTTCTACCAGTCTGTGACTTGTCTTTAATTATAAGTGCTTATGTTTTATGAAGTTTAAAAATATTAATGTAGTTAAACTTATTTGTACATTTTTGTCTTGTTTATGGAATTCTTCTTTATCCCAGTGCCATATCTGTTTGTATCTTTTCATCTGGAATTAACCTTTGCCAATGTATAGGGTAGGGTACTAATTGTTTTTCATATGGGTAGCTAATTGTCTGCACCATTGATTAAGGTGCTATTCTTTTCCCACTGATCTGAAATGCTACCCTTACTATATCCCTTCTAACCATGTATTCATGGGTTCATCTCTGAGCTCTCTAGACTGTTCCATAGGAGTACATCTGCCTGGTTTTAATTTGTATAGATTTATAGCATATCTTGATATTTGGTAGGAGATATTCTCATTTTTCAAAGTTATCTTGGCTATTTTTAGTTCTTTACTTGTCTGTATGAGTTTTAGAATCCGCTGCTAATCAAATTCCTTAAAAATCCCTAGTGGAATTTTGATTGAAATTACATTTAATTTATATGTTAATTGAGGGAAAGTTGACATCTTCATGACATTGATTCTTTCCTTGCTGAACCTTGGAAGAGCTCTATTTATTTAGATCTTCTTCTGAGTCCTTCAATGAGGTTTTAAATTTTCTCTGTAAAAGTCTTAAACCATCTTTCATTGTATTTATTTCTAAGTATCTTGTAGAATGAGATTTTAAAAATAGATGTAATTGGTTTTGCTGATATTTAAAGGGACAAATTATTTCTGTATACTGATATTGTGTTAATCTTGCTAACCTTTATAAAAGAGGCAATCCTGCATTTTCTAGTTGGAAAAACAATTGTTTGTAAGGAGTAACTTGAAAATTTTTTTCCTGTCCCTCTCCTTCTACTTTATTTTCTTCATGGTGCCTGCAAAGGCCTCCAGTATGGAGTGGAATAGTAGCGTTAAGAATGGGTATCTGGGCCGGGCGCAGTGGCTCATGCCTGTAATCTCAGCACTTTGGGAGGCTGAGATGGGCGGATCACGAGGTCAGGAGATTGAGACCATCCTGGCTAACATGGTGAAACCCCGTCTCTACTAAAAATACAAAAAATTAGCCAGGTGTGGTGGCAGGCGCCTGTAGTCCCAGCTACTCGGGAGGTTGAGGCCGGAGAATGGCATGAACCCAGGAGGCGGAGCTTGCAGTGAGCCGAGATTGGGCCACTGCACTCCAGCCTGGGCAACAGGGCGAGACTCCGTCTTAAAAAAAAAAAAGAAAAAAAAAAAGAGAATGGGTATCTGTATCTTGTTATCTTGTTTCTGACTTTAAAAAGAATGTGTGCAATTTCTCATCATTAAGTATAATGTTTGCTATGGGATTTTGGGTCATGTTAAGTAAGCTTCCTTCTATTCTCAGTTGATGAAAAGCTTTTATCATCACATGCATTATATTGATTCTTATTAAATGCTTTCCTTTAATCTATGGAGACAATAGTGTTTTTCTGTTACTGTGTTGAATTACATTAATAGAATTTCTAATATTAAACCATCCTTGAGTTTCTAGGATAAACATCCTTTGTCCATGATTATTTGCTAATGCATTGCTCCATTGATTTTGCTAATATTTATAATATTTGAACCTGTGTTCATAAGTGAGTTTATGCTATAATATCCTTGTCTGATTGTATTTTTTCCTGGTGTTTTGCATCAAAGTTATGTAATAGGCACATACAATATCTTGGAGATAATTTACTATCCTTGGTTTATAAAAATTTACAAAAGTTAAAATGGTCTGTTCCTTGTACTTTAGTAGAAGCTTACAGTGGGGTTTCTTGCAGGTGCCTTCTTGCCTCCCTTATAGGCCTGGCTGATCCTTGAGTCTTCATCATTCTCACCCTATTTAGCCTATTTGAACAGAAACGTAGACATTCTGGAGAGAATCATTGAAATCCTGAATCATTGAATTAGTTGGGGAGGAGTAGGAGGTTACTCCCCTCTCAAGGCTTCAAGAAGAAACACTACAGAGAATTAGAGGCTGCAAGAAAGGGAGATGAACATCTACCTCTTGACTAGGTAGAGCCTGCCTCCAGCCTGGAGAATTGAAAAGATAGAAAGTGGCCTGGAGCAGCCTAAAGCAGAGGGATCAGGGAAGAAGGTATTAATGGAAACAGCTCACACTTCACATGGCAAGGATTTGTGAATATCTTTTTTTTTTTTGAGATGGAGTCTCACTCTGTCACCCAGGCTGGAGTGCAATGGCGCAATCTCGGCTCACCGCAATCTCTGCCTCCTGGGTTCAAGCGATTCTTTTGCCTCAGCCTCCTGAGTAGCTGGGATTACAGGTGTGTGCCACCATGCCCGAGTAATTTTTGTATCTTTAGTGGAGATGGGGTTTCACCATGTTGGTCAGGCTGGTCTCTAACTTCTGACCTCATGATTTGCCCACCTCGGCCTCCCAAAGTGCTGGGATTACAGGCGTGAGCCACCCCACCCAGCCAGATTTGTGAATATTTTATAGAACAAGTAGACATGGTAGAAGGGGCTGGGTTTGAGCTGTCTTGAAGAGATGCTGTCCAAGAGGACAGCAGCAATAAGTCACTAGGGGGTGGATTATCAGTGGCAGAAGCTGGGGATTTATCACAAAAGGAGCCAGGAAGTATATTGACCACCTCTACAGTGAACAGTACACTTGGAGGACTCTTGTAGTGTCTCCAAGAATGACAAAGGTGCTTGCAGGAAGAGAAACCAGTATCTGGATATTGGTCCCAGCGAGGGTAGCAGCAGCCAGGTTATAATAGGAGTGGTCATATAAGCATGTTCACATTCTTCTCCTCATTCATCTTCCCAAGCCCCAAATTCTCAAGGCAGGAAGACTCTGAACCTAAGAGGCCCAGTAGTATGGGATTCAGAGGAAGGAATGGATGACAATGAAAAGTAGAACGAGAGGGTGTCCCTCTTCCCGTGCACACCCCAATCTGGAACAGGGCCAGGAGAGAGAATGGGTTGGAGGGGGAGGGAATGGCTTCGATTTGAAATTTAGGTCTGAACTTTTATTTAAACTTTAGACCCTTTAGTACCTGAAAATGAATGTTTAGCTGAGATCATGCTGCTCTTAAAAGTGACTCTACAGCTGTGGGATCTGCTTATGGATGGGAAGAGAGTTCTGAGAGAGCAGGTTTGAAGGCAATGGTTGAAGAGAAAGTTTTTTTGATCATACACTAATGAGCTCACTCTGTTTCATCAACCAGTTACACACATTTATATGCATTTTGCCTTGGAGACTTATGTTATTTAGCTCATATCTCTGATAAATTTCTTAAGTACTGTTATTTTTATGTTTTTATAATTATTATTTTAGATTGCAAAAGGCCAGATTGAACCAATTAGTCACTTTCCAGGAAAAATATAATTTAAATGGTTAAATGAGAATGGAACCAATTATTTCAGTGGCAATTATATAGAATATTGTAGAATATTATAGATACCCTTCATAGATTATTCTTTCAATACCATAAAGAACTGTAGCTGTATAGCAAAGCAATTTATTTATTTTCAGCAATTTGCATTATTTTGCTTATTAAAATATTTAGTTGCATTGTATCTGCAAAGAATCTAAGCAGAATTTTACTCTATATTCTATTGATGCTACTTAAATTTCATGTTCTAGTATTTTCAGTTCATCCCTTTGAAAAGTATCTTTCACAATATTTTCAAAATAAAGAAAATATATTTGAAAAGATACTTTCAAAATGAAGAAAATATCTTTAGTTTGAAGATCAGCTAAAGAAGCCTTTCTTGTCACCTCATTCATTAACAAAACCCAACATGTATTGAGTACCTACTATTTGCTGTAGTTGTATTAAAGGCTTCATGTAATTTTTTTCATTTGATGTCATCTAATAAAGTGTCTATTCTAGGGAGAGGTGAGGGGAGAGAGACTGTACCTAATGTTTATCGCTTAAATGATGTCATTTTCTTGCCACAAGAATAGAATCTCCTGAAAGTAGCATCGTGGTTTATGTAGGCCAGGGTTGTATCTCTGGTGCCTGGCACAACAGAAGATGCTTAATAAATAAATATATTTTGGATCCATGTTGAACAAATGTTGAATATCTCATATAATACCCATTTGATGACATACAGAGACGTTGTTTAATTCTCTGACAGTCCACAAAACATGAATAAAAGGGAAGAGAGAACTGTTACCATGTAAAGCTACATAATCAGAAGTTATCCATGAAAAATAAACTAGACACAGGCCATAATATAAAAAGTGCCGGCTGGGTGCGGTGGCTCATGCCTGTAATGCCAGCGCTTTGGGAGGCCGAGGCGGGTGGATCATGAGGTCAGGAGATTGAGACCATCCTGGCTAACACGGTGAAACCTCATCTCTACTAAAAATACAAAAAATTAGCCGGGTGTGGTGGCAGGCGCCTGTAGTCCCAGCTACTCAGGAGGCTGAGGCAGGAGAATGGCGTGAACCCGAGAGGCGGAGCTTGCGGTGAGCAGAGACCACTGGCCACTGCACTCCAGCCTGGGCGACAGAGGGAGACTCCGTCTCAAAAAAAAAAGAAAAAAAAGAAGGTGCCATAGGTCCCACAAGCGAATTTTGGAGATAAGAGAATCATTTAAAAACCTGGAAATAATGTGATCCAATTTGCCTGCTAGAAAAGTCCTTCTGGAAGTAGTGTGGAGAGTGTAATTGACAGGTACAAGATTAGAAGTGGGGTGATTTCTTGTCTGATCATCAGAATCTCCTGCAAAATATTATAAAACACAGATTCCCAGGCTTCAGATCTACTACTTCAGATCTACTGAATAGGCTTTCTGATGAGAGCCCAGGAATCTGTACTTTTTATAAAGCTCCCCAGGTGATTCTTAGCAGTCAGGTCTGTGAACCCTGGAATCTGATTACAGCAATATTCCTGATGATAGAAGATGAAGGCCTGCCCTATTCAACCTTTCAATGTAATGAGTGCTAACAGCCTTGGGTTGATCTCACTACATATCCATGCAGGGTAACCAGGCCTGGTTAAACTGTCTTTCAGAGTCACTTTGTCATTCAAAGGTAAGAAGATCACATAAGAAAAGTGTATAGATATTAAAGGGCCAGCATTAAGGATGAAGCTCATGAATCCATTATTGTTTTTAAGTGCTCTATTTGTTTTTCCTAGTTCCTCTTTAGAGAGCAAAGACCACCTACAGGCACCAGACACAGAGGAACACAACACAAAGAAATTAGACAACAGTGAAGATGACTTGGAATTCTGGAATAAGCCCTGTTTGTTTACTCCTGAATCAAGATTGGAAACTCTTAGACACATGGAAAAACAACGGAAGAAACAGGAAAAATTAAGGTATTTCATTCTTTCCTAGGAGAGGGAAGCAGTAGCCACTTATCAACTATATTTTTATGATTGCCCATTTTTTGACCCATTATTTGTGTTAAACCTTTAGCACTTGTATATAGATTTTGTTTTTTCTAAGTATAGCTTTTTGTTGAATTGTATTGGCTAACATTCATTAATATCAAAGTACCTTCTTTAGAACATCATGAATTATGACATTTTAGGTAGAGGTTTGTTTGTATATCTTTAGCTTTTTACCACTTTTAATATGCCTAATAATAGTGTATTAAGTTACACTAATACATTAGTATTTCTAGCCTAGAAAAAGGTCATTTTGTGGAATGAATGGGCTCCTTTTTGAGTCTGTTCTATTAATTTGCAAAGTGAAGAATTAGAAACTAGTTTCATTAGACATTTTATTTTCCTAATACAACTTTCTTGGACATTTAACAGCATGATTTCACTTTTGAGTTGTTTACATATAATTTGATGATTTGTTAGAAGCTAGGATTTTTATGCTATTATCTTCAGAGTAGCTTTTTCAAAAATAGATTTTGTGTCATTCCATTTCATGTCATTGCTTAAGTCTAGTATGTAAAATATATAACTTATGGGAATACTTATTATTCATGAGCTTGAGAATGTGATAAATTAGCCCTGAAATATAGTAATCTACATGGCAATGACTCAAGTGAAACAAAACACAATATCTCTCCTTGTGATTAACAACTAAAAGCAAGAAACTAGAAGTAAAAAAGATTTGAAATCTCAGCTGCTTTCATAAAGTTTTAGGGAGGTATAACAATCAAAACTCAAATTTTATCTAAAATACTTGTTTGTAAAACGTGGGTGATTTGCACACTAAGGGACTACACAGTCCTTTGGGAAGAGCATTGAATAAGATTATGTATGCATGTCTTGACTCCACTATTACCCTCTGTGTGATGTTGGCAAGTACCTAACTTCTCCTCATCTGTTTCTTCATCTGCTAAACAGGGATTATCATACCTGTCTTACCTACCCCACTGTACTGTTAAGAAAATCAGATGAGCCTATACCTGTGAAAGTGCTTTGCAGACTCAAGAGCCCTTTGAAATGGAAGTTCTACATGTTTATAGAATGTGAACTATTTCTTACATATATACCCATACACACATATGTTATATTTATATATCTGTGGGTATGTAGAAATAATATCTAATCTGTTATGAATTGAGCCTGAAATAAGGAGAAATTTTTTTTACTCCCTGTTACCTAATAAAGTAAGGCTGAATTGGATGGAGATCTGAGTCACTATGTTTTGGACACCTTAGATTTCCCAATCCAGTGAGTCTGTGAGATGTTTGCCTCTGATTGTGTTACCATTTTTATTAATTCGGTGTAAGCAGGGACAAAAGAAATCTTTTGTTCCTAACTCTGATCTGCTTTACACTGAGTAGGGTGAAGCCAAGGGCTTGTGGATGCCCCTTAATTGTCCTGGGTCATTGAAATATTAACTCCATTGGATCTGGAGGCCCAGTTTAAAATGCAGAAGAGTGTGAATGATTTTTTCCAAAATAAAGTTAACTGACACAAAATCTGTATTAAAAGTACAATAGAAATTTAAGGCAAAGAATTGCCAACAGTTCCATCATCTAAACAGATTTGTTTATCTGATCTAGATATTGTCCATATTTGCCTATTTAAGGTTCTATATACTTTCAGTAATCTTTTAAATAGAATTTACATACTGCATTTTAATTTCCTATTACTCCATTAATCTTCTATTATTTGCTTCCTTTATTTACCTCCTATCCAACCCTTCAGTGTAATGAGTGTTAACAGGCTTGGGTTGATCTCACTACATTTTTTTTTTTGCTCTTTGTAATTGTATAACTTATCTCTGCAAATGTAGGATTTGGGGTCTTTTTGTAAAACAAAAATGGATTTATATTTTATATATTTTTTCTCACTAAATACATCATCAACACTTTTCTAAATCAATAGGTAATGAGCAAACACATTTTTTAATAGCTGCAAAATATTTTATAGCATGAATGAAGCACAGTTGATCCAACCATTTTTCCACTGATGGACATTCACAACAGTTCCAGGGGTTTGCTACTGTAAATAATGCTGTGAGAAATATCCTTTTATATAGATTCTTCTGTGCTGGTATTTTTATTTCTATTGAATAGATTCTACTTGGTATGTTAAATGTTGTATTTTAGCTAAAGCAGAAGCTCTGTGCACAAATGGAGAGTTGACAGTTATCTGGGTAAATCATGTATAAAATAGACTTACTTAAATATTAATAGACATTCATGAAAAGGAGTTTTCTTCCCTCATTCAAATTATCTGGCAAATTGTCTTGGTCATTTTTTTGCTGTACAGATACAGATACAACCATATAAAAAATCTGGCTTGATTGTCAGTTCCCAGCATAGAATTAAAGGAATGGACTTAAGAACAAGGAATTGTTGATGTGTTCGTAAAAGTCCAATTAATTTTTTTAAAACTGTTTCACAAAAATGTATTAATTGCTTTTATATTCTCTTTGCTTGTTTTTTCTTTCCATGCTGCCCATTGTTCTCATCCACCACCAATCTTAAGTGAAAAAAAGAAGAAAGTGAAACCACCCAGGACTTTGATCACTGAAGATGGGAAAGCCCTAAATGTGAATGAGCCCAAGTATGTGAGGCCAAATAGAGCGTTAAAGACCCAAAAGTGTCAGTCAATGGTGTTGGTCAATCATTGTTTCAATTCCAGGTTTGCTCTGCAAAGAATATTTCTGACTGCTCTTAACAAGTTTGATGAGTCTAAAAATAATGTCATTTGGTGCATATTTAAAGGCAAAACATCTATTATGTTTTCAAATGCATAATTTTCTTGGCATCTAGAAAATGATCTTGACATATGGAGATCTTAGTTATTTATGTACCCCATGAAACTTTGGACCATATACAGTTTTATGCCTGAAAATTGCCATCACATTATTGTTGTATTTATGAATTTTTAAAACTCTGCCATGAGCAAGCTGCTTGAGAATACTGATGTACCTTCTATACATCTACTTTATACTCTGGAGCACATCTACAAAGCACTGGAGAGCTAGGGAAGGAAATCAATATAATACCCTCAATGAATTTAATGAGAGGATGGATACTCAAACTGGAAATCTTCAAGTATAATCACATCTGATCTACCCTCTTTGTCTGTCTTAAAAATTGAAATTAGAAAGCAGGACAGAAAAGCCTTTTGTAGCTAAAATACAGACCAGAGAGCCTACAGACTAAATCTCATTCACTTCATTTTATTACTCAAACCTATTTTCTGTCATCATTTCATTTGCTCTGTCATGACCATGGTGAAGGTACAATCCTGAATTATTCCTGGGCATCATTTGTCTTCACAGCAGTCACAGGTGGTAAACAGTATTTCTTTTTTACATGTCCAGAACCTGGGCCTGAGAGAGGTGGAGTGACTTGCCCAAGGTCACACAGCTAATAGGTGGTGTTTCTGAGTTGCTCATGCTAACCTAGTTCTAGTGACTTCCATGATAAACTTTATAATTCCTTCCCCTTACCCACACTCAGCAGACAGGAATGCAAGACAGAACACTAGGCTAGGCCCTGGGGATAGAGCAATGACTGTTAACAGGTTTCTTTCTGACCTCATGGAGTTCAGAAATCGACTTTAGGCGGTCTCTATTTAGCCTACAACAGAACTCAAGGGAGACTCTCGGAACTCCATGTGTCTCTGGTAAGACCACCACTCTTCCCACACACTGCAGCCTCACCTGCCCCTAAAACCAGTTCTACTGAGATTGATTCTATGAAGAACTGTTTACCCACCACCTCCTCACTAGCACTGCCTCCCGACATGTGATCATCCCCTGTTCCTCCCCTCCCAGGTCATGCACCACTGGCCAGAATCTTATACCCAAATGGCGCTGATCCACTTCAACTCATTGTCACCCCTTTTGGACCCCTGTGCCCTCTGGAGCTTGAGCTTGGACAGCAAAGCCTGAAGCTTCCACCGTTTCTCCTCTTTCACTAACTGAAGTGGAGGGTTCACTTCTGTGGCTGACAGCTGTTCTTCCTCACCACATACACCACAGGGGCAGTTACAGCCCATCGCCACTTTCAGGCCATCTTTCTCCCTTTCTCTGTTGAAGGACAAGCCATCTAGATATAGCACCCCTGCTCCTTCTTCCCGCAGTCATCTACATCACCCTGGTCAACCCTCAACCCCAGCCCTGTCAGTTCATTGAAGATCTTTCACCCACACCCGTGTCTCTCTCTGCCTCTCCTGCTATTATCAGTCTTGGTGATGACTTTATCAAACATGTAGGTGATCCACCAGAAGCCCTGGCCTCTCAGTTCCCCAACCGGCTCACTTCTCCAGCTCAGCTCAGCCACACGATTTCATTTTCATTCCTAGATTTGCCACTGTCAATATCTCTTCCACCTCAGAAACTTAACCTTGAGTGTCTCACTAGACACCATTTCTTATGTTCCTGGGGGAACTCCCTCCACTCAAACAACCACGTGCCCCCATGAAGACCATAAGATAATTCACTCTCCTATTTTTCTTACTGTACCCTAACCCCTCATCTTCTCTTGCTGTGCTTTAGTTTTATGGTTCATCACAGAAATCAGTCCTTGGGCCAGGTGCAGTGGCTCACGCCTATAATCCCAGCACTTTGGGAGACCGAGGCAGGCAGATCACTTGAGGTCAGTAGTTCGAGACCAGCCTGGCCAACGTGGTGAAACCCCATCTCTACTGAAAATACAAAAATTAGCCAGGAATGGTGGCACACACCTGTAATCCCAGCCACTCGGAAGGCTGGGACACGAGAATCGCTTGAACCTGGGAGGCAGAGGTTGCAGTGAGCCGAGATCACGCCACTGCACTCCTGCCTGGGCGACAGAGTAAGACCCTGTCTCAAGAAAAAAGGAAAAGAAAAATGAAATCAGTCCTTGTCGTTTGTCTTCAGCTTTCTTGTTTTTTTCTCTTTCCATCATCCTCACCTCACAAAACCCCAACCTGTTGAAAATCCAGCACACTACCCACTCTTGGGCTGGTCCTCCTGTGTGGCTGGAGGAGACCATTCACCTCTACTTGCTGGTCTTACCTTAAATTCATAACCACAGATCTCAGATGGACTCTGGCAATCTTCCTGTATTTTCCTGGGCCATCCATTCTCCTACTGTCCTACAAGCTGCTCTCCTACCTTCTCTCTCCTTACTTCCAACATCATCTGACACTTCCACAGTCTTAACTGAGGACCTTGTTTCCTATTTCGTTGAGAAAAAAAGCAATCAGGAGATTTCTTTTCCTCCCAACATCCAATTTACCAGTGTATCTGGACCTGTCCCATGTACTCCCCTCTCTCCTGCTGCTGACGGTGAACTTCCCATCCAAAATCAGTCTGTGTAAGCACCCTGACTCCATCCCCTCTGCCTATCAAGGACTTAGTTGCTCAGTTATCCTTGGTCTTCTGCACTAGTTCTCTCCACTCTGCTAGATCAGTCTCACACATGTGCAAACAAATTCTAAAAATCTTTGTCTTAAACAAAATTAAAGCAACAACCTCCCTTCCCCTGGTTTTCCTTCCAGCCGCAGCTCTTTTTCTCTGCCCCCATTTAATGGAATTGTCTGCACTTGGTCTCCAGTTTCTAACTTCATATTCCTTCTTGAAACCACTTCTGTGCATTCCATCATCCTGAAATTTCCTTAGCCATATTATTTCCACATTCAGTGTTCGATTCTTAGTCTTTGTCTTACTGGACATAGCAGATTTGGATCAAATTGTTCAGTACCATCCTTCTTTTTTTTTAATTTATTATTATTATACTTTAAGTTTTAGGGTACATGTGCACAATGTGCAGGTCAGTTACATATGTATACATGTGCCATGCTGGTGCGCTGCACCCACTAACTCGTCATCTAACATTAGGTATATCTCCCAGTGCTATCCCTCCCCCATCCCCCCACCCCACAACAGTCCCCAGAGTGTGATGTTCCCCTTCCTCTGTCCATGTGTTCTCATTGTTCAATTCCCACCTATGAGTGAGAACATGTGGTGTTTGGTTTTTTGTTCTTGCGATAGTTTACTGAGAATGATGATTTCCAGTTTCATCCGTGTCCCTACAAAGGACATGAACTCATCATTTTTTATGGCTGCATAGTATTCCATGGTGTATATGTGCCATATTTTCTTAATCCAGTCTATCATTGTTGGACATTTGGGTTGGTTCCAAGTCTTTGCTATTGTGAATAGTGCCGCAATAAACATACGTGTGCATGTGTCTTTATAGCAGCATGATTTATAGTCCTTTGGGTATATATCCAGTAATGGGATGGCTGGGTCACATGGTATTTCTAGTTCTAGATCCCTGAGGAATCGCCACACTGACTTCCACAGTGGTTGAACTAGTTTACAGTCCCACCAACAGTGTAAAAGTGTTCCTATTTCTCCACATCCTCTCCAACACCTGTTGTTTCCTGACTTTTTAATGATAGCCATTCTAACTGGCGTGAGATGGTATCTCATTGTGGTTTTGATTTGCATTTCTCTGATGGCCAGTGATGGTGAGCATTTTTTCATGTGTTTTTTGGCTGCATAAATGTCTTCTTTTGAGAAGTGTCTGTTCATGTCCTTCACCCACTTTTTGATGGGGTTGTTTGTTTTTTTCTTGTAAATTTGTTTGAGTTCATTGTAGATTCTGGATATTAGCCCTTTGTCAGATGAGTAGGTTGCGAAAATTTTCTCCCATTTTGTAGGTTGCCTGTTCACTCTGATGGTAGTTTCTTTTGCTGTGCAGAAGCTCTTTAGTTTAATTAGATCCCATTTGTCAATTTTGGCTTTTGTTGCCATTGCTTTTGGTGTTTTAGACATGAAGTCCTTGCCCATGCCTATGTCCTGAATGGTAATGCCTAGGTTTTCTTCTAGGGTTTTTATGGTTTTAGGTCTAACATTTAAGTCTTTAATCCATCTTGAATTGATTTTTGTATAAGGTGTAAGGAAGGGATCCAGTTTCAGCTTTCTACATATGGCTAGCCAGTTTTCCCAGCACCATTTATTAAATAGGGAATCCTTTCCCCATTTCTTGTTTTTCTCAGGTTTGTCAAAGATCAGATAGTTGTAGATATGCGGCATTGTTTCTGAGGGCTCTGTTCTGTTCCATTGATCTATATCTCTGTTTTGGTACCAGTACCATGCTGTTTTGGTTACTGTAGCCTTGTAGTGTAGTTTGAAGTCAGGTAGTGTGATGCCTCCAGCTTTGTTCTTTTGGCTTAGGATTGACTTGGCGATGTGGGCTCTTTTTTGGTTCCATATGAACTTTAAAGTAGTTTTTTCCAATTCTGTGAAGAAAGTCATTGGTAGCTTGATGGGGATGGCATTGAATCTGTAAATTACCTTGGGCAGTATGGCCATTTTCACAATATTGATTCTTCCTACCCATGAGCATGGAATGTTCTTCCATTTGTTTGTATCCTCTTTTATTTCCTTGAGCAGTGGTTTGTAGTTCTCCTTGAAGAGGTCCTTCACATCCCTTGTAAGTTGGATTCCTAGGTATTTTATTCTCTTTGAAGCAAAAAGACAGGGATGCCCTCTCTCACCACTCCTATTCAACATAGTGTTGGAAGTTCTGGCCAGGGCAACTAGGCAAGAGAAGGAAATAAAGGGTATTCAATTAGGAAAATTTGCAGACAACATGATTGTATATCTAGAAAACCCCATTGTCTCAGCCTAAAATCTCCTTAAGCTGATAAGCAACTTCAGCAAAGTCTCAGGATACAAAATCAATGTACAAAAATCACAAGCATTCTTATACACCAACAACAGACAGAGAGCCAAATCATGAGTGAACTCCCATTCACAATTGCTTCAGTACCATCCTTCTTAAAGCAATTTCTTCCCTTTACTTCTGATTTTTCTTCTATCTTACTGACTGCTCATCTTCCTAAGCTTTGACAGATCCTTTTGATTTTGTTTTTTGGGTGCCCTATAACAAACTCCTCAGCTGTCTTCCCTTTTCACATTCGCTCTTCATGGCTCTCACCAAATCCCATGGCTGTAAACACTCCCTTTACATTTCTCCCAACTCGATCCAACCTCTTCTCTGAGCTCAAGACTTGTCTATTCAGTTATGTTGTTAAGAATATATAGTTCCTCTTCAGAGGGTTTCGGTTCCTGGTTCTTTGTTCTATTCTAAAAGATAATTGTACCCATTCATCTGTCAGCCCTCCCTATCTCTACTGTGCCCAAACACCCCAAGATATACCGTACCTTTCCTTCCTGTGAAATGCCCACTGTTGCCTCCTTTGATGATGTCAACAGTAGCCAATCAGAATTAGCCTAGATTGAGCGGTCCAACCCCAGCCTGCAGTGGAAGGACATAGGAATAGGGTCTGTGTTAGGGATAAAAAACTCCTGCTCTCCTTTGTTTTGCTCACTCTCCCTTGCCTCTGCCTTGCATGCAGGAAGTGCCCTTCTATAGAAGTATATTGCCTTGCTGAGAAAACTTTTGCCTGAGTGCTGGTTTCACTTTGTGGCACTGAAAATTTGTTTCTAACAATTAGCTGTTTGACATCACTGGGTGGATATAAGAGAGTCATTGCACACTTATGACGACTAAAAGAGAACCCCTGATTTCCAGCCTCACTAACACTCTCCAGCATCGTGTGCTTGTGTCCCTGTGTTCTCCATCTCAGTAACACACATTCACCCCTTGGCTAAGACCAGAAACCTTGGATTCTCCCTTAATTCTTCTCTCCCTCATTTTATCAGTGCGTCCTATGAACTCTTCCTTCGATATTATCAGAATCCAGCCACATCTCACTGACCCCACCACCACCACTAGTGGACACTAACTCTTGCTTGGACAGTTGCAATTGCTTATTAAGCAGTCTCCATGGTTTATCTGTTGGCCTCCTACATTCTGTTCTACTCAGCTAAATAAAGAAGAAAAAAGGGAAGAAAGGATACACGCTCCTTTTCTTAAGGGACATTCTTAGAAAGTGCCATACAACGACTGTCCCTCACATGACCTCACCCACCTGCAAGGGAGGCCAGAGAATGCAACCTTTATTGTACATAGCCATGCCCCTAGTTAAAACCATGGTTCCTGTCACTAGGAATAAAGGGGAAGCAGATAGCAACTAAATAGCAATCTCTGCCATAGGAAAATTCTCTGAAATTACTTTACAAGTAATAAGCAATCGAGGCAGAGCAGGAGCATATAAAAAGGCTCCTGAGATGAGGTTCTACAAATGCATGGGTCATTTGAGACACTGAAGAAGTCCCACAGGCCTGACTATTGAAAGCAATGAGACAGTGCCTGCCACAAGCAGAAATGGGGCGAACAGCCAAATCTATCGCTAACTTCACATTTTCCTAAACAGTTTAGCTTATGTTCTTTAATATTGTTGAGTTGTATGTTTTATAGAGTAATACAGTAACTGAAATGTTCAAAAGAAAATTGACCAGGCAATTCTGATAGTATGTTGTTCAGTGTGGAAGCTAGACCTAGGACTCAACCTCGGGGTACAGTTGAAAGATGGTGGAGCTTTGAAATCCTGCCTAGCCAGGCTCGTGCAGAGAAAGTGTAAAGGCATTTATTATAATTCAGCTATGCCAACCTCTTTGAACCTCTGTTTCTTCATCTATAAAACAGAGGTAATAGATAATGAGCAGTGTCTCAGCCTTTTTCAGGGCAATGGAAAGGTCAGCGATGAAAGGAGAAGAAAAAAGATAGCAAGAAAAAAGAAGGAAGACAGGACTCTAAAACTTAAGGAATAGAATGCAGGATAAAGGGGAGGCAAAAGCAACCTTTAGTTCTCCATAAATAATTCCAATGTTTTAGTTTGCTTCTGGCAAACTCATATGAGATGGAAAAGAAAACTTTAGCCACCAGATGTCTCTATCTCTGCACTAAAGCTAATTTTTTGTGTGTAATTTACCTTAAGATTCTCACATTTAAACACTGTAAACACAAATAATTTATTAATATGTTGTAGGTTTTGCTGAAATGTTAAAATTACCGTTGATATTTGATTGTTCAACCACTAAAATAAGTTGTCTTTGGATATTATTATAGAATTATTATCTAATCTGCTTATGAATTTATGATGGGGTTTTCTATACAGTATCCTAAAGACATCTCTTTTTTCCCACCAAATGTGTTATTCTTAGAATTGACTTCTCTTTGAAAGATAACGAAAAGCAGATCATCCTGGACCTTGCTGTCTATAGGTAAAGACATTTTCTACGTATTTATTTATGACATTTCTGTCTGTTTTCATTCTCAGTAGTAATTTTTTAGTTTGAAAAAATTGAAATGGAATTGACTTAGACCTATAGTTAAATGAAGCTTATTTGTTAAGACAGAGAAGTTACTATAATTTTTAAAAGCATGAAAATGAAAGGAAAGGTAAATAAAGCCACAATTTCATGGATATGAACTCAGGAATATCTAAGGCAGAGTTTAAATAATTCTCAGACCTGTGCTGTTTTCTGATGCTGATACTACAAGGACCCCACTCTGTCTTTGCTGGCATAGTCCTCTGTTTTTGTCTAAAATGCCTTCCTATAGTAGTAGGTATCAGGTGATCGGCTCCCCTCCCTCAGTCCCATCTCAGAGGCCTGGGGGAACACCTAGCAGCCCCTGTCACCAGTGGACCCTTCTTCCCTGCTGCCCTCTCACATCCTGCCTGTTTTCTCACCCATGGGTAGGAGTGGCACAGACCTCCTGCCTGCCCTCATCACCACACCCAAACTATTGTCCTTTTCTCCTCCCTAAAGCTCCATGGCTTTGACACTCAAACCTTCAGCCTGTATCCCCTTCTTCTCTTCTTTGTGGAAGCATCTAAAGGCAGCAGGTCACTCTGCCTCATTCCCTGAAGATTTTAGGCCCTGGTTCACTGTGCCGATACATCCTTCTGATGACCTCAGTGTCCCCTGGCACCATCTCAGAGGCTGCTTGCCTGTGCTTCCCTCTGCCTGTATCACCCTCGGTGTCCTTGTGGCTTGCTGCCTCGTGTCCTTCAGGCCTCTGCTCAGATGTCACCTCATTAGAGGGGCCTCTCTGCCCCACCATCTGACATAAAGCAGTACCTACCCCTGCCCAGCACTTCCTTCCACTCTTTCTACTTTTTGACTTCCTGCTGACAAAGTGTAAATTTACTTGTATTCTTAAAAGTTTGTGGTCAGAGCAGGAAGCTTGTTTTGTTTGTTCTTTCCTCTCTACATCTCCACACCTAAAACAATACCTGGCACCTGTTAGGTGCTCAATAAACACAAGAATGAATGAATGAATGAATGAACAAATACTGATGATGGGAGTATGACATTGACATGCATGAATGAATGGATGAATGTTTACATGCATGAATTATAATAAATGCCTTTCTCTTTTTAATGGCTTTTGATGTGCCCCATTTTATTTAATCTCTCAGTAACCCTGGGAGGTTGGAGGGATTATTACCCAAGAGGGGGTAACTTTTCCAAGAGTGAGTCTTGTCAAAGTGAACAGGGACCGAAGGAGCCAGAACATCAGCCCTCAGGACTTCAACCAACTTTGCTGTTTTGATTGTGGTAAAATACACATAACTTAAAATCGACCATTTCAACCATTTCAAAATGGACAACACCATGGCATTTAATAAATTCACAATATTGTACAACCATTACCATTGTCTAGTTCCAGAAAATGTTTATCACCCCAGAAGGAAACCCCATGGTCCTTAAGCAGTCACTGCCCATTCTCTGTCTTCATGGCAACCACTAATCTGTTTTCTGTCTCTATAGATTTGCCTATTTGGGATATTTCATATTAATAGAATCATACAACATGTGGCCTTTGTGTCTGGCTTCTTTCACTTACCATAATGTCTTCAAGCCTCATCCATGTTGTTGCACGTGTCAGAATTTCCTTCCTTTTTATGGCCAAATACTATTCCATTGCATAGATGTACCACATTTTGTTTATCCGTTCACCAGATGGTAGGCATTTGGGTTGTTTCCACCTTGGCTCTTGTGTACCAGGGCTAGCCTTAGTGTGGTCCCTTCCTCTCCACACCAAGCTGTCTCAGATCAGCTGTGTGCCTCTCCACAGAATTCCTGTCAATTCTTCTGCCTGCTTGCTGCCAGGTTATCTGCCTTTACAAAGATCCCAGCTCTTCTCCAGCTAGCTTCATATCCTCTGCTCCTCCAGCTTCCCAAGCTGCCGTTTCTACTGTTTTTCAGACAAATCACTGTTTCATCCTTGTAAGTCCTTTCCATTTTTAGGCCCTATGTCTGGTGTTTAATGAATGTATAACCCTTTCTTTTTCAGCTCTGTTGGCTGCTTCCTGTTCAGTCCTCAAATGGAAACATTCCTCATTCCCATGCATGTGCATTTTAAGGGGTGGTAATATTTCTCCAGTCTATGTAGTAAAACTCTTTCATTCCCATGATTCTGTCTAAATGAATTATGCTATAATTCCTGGTTATCTTTATGGGCACATAGGTGTCTACTTGAAAGTTAAATTCATTCGTTCACGCCTGCTTCCTGCCTTTATTCAACAAGCATCTATAGAATACCTACTATGTGCCAGGCATGGGGAGACTGTAACTGTCTCCCCAGTCATGATCTCCTATCACTTAGAGCCCTGTGGGGGAGGGCAACAGACAATAAATAGACATCTGATGAGTTACAAAGGAAGAAGGCTGCTGTCAAGGAGAGGGACAGTGTTCAGGGATGGGAATAATGCTGTGCGGGGAGTAGTCAGGGAAAGGGGGAGACGTGAGCAATGATAATTGAAAGATAAGAAGCAGCTTGCTCTGCAAAGAACTGTCAGACAATTATTTCTGCCAGAGAAAGGCCATGTAGGTAAGGACAGATGAACATTTTAGGGGGCCCAAGCATGGAAAATACTGCATAATCCATTAAGTGTAGATATCACATGTGAAGCTGTAGAAAACCTCATCTCTATTATTATTATAAAAATTGTTTTTAAATGGCATATAATGATGCTTTATTAACACTAGCTATGTACTGGGCACTATACATGTTCCTTCCTAACAATCTTAGGGCTACGTGTTAGTAGTATCCCCATTTTACAGAAGAGGAAACTGAGGCCTAGAGAGGTTAAGGAATGTGGTCCCAGGTAATAAAGCAGGAAGGCATGGAGCCAGTTCCCCACAAGCCTGTGTGACTCCAAACCTATGCCTGTAACCCTTGTATTAGCTTACCTGCCTTAACATTTGTGATTTTTAAAGCAGCTCTGCAGTTTCTAATGTTCACAATTAGTATTTTGAAGTATGTGAACATAATTATTTGGCCAAGCTTCTGATTTAATGAGTGATATGAAATCTAAATCTTTAATTTGCTCATGAGTGGAGGAGAATAATTGCCACCTGATCTTGGGGTCACTGCCATAAACAGAAGGGTTTGCTTATTCAGCAGGATGTGACTTTGAGGGGAGAAGCAATCTAGTCTTCCAGGAGAGATAGTATTAGGGCAGCTGCAGAACAGCTGCAGGGGATCCAGAGCCGCCAAGGAAGCAGGAGCTGGTGGTTGCAGGCCTCAAGCAGAGTAGAATCAGCATTCCTGGCTATTCAAGTCTTAGGGGCTTAAAATAAAATATTCATGAAAGAGCATGGCAAGCTGTTTTTTGCAAACCTCTGGTGTTTCAGACCTCAGATATTTTTGGGTTAGGGGCAATCAATGCCAAGTATACTTGTGGGTCTAAAAATGAAATTGCTGATATATTGAATTTCCTTTGGTCTGGGAATTAATTTAAAACTAATTTTTTAAAGACCCATTTTGCATGGATATTTTAAACGCCCTTCATTTAAAATGGTCCTGTAAGTGTGAATTTATATTTGCACTTATTCAAACTTGATATTTTTTAAAATTATAAGATTTTCTGTGTTTAATTTTGAAGGTATATGGATACCTCTTTAATCGATGTTGATGTGCAACCAACTTACGTGCGAGTAATGATCAAAGGAAAGGTAAGTAGAACCCTGTAGGCTATTACAATTTCAAAAGCTAAGCTTTGAACTAAGCTGTGGTGCCTCAAATGTTTTTAAGTATTATTAAAATAGAAAAAGGGCCCGGGCGCAGTGGCTCATGCCTGTAATCCCAGCACTTTGGGAGGCCAAGGCGGGCGGATCACCTGAGGTCAGGAGCTGGAGACCAGTCTGGGCAACATGGTGAAATACTGTCTTTACTAAAACTACAAAATTAGCCAGGCATGGTGGCTCATGCCCGTAATCCCAGCTCCTCGGGAGATTGAAGCAGGAGAATTGCTTGAACCTGGGAGGCGGAGGTTGCAGTGAGTTAAGATCACCCCACTGCACTCCAGCCTGGGCTATTGGAGTGAGACTCTGACTCAAAAATAAATAAATAAATAAATAAACAAAAATAAAACAAAACATAGAAAAAGGGAAATGAAACAGAGTGCTATTTTTTAGCACATGGTTTTGTATCATGGGAGTGGTATAAGGTGGGAATGGCTGCTGACCATATGTAGTTGGATATCATTAATATTTTAAACCTGTGTCTATTGTGTTACACTTTTTTCAAACCTAATAACATAATTATATGTGTGGGAGCCTATGCATGAAATTAAATTGTACACCCATTCTAAGTTGTCAATGATTTCATTCATAAAAACTATAATTTTATTATTTCTAAAATACCATTTTTTGCTAATTTGGGCTAATATGGGCTTGAAGATTAGCTTAAAGATTTTTAAATGGAAATAATGTTGATGGTTTTTTGACAGGGCTTTCTCTATAAATTACATGAACCCACGAGCATGTCACTGTTTGTGATTGATAACTGTTCTTTAGACTACTTGTTAAAATAGGTAAAATAGTTTGTGCATAGAAAGCATAGCTCATATCAATATTTTTAATAAGCTTAAGCACATTTCTTAATTGAATGGTGTATCTTGAATTTGTAATGAAAATGCCCCTTTTAGTAACCCTCTCATGTAACGTCCTTGCTCTCAATGATACTTTCTTTCTACTTATTTTCAGCCATTTCAGCTTGTCCTTCCTGCAGAAGTGAAACCCGATAGTAGTTCTGCTAAAAGATCTCAGACAACGGGTCATTTGGTCATCTGCATGCCCAAGGTAGGTCATGTCATTTGGGTCAATTTCAAGTCTGGATATGAGGGTTCCTGAAGGAACTTGACCTGTCAGGACTAATGATGACTTCTGATTAAAGTACATTTTAGTTGGGAGCACCAGGAAATCTCACAGCAGCTGAGGTAGGAGAACAACGGTCTGTGAGAACAAAGAACTCAGACTGGAATGTGTTTGGGGCCTAAGGTGGTTTATCCTTTCCTGAAAGAACTTAAGGAAATTAAACTTAAAAAAATTAATTTGTCCATAGAAAGAACTTGGATTCATCATTACAGGCCATATGAATGAGTTGGGATATTTCCTGCTGTAAGCTGCAGAAACCCCAAATAAAACTGGCTTTTATCATAAATAAATGGTTCATTTCTTGTATCAAGATAGGAGAAAGTGGGGAATAGGTGGTCGAAGAACATTGGGTCAGGATCTTTCTGATGTGTCAATTCTGTCCTCAGACTGGTTTTCTTCCATAAGATGTGCACTAGCAGTGACTTGGGCAGCATACTTTCATGTTCCTATCTTGCATGAGATAAAAAGACAGAGGATCAGAGAAAGAAACACAGAGAATCTCTCCCATCACAATGAAACAGAAGTTCCTCTGGAACTTCTTAGGTCAGTTTAGCTGAAGAGCCCACCAAGTCTTGATTACCATAATCCTGAACCATTAAAACCAATCTCTAGCCAAAAAGATGGTAGTACTATCAGCCTTCCATGGGTTCAGCATCCATGGATTCAACCAACCAGGGATCAAAAATATTCAGGAAAAGAAGTGTGTCTATACTGAACATGTACAGGCTTTTTTTTTTTTTCTTGATTCCCGAGACAATACAGTATAATAACTACTTACATAACATTTACATTGTATTAGGTGTTGTAAGTAATCTGGAGGTGATTTAAAGTGTACAGATGTTTGTGGGTTATATACAAATACTATGCCATTTTTTATTGGAGACTTGAGCATCTGAAGATTTTGGTGTTCAAGGGATGTCCTGGAACCAGTTCCCCACAGACGTATTTTGATTGGTTTCTATTAATCATACCTCATCCCATAAGCTAGGGGTAGGGTCAACTTTGCCCAAGTCATTTAGATTTCAAAGGGGAAGAGTAGATAAACCAGTCAAAATTGGGTTCTGCTGATGAGGAAAAAGAGTAGAATGAGGGAATGTCAGCTATGAAGAGTACAAACTTGATTAACCAAAAAGATTTCTGTAATAATTTAATAATTCTGCGTTTCCTGTAGCCAATTTCCAACGGATTCATTATAGGTACTCAATTATGTATTTTTACTTGGAGGCAATAAAATAGCAAATACAATTTGTTGTCAAGTAATAAAATAACAAACACAGCTGTAAGAATTGTATTGTTCTTGATGACTATAACAAATTAAAGAAATGCTTCTATAGTAACCAGAATATTCTATAGGGAAATCTAAGATATAAGTTAATTACCTCAGTACTTTGATACAGACATTTGTGTAACACTATGATTAGCAGCCTGTTGTTTTTGTGTCTGTGTGAAACTTCTAACTGGAAAGCCAAAGATTAAATAGAGACTCTGCTAATTCCTAAAGGGAAATCAAGACAGATGATTTGTGTATCTTTTGCAGGGTGCCAACCAATTGATGAGAAAAGCTCTACTGTCACTGTTTATGAGTCTTAAACAACTGCAGCATTCTTTTCCCCTTTTCCTTTATGTTTTTAATCTGTCTAAATTTTTCACATGAAAATAATAATAAATGGCTTATGAGGAAAAAGCATTTTAGAAGTGCTTGATTGGAGATGAAATAATTTATATATATATGGACTAGGAATAGTTCTATTTTCGTCATTAATAAATTATGAATAATATTTTCCCTTGAGGGATATATTTTTTAAGATTTTCGACTACTATGTTAAAGTAATATTGATGTATAAGTTCTTCGTTTTCTATCATTATTCTTTTTAAAAGGTAGATAGTAAAAACAAACTTTGGGGAATAATTTCTTGCTGAAAATTTGTCGTCTTTTTCATCCATAAGTAGTTATTTGCAAGGATCTTAAAAACCACCAAAAGTTAAAAAAATTCTAATTTCATTTATACTTAATATTAAAAATGTATATTTCTGAAAGTTAACATCTTTCTAATTATTATTGATTGAAACATTTTAAGTACCAAAGTTTAACCCATGGAGCTATTCTGTATTAGTCTGGACTTATGAACTTACTGTGGAATTGTGTGAGTCTGACCTGCATTATAATTACTGAGGGAAATTCTTGGAGTTATGAAACATACTGTAAGAATCAACATTTGTCCATCATCAGACAAGTTGATGAAGAAACTGTGATATATGTGTGTGTGTGTGACCGTTTAATATGATAAAATATCATTTAGCCCTAAAGAGAGTGAGATTTTGCCATTTGCCACAACATGAATGAACCTGCATATTATGCCAAGTGAATTAAGCTAGACACAGAAATAGAAATATTGCTTGATGTCATTTATATATGGAATATTAAAAATAAATTCAAATATACAGAGATAGAGAACAAAACAGTGGTTACTCAGCGTTTTTTCATGATGTCAAATTAATATTTTACTCTTTTCTTACTCCTAAATGAGGCTGGATCTATACACTCTGGGTATTGACCAATATGCAAGTTTCATCAGTTTGTCTTTTCCCTGTCATGTGGGTCATGGTTATGTTTTGTGTTGCTGCCATGTCAGTGGATGTTCCCAGCTCAGCCCCTTGTTCCAAGAGGTTTCACTTTGTGCTAGCTGTGCAATCCTAGGTGCTTCCCAACACTCACCACTGGGTCGATGGCATACTACAGATTGCTGTAATACACAAATATCACGGTCCCTAGTATACAGCCACATTTCCCAGAAAGTCAGTTGTCACTGTACTTCCTCTACCGTTTTAACAAGGGTCACTGTCTAGGCTAGAAGTGGCAAGTGAAGTAGTAGAAGAGGTGTACTCTGGCCATCTCATAAAGATAGCATCCAGCAACGGGGGAATCATAAAAAGTGGTACACCTGCATAGAGCACTTACCAGGAATGGAGGCTGCAGGACTGGAAGTTGCTCTGGGTGAGTCAGCAAGTGAGTGGTGAGTGAATGGGAAGATCCAGGATGACTATACACTACTGTGGCTTCAAAACACTATACCCTTAGGCTACACTAAATTTATTTTTGAAGTGTTTCTTTCTACAACAATAAACAACTGTAACATTTTTACTTAATAAGCTTTGTAGTTTTTTTCCTAAGTTTTGACTCTTATAACACTTAGCTTAAAACCCAAATACATTATACAGCTATACAAAAATATTTCCTTTCTTTATACTCATATTCTGTATGCTTTTTTCCATTTCTAAAAATTTTTGGCCAGATGCAATGGCTCATGCCTGTAATCTCAGCGCTTTGGAAGGTTGGGGCAGGAGCCCAGGAGCTTGAGACCAGCCTGGGCAACATAGTGAAGCCCAATTTCTACAAAAATAAAAATTAAAATTAAAATTAGCCAGGAACTGTGGCTCATGCCTCTAGTCCCAGCTACTCAGGAGGCTAAGGCAGAAGGATGGCTTGAACCTGGGAGGTAGAGGCTACATTGAGCCTAGGAGGTCCAGAGGCTACATCGAGGCTGCATTGATTGTGCCACTGCACTCCAGCCTTGATGACAGAGCAAGACCCTGTCTCGAAAAATAAAAATAGTTTAATATTTTATTTGTTTACTTTTTAAAATTTTTTGTTAAAGACTCAAACTCACACATTAGCCTAGGTCTACACAGGGTCAGGATCATCAGTATCACTGTCTTCTGCCTCCACATCTTGTCCCATGGGAAGGTCTTCAGGGACAACATTATTTTTTTTAAATATAAGTAGAGGGAGCCCACTCTAATATAATGATAAAAAGTATAGTACAATTAAACATATAAACCAGTAACATAGTCATTTATCATCACTATCAAGTATTATGTACTGGACATAATTGTATATGCTATACTTTTATACGACTGGCAGTGCAGTAGGTTTGTTTATGCCAGGATCACCACAAACATGCAAGTAATTCATTGTTCTACAACATTAAGATACAGTGTCAGTAGGCAATAGGAATTTTTCAGATCCATTATAATCTAATGGGACCACCATTGTATATGACTGTATATGTAAATCAGACCAAGTTACTCTTCCCATTTTATTCAGAGTTAAAGGCAGAGTCCCCTGATAACCTGTCCCCCCGACCCCATTATGTCCCTGACATCATCTTCTACCACTTCCTTCCTAGTCATTGCAGCCACATTGGCTTCCTTGCTATTTCACAAACATGACAAGCATCTTTCTACTTCAGGACTCTTGCACTTGCTGTTCTTTCTGCCAGAATGTCCTTCCCCAAGATGTCCTCATAATTTGCTTTCTGCTCAAGTGTCATTATATCACTGAGGCCCTTCCTGATACCCATATTTACAAAACATCTCCTCCCAACCTCAGCATTCTGTATCCCCTGTTCCTGCTGTATTCTAAATCTCCTGTTCCTGCTGTACAGTCTAAATATTTAATTGTTTATTTCTTTTTCTATTTTCCCCAACAAGAATTTAAGCTTCCTGAGAACAGGGAGTGTTGTCTGTCCTTGTCAATGGCACCTAGAACAGATCCTGGCAAAGAGTAGGTCTTCAATAAATTTTTGTTGAATGAGTGAATACCTTAAATGTATCTTTAAAATACATTTTAATATTTAGAACATGCGTCTCCCCTAAACTACTCTCCCTCTCAACTATTTCCTGATTATTTTTCCATATGTATTTTTCTGGGTTAACTTTCAAATGAGTTTCTCAAATTCCGCCTCTGAAAAGACCATTGGAATTTTTATTGCCATGGATTTAGAGGCAGTGGGAAGAAATGATTAAGGGAATGGGCTCTGGAGCCAGAGAACCTGAATTAAATTCTGATATTTCACTCAGCAACTGTGTGACCTTGGCAAATTATTCATCTCTCTGTGCCTCAGATTCCTCATTCATAAAATGATATCAGTAGTAATTCAGACCTCAAAAGGTTATTTTGAGGATTATGCAAGTGAATATAAATAAAGTACCTAGGACAGCGCTTGGGACATAATACACACTACATTAATGTTTACTGTTAATATTATTCATTGCTAGTAATGCATATTATTAAATAATATCAATTGCTACTAGCTAGTATTTTATAATTATTAAGATTGCATTGAATTTATAGATTGCAATAGGAATGAATTGATGTATTTACATTATCAAAATTGGATATTCAATAATGTGTCTCTCCATTATTACTCTTATTTTATGTCCATTAGAAGGTTTTCTTTGTTGGTAGTTTTCTCTCTATAGTTGCTACACATGTCCTAAGTTTATTTATAGATATTATATGTATGATTTTAGTTTCTATTTTGGTTGGGGTTATTCCTCATCACATTTTCTAGGAGTTTATGTCTGGCCTTCATTCCAAGTTCTTTAAAATGTGTAATCAAACTAAGTTCTATGTACATAATCTTTTCATCATCATCCGGAGGATATCTAGCATATGATTTTACCACAGTCCAACTTAAAATTTAACTGGAATTTTGCATGCACTGAGAGGCTTGTTCACTTGCATCAAGTCATTAAATTAAACTGCCATCTCAATTCTTAAATGACAAGTTACAGGAACACTCCAAGAATATGCTTCATGATTTCCTTTGGGTGTTTCTTCAGAATAATTAACTGAGATTAAGGAAGTTGCCATGTGAACTGAACAGCAAAATATATTTACCACTTCAGTGGTGAATATCTTGCTTAATTCTGTTTATACTGAGCATAAGAAGTGAAGATCACATATTAAGGTCAATAATACAGACCATACTTCTAAAAAACACAATCTCAAACCAACCTCCTCCTTATTAGTTGCACACATTCCACTTTTTCTCTGCTCAAATATACTGGTGATATACCCAACACAAATGCACTTTTATTCTCTGATTGTCAAGTGGGTCTATAGTGTTGCCTGGGCATCTTGCTAGGTTTTCTTGTTTCATCCATACTTCTGCTCTTTTATTTCTCATTCTCAGCTCATTTATAAAACTTCCAACTGAAGCTCATTCCTGAAATTTCTAACTGAAAAAAGTGGAAGCCTCAAAAGATAATTTCCACAAACTTTAACCATAATGGCTACCAACCTATCTGCATTTATATCCCCTTGTGCAACCTGGCCTTCCTTCCTTCCTAATTCTATGAATGAACTGTCTGTGGTGTATGCAATCCCTCTAGATGTGTATTGGATCCTATTTCCACTTGCTTTTAAAAGACTTCCCACTCCGCCCCCGCCTTTGGCAGTTCTCTGCTCTCTATACTTTTTCTTTGAATGTCACCTCTCTGAATCTTACATTAGAAAACATTCTGAAAGGTCTCCCCTCTTAAAAAACAAAGACAGAACAAAATAAAAACATCCCCCTCTATTTACCGCCCTGGTCCACTTCATTGCAAAACTTTTAAAAAAGACGCCTCTATTTGCTGTTTCAAATCTTTTCTCATTATCTCTCAAATCAACTCCAATTAGGCATTATGTCCTCCCCACACCCCCACCCCCCACTAAAACATCTCTCTTTGATGTCTCCAATAACCTCCAGATTACTAAACCTGGTGATCATCCCTTGTCCTCCTCTTATTTAACCTTTTAGTAGGCTTTTTATCCCTTATACAGTTCCTCCATATTTAAATCCTTGCTCACTTGGCTTTCAATACACAGCTTTCACTCTGCCACCAGATACTTCTGTCTGCTGGAGTCCTTTGCCACCAGGTGCTTCATTGCTGGTTGTTTCTTATACCTAGGCTTCTGCAAGTTGGTGTGTGCAATAATTCAATTCTGAGACCTCTGTTCTTCTCTATTTGTACTCCTTCCTACATACTACCATCTTCTCATAATACCTCTAGAGCTCTGTCATCTGCTAAAGGCCAACTAAGTCACAAGGAACAACAATCACACTGAGAACTTAAGAAGATGGACTACATATTTTAAAAACATCTTAATAGTACCAGTACCTACCAAGATAGTGAATAGCCACTGTCCTCTGGACAAAAAGAATCCTTCAGTGACCACACAGGTGGGAAGAAAACAACTAATGTCCAGAGCCTGCCAAAAAGGGGACTCTAATAAATCGCTCTCACTTTGGGGTGTGATTCTGAAGGATTGTAACCTTTTAGTAAGGTGAATAAGATGTAAACCAGTCATCAGAAGGCCTCACAGCCTGTCTTCACACTATCTAACTTGGACTTGAGCTTGAGTGAAGGTTGTCTTGGATAAGTAACACCCACACATGCCTGGCAAACCCAGTGAAAATCCTTTCTAGAAGAGGCAGGCTCAAATTATATATATTACAAACATACACGCATATGTATGTATGTGTGCTGTGTGTATATATATATATATATATATATATTTCAAATTAAGTATCCAGTATGCAAAGATAAACTAGATACACACAGGGACATGAGTAGGATTCAGTAGAAACCCAGTCCAGTTTTGGAATTTGATTATGGCAGGTTGTTGCTCTTCTTCCTTGAGGGCAACCTTGAGGGTCCCACAGTTGCTGTGGGCATTAAATTGTTAGAAACAGACTGTAAAACACTGTTTTAATTTGGTGTCTTTCAGAAGCAGAAATTTACATAGGGATTGCAGTAGAGTAGTTTATTTGGGAAGTATGGGAATGCTGGAAGGGAAGGCGGCCAATAGAGAGTTCTCTGTTAAACCAGCTTCCCTGGTGGGAAAACTCTAGAAGACAGTGCTAAACACATACCTCAGCACAACCCTACATAAGGGGTGATGGAACTGGGACATTTGTGCACCAGCTCCTGAGGATCCTTGGTTGATGGCTGCTCCCTGTTGTGGGGTGGTAGTGACATTGATGTTGATGCTGATTATGTTAGGAGGCAATAGTCAAGCATGAAATGTTTTATAAGGAAACAGAAAATACAAAAGTGGTTTAATACTTGAAAATGAATGAAATAAAAATGTTTTAAAATTGAAATATGATAACTTTAAAATTTAATGAGTAGATTTAACAGCAGATTAGACATAGCTGAAGAGAGCACTGCTACACTGGAAAGTAAGAAGATGAGATCCAGAATGAAGCATAGAGAAAAAAAAATATTAACGAAGACAGTAAGAACACATAGAATAGAGTGAGAAGGTCTAACATGTTTAGTTAGTGTCATATGGAGAATAAAGGAAGAATTTAGCAGAGATAGTTTATTATTATTATTATTATACTTTAAGTTCTAGGGCACATGTGCACAACGTAAAGGTTTGTTACATATGTATATATGCACCATGTTGGTGTGCTGCACCCATTAACTCATCATCTACATTAGGTATATCTCCTAATGCTATCCCTCCACCCTCCCCGCACCCCATGACAGGCCCCGGTATGTGATGTTCCCCTTCCTGTGTCCAAGTGTTCTCATTGTTCAATTCCCACCTATGAGTGAGAACATGCGGTGTTTGGTTTTTTGTCCTTGTGATAGTTTGCTGAGAATAATGGTTTCCAGCTTCATCCATGTCCCTACAAAGGACATGAACTCATCTTTTTTATGGCTGCATAGTATTCCATGGTGTATATGTGTCACATTTTCTTAATCCAGTCTATCATTAATGGATATTTGGGTTGGTTCCAAGTCTTTGCTATTGTGAATAGTGCTGCAATAAACATACGTGTGCATGTGTCTTTGTAGCAGCATGATTTATAATCCTTTGGGTATATACCCAGTAGTAGGATGACTGGGTCAAATGGTATTTCTAGTTCTAGATCCTTGAAGAATCACCACACTGTCTTCCACAATGGTTGAACTAGTTTACAGTCCCACCAACAGTGTAAAAGTGTTCCTGTTTCTCCACATCCTCTCCAGCACCTGTTGTTTCCTGACTTTTTAATGATAGCCATTCTAACTGGTGTGAGATGGGATCTCATTGTGGTTTTGATTTGCATTTATCTGATGGCCAGTGATGATGAGCATTTTTTCATGTGTCTGTTGGCTGCATAATGTCTTCTTTTGAGAAATGTCTGTTCATATCCTTTGCCCACTTTTTGATGGAGTTGTTTGATTTTTTCTTGTAAATTTGTTTGAGTTCTTTGTAGATTCTGGATATTAGCCCTTTGTCAGATAAGTAGATTGCAAAACTTTTTTCCCATTCTGTAGGTTGCCTATTCACTCTGATGGTAGTTTCTTTTGCTGTGCAGAAGCTCTTTAGTTTAATTAGATCCCATTTGTCAATTTTGGCTTTGGTTGCCATTGCTTTTGGTGTTTTAGACATGAAGTCCTTGCCCATGCCTATGTCCTGAATGGTATTGCCTAGGTTTTCTTCTAGGGTTTTTATGGTTTTAGGTCTAACATTTAAGTCTTTAATCCATCTTGAATTAATTTTTGTTAAGGTGTAAGGAAGGGATCCAGTTTCAGCTTTCTACATATGGCTAGCCAGTTTTCCCAGCACCATTTATTAAATAGGGAATCCTTTCCCCATTTCTTGTTTTTGTCAGGTTTGTCAAAGATCAGATGGTTGTAGATGTGTGGTGTTATTTCTGAGGGCTCTGTTGTGTTCCATTGGTCTATATCTCTGTTTTGGTACCAGCACCATGCTGTTTTGGTTACTATAGCCTTGTAGTGTAGTTTGAAGTCAGGTAGCGTGATGCCTCCAGCTTTGTTCTTTTTGCTTAGGATTTTCTTGGCAATGCGGGCCCTTTTTTGGTTACATATGAACTTTAAAGTAGTTTTTTTCCAATTCTGTGAAGAAAGTCATTGGTAGCTTGATGGGGATGGCATTGAATCTATAAATTACCTTGGGCAGTATGGCCATTTTTACAATATTGATTCTTCCTATCCATGAGCATGGAATGTTCTTCCATTTGTTTGTGTCCTCTTTTATTTTGTTGAGCAGTGGTTTGTAGTTCTCCTTGAAGAGGTCCTTCACATCCCTTGTAAGTTGGATTCCTAGGTATTTTATTCTCTTTGAAGCAATTGTGAATGGGAGTTCACTCATGATTTGGCTCTCTGTCATCTGTTATTGGTGTATAGGAATGCTTGTGATTTTTGCACATTGATTTTGTATCCTGAGACTTTGCTGAAGTTGCTTATCAGCTTAAGGAGATTTTGGGCTGAGATGATGGGGTTTTCTAAATATACAATCATGTTATCTGCATACAGGGACAATTTGACTTCCTCTTTTCCTAATTGAGTACCCTTTATTTCTTTCTCCTGCCTGATTGTCCTGGCTAGAACTTCCAACACTATGTTGAAGGAGTGGTGAGAGAGGGCATCCCTGTCTTGTGCCAGTTTTCAAAGGGAATGCTTCCAGTTTTTGCCCATTCAGTATGATATTGGCTGTGGGTTTGTCATAAATAGCTCTTATTATTTTGAGATACGTCCCATCAATACCTAATTTATTCAGAGTTTTTAGCATGAAGGGCTGTTGAATTTTGTCAAAGGCCTTTTCTGCATCTATTGAGATAATCCTGTGGTTTTTGTCTTTGGTTCTGTTTATATGCTGGATTACATTTATTGATTTGCATATGTTGAACCAGCCTTGCATCCCAGGGATGAAGCCCACTTGATCATGGTGGATAAGCTTTTTGATGTGCTGCTGGATTCGGTTTGCCAGTATTTTTTTGAGGATTTTTGCACCGATGTTCATCAGGGATATTGGCCTGAAACTCTTTTTTGTTGTTGTGTCTCTGCCAGGCTTTGGTATCAGGATGATGCTGGCCTCATAAAATGAGTTAGGGAGTATTCTGTCTTTTTCTATTGATTGGAATAGTTTCAGAAGGAATGGTACCAGCTCCTCTTTGTACCTCTGGTAGAATTTGGCTGTGAATCTTTCTGGTCCTGGACTTTTTTTGGTTGGTAGGCTATTAATTATTGCCTCAATTTCAGAGCCTGTTATTGGTCCATTCAGGGATTCAACTTCTTCCTGGTTTAGTCTTGGGGTGGTGTATATGTCCAGGAATTCATCCATTTCTTCTAGATTTTCTAGTTTATTTGCGTAGAGGTGTTTATAGTATTCTCTGATGGTAGTTTGTATTTCTGTGGGATCGGTGGTGATATCCCCTTTATCATCCTTTATTGCATCTATTTGATTCTTCTCTCTTTTCTTCTGTATTAGTGTTGCTAGCGGTCTATCAATGTTGTTGATCTTTTCAAAAAACCAGCTCCTGGATTCATTGATTTTTTGAAGGGTTTTTTGTGTTTCTGTCTCCTTCAGTTCTGCTCTGATCTTAGTTATTTCTCGCCTTCTGCTAGCTTTTGAATGCATTTGCTCTTGCTTCTCTAGTTCTTTTAATTGTGATGTTAGGGTGTCAATTTTAGATCTTCCTGCTTTCTCTTGTGGGCATTCAGTGCTATAAATTTCCCTCTACACACTGCTTTAAATGTGTCCCACAGATTCTGGTATGTTGTGTCTTTGTTCTCATTGGTTTCAAAGAACATCTTTATTTCTAGCAGAGATAATATTTAAAGAGATAATGGCTAACTGCAGGATTTATACTTAGGGTTTTTACATGTATACCCACTGCACAAACTGAAAACATTTTATATACCTTCAGTCTGGGAGATATTGTGCTATACTTTTTATGAATAGAAAAATAAAATTGGCTTGGCCCCTGCCCTGAAAGACTTTACCACCTACATTCATATATCTACAATTATGACTATTTAGCAAAAATTGTATATGCTCTGTGATAAACAGTTTAAACAACTCACTTTCTGCAATAACCCTGTAACCTGGGGATTTTTATTATCCAGATTATTTAATGAGGCTTGCTGAGGTTATATACATTTCCCAAGGTCATAATTTAATAAATAGATGTGTCATGTCATAGAAAACACTAGATTGGGGTCATTAGTTCTCTTCTTTCAGAATCCTGTAATAAATGTGATAAGTAGACACACCATTTAGGCTCTTGCTTTTATCCTTATACCAGTTAATAATAACGACAAAGACATAGCTACTATTTATTGAGCATTTACCATGTGCCACACACAGTGTTGAATACTTTGAACATCTTATGGAGTAGGGGTGATTATCATTTTGCAGAAGAGGAAATGAAATTCTGATGTTGCCTTAAATCATAGGGTATGTTTCCAAATGAACACAAACAATGCCTCATAATTTTCATCTACAGCCAGATTACTTTTGGATCATTAGCAGCTTAATATAGTAAAGTGCTTCACCTTTAAAATTTTGTTCCCAATATTTCTACTCTAAAATAAGGAAGTGGTTTAGGATATTTCATGAGTATCAGTATCTTAGCAGTCTTTATTCTCCTGTGAAATTCCCCCCCAACCCCACTAAGAAAATTGTTGAGGATCAAAAGTAGATACAATGAAATGTATCCTTTCTTCCATGATTCCTCATACCACTTTAATTGGAAGATAACCTGCATAGTTACCCAGCTTGTTGTCAACTGGGGACAAGGAAATACACATTATTTGCAGATAATTGTTTTCTTCAAGGTTATAGAGAAGCCTCTTTTCCAAATCATGGGCATCCTCTCTAAAACCTTGCCTGGCATCCTCCCAGACCAAGGGGTTGTCTTTTCTCTTTTCTGTGTTTCCTGGAAGTGAAATAAACAAATGTCACTTAAATAATGAAATCTATTGCTGCCAACTTCATACATTCTTGTCAAAATAAACATATAGTAGATACCAGATGAAGGTCAGGCCCTAGCTGCTCAGAAGGTAAGTCAGATCTCACCAGGAGCTCCCTGCACAGCTGACCTTGATCCAAGAATGGAATCAGCTTTGCGGGCACTGGAAACTCACAGGCCTCCCGTTGCGAGGTGAGGCTCCTAGGTATGAGGGAGAAGGCTCCTCAGGGCTACACACAGGGCAGGTGGTGCTCTCAAGAATGGCAGTGCTCGGTGGGCTCTGGGGAACAGCCACGTCTTGAAACAGACCCATCAACTGCATCTTTCTTGTATTCTTTATATCCATGAATCTGTATATGGTTATTTTAAAAATAAAATAAGAGGTGACCCAAGGCTAGCTCTCCACTGGTCAAGTGATGTCTCTGTCCCTGACTGCAAAGGCTCCAAACACAGTCTTTCTGTGACTTGGTTTCATAGCTTCTGCAGAACTGCAAAGTTGCCACTTAAAATGGGCTTTGTCCCTTTTTCCCATTGGCCAGTTGGGGTGGATGACAGGTCATTCTTCTAATTGCCAGCAATGAGGAGGAAAACATAAGACAACATCAGACAACAATTCAAGACAACTGGGAGAAGCCATAGACTGTGGCAATTCCCTGCACAGCTGTCCCTAGTCGGACAGATCTCATCACAGTCCCTTCGAGGCTGGGAACCAGGCTGATGCCCCCATCACTCTGGATCCTTACAGGGGGCAACAGGAGAGGGAGTGTCGCTCTTTGTTTTATTCCAGTGTTCCTGATATTGAAGCTTTCTCCTAGGCAGTGAGGCTAAAGTAGCCTAGGCAAGTCAGCCTGGTTATTTGCTCACTTTATCACCTACTGTGAACACCACTACTGTGAGTGGGAGGAGCCTCAGGTCCTGGGTACTTAGCCTGCAGGTCAGACAGAAGGGTTGAATTCAGGATGTCATTTTTTTCCTAAGGCACAAAACCCTCTCCAGCATGTTTAGAGACTGTCTCTAGCAAGATTGTAAAAGAAAATTTTATTTTCATTTTATATATTATTCTCAGTCTTAATGTTTGTCCTAACTTAATAAAATATTTTCAGTTTTAGACTGCAATGTGTGGATGATCTTCTATGGGGAACTGTCAGAAGAGTGACCTTCCAAGTAGAAAATAATTTTGAAGGAATCAGTTGATAGTTAGATTTGCTCTCTGGTTACTCAAGGCCACATAACTGCCTTATGTAACTGTCAGTGTTGATTTTACATATACATATCAGTAACTACATCTTTAAAAATTTTCCTCATAATATAAATATTAGCAAATTATTGGCCTGAGAATCAATGACATTTTGTATGCACCTGCCAATTGACGGGCCACATGAATTCATGGTCAGCATGGACTTCCTATCCTGCTATCTTGCTGATATCCAGCCTCAATAATTTAAAATAGCCAAATGAACCCATGATTTCCTTCTGCAGACCTGCTCCTCCCATAGTCATCCTTGTCTCAGAAAATGGCGCCATCAACTGATACACAGTTGTTCAAGTCAATGATTAGGAGGCATGCTTAACTACATCTTGCGGGTACCACTACTGAAATACATCCTGAATTCAGTTTCTTAACACCACCTCCCACCATCACCTCCCATCAAGCCAGTGTCCTCCCCCAACTGGACTACCTTGGACAGCCTTCTCACGGTTTGCCCTGCTCTATTCTTTCCCCTCTTTGATACTTTCTCCATAGAGAAGCCAGAATGCCCTTTTATTTACTTTTTCGTTTATAGTTGTGTTTTAAAATATTTTTTCTTTCCTATTATGAAATTATGACTGTAGAAATAGAACACAATGTAAAGAAAAAAATAACTCATGGTCCCACTATCTGGATAAACATTTTGTTTTGTTTCTTTTCAGTCTTTTGTCTGTGCTCAGGTGTAATTATTTCAACGTGGTTGTTATTTATTTTTTTTAAAGAAGTAAATTTTGCAAAATAAAAATATACATCTTGCAAATAATAGCTTTATTCCCGTGTTGAAACCTACCAATGGCTTTCCATGGCACTTGAAATATATTCAGACTTCTTGTTGTGGCCCAGAAGGCTGTGTACAAGGTAGTTTCTGCCTATGTTTCTGATACCTTCTTCCACTTTTCTCCTCTCATATTCTGGACACAGCTTTTTTTTTTTTTTTTTTTTTTTTTTTTTCCCCTCTGTCTCTCTCTCTTTCGGGAACACAAAAAATTCCAAAAAGGTTCTGAAACACAGGAAATTCCTATAAGGTTCTGGAATACAGAAGGTTCCAATAAGTTTCTGGAACCTTGTTCCCACCGGCAGGACTTTTGTGTTTTCTGTGCTTTTTCTGCCAAGAGCATTTCTGCCCCTTTCTCTGTTTACATCTGTATTAGTCTGTTTTCACACTGCTATAAATAAATACCCAAGACTGGGTAATTTATAAAGGAAAGAGGTTTAATTGACTCACAGTTCCACATAGCTGGGGAGACCTCCAGATCATGGTGGAAGGTGAAGGGGAAGCAAACGTGGACCGTGGCAGCAGGACAGTGTGTGAGGGAGCCAGAAAGACTACCATTTATCAAACCATCAGATCTCGTGAGAATTCACTCATTATCACAAGAACATCATGGGGGAAACCACCCCCATTCTTGGTACCAATTTCCTTTGTTAGTCCGTTCTCACACTGCTATAAAGAACTGCCCCAGACTGGGTAATTTATAAGGAAAAGAGGTTTAATTGACTCAAAGTTCTGCATGGCTTGGGAGGCCTCAGGAAACTTACACTCATGGTGGACGGGGAAGCAGGCACATCTTACATGACAGCAGGTGAGAGAGCCTGTGAAGGAAGTGAAGAGGGAAGAGCCCCTTATAAAACCATCAGGTCTCCTGAGAACTCCCTCACTATGAAGAGAACAGCATGGGGGAAACTGCCCCCATGATCTAATCACATCCCTCCCTCCACACAGGGGGATTACAGGTCCCTCCTTGACACATGGTGATTACAATTCCAGATGATATTTGGGTGGGGACACAGAGTCAAACCATATCAACATCTGTCTCCTTTGTATTATGCAGGTTTGGGCTCAAATGTTACATTTTTAGAAGGACTTTTCTTTTTAATACCAGAGCTAATATAGCCAGTCACAATCTCTATAAGTCACAGTCATCTTTCTCAGCCATATTACTTGGTTTATTTGATCACAGTATTGATTACTGTATGAAATGGCCTTATTTGTTAAATTTTGTATGATTTGTCTTTACCTATCTAAATGTGGGGATTATGAGAGTAGAGACCTTGATTCAGCCAATGACTGGAATAGTACTTGCCTTCTGGTAAATAAATATTACAACAAATAAATATTAGTTGAAGAATGAAACCCCCAAATGTCCTTATTCATTCCTTATCTGATTTTTTAAATATTTTCTGTCAGCCAGCCAGTCATTTGCTTATTATTTTATTCTGCTTATTATTTGTATAATAAGCAGAAGTTTTGGCTTTGGTGAATTCTCATATGTTATTTTATTTCTATTTTGGTGATTACTTCCTTTTTCCTATTTATGAAATCTTTAGCTTTAAAGATACTCTCCCACATTTTCTTTTAGAAGCTTTACCCTTTTAGCTTTTACCTTTAAGTCTGGGATTCATTTCAGTTGGATTTTTATGGGTGGTATATAGTAGTGGTTAAGGGTCATTTTTTTTCTCTTATGGATTTGAAGATCTGGCCCAAAAGATTTTACTTTCCCATTGAGTTGCTTCGGCACCTTTGTCAAAAATCAATGGCCTCATAAAGAAGGGTCTGTTTTTAGGCCTGTGTTTTTTTCCATTGATCTCTTTATTATTATGCCAATACTACCCTATGCTAATAATTTTAGCTTTATAATAAACCTTCAAGGCTGCAATTCTTATGACTTTGTTTCTTTTTGATGATCATTTTGTCTATTATTTGTATTTATATATAAATTTAGGAATCAGCTTATCAATTTTCATACAAAAACATGGTTGGGATGCTAATTAGTATTTTATTGAATCTGTAGGTCAATCTGGGAAGACCTGACATCTTAACGTTATTAAGTTTGCCAGTGTATGGTCATGAGATTTCTCTCTATGGGTGTTCTAAGATTTGTCTCTCAACAGCAATTTGTCATTTTCAAGGTAAAAGTCATTGGGCATTACATATAAATATATATATATATATATATATATATATATGTATGTATATATTCTTTGAAGTTTATTATTTTTATCTGTCAGAAACTTCTATCATACTAAACACATATCTTTTTTTACTGAGCTCAATAGGAAGTTTGGAACACTTACTTTACTTGATTTCTCCATCGTATGAGATACTGTTGGATTCTCCTCCTCCTTTTAATCTTGCTCTTAGTTTTATATAATCATGTACTCCTTTCTTCTACCTTTCTGTCCATTCTTTTGCAGTCTTTTTTTGTAAGTACATCTTCCTTTGCTCATTCCTTAAATGTTCACTTTCTTTTGTGTTTCTTACTGAACTCTCCTCATTCTTACCCTCTCCTGATTGATCTTATCCATTGAATTGGCTTCTGTTACTTCCTAAATATGACGGACTTTTAATATGTATTTGCAGGATTTTCAGTTAAAATCTGAACTCTATTTCCCTTCCAAACTTACTATACCTCCCAAATCCCTTTCATCCGCCCACTTGAAATCATCTTTGTCATCTCCCTCTATCTTCACTCTTTACATTCAAGTCTGCTAGATTTTACCTCCTTCATACCTCAAATTCAATCTTTGTCTTTATTGCCACTGTCTTTGTCTTGGCAGAGATAACAATCATCTCTTACCTTATTACTACAATGGTATTATAAATAGACTTCCTCTTTTCATATTTTATTTCAATATATACTTTGCTTTCCAGCAACCTTCCAAAAATGCAGACTTTATGGTGCCAGTTTCTCCTTTTATAAAGCCTGTTAGTGGGGACCCTCTCATCTTTAGAATAAAGTCCTAATTGCTAAAACAGCCTACAATTCCTGCATGCTGTAGACCCTGCTTACATCCACAACCTCAGCTCCTACTGTCTCCCCTTCTAAAGCCCATACACTAGGAATATAGAACAACTCACAGTTCCAGGAACTTGCTATTCTCTCTTACCTTTGTGCAAGTTTTCCTTCTCTGTAAGAGGCACTTTTCCTCCTTTCAATTGGATATTCCTTTTCTAGCTCAGATAACACTCCCTCGGGAAATTTCCCTGAGCCCCCAAAGCTAGGATATGTCTGTCCACAATGCTCCTACAGCAAGCTGCGTTTATTCTCTTAGTATTGATCTCACTGCCCTAAAGCTGTGTGCTGACTTGTTTTCTCTTCTACTAAACCATAAGCTCCCTGAAACAAGAACTGTATCTAGTTCAGTGGCATGTTGTAAGAACTCAAAAAAATACCTGTTGATTGAAATTGAGTGAATACATAAATGCATATTTTATAATAAAATTGGAGGATATTGGCTATTTGGAAAACCTTAGTTCATCAAATACACCAGACACCAAAATAAATTTCATATGGATTTTAAAGAATTGAGTATTATTTTAAAAGCATTAAGAAAATAAATAAAGATAAATATCTACTTTCATTCTTTAAAGGATTTTCTAAACATAAAATAATTTTAAAAATTACCAAGGAAAAGCAATAGTTTTAATTATTTACAATCTACAATAATTAAATAATTATTTCATTATTTACAATCTAAGAGTTGTATGTCAAAACCTACCATTCAGTAAATACTTTTTGTTCACTTGCATTTCATCTATGTATTTATTTATTCAACAAATAATTGTTGAGGGCTTACCACGTGCTCAACAGAGAACTTCCTGTCCTCATGGAGTTTACATTTTAGTGAGGTATAATAAACAAGTTAAGATATAATTTTTTAAATGCTGATATGTCCCATTGCCAGAAAAATAAACCACAAAAGACTAAAAAAGGATAATATGTGTAAATTCATAAAAGTATTTCAGAAAACAATTAAAACTCTAATAGAAAGGTGGGAAACGACAGTTACAAAACAAACACAAAAGATATGAGAAATTTCCATTACATATTATAATAAAATATTATATTTTTCATCTTATTATCAAACATTTAAAAAAATTTTATGGCTTATTTATTTTTAAATAGATAATATATATTTACAGGACAGAATCCAAAAGTATTAAGTAACTTACAGTACAAAGCAAGCCTTCCTTTAATCTCTCTTCTTCAACCATCTAGTTCTTTCTAGAAGCAACCACTCCTGCCAAATTCCTATTTAAAAAAAAAGTTTTTTAGTTTAATGCTAATGAGGGTTCATTGAAAGAGTACTCTCATAAACTGCTAGAGAAAATAGGAAATGATTTAATCTTTTTGGGAATAAAATTATTGACACATATCAAGCCTTAAAATGTACATTATGACTTAATAATTCTAAATTTTGATTCTCTCCTAACAAAATAGTTACATATATCATACAATATACAATTTATGTACATGGGTAGACACCATGATAAAAGAAATTGGAAACAATCTAACTATTCAAAACCAGTCCATTAAATGATAGTGCACACATAAAATGGAGTGTTATACAATTATTAACTCTCATCTGTAGATCAAAGTATATAATTTTGAATAGCAATGTAAAATATTTCAGCATTGCAGTGACCACATTTTTCTGGTTCATCCACAGCATCCCAGCTCCTAGAACAATTTCTGGGACACTATAGGCATCTTGTAAATGTGGGTTGTATAAGTTAAATTGCATTCAGAAAAGCCTAGAAGCTGCAGTATCAGCTAGGACTGTTTTCAAAACTCACCTAATCTAAGAATCACCTGGAGAGAGCTTGCTAAAAACTAGATTCCCAGGCCACTATCTACAGATTCTAACTAGAAGGTGTGGGAATCTTGTTTTAATGAGCAGCCCAAGGTGTGAGAAACACAACATAAATAAGAAAGTGTCTAATGAGAAATCAGGAAACACTTGAGTATCAAAATGTATACAGTACAGGATTTATAAGGGAATTTATTGTTTAGGAGTAATTCAGGAAACATATTACACAGGTAATAGGAGATTTGAGAAGTCAAAGAAAGGAAAAAATGTGTACCATCAGGAAGTTACCACTATTCCTGGGACAGAGGGAGAAGTTGGTGTCGGCAGAAAGCAAACACCAAGGTCACCTGGAAAGGTCACCTGAAAGAAACCAAAACTGCAGTAACCCTCTTGGGCAGGGCCTGGAGCCACAGAGTAGACTCTACCACTGCTGGAGAAGTTGCTGATGCAGACAGGGGTTGTGAAAGCACGTACGGTTCTTGGCCCTCCAGCTTCCCTCCATTGCCTCCCATTGGCCAGGCCCAGGTGGAAGCCAGTTAACATGGAAGGCCAGCAGGGTTCTGTGGATAGTGATAGTGAAGCCAGCAGGGTTCTATCTTCCTGTGATTTACAGAGCAGAGCAAAGACAGGGCAGGCAATGGATATGAGGACAAACAGGTTCAGCACCTGTACTATGCGTTAAGACACCATGTCACACCCACATGAAAGTACTGCAAAGGTCTGCACTGAAGAGTGTAAAAATCATTTATTAATGTTCAGTTCATTTTAAGAAACCATCCCCTTAACCTTCATGTTAACTTTCATGATCTTCCACTCTGGGGCACTTGTGGATAATGGATTGTATTTCATGCAAATGACCCCTTTTAAGAGGATCTATAAATGCTAAGTGATCTTAAATGCAGAGTCCAAGACCTACCTCCTATGAGACAGTGGTCTTCTAGAGAAATGGTGGTCTGTAGGCAAATAAAGCCCAACAGAACAGCACAATTAGCCAATGATTCGAATGTGTGAATTTGTAGAATCTCTGTGGCAGTCATTATGCACATTTAGACAGTTTCCCAATAGGATTGTGTGTCATGAGTATTTTCAGAGTGAGGTTGGGTGCAGGAACAGAAATTTGACTAAAATAGTCTAAACAGAAAGGAAAGTATTTTTATCTAGCTAGGCAAGAGAAAAAGACACTTTTCAAAAGCTATCACTCCACTGGAGTTAGTATTTTTGTTAACATCACACACCTTGTCTAAGGAAAATAAGGACGTGTGTAAAATACTACTCTTGAGCTGAGGTGAGTAACTGTGTGACTTGGGAAGAAAGCACTGCAAAGTTCTCATCACCACTTATGCAAAGTCCAAGTGCCATGAAATAAATTCCCCCAAATCTCTCTTTTGTCTGTTTTTCAGCCTTCTCTCCAGCTACAGTCTGCCACATATTTCGTGCTAGTTTGTGTGGTCATTTACTTTCCTGTCTCTGCTCATGCTTGTTTTC